>NC_000015.10:55151874-55776874 GCF_000001405.40 Homo sapiens | reverse complement strand
CCACCATTCGCATACATTGCATTTTAGTCACATCCTTTACTGTTGATTAAGAGATTTTCCAAATTGAAAGTGATCTTATAAATCACAGAGTCCAATCCCCTCACTTTGGGTAGGAGGAAACTAGTCTCAAAAAATTAAGAACAGTTGTCCAACTGTTTCTTTAATTATTACTAAATTTAAGTAATCCTAATTTAGTAACTAAGTTACCATACTGAATTGTTACATAGACAAGTAATTCTAAGCAGGTAACTTGACCTCTCTATCCCTCAGTGGTCTTTATCTGTAAATGGAGATAAAAATTGTGCTTATTTCATAGGGTTGTAGCCAGGACTAAATAAACCAAGGTAAAGTGGTAAAACAGTATCTGGGCTGGGCGCAGTGGCTCACGCCTGTAATCCCAGCACTTTGGGAGGCTGAGGCAGGTGGATCACTTGAGGTCAGGAGTTTGAGACAAGCCTGACCAACATAGTGAAACCCCATCTCTCCCAAAAATATGAAAATTAGGTGGGTAAGGTGGCAGCACACACCTGTAATCCCAGCTACTCAGGAGGCTGAGGCAGAAGAATCGTTTGAACCTGGGAGGCAGAGGCTGCAGTGAGCTGAGATCCCACCACTGCACTCCAGCCTAGGTGACAGAGCGAGACTCAATCTCAAAACAAACAAAAAAACAAAAACAGGCCGGGCATGGTGGCTCACACCTGTAATCCCAACTCTTTGGGAAGCCGAGGCAGGCAGATGACAAGGTGAGGAGTTTGAGACCAGCCTGGCCACCATGGTGAAACACTGTTTCTACCAAAAATACAAAAAATAGCTGAGCGTGGTGGCATGCGCCTGTAATCCCAGCTACTCTGGAGGCTGAGGCAGGAGAATCGCTTATATCCGGGAGGCAGAGGTTACAGTCAGCCAAGATCGCACCACTGTACTCCAGCCTGGGTGACAAGAACGAAACTCCATCTCGGGGTGGCGGTGGGGAACAGTATCTGGACCATAAGAAAAATGTTCACTAGTTACTATGTTTACTGTTACTGTTGTTGACTGCTCAGGTATCATTGTTCTATCACTTACAGCTTTGAGTGTATATTTTATTCCCTTATGCAGTCAACAAATATTTACTGAGTATCTACTGTGTTCCAAGCTCTATGTACTAGGTACTGGGGATAGGTTCAGTCCTCGCCCTCAGATTCTTCACAGGTCAGTGGTTGCTGATATAATGCGGGCCTGGAGGGAGAGCTACAAAACTGCCACAGGCATCAGGAAAGCTTTCAAGAGAAGACATTTGATCTCCTTTAAGGATGAGTTTGCCGGCTGGGGAAGACAAGGGAGAGAGCAGCACAGGCATTCTAGCCTCAGGGAACAGGCTGGCAAAGGCAGAGTGCTGAGAAGAGTGCTGTCAAGGAAGGTAGTGGTGACGAAAGAGACTACAGAGGGAGCCTGGGGCCAGATTGCAAAAGATTCTTATAACTAAATTGCAAGCTTCCTGTCTGTCCCCTAGGGGTAATTAGCACAGTGCTTAATTCAAAAAATTACCTGATTGATTTCTTTTTCCCCTTTGACATGCATGGAGATTCATTCCAGCTTTGGTTATTGTGAGAATAAGTTTTTGATTCCCAGATTTACAATTGCAGTTCTCTACCATGAGTTCCACATCACCACATACCCGCATGGTGGAAATATTAAAGATTCTCCCACTGCAGTATTTCCCGTTACCCCCTCCACTCTTCCTTTAATTGGGCAGCTAGACTAGAGGACATTTAGTACCTTAATAAGTGGGAGAAAGGCTTTTGACATTTAAAAGTCCAGGCCTTGAAGGAACCCCTGGGGCACAGAAAAAAACTTGACATTTGCATCAGAGCAAGTTTTCCCACTCTTGGGCCAATTTGAAAGTTTTCTGCTTTGAAGGGAGGAGGAAAGTCCAGGCTGGGGAGGGAGACAATGATAAAAATCATTAGCAGGTAGCTCCCTGAGAAAGGAAGCCTGGGCTCTGTCTGCCTTTTCTTTTATTTATTTATTTTTTTTGAGACAGAGTCTTGCTCTGTCACCCAGGCTGGAGTGCAGTGGTGCCATCTCAGCTCACTGCAACCTCTGCCTCCCGGGTTCAAGCGATTCTCCTGCCTCAGTCTCCCGAGTAGCTGGGATAACAGGCGCCTGCCAGCATACCCGGCTAATTTTTGTATTTATAGTAGAGACGGGGTTTCACCATGTTAGCCAGGCTGGTCTCAAACTCCTGACCTCAAGTGATCCGCCCAGCTCGGCCTCCCAAAGTGCTGGGATTAAAGCGCTCCCAGCCTGCCTTTTCTGACTTGGCCTCTGGGGGCAGTGTTGGTAAATGACAACAGAAACCACTGATGGACTGATGGATTTGGGGAAGCTTAGAGAAAAGGGTGCCCCTGTCCTCTTGTAGACACCAAAGACAGCATAGCCCAGAGCAGCTATGTCTGTGAGAGTGTCTGAGCAACTGAGTCCAAACAGCACAGGGGCAGTAGAATGAGTTCCTTTGAGCCTGAGAGGCATAGAGAAGTCTCAAGGAACAGGGACAACTCAGCCATGTGCTGTGTAGATTGAAGACAGGGCTCTAGTGAGCCCCCTTGCACTTATAGGCAGCATGGGGGACAGCAGGAGATACCCCTAACTAACTAGTACTAATTGTCTGTCACCCTGAGAGAGATGAATGGGACTTACAGAAAAGTAAATTTGCTTTTTTGCACATCTGGGGCTTGAGGCTAACCCTAACATCTATGGGAAAAATTTATGTATAGTAAACTTTAAACTCACTATGTGTCACATTTTATCTCAATAAATGCTTCTTGAGCACTCACTAAGCACGAGGAACCAAAAAGAATCCGGGGAGGGAGACAGACACACGAATATTTGCGTCGTCAAAGCACAAGTAGCATGTTCTGAGAAAATGCAAGAAACACTCATGCATTCTAACTGATGAGAGGAAAAAGCCTCTAGGAAGGGGGTGGCATTTGACCTGGGCTTAGAGGGATGGGTAGGAAATTGCTGGTGAAACAGAAGGGGTTTCTGGCAGTTGAAGAAAGCTGGGCAGGCTTAGAGAACAAAGCTGGAGGAAAGGATCTGCAGGGGACTAAAATGTCCCAGATCTCTCAGCCTTATTCTTTATCCAATGGCACCTCCATCTCCAAATCCTTAGGGTCATGTTTTAGTTTTGTGTTTTTGTTTTTTGGTTTTTTTTTTTTTTTTTCAGAGAAGGGGTCTTATTCTGTCATCCAGGCTGCCAAGTGCAGTGGTGCAACCATAGCTCACTGCAGCCTTAAACTCCTGGGTGCAAGCAGTCCTCCCACCTTAGCCTCTTGAGTAGCTAGGACCACAGGTACATCCTGCCAAGACTGGCTAATTTTTTTATTTTTGTTTTTGTAGAGACAAGGTTGCTATCTTACCCAGGCTGATCTCAAACTTCTAGATGCGAGCAATCTTCTTGCCTTGGCCTCCCAAGGCATTGGGATTAGAGGTGTGAGCCACTGAGCCGGCTCTAGGGTCTTGTTTTGATAGTTTCTGCCCCTCTCTTCTCATAGACAAACATTTTTCCAGTCTTGCTTTTTTATGCTTAAGTTTATAACAATAAACAATAGCAATAAACAAACAATTCAAAAATAATAGCAATAGCAACTACCATTTATGGAGCTTAATACCATTTAGCTCTGTATTTACTTAATACCATTTAGTATTAAGCTTTTTACCTAAATTACCTACTTTATCCTTACAGTAATCTTAAATATAAGAATTGTTATCCCATATAGTATTATTCCTTTTTCCAACCTCTACCCTAATCCTTATAGTATCTGAATAACCATTTCCCAAGATGTTCTATATCATCCAAGGTGCCTTTGCCATGTTTTCTTTTCTTTTTTTTTTTTTTTTGAGATGAAGTCTCACTCTATCACCCAGGCTCGAGTGCAGTGGCGCGATCTCAGCTCACTGCAAGCTCTGCCTCCTGGGTTCACGCCATTCTCCTGCCTCAGCCTCCTGAATAGCTGGGACTATAGGCACCCGCCATCACACCGGGCTAATTTTTTGTATTTTTAGAAGAGACGGAGATTCACTGTGTTAGCCAGGATGGTCTCGATCTCCTGACCTCCTGATCTGCCCGCCTTGGCCTCCCAAAGTGCTGGGGATTACAGGCGTGAGCCACCATGCCCGGCCTGCCGTGTTTTCTTAACAAAAATTATTTTAAATGAAACCTTCAAAGTTACCTAGTCTTTACATTTTTTCCCTGTGCTCCATGCAGCTATTATAATTTCATATTTCTCTTCCTCAGTATGACTTTTGGTTTTTGTTTGTTTATGTTTTGAGACATGGTCTCACTCTGGGCTGTACTGCAGTGGCACCATCATGGCTCACTGCAGCCTTGACCTCCTGGGCTCAAATGATTCTTCTGCCTCTGCCTCCCAACTAGCTGGGACTATAGATGCATGCTACCTCACCTGGCTAATTTTTGTATTAGCTGGTCCCAAAGTCCTGGGCTCAAGTGATTTTTTTTTTTTTTTTTTTTAAGACAGAGTTTTGTTCTTGTTGCCCAGGCTGGAGTGCAATGGCACGATCTCAGCTCACCGCAACCTCTGCCTCCCAGATTCAAGTGATTCTCCTGCCTCAGCCTCCCGAGTACCTGGGAATACAGACACGCACTACCACGCCCGGCTAATTTTGTGTTTTTAGTAGAGACAAGGTTTCTCCATGTTGATCAGGCTGGTCTCGAGCTCCTGACCTCAGGTGATCTGCCTGCCTTGGCCTCCCAAAGTGCTGGGATGACAGGCGTGAGCCACCACGCCTGTCCAAGTGATTCTCTTAACTCAGTCTCCCAAAGTGCTGGGATTACAGGCATGAGCCACCACACTTGGCCTGCCATATGATTTTTAAGCTAAAATTAATTGTTCAAGAACTTACTGATTCCTAACTGTCTGTCTCTCACCATTTGCTGTCTCTTCTTTTTTTTTTTTTTTTTTTTTTTTTTGAGATGGAGTCTCACTCTGTCGCCCAGGCTGGTGTGCAGTGGCATGACCTCGACTCACTGCAAGCTCCGCCTCCCGGGTTCACGCCATTCTCCTGCCTCAGCCTCCCAAGTAGCTGGGACTACAGGCGCCCACCACCATGCCCCGGCTAATTTTTTTGTGTTTTTAGTAGAGATGGGGTTTCACTGGGTTAGCCAGGATGGTCTCAATCTCCTGACCTCGTGATCTGCCCGCCTGGGCCTCCCAGAGTGCTGGGATTACAGGCGTGAGCCACCGCACCCAGCCTCATTTGCTGTCTCTTCTAGGGGATTTTATTCAAGTTGTTTTCTCTCCTTTCTCCCAGGAATATCCTTCCTGACCTCTGCCTCCACTCCCAGAAAAATCCTTTCATTAAATCGTACCCATTCTTCAAGACTGAGCTAAAATGCTATCTCCTACACAAAGCCTTCTGAGAGTCTTTCCATTGAAATAACTTTTTTCCTCTTCTCTATTCCCACAGAACATTGCTTCTAGGTTTTTAATATGGTTATATTTAAGTTCTGTCTGTATTTTTCTTCCTCCTCCACTAGATTGTGGATCTGCATGTGGACATACCTCTTGTGTGTTTTACGCATCTCCACTGCTCACATTACAGAATTTTACTCCTAAAAATATTAAAGTGAATCAGATAGAAAGAAATTGAAATTTCTCAATCAGGTGCTCATGGCCCTCCTTTCCCACATTCTATTCCTCCAGCATATACACTAGATTTTTCTGGGGCCCTGATCATTAACAATCATTTCCTCTTCTTTCCCTGGTTATTTTCTCCTAAAACGGAGGCGGAAGGAACTAGATGATTGGATGAGCATCTGGCAGCCAGAACTGCCCTTATGTCTGCCTGAGTCTTGGACAGGCAAACACCACAGAGTGGGGGTGGGCAGGGAGGAGCCTCTGGAGTTCCAACCGTTGGACCAGCCTCCTATGGGGAGCCCTGAAGCTGTGGACAACTATGGTCTTAGGGAGCTGAGATCACTATGGATGAAGCCTGGAAAATATTCAAAAGTCCGACCCAGATTTCAGCAGATTTTTCAAAGAGAGGAAAAAAGGAAATACAGAGGTAAAGAGGATTCATGGTGAGGTCTTACTGATTTCCTCCTCAAATTGATGGGGACAGGTTAATGAGGAGGAAATATCCCCGAGTCAGTTAAGCTATATGTGAGCAAATCACAGTTTCTCTATTTGAAAGATGTCAGTTCAAATGTGCTTTACATGTTCAGGAGGGGGAAAGCCAAAGTCTTTTTAATAAGAAATCATTGTTCAAAGCACTATCGTAAAGTGGTAAAGCTTACATAAGTAATATACAAGTTACATGCCAGAGAAACCAAACACAATCATATGCTGAGCATATGTCATGTGCAAGGGCTTAGAAGAGTTTATTAAGTTTCATAAGTCATTTGGGGCTAAAAGCAAAGGGTTAGCACCTGGGCAGGGTTCCAAATGTCTTACTCCACCTTCTGTAAAGCCAGTAATTATACATAGCGAATTGTCCACAGGAACAAGAGTACTACAGTGTCTTCATTCCTAGAGAGATATAGTTTTTTTGTTTTTTTTTTTTTGAGACGGAGTTTCTTGTTGCCCATGCTGGAGTGCAATGGTGCCGTCTTGGCTCACTGCAACCCCCGCCTTCTGGGCTCAAGAGATTCTCCTGCCTCCGCTTCCCAAGTAGCTGGGATTACAGGTGCCTGCCACCATGGCTGCCTAATATATATATATATATTTTTTTTTTGGAGACAGAGTCTCGCTCTGTCGCCCAGGCTGGAGTGTAGTGGCGCAATCTCAGCTCACTGCAAGCTCCGCCTCCTGGGTTCACCATGCCTGGCTAATTTTTTTGTATTTTTAGTAGAGACAGGGTTTCATCATGTTGGCCAGGCTGGTCTTGAACTCCTGACCTCAGGTGATCTGCCTGCCTTGGCCTCCCGAAGTGCTGAGATTATAGGCATGAGCCACCGTGCCCAGCCGAGTGATTTAGATATTATAGAAAAGAGCATGAGGCTTCTCTAATTTTTACTAATCAAGAACAAAAAAAGTATAGACATTTTAGCTACTCAAACGAACATGAAGAAAAATAGCTTATGCAGTTTTTCTCATTTTGTTGATGAGAAAAAAATTAATCCCCAAAAGGTTTAATGATTTGCTCAACTTCATCAAAGACAGCAATTCAAACATTTATAAACACAGAGAAGCCAAAGGGAAATAATATAAACAACTGATGACCAAGCCAGGTATGGTGGTGAGATCCTGTAGTCCCAGCTACTCAGGAGGCTGAGGCAGGAGGATTGCTTGAGCCCAGGAGTTAGACTAAGGCTACAATGTGTGATGATTGTGCTTATGAATAGCCATGGCAGTTTAGCCTGGCAACATAGAGAGACAAAATAAAACAAAGTAAGAACAGAAGGTCATATCTTCATAAAACAATTCTCTCTCTAGTGTCTCTCTCTTTTTTTTTTTTTTTTTGAGACTGAGTCTCGCTGTCTTGCCAAGGCAGGAATGCGTTGGCACAATCTTGACTCACTGCAACCTCTGCTTCCTGGGTTCAAGCGATTCTCTTGCCTCAGCCTCACAAGTAGCTGGGACTACAGTCGCCTGCCACCATGCCTGGCTAATTTTTGTATTTTTAGTAGAGACAGGGTTTCACCATGCTGGCCAGGCTGGTCTTGAACTCCTGACCTCAAGTGATCTGCCCGCCTCAGCCTCCCCAAAGTGCTGAGATTTCAGGCGTGAGCCACCGCGCCCGGCCTTCATTAGACAATTCTTACAGATTGCAAGGGGGATGAGGAGAGTCCCCATCTCCAGGCTTCCTGGCTCCTGCCACCCTGCCAAACAGGAATATGTTTGAACTACAGCATCTGGTTGTCCATGTGCCCTCAGGCTGGGAAGGTCAGCCCATGAGTCAGTTTTCAAATCATGGTGGCTTTTAGAAAACAGCCAGGCAGGGTGAGACCAGAAAGAAGAGAGGGAGGGACGGGAAGTTGAAACCTTTTAAAGCTCTCGACAAAAGGCAAAGAGTTCTCCTCGACCAATCCTGACCCCTACCGACCTCATGACCTTGTTACCTAAGGTCAGTTTAACACTTTAGAAATGGTCCTGGCTGACTCTGTAACCTCTGTCACTCACAACTAACAAATATGTCTTTAAAAGGGTCACCTTTTGGCTAGAAACTAGCAGATTCTTTCCTTTCGATTCACATATTATCCAAAAGTCTCTTTGGTTTCTATTAAGAAATTCAAGCTGTCTAATTTGAAACCATTATCACTAACACAAGATGTTACAATACTTTTCACTAACACAGACATCTCTAGGAAGTCTAGGTTAATACTCTGTTTGGGAAACTGCATACATTTCATATGGAGACACCCAGAGCAAACACAGCATATGGCCCTGGAATCTTTCATGCTGCCATCCAAGAAGAGAACACAGAATAGCTAGAAACTTTAAATTTAGGGGTCCAAGTAAGTCCTGTCTTTGGAGGAATTGTCAACAGTCTCTCTGGTGTATGGAAAGATGCTTAGAAAGAGTAGGGGCCTAAATAAGGCAGAAAAGTCATCCTCACTTATTAGTTGTCATCACACAGTTAAATCTTGAAAGATCAAGAATGACTTTACCGGGCATGGGCGTTCATGCCTGTAATCTCAGCACTTTAGGAGGCTGAGGTGGGTGGATTGCTTGAGGCCAGGAGTTCCAGACCAGCCTGGACAACATAGTGAAACCCCATTTCTACAAAAACTACACAAATTATCCAGGCGTGGTGGCGGATGTCTATAATCCCAGCTACTCAGGAAGCTGAGGCAGGAGAATTGTTTGAATCCAGGAGGTGGAGTTTGCAGTGAGTGGAGATAGTGCCACTGCACTCCAGCCTGGGTGACAGAGTGAGACTCTGTCTCAAAAAAAATAAAAAATAAAAATAACAGACTTGTTTATGGTGAGTAGCCTCCACATAAAAATAGACAAAAAGGCCTGGGCGTGGTGTCTCACGCCTGTAATCCCAGCACTTTGGGAGGCCAAGGCAGGTGCATTGCTTGGCCCAAGAGGTGGGGGTTGCAGTGAGCTGAGATCCGAGATCGCACCATTGCACTCTAGCCTGGGCAACGAGACAGAAACTCCGTCTCAGAAAAAAAAAAAAAAAAAGGCTGGGTGCGGTGGCTCACACCTGTAATCCTAGCGCTTTGGGAAGCTGAGGTGGGCAGATTGCCTGAGGTCAGGAATTCAAAACCAGCCTGGCCAACATGGTGAAACCCCATCTCTACTACAAATACAAAAATTAGATGGGTGTGGTGGCGTGCACCTGTAATCCCAGCTACTCGGGAGGCTGAGGCAGGGGAATTGCTTGAACCAGGGAGGTGGAGGTTGCAGTGAGCCGAGATCATGCCACTGCACTCCAGCCTGGGTGACAGAGTGAAACTCTGTCTCAAAAAAAAAACAAAAAAAGACTGCAGATATTCAGCATGGTTATCAAGTTTCAATTTTATTCAATGCAGGAAAGTAATAAAAAGAAGTATTATTATACAGAGTCCTCAGCTCTCAAGTTCCTTATATTTACTATAAAGATACCTTTTTTTTAAGAAAGCAAGCTTATTAGGGCAACAGTGTAAGCAAAATGGCTGCTCCATAGGCAGAACTGCCTACTGTAAGGATACCTTATTTCTCAAGGGATTTACCAGATGAAGCCTCTCTCTGGCTAGTCTTCAAATTCAAGTAATCGACCATCTACATTCAGCAAGGCTCCCGTAAAAGACTGGGGTTTGTTTCCAAGTTCTGGTCATCTGACTTCTTTCCTTAATTCAATTCAGTTCAATCACACTATGCTGAATGTTAGGAATTCAGAAGTAAATAAAGCATCATCTCTAGCCTCAATGTGCTCAAAATGAGGAAAAGGGAAACTGACCTGTAGACACGTGAGTGAAATAAAGGGTAGTGTAAGTTAGAAGAGGGCAGAGAGAATGCATGCAGGAGTGTGGTGGGGGTAGGGAAGTGGTTAGAACAGATTTCACAGGAAGAGTGTGGTCGTGCGGTAGCCTGCCTCCAATATGCTCCCATTAGTCTCAACTTCTGGTATTCACACTTTGGATGGTCCCCTCCCGCATTGTATGATTTAGTCTTTGACCTACAGAGTGTAGTGGAAATGTGTGTGACTTTTGAGGCTAGATTAGAAAAGACCAAATTGCTGCTGCTGCTTTGCTCTCTTGGATCACTTGTGCTGGGGGAAGCCAATAGCCATGCCTTGAGGACACGCAAGCAGCAGAAGAGAGCCTCATATGGGGAGAAACTGATGCATTCCATCAACAACCAGCACAACTTGATAAGTCCCCTAGGAAAGGCACCCTCCAGGCCCAGTCAGGCCTCCAAATGGCTGAAGACGCAGCTGACATCTTGACTGCCCCCTCATGAGAAACCCTGAGTTAAGATGCTCCTGAAATTCTAACCTACTGTGACAGGCAGAATGGCACCCCCTCCCCAAGATATCCATGTTGTAATCCCCAGAACTGGTGTTACATTGCATGGCAAGGGGAATCAAGCTAATAGGTGGAATGAAGGTTGCTAATCAGCAGACCTTAAAATAGGGAGATTATCCTGGATCATCCAGGTGGGCCCAGTGTAATCACAAGTGTCCTTTTAAATGCGACAGAAGGAAGCAGAAGAGGCGGTCAGAGTAAAGCGATATGAAAACCTGAGCAGCCACTGCTGGCCTTGAAGATGGAAAAAGGGACGTGACACAAGAATGTGGGCAGCTTCTAGAAGCTGGAAACTGGCCGGGTGCGGTGGCAGAAGCCTGTAATCCCAGCACTTTGGGAGGCCGAGGCAGGTGGATCACTTGAGGTCAGGAGTTGGAGACCAGCCTGGCCAACAAGGTGAAACCCCGTCACTACCAAAAATATGAAAATTAGCTGGGTGAGGTGGTGGCACATGTAAGCCCAGCTACTCGGGAGGCTGAGACAGAAGAATCACTCGAACCTGGGAGGCAGAGATTGCAGTCAGCGAGATCCTGCCACTACACTCCATCCTGGGCGACAGAGTGAGACTGTCTCAAAAAAGAAAAATAAAAAATTCCAGAAATAATTTATTAGTTTTAAATTGTGTACCATTCTGAATAGCATGATGAAATCTTGTGCCAGCTGGGCACAGTGGCTCACGCCTATAATCCCAGCACTTTGGGAGGCAGAGGCAGGGGGATCACCTGAGGTCAGGAGGTCAAGACCAGCCTGGCCAACATGGTAAGAATCACTTGAAACCGGGAGGCGGATGTTGCAGTGAGCCGAGATTGCTCCACTGCACTGCAGCCTGGGCGAAAGAGCAAGACTCCATCACACACAAAAAAAGAAATCTTGTGCCATCCCACTCTGTCCCCACCAGGACATAAATCATCCCTTTGTCCAGTGTATTAACATTTGTTAAGTGTTTATTATGTTCTAGGGACTTTATATACATTATAATACTTACACCCCTAAGAGAGAGATGTTATTATATACTATTCCTATTTTACTGAGCAAGACAACTCAGCTTCAGAAAGATCAAGGAACTTAGCAATGTCACTCAGCTGGTGAGCATACTGCTTCCAAAAACCATTATTCCTGTGTCACTTTGCCATGGATACCAAAACTTTTTCTCTAACTGGACCTTGAAGACCTGTCAGCTCTCTGACAGCTTCTAAGAATATTTGTTGGCCTTCTTTCTGTACTGGGGTATGGCGGAGACCATATGTTCACTAAAACCCACTTCTTTTCTTTTCTTTCTTCCTTTTTTTTTTAGACAGTCTCACTCTGTCATCCAGGCTGCAGTGCAGTGGCACAATCTCAATTCACTGCAACCTCCACCTCCTGGGTTCAAGCGATTCTCTTGCCTCAGCTTCCCTAGTAGCTGTGATTACAGGCATGGGCCACCACACCTGGCTAATTTTTCTTTTTCTTTTTTTTTTTGAGACATAGTTTCGCTCTTGTTACACATGCTGGAATGCAATGGTGCGATCTCGGCTCACTGCAACCTCTGACTCCCGGGTTCAAGCAATTCTCCTGCCTCAGTCTCCTGAGTAGCTGGGATTATATGCATGTGCCAACACACCCGGCTAATTTTGCATTTTTAGTAGAGATAGGGTTCTGCCACATTGGCTAGGCTGGTCTCGAACTCCTCGCCTCAAGTGATGCGCTCACCTTGGCCTTCCAAAGTGCTCGGATTACAGGCGCGAGCTACCATGCCTGGCCCATTTCTTTTATTCCTGGAACTTATCTAACTACATTTCCCAGCTTCCAGGCTGTAAGAGTTGGTCATGTGGTTGTGTTCTGGCCAATAGAAGATGGGTTGAAATAATGCACTGCACTTCCAGAACTGGCCTATAAAAACTTCCTTCATGGTCCTCTACTCTCTGGGTCCCTGAATGACCATGTGGCTCTTCATCTACCAATCACACATATTTACACTGGATACAGCACAAGCATGAAATATACTTTTATTGTGTTAAACCACAGAATTTCAGCAGCTATCATTATTTATGGTAAGTAATACATGGGCCTAACAAAACAGCATGCAGAAACAAAACTTGATAAATTCATTTCATAAATTTCTCAGCACCTTCCTATACTAAGCACCTTTATATCTGGTCATAGTTGCTTCAAATATCTAAAAAATTATTTTAAACTAGTAAATTCTTATAATCTAAGGTGATCATTATACGTAACATAGCTATCTGGAAAAGATGTGTATAAGTACACTCTGTAAGTAGGTTTGTAATCCTGTTTGATAGCACAGGTTGATTTGAAGTTTCTTGGTCATTAACAGACATGGAATTGGATACCTGTGCATTGATTCTGATAGTTCACATATAGGAAAGGATGCGTCGGATATTTTTCTGACCTTTTATAAGCCAAGAATCCTCATTATATTAACTGAAAACAAAATCTGAGCATTTACAGAGTATTAAATGCTTAATTGAATGTGGAACTCAACTGTGCATTATCTATGCAGATGTAATATTGTTCACGTTTGTTGAGTATTTATTATGTGCCAGGCATTCTGCCAAGCTGTTTATATCTATTATTTAATTTCATCTTTATGACAACTCTATTATATAGGTACTATTACTATCCACATTTTTTTTTTTTTTTTTGAGAAGTAGTCTCGCTCTGTCGTCACACTGGAAGGCAGTGGCACGATCTCGGCTCACTGCAACCTCCACCTCCCAGGTTCAAGTGATTCTCCTGCCTCAGCATCCCGAGTAGCTGGGACTACAGGTGCACACCACGATGCCCAGCTAATTTTTGTATTTTTATTACAGACAGGGTTTTACAACGTTGGCCAGGATGGTCTCCATCTTTTGACCTCGTAATCTGCCCATCTCGGCCTCCCAAAGTGCTGGGATTACAGGCGTGAACCACTGTGCCTGGCCACTATCCACATATTATAGGTGGGGAAACAGAAATTCAGGTGATTAAGCAACTTGCCTAAGATCATAAAACTAAGTAAATGACATAAAATAGGATTTGAACCCAAGTGGTCACACCTGAGATTAGCCTTTTTTTTTTTTTTTTAGACAGCCTTGCTCTCTGTCACCCAGGCTGGAGTGCAGTGGCACACTCTTGGCTCACTGCAACTTCTGCCTCCCGGGTTCATCTGATTCTTCTGCCTCAGTCTCCCGAGTAGCTGGGACTACAGGCGTGCACCACCACACCCAGCTAATTTTTGTATTTTTAGTAGAGATGGGGTTTCACCATGTTGGCCAGGATAGCCTCAATCTCTTGACCTCTTGATCCTCCCGCCTCAGCCTCCCAAAGTGCTGGGATTACAGGTGTGAGCCACCATGCCCAGAGAGCTTTTTTTTTTTCTGAGACACAGTTTTGCTCTGTCGCCCAGGCTGGAGTGCAGTGGTGCAATCTTGGCTCACTGCAACCTCTACCTCCTGGGTTCAAGCGATTCTTGTGCCTCAGCCACCCAAGTAGCTGGGATTGCAGGCGTGTGCCACCACAACTGGCTAATTTTTGTATTTTTTAGTAGAGGAAGGGTTTCACCATGTTGGCCAGGCTGGTTTCGAACTCCTGGCCTCAAGTGATCCACCAGCCTTGGCGTCCAACAGTGCTGAGATTATAGGTGTGAGCCACCACGCCTAGCCCTGACATTAGCTTTTAATGGCTACAGTGACTTTCAAAATGGAAATCTGGGGCCGGGCAAGGTGGCTCATGTCTCTACTAAAAATACAAAAAATGAGCCAAGCATGGTGGGGGGCTACTCGGGAGGTTGAGGCAGGAGAATTGCTTGAACCCAGGAGGCGGAGGTTGTAGTCTACCGAGATCATGCCACTGCACTCCAGCCTGGGCAACAGAGTGAGAGTCCGTCTCAAAAAAAAAAAAAAAAGAAGGAAATTTGGGAACAGTCCTTCAAGTACTGTATATAATTAGTTCCTAATCAAATGAATAGCTAAAATCATTTTAAGTATTCTTTAAATTTTTTTAACGTTAACTTTTTCATTTTAACTATTCTTTTTAACTCTTCTGAGCATTATTCTTTTTTAAATTATTATTATTATTATTTTTTGAGACAGGGTCTCCCTCTGTCACCCAGGCTGAAGTACAGTGGCATGATCTTGGCTCACTGCAATGTACGCCTCCCAGGTTCAAGTGATTGTCCTGCCTCAGCCTCCTGAGTAACTGAGGTTACAGGCGTGCGCCACCACAGCCCGGCTAATTTTTGTATTTTTAGTAGAGACAGGGTTTCTCCATATTGGTCAGGCTGGTCTTGAACTCCCAACCTCAGGTGATCTGCCTGCCTCGGCCTCCCAAACTGCTGGGATTACAGGCATGAGCCACCACCCCCAGCCACCTGAGCATTAATTATTTTAAGATTTTTTGCCAATGTAGTCTAAGACTTGGATTTTCGTTGGGCTGAAAAAGAAAAAAACATTAAGCAAAAATAACTGAATGGGTTATGGGCTTAATAAAAATTTGAATTTTTGTTTTACTTTTGGTAGCATTCACATAACTTAGAAACTGTGAAATCTAGTTTTAAACCTAAAACCAAGGCAAGTGACATATTTCTGTTCTCAGACTGGATGGGAACCCAAATGATATTTAGTGGTGAAACCAAAGACTGAAGAAAAAAAATTGTCACAGAATCTCTCCCCATGTTCAGGCAGCAAAAGTGGAGGACTTATTGCTTATTCCGCTCTCAGACAAGCTGGACTCTACAAATTCATGAAGCTAAACCTTGTTGTCGCTTCAGTACATAAAGTACAACATTTTGTTTCGATGTCTGCGTCTTCTAAGACATTAGCCTGGTTCCTCTCACGCATTACTAGTTCTGTGTGTGTGTGTGTGTGTGTGTGCATTTTTCTTTCTCTCTGGATTTTCGACTTCCACCCCCAAATTACCCATTTTACTTTCTACATTCTTCACCACACAGCCCTTTCTTCTCTGTTCTTTTCATTTATCTAGAGCAAAGAAAATGCTAACCAAATCCCTGATACAAGAAAATTACACATATACCTACTATTTTTTTCAAAAATAGAAAAAGAGGCCAGGTGCAGTGGCTTACCCCTGTAATCCCAGCACTTTGGAGGCTGCAGTGGGTGGATCACCTGAGGTCAGGAGTTCGAGACCAGCATGGCCAACGTGGTGAAACCCCGTCTCTACTAAAATTACAAAAATTAGCTAGGTGTGGTGGTGGGCGCCTGAAATCCCAACTACTCAGGAGGCCGAGGCAGGAGAATCACTTGAACCCAGAAGGTGGAGGCTACAGTGAGCCAAGATCGCACCATTGCATTGCACTGCAGCCTGGGCAACAGGAGCGAAACTCTGTCTCAAAAAATAAAAGAAAAAAGAAAATGTCAAGTAGGTTTTTTTTGTTTGTTTTTTTTTTTGAGATGGACTCTCACTCTGTTTCTTTTGCCTGGGCTGGAGTGCAGCGGCGCGACCTCAGCTCACTGCAAACTCTGCCTCCCAGGTTCATGCCATTCTCCTGCCTCAGCCTCCCGAGTAGCTGGGACTACAGGCGCCGCTACCACGCTCAGCTAATTTTTTGTATTTTTAGTAGAGATGGGGTTTCACCGTGTTAGCCAGGATGGTCTCGATCTCCTGATCTCGTGATCTGCCTGCCTCGGCCTCCCAAAGTGCTGGGATTACAGGCGTGAGCCACCGTGCCCAGGCTGTAAGTTTTTATTCATTTATAAGTTGTTGTGATTTATCTTCTTTAAAATATTACAACATAGCTGGTAAGATATTGTATCGGATCAAGTTTTTGAAAACACTAAATTATAAAAATTATATAAATGGAAGACATTAATCTATGATATATGTTTTATTTTGTGGAAAAGAATTCTATTTTTGGAATTTCTTCCATATAATAAATATTTAAAGTTGGACTAAGGAAAACAACTATTCAAAATTAGTTATTTTGAATAGTTATTGAAAATATTCAAAATACAAAAATTTGTTCTCCAATTTTTCTAGAGTCATGAGTACACAATCTCACAAGGAACTATGGAAGACACTGATAAAAGTCAGTAAAGTAACTCAAGCTGGGAGTGGTGGCTCATACCTGTAATCCCAAAGACTTGGAGGTGGGAGGATTGCTTGAGGCCAGGATTTTGAGACCAGGCTGGGCAACATACTGAGACTCTGTCTCTAAAAAAAAAATGAAAAAAAAAAGATAGCCAGACCTGGTGGCCCATATCTGTAGTTCCAGTTAGTTGGGACACTGAGGCAGAAAGATCGCTTGAGCCCAGGAGTTTGAGGCTGCAGTTAGCTATGATTGTGCCACTGCACTTCAGCCAGGGCAACAAAGCAAGACCTGTCTCTTAAAAAAAAAAATCACTCAGAATGAGCCCATGTTTGTGGAACAATGAATGAAAAATAACCCATATCCAAACATGTGATGGTGAATTTTTGGAACACCTTGACTGAAGGGATAATCCTAAAAACAATCAGAGAGAAAAAACAAGCCACATTCAAAGAATTAGGTGTCAGAACAGTATATTGGACTCCTCAATGCAAACTGATGCCAGATGACAGTGGATGCCTTTTAACATTTTGAAGGATGATGACTTTCAATTTAGAATTCTATGTCTTGCTATACTATCAATCAAGCATGAGAGTGGAACAAAAACATTTTTAGATATATAATTACTCAAATGATACATCCCGGGCACCATTTCTTGAGACATACCGCAAGGATATGCTTTAGCAAAATACAGAAATACGCAAGAAAGAAGTAGACATGGAATCCAGGTAACATGGCTGCAATTCTAGAGACCTGGAAAGGGTAGTCCCAGGAAAACAGCTACTACAGGTCAGTAAAGTAACCAGCCCAGGCTGCAGCAGGGAGATGGAGGCCTCTGGCCAGGAGGCAAGGAAGTGTACAGAACTTCCCAGTTTCATCATTACTTTTTGCTCCATACACATGTGTTACTTTAGTAACATTTACATTAATATTTACAGTTATATCCTGTCTTGAATTGTCCTCACCACCACCTAGATGCATTCCTACCCAACCAAGTCCCCGCTGTACTGTGTACATACAGCTGCTGCAGCATGCATTACAGGGCCTCATCAACATTGGTTTATCTCCACAGTTAGGATGTGAGCTTTAAGAGGGCTGGTGCGCGGCCGGGTGCGGTGGCTCACACCTGTAATCCCAGCACTTTGGGTGACTGAGGCGAGTAAATCACTTGAGGTCAGGAGATCAAGACCATCCTGGCCAACAGGATGAAACCCCATCTCTACTACAAATACAAAAATTAGCTGGGTGTGGTGGCGCACGCCTTTAGTCCCAGCTACTCAGGAGGCTGAGGCAGGAGAATTGCTTGAACTTCCCAGTTTCATCATGACTTTTTGGAGGTTGCAGTGAGTCGAGATCGTGCCACTGCACTCCAGCCTGGCGACAGAGTGAGACACTGTCGCAAAAAAAAAAAAAAAAAAAAAAAGGGCCAGGGCCATGCAATTCATCTTGATTTTCTCAGCATCCAGCAGAGAGCCTCAGTGGACAGTAAAAGGTTCTTGTATCGGTTCCAACCCCGACAGTGCACCAACAGACAGCATGAGGCAGGGTGGAGCAACATGCTGTTTTAATGAGCGCCTGGTGCCTGCAGGCTGAGGCCTAAAATGGTGTCAGGACCAAATGACGACGGAGCAGGGGTTTTATAGTCTCCTGTAAACAGGAAGTGTCTCAGTCTGATGTAACTTCTAGGCGGTACCCGGACGGCCTCCCTCCTGATCTTCATGGGGTACGGGTCTTGCGACCAGGGTAGGTGTCTTCCGGCTGGCTCTCTTCCTGTGTCTGTTATCTTGCTGACACCTGCTGTTGGCGCGAGTGGCCTTGCCCCTTGGGACTGGGCCTGAGAAGGGAGGAGTTACTCAGCCCTTCAAGCTTTCAGGCCCCTGGGGAGAAGGGGATAATATATATATATTTTTTTTTTGGAGACGGAGTGTCGCTCTGTCACCCAGGCTGGAGTGCACTGGTGTGATCTCAGCTCACTGCAAGCTCTGCCTCCCGGGTTCACGCCATTCTTCTGCCTCAGCCTCCCAAGTAGCTGGGACTACACGTGCGCCCCACCAAGCCCAGCTAATTTTTTTGTATTTTTAGTATAGACGGGTTTCACCGTGTTAGCCAGGATGGTCTCGATCTCCTGACCTTGTGATCCCCCCCGCCTCGGCTTCCCAAAGTGCTGGGATTACAGCCGTGAGCCACCGTGCCTGGCCTTTTATTTATTTTTTTTGAGAGGGAGTCTTGCTCTGTAGCCCAGGCTGGAGTGCAGTGGTGCGGTCTCAGCTCACTGTGATCTCTGCCTCCCGGGTTCAAGCGATTCTCATGTCTCAGCCTCCCAAGTAGCTGGGGTTACAGGTGTCGGCCACCAGGCCCAGCTAATTTTTTTTATTTTTATTTTTTATTTATTTATTTTATTTATTTATTTTTTTTGAGATGGAATCTCACTCTGTCACCCAGGCTAGAGTGCGGTGGTGTGATCTCAGCTCACTGCAAACTCTGCCTCCCGGGTTTCACGCCCTTCTCCTGCCTCAGCCTCCCAAGTAGCTGGGACTATAGGCACCCGCCACCACACCCGGCTAATTTTTTTTTTTTTTTTGTATTTTTAGTACAGATGGGGTTTCACTGTGTTAGCCAGGATGGTCTCGATCTCCTGACCTCGTGATCCGCCCTCCGTGGCCTCCCAAAGTACTGGGATTTACAGGCTTGAGCCACCACGCCTGGCCGGGAAATGATTATTTCTAAAAGAAAAAATGTATTAGGCTGGGCGCGGTGGCTTACACCAGTAATCCCAGCACTTAGGGAGGCTGAGGTGGGTAGATCACCTGAGGTCAGTAGTTTGAGACCAGACTGGGCAACATGGGGAAGTCCCTGTCTCTACTAAAAATATAAAATATTAGCCGGGCATGGTGGCGTGCCTGTAATCCCAGCTGCTCAGGAGGCTGAGGCAGGAGAATTGCTTGAACCAGGGAGGTGGAGGTTGCAGTGAGCCGAGATCTCGCCATTGCACTCCAGCCTGGGCAACAAGAGCGAAACTCCATCTAAAAAATAAATAAATAAATAAATAAATAAATAAATAAATATTTTATATATATATATATATATATATATATATATATATATATATATATATTCATTCATTTAACAGATATTCAGAGTTCACTCTGGTCCAGAAACTCTTGTGTTTGCTGCAAGCCAGAAAAAGTCCTGTAGTGGGAGGGAGAGGAAATAGGTAGATCACAAATAAATACATGCAGGAATGCTGTGCTGGGAAAGGAAAGAGCGCAGGGTAAGGAGAGGGAATGTCAGCGGGGAGGAATGGTGTGGTACCATTCCTCCAGGTCTCACCTCCCTTCCTCCCTGTTCTTCCTCTGCTTCCCTCCACCCTATTAGAAAACAGGGCAGCCCTAAAAAAACACACAGCAAGATTTCAGTCAGAACACCCTTGAGCTAAGTAAGATTCCTCAAGTAGAGGAGGAAGAAGAGAGAGCAACTCCTCCCTCCTATGTTTAAGGTGATAAAGCAGAACAATTTCTATGGGACTCAGAAAAGGAGTCCCTGCATTCTCAAAGGCTGAAAAGGAGCTTCTGTGAAGACTTTGAAGAAATCAACACTTTCTTCACCAGAACAAGGGCTTTGAACTAAAAGCGAGGACCCAGGGTACCATTCCATGTTAGTTGCCATTCAGTGATAAATGGGATTTGGTTGTTATAAACGGCAATATGATTACTCTGTCGACATCAAACCTAAAGGAAAACTTTTAAGAATTGAGCTTTAAAATTCAGATCTCCAGCTGGGCACGGTGGCTCATGCCTGTACTTTGGGAGGCCGAGGCGGGTGGATTACCTGAGGTCAGGAATTTGAGACCAGCATGGCCAACATGATGAAACCCCGTCTCAACCAAAAATACAAAAAATTAGCCGGGCATGGTGGCAGGTGCCTGTAGTCCCGGCTACTTGGGAGGCTGAGGCAGAACTGCTTGAACCCGGGAGGCAGAGGTTGCAGTGAGCCGAGATCTCGCCATTGCACTCCAGACTGGGTGACAGAGTGAGATTCTGTGTTTAAAAAAAAAAAAAAAGGGCTGGGTGTGGTGGCTTATGCCTGTAGTCCCAGCTCTTTGGGAGGCCCAGGCGGGTGGATCATGAGGTCAGGAGATCGACACCATCCTGGCTAACACGGTGAAAAACCCCGTCTCTACTGAAAAATACAAAAAATTAGCCAGGTGTGGTGGTAGGTGCCTGTAGTCCCAGCTACTTGGGAGGCTGAGGCAGGAGAATGGTATGAACCCGGGAGGCAGAGCTTGCAGTGAGCCAAGATCGTGCCACTGCACTCCAGCCTGGGCGACAGAGCGAAGACCCCATCTCAAAAAAAAAAAAAAAAAAAAAATCCTCTAATTTTTTAAACATACATAATCAAAAAGGATTAATTTTTGTTGGTACTTGTGATAACTCATGCTTACTAACCCCCCAAATATATAGGCATACATTATTATCTCAGAAAAATGAAAACATATCAAAATACTCAGTCTTTGTTCACAGTTCTTATGTTAACACTAAAAATGCTACAAAAGATAGCTGCTTTATCTTGTGAGTATTTAAAAATGAGTATTTATTGGTAGACAGTATTTTTTAAAACAAATATAGGGCAATTACCAACCTTTTAGTCATGTCTTTATTTTAACAAAAAATGTAAACTTACAGAATATCAGTTTTCTGAAAAATCCCAAAGCCTGAGTAATAGGATTATAATTTAACAGTTACATATGCCCCTACATTTATTACCTTTTCATTTGTCTTTTCTAACTCTCATAGTTGAGAGATCTAGCAAATACCTTGCACTGGTCTAAAAATCTTTGGAAATCTTATACAACCTTTAAAAAAGTCTATGTCTCTGATTATAATTATTATAACTGTTCTCCCCAAACCTCCTGCACATAGTATCCCTTACCAATGATAGCCATCAACCTACAAACTAGAGAAATACATATACATGTTTGTTAGCTGGAAGCATGTGTACTTAGTGTCAAGAATCTACAGGTTTCTAGGTTCCTCAATGGCGGTCAGTGTGGATACAGCCACCCAGCAGACAGTAAACAGCAACTACTAAATACCACTAATGCTATGGTTCACGGTAGATAGGAGCAGGAATAATAGTAGACCAATACAGAGTGACAAGCTTGAAATCTTCCAATGATATAAAACCCATTTTCAATGGGACATTAAATACTTAACAATTTGTAGAAGTCCTTGAGGAGCTGATCAGGAAAATGATTGGTTCATAAAATCGACCTCAGTAAAGTACGGGCTAGAAGTTGCCATGATATCTCTCTCCACGTGCATCATCACAATTTCCCATGGCAGAAAGTGGAGTGTGGTGTTCCTTGAAGCTTGGCACATGAGATGCTGGCCAGGTGAGTTGGGGGTGGGGAGGACACAGTTCAGAGGCTTCTAATTGTGAACTATCTTTCCTTTCCCTGCTGCCACATCACCCCACCACACATGTACCAACCATGGACTATAGACTATCAGTACCTCTCCACTCATCAGGAGACAAAGTGGAAAACAATTTACTCCTCCCCTCAAAAATGTGGGGACCCCCTCATCTGCTGTGTGCAAAGCACTTTGCTAGGTGCTATGTAAAGGTGTTGAGGCATGGTGCACTATTTGAGGACAGTCATAAAAGATTTATGAAAGTACTAAGTAAAAGCTTAGCATGGGTGTGTCTGGAAATGGAGTGCTGAAGTCCCTTTAAACCCCCGGAGTGCCTCTAATGAAGCATGAAGGTGTTGGGGCCAGTATCTTCGTCCACAGCATTTTCTCCCCTCACCACCACTTTTTTCTTCTCTCATCCGCCAAACAGAGCACAAGTAGGAACCTGCACCTCCTCAATGGACAGGAGATCTGCAGCAGGGTGGGTGGGCAGATGGAGACTTTCTTTTTTGTTTTTTGTTTTTGAGACAGAGTTTCACTTTTGTTGCCCAGGCTGAAGTGCAATGGCACCATCTCTGCTCACTGCAACCTCTGCCTCTTGGGTTCAAGCGATTCTCCTGCCTCAGCCTTCTGAGTAGCTGGGATTATAGGCGCCCACCATCATGCCCGGCTAATTTTTTGTATTTTTAGTAGAGATGGGGTTTCGCCATGTTGGCCAGGCTGGTCTCAAACTCCTGACCTCAAGTGATCCACCCGTCTCGGCCTCCCTAGTCCTGGGATTACAGGCGTGAGCCACAGCACCCAGCCCAGATGGAGACTTTTTAAAACCCACAGCTATTTTGATGTTGTTGTGATTTTTTTTCCCACAACTTTTACTTCTTTATTTATTTTTTTCCACCTCTTCTCATTATCACTCTTTTCTTCAGCCTCCTCAACTTTTTCACTTCCTAATCTTTTCCTTTCTTCTCCTTAAGTTATATAAAACAGCTGGAAATAGAGCTCTTACAGGAAGATAAGACCATTGCTGAAGAGGAGGGGATGATTCCCTTTTAGATCCTAGAAGTTATATTCAGGCACCCCATATTTTCATGCATGTGTGTATTTTGCTTGTCATTTGCATTGTGGTTGAATCCCTAAAATAAGATTTTAATTGATATTAAATCCTGTCTACTATGGACCTGTGAACCCTACACAAATAGGGGCCCAGGGATAAAGTCACTCTTGGTGTTGTTAAGGAAAGAATATACATGAAGCAATAAAGCATGGATCAGAGAAGCCCAAATTTGAATTCTCTCCATTATCACTTACTGGTTGTATGACCTTGGGAATTATTTATTTATTTATTTATTTATTTATTTATTTATTTATTTATTTTCTGAGACAGTCTTGCTCTGTTGCCCGGGCTGGAGTACAATGGCGCAATCTTGGCTCACTGCAACCTCCACCTCCCAGGTTCAAACGATTCTCATGCCTCAGCCACCCGAGTAGCTGGGATTACAGGCACCTGCCATCATGCCCGGCTAATTTTTTTTTTGTATTTTTGTAGAGACTGGGTTTCGCCATGTTGGCCAGGCTGGTCTTGAACTCCTGACCTCAGGTGATCCACCCACCTCAGCTTCCCAAAGTGCTGGGATTCCAGGCGTGGGCCGCTGCGCTTGGCTGGGAAAATTTCTTAACCCCTCCAAACCTGTGTCCTCCTCTGTAAAATGGATTAGCTATTGCTGTTGCTGATGTTAGTATCACAAATGCTCTTCAACTTACAATGTGGTTGTAACTCCCATAAACCCATCGTATATTGAACATATTGTAAGTCAAAAATGCATTTTGGTCAGGTACAGTGGCTCACGCCTGTAATCCCAGCACTTTGGGAGGCCAAGGTGGGCGCATCACTTGAGGCCAGGAGTTCAAGACCAGCCTAGCCAACATGGTAAAACCCCGTCTGTACTAAAAATATAAAAACTAACCAGATTTGGTGATGCAGGCCTGTTAATTCTAGCTACTCAGGAGGCTGAGACAGGAGAATCGCTTGAACCCAGGAGGTTGAAGTGAGCCGATATTCCACCACTGCGCTCCAGCCTGGGCGACAGAGTGAGACTCCGTCTCAAAAAGAAATAAAAAGAAATGCGTTTAATACACCTAACCTACCAAACATCACAGCTTAACCTAGCCTACCTTAAACGTGCTCAGAACTCTTACATTCGCCCACAGTTGGGCAAAATCATCTAACACAGAGCCTATTTTATAATAAAGTGCTGACTATCTCATGGTTGTTTAACCCTCCTGATCATGTGGCTGACTGGGAACTGTGGTCCACTAAGGCTGCCCAGCATCGTGAGAGAGCATCACATCGCGTTTCACTACCCTGGGAAAAGATCAAAATTCAAAATCCAAAGTACAGTTTCTACTGAATGTGTATTGTCTTTGCGCTATTGTAATGTTAAAAAATTGTTAGTCAATCCGTTGTAAGTTGGAGACCTGTATTTTGGTTTCCAAACATCTTACCTTCTTAGTTGTTCTCTGCTTGCATTCTTGGCTGTCTTTGCCTCTGAAAATGTAGAATTCAGAGATGACTATAATATGCCAGAACCAGTATGACCAAAGTGGTGTATATGAAACTAAGCTTTCCTTGTCCTGGACAATACACATCAATGAGCACAGCACAGGTTTGCATTAGTGAGACTGACAATCACACACATTGGTGGTCCAGTTGTAATCCATACCTGCAGGTCTTCTCACCAACTGCACCAATAGTCAGGTTTCCCCATGCCCAACCCTGACTCTTATCCATCAATGCAACTAAATTAACCAAAGAGTAGGAGTTTATGTTTATCTCAGTGAAATTCCATGCTACATGAAAAGCAAGGGAGATATTTCACATCCCCTATCTACAAGTTGTCTGTGGTTTACTAGTCCATGCAAAGCAGAAAAATGATGGTAGTCTCAGGTAGATTGCGAGGAGAATGGGGAGTGTGACAGAAAGAACCAGTGAGAAGTGTCATTTCAGAGCACAGGAAATAGAGAATCAACTCTCAGCTAATAAAAATTACCTTGTTAGAGTCTGTCAGTAGTTCTATCTGTCTGCATCTGGCTATCACTCCTCTGTCTCTTCTACTTTTCACAGTATACTCAGAATTCTAAGGACAAAAACTCTGAGTCAGGTAGACTTGGGGGAAAATCATGCCTTTGTCATCTATCTGCTGTGTGATCTAGACTAAGCGACTTAATCTTTCTGAGCTTCTGCTCATCTGTAAAATGAGAATAGTTTTACCAAACTTACCTAGTTATGAGGATTGAGTGAGATAAAACTTCTAAAGCACCTGGAACAGGGTATCTATTCACCTAGTAGTAACTATAAAAATGGATAGGCATATGAAAACATTAGAAAGTTTGTTGGAAGACTATTGAGAGCCCATTCTAATGCAATGGCTCAGATGAGAGGTACTGAGAGCTGAAACATGGCAACTATTCCAAAGGGTGGCCTTTGGGAAATCAAGGCCTCCAGGACAAGGTTCAAGCTCCTGGCTAGGCGTGGTAGCTCATGCCTGTAATCCCAGCACTTTGGGAGGCCGACGCAGGCAGATCACGAGGTCAGGAGATCAAGACCATCCTGGGTAACATAGTGAAACCCCATCTCTACTAAAAATACAAAAAATTAACCGGGTATGGTGGTGGGTGCCTGTAGTCCCAGCTACTCAGGAGGAGGCAGGAGAATGGCGCAAACCTGGGAGGCGGACCTTGCAGTGAGCCGAGATCTCGCCACTGCACTCCAGCCTGGCCAACAGAGCGAGACTCTGTCTCAAAAAAAAAAAAAAAAGTTTCAAGCTCCTTTGCATGGCATGCTTCTTTTCTCTCCAACGTGGCCTGCACTCTAGCTGTACTAAACTACCTGTAGTTTCCTGAATATGCCTTGGTCTTTCATACTTCAATGCCTTATTCCTAATTTTCTCTCTGGAAGGCCAATCCAGTCCAACTAGAAAACTTCAACTCACCCTCCAGATTCACCACAGATACAAGCTCCCCTGCGCAGCACATGTTAGGTGATATTTCTCCATGAGACTCTTGCACAACTTGCAAGAAAAACACTGAATGCACTTTGATGTGAACTATATCTTCAAGAATGTTTGTATAGTGAACAGCCTTGGAAGACAAAGATAGTGTCTCCCTCCAAAGCAAGGCAGGCATGCTTACGGCCCATTGTAAAAGATTTGGGTTCTCTAAGTTTTGTAACACAACCCACTGCATGTACAGGACAAGAGTCCTCTAAGACTCTTCCCATTGCTGGCTCCCTTTGTGTTGCTCTGTGGGATTTGAGACCCGGGAATTGACGCAAAATTGCTGATACTCTGATTATTACTATTGCCAAGAACAAAATAATGTCCTTCATCTCTGACACTGCATCCATGAAACAGTGGCAGGCTAACTTGTTGGCTTGCAAGCAAGATAAAATTTGAGACTCCTCACGTTTTTTGGTAGCATGCTCTCTCCTTTCCCATCTCATTCCACCATAGGAATATAAATTGCTCCTTAAACTCTGTTCTTACATTATCCTGAACATTACAGCCTTCATCATAATATTCAGTATCTATATAATTTTCTTTCTTTCTTTTCTTTTTTGAGACGAAGTCTTGCTCTGTCGCCCAGGCTGGAGTGCAGTGACGCGATCTCGGCTCACCGCAACCTCCGCCTCCTGGGTTCACATGATTCTCCTGTCTCAGCCTCCTGAGTAGCTAGGATTACAGGCATGTGCCACTGCATCTGGCTAATTTTTTGTATTGTTAGTAGAGACGAGGTTTCACCCTGTTGGCCAGGCTGGTCTTGTACTCTTGACCTCAGGTAATCCACCCGCCTCAGCCTCCCAAAGTGTTAGGATTACAGGCGTGAGCCACTACACCCAGTCAGTATTTATATAATTTTCTTATAGCTGTATTTCTAACATCTATCCATTCCTGAAACACATTTTATGCTCAGAACTTTGTTGAATGAGTGACTGTGGCCAGCCCTCAGCTGTTCCTCTAAGACTCTTCCCATTGCTGGCATACGTCCACAGGGATGCCCAGTGCCCTTGGCCTTAGTTCTAAACGTCCTGTGCTCCCCTCTGCACACCCTTCATCACTTCTCTTTTCCTGCCCCTTCATCTCTGGTGCCTGAATTACTTCTGGCTCCTGTTTCCTCCTCTCTTCCTCTCTGTTGGAAATTGTTGTACTCCTCATCTTCACTTGAGGAGTCCCTCAGGACCTCTTTTCTTAGTCTCCAACTTCCTAGACAACTACCAGGAGTGGAGAAAACTCTCATTCTATGTAACGTTTTTTTTTTTTTTTTTTGAGATGGAGTCTCGCTCTGTTGCCCAGGCTGGAGTGCAGTGACACGCTCTCGACTCACTGCAACCTCCGCCTCCTGTGTTCACGTGATTCTCCTGCCTCAGCCTTCCGAGTAGCTGGGAGTACAGGCATTTACCACCACACCTGGCTAATTTTTGTATTTTCAGTAGAGATGAGGTTTCACCATACTGGCCAGGATGGTCTCAAACTCCTGACCTCAGGTGATCCACCTGTCTTGGCCTCCCAAAGTGCTGGGATTACAGGCGTGAGCCATCACGCCCAGCCCATGTAACATATTAATTACACATTGTGTTAAATGCAAAATCAGATAAACATGTCCTTAAGCTCATGATAATAAATGTAGACTAGACAAAGAAAACCCCAAATACAGGACTTTGTAATCCTCTTCCAGAGAGTTTTCTCCCAATTGCTCTCCATCTATTTAATCAGCATTTTGGTACAGTAATTCATTATTCCTTTAGTCAGCGAAGATCTATTCAATTCTTAATAACTGCAAGGCAATGTCCTTCACATTGTGAATAACACAAAGGTGGATTAGGTATGATTTGTGATCTCAAGATGCTTACTGGCTCGCGATAAAATACTTACAAGTTCTGTGCCACAAAAGTACAGTAAGATTTCAGATAAAATCAGATCTGCACTGTCCCTGAAAATATATTAAGATTTGGAAAGGTCTCAATGTCAGTATGGGTGTGAAGGGTAAGGGGAGTATTTAAGTTTAGGGAAGAGACCCTGCAAAGGCTCAGAGTCAGGACAATTCAAGTGCTGTTAGGAAAACACCAGATAGCTCACCCTGGCCTGAGTGTTTAATACATATAGGGAAAAATTGACTGTACAGTTGTAATGGTAGTTTGGGAGCAGATCAGAGGGTCCTTAGAATTAAGAAGTTTGTAATGAACACTTTGTCATTTTATAGGCAAAGAGGACATTTTACAGGTAATGAGGCTGTGAAAGATTTTGATCAGCAGAAACACTGTATCACAGGAAAATTCACCTGGTAGCAACTATAAACATGGATAGGCATATGAAAAGATTGGAAGTTTGGTTGGAAGTCTATTGAGAGCCCATTCTAATGCAATGGCTCAGACGAGAGGCACTGAGAGCTGAAACATGGGCAGCAGCAAGAGAAACTTAATGGAGAGTGGATTTTTAAAAGGTTCCAGGGAGGTACTTGGCAACAGAGAGTTTTTGAGTGGGAGCGAATAGGAGCTTCCATCCGATGTTATCTTGCATAATCCCTTTAGTACTCAATCAATATTTATTCATCTAATGCTTAAGAATATCATGAGATTTGAGTGGTCAAATGTCTTGTTGAAATGAAAATGTTTTGCTTTTCCATTTTCTTTTCTTTTCTTTCTTTTTTTTTTTTTTTTTTGACGGAGTTTTGCTCCTGTTGCCCAGCTGGAGTGCAATGGTGCAATGACACAATCTGGGTTCACTGCAACCTCTGCCTCCTGAGTTCAAGCGATTCTCTTGTCTCAGCCTCCCGAGTGGGTGGGATTACAGGCAGGTGCCACTACACCTAGATAATTTTTTTTTTTTTGAGATGGAATCTCATTCTGTCACCCAGGCTGGGGTGCAATGGTGTAGTCTCGACTCACTGCAATCTCTGCCTCCCAGTTCAAGTGATTCTCCTCCCTGAGCCTCCCAAGAAGCTAGGACTACAGGTGTGTGCCACCACACCCGGCTAATTTTTGTATTTTTATTTTTATTATTATTATTATTTGAGATGGTGTCTCGCTCTGTCGCCCAGGCTGGAGTGCAGTGGCTTGATCTTGGCTCACTGCAAGCTCCGCCTCCCGGTTCACGCATTCTCCTGCCTCAGCCTCCAGAGTAGCTGGGACTACAGGCGCCCGCCACCACGCCTGGCTAATTTTTTGTATTTTTTAGTAGAGACAGGGTTTCACCATGTTAGCCAGGATGGTCTCGATCTCCTGACCTCATGATCCCCGTGCCTCGGCCTCCCAAAGTGCTGGGATTACAGGCATGAGCCACCGTGCCCTGCAATTTTTGTATTTTTAGTACAGACGGGGTTTCACTGTTGGTCAGGCTGGTCTTGAACTCCTGACCTCAGGCAATCCGCCCGCCTTGGCCTCCCAAAGTGCTGGGATTACAGGCATGACCCACCATGCATAGCCTCCATCACTGCATTTCCTATGCATTTATGTGCAATTATTTTTATTGTGGTAAAAAATACATAACATAAATTTACCATCAATAATTTTTATTTTGTTTATTTGTTCATTTTTAGAGACAGGGCCTCACCGTATTGTCCAGGCCAGCCTCAAACTCTTGGCCTCAAGTGATCTTCCTTCTTCAGCCTCCTCAATAGCTGGGACTACAGGCACATGCCACTGCACCCAGCCCCTCTTATTTTTTTTTTTTTTTTTGAGATGGAGTCTTGCTTTGTCACCCAGGTTGGAGGGCAGTGGTGCAACCTCAGCTCACTGCAACCTCTGCCTCCTGGGTTCCAGTGATTCTCGTGACTCAGCCTCTTGTGTAGCTGAGACTGCAGGCATTTGCCACCATGCCCGCCTAATTGTTTTTGTATTTTTAGTAGAGATGGGGTTTCATCATGTTGGTCAGGCTGGTCTTGAACTCCTGACCTCACGTGATGCACCTGTCTCGCACTACCAAAGTGCTGGGATTACAGGTGTGAGCCACCGTGCTTGGCCTATTTTTAACTTTTTTTTTTAAGTAACTCCATACTGTTTTCCATAGCAGTTGCACCATTTTACAATCCCAACAGTTACAACTCACTTTTGTTTTTATTTATATTTTTCTTTTCTTTGTAGATAAAGGCTTGTTTTGTTTTAATAACTGAACTATGTAATCATGGAGGCTAGTATGTACAGACAAAGGGGGAGGTTTTATTTCTTGGTCTCTTCCTCCTTGAACAAAGTCTTGGTGATCTTCTCCTTCTTGGCTTGGAGGCACTCTTTATGGCGCTTGCGTGCTTCCTTGGTCTTAGACCTTCGGGCCTCAGCCTGGTCAGCCAGGAGCTTCTTTTTTTTTTTTTTTTTTTGAGATGGAGTCCTGCTCTGTTGCCCAGGCTGGAGTGCAGTGGCGCGATCTTGGCTCACTGCAAGCTCTGCCTCCTGGGTTCACACCATTCTCCTGCCTCAGCCTCCCAAGTAGCTGGGACTACAGGTGCCCATCAATGTGCCCCGCTAATTTTTTGTATTTTTAGTAGAGACTGAGTTTCACCATGGTGTCGATCTCCTGACCTCGTGATCCACCCGCCTCGGCCTCCCAAAGTGCTGGGATTACAGGCGTGAACCACTGCGCCCGGCCTCACTTTTAAAATAACCAATTTCAAAATATTTCTGATGACAAATATTAAGCTCATCAGGAGTGATTACTGAAATGTGAATATAGTGGCAGGTAATCCTCATCAGGGCTTGGTCTTCTAATCATCATAGTAGGAGCTCAATAATTATTTGTTAAATGAAAAATTGAACAACTCACTAGACTTTTGCTGTCTTTTGCCACTGTGATTCATAAACTCCTGCAAATGGCCTTGTGATTTCATAGAACCAGATAATGTTGAGAGGTCAAAGGGCTTGAAGATATTTGCTACAGCTCTATAATTTGATGGGTGAAGTTACGTGATTTTTTTCCCCTCAGAGTTGGGACATAGACTTGAATTTGTTAAAGAAATAATTCTGTATATTTATTTTAAACCTACCCTCAGATTTCAGTTCTCTTTAACTATATAGACTCTACTCTTTCTGGTCTAAAAATAATTGTTTTGGAATATGAAAGCAAAATAGGGCTTAGGTAGTTGTTTATCTCAACATTTATCCTCCAGATGGGTAGCTTTGGGAAGTTAGACACTCAGGCACTTCTAACCTCTTTCAGGACCAGCTTAGAAACTACTGAAAGAAGTCACGAGAGTCACCATCAGCATAATCACCAAACAAATTAATCAGCTTTGACTCCTAAAAACTTTTCAATATCAAGCCCACTCTGAAAGGACAAAGATTTGCCACTATTGGGAATATTTATTTACTAAATATAATAATGGCAATTATTTATAGAGCTATGCACCAGGTATTTTCCATGCATGCATCATTTTATATCACAGCAGCCCATCAGTATTCTTCAGTTCTTTTTTTTTTTTTTTTTTTTGAGATGAAGTCTCGCTCTGTCGCCCAGGCTGGAGTACAGTGGCACAATTTCAGCTCACTGCAGCCTCTGGCTCCCGGGTTCAAGCGATTCTCCTGCCTCAACTTCCCGAGTAGCTGGGACTACAGGTGCGTGCCACCACCAATTAACTTTTGTATTTTTAGTATGGACGGGTTTCACCATGTTGGCCAGGCTGGTCTTGAACTCCTGACCTCAGGTGATCCACTCACCTTGGCCGCAAGGTGGTGGGATTACAGGCGTGAGCCACCGTGCCTGGCGCCCATCAATACTATTCTTATTTCCATTACCTGAATTAGGTCTGAGTGCACGAGTGACTTGTCTATATAATGCAAAAATTTGAATGCTAGTCTGTTAGATACCAAAAACCAGACTTTTAACTACCTCAGTATTACACACTATATGCAAGATACTCTGCTGGATGGAAATTGTGGGGCATCACAGAACTAGATAACAAGTCCTTAAATAGCTTATGTAGCCTAGTACATGATATAAGACAAGTATTATACATGAGAGAAAATGTAAGTGTCCAAGCAGACATGTACTGTGTTATTCAGGAAATATAAGCACTTGGGATCGACTAAAAGGGAACAGGGAGAAGGGGAAGGGGGAGAATGTGATACAATGAAAAAAATAGTCTAATGGCAAACAGGAATATCATTTTGTATAAATTTGAATTATCAGAAATTGAAAACGTACTTGCAAATGTTTCGTTTTATTACCTCTCAACGTTTTCCCTTCCCACATACCTTTATTCTGATGCTTAGAAATAGTCCAAATTCATTTAAGTTTCAAATACAGTTTTGGAAGCAACATACCAAGGATATTACTGTTTTACATGCAGTTAAGTTGAAATTGCTAAATAGGCTGTTCCTTACTATAATGAGCTTAAGGGGGAAAGGTAGTGCTATCCTAATGTTCTAAACTATTTTTTTTCACTACTTCTTCATCAGGAGGGTTTATTTACTCACTTATTGGAAACAGGCTGGAGTGCAGTGGCCTGATCATAGCTCACCCCAGCCTCGACTTCTGGTCTCAAGTGATCCTCCCACCCCAGCCTCCCAAGTAGCTGGGACTACTGGAGCGGCTAAGTTTTGGGGGTACGGGGGTCAGTGGTGTGTAGAGACGGGGGCGGTCTCCCTATGTTGCCCAGGTTGGTCCCGAACTCCTGACCTCAAGTGATCCGCCCGCCCCGGTCTCCCAAAGTACTGGGATTACAAATATGAGCCACCGCACCGTCCCAGGAGGATTTCTGGAACGTGCTAAAGGCAGTAAGTGTGTTGATGTCGTGGTAACCAAAGCTAGATTTCCATCAGCAGCTTTCATGAAGGCTAGCTTTTAGCCTGTGCCCTCATCATGTGCCACAGATTCAGTTTTGGATTAGCAAATGTTAATCCACATGTAAACGCTATGATCCACACGCTTAGCAATCTGATTACATTCTTTAAATGTACGTTTTAACTCCTGTTATCCTTAATTAAACTTAGATGTGAACAAATTCACATTTGTGTCTTAGTTTAATTTATAACCAAGTAATCTATCAAAGCCTGCTCCCCCATAGCAAGCTCACAGAATCTACAAATCTCTTGATCTCGCCTCTGCTCTCAGGACAGAGCCTTTTGTGTGCACAGTTCTCACAAATTAAAGAACTTGACTAACTTGAAGAAAAGATAATAAACCCTCTCCCCCTAAAGGCGATTGTTCATTTGAGACCACTCTTCGGAGATATTTTTAAGCCCGCGCTGCATCTAATGGGGGCAGGGAGAAGAAGAGCCGTGCCCAAATGCAGGGGGCATCTCCGGGGGCTTATCATCCGGAGATGCCTCCAGTGGAGCAGACAAATCTCTGAAGTGAGAAAGAGTGAGATTTCCCTGCACCGGGCCTCTGCGTGTGAGGGTAGGAGGGTGTAGGAGGGGGTGGGCGGGGGCCATCAAGGGAGAAGCCTCCGGCCTTTCCCTGTCTCTCAACACTAGCCCTCCCCGGCCGCCTCCCCTTCCCCAATCCTCAACTAGCCGCGGGAGGGGGGCCCCGGAGGCTGGCTGGGCCAGGAGGCTCGGCCTTTGTGGCTCTGTCCCCGACGGTGGCGCGGAGGCAGAGGGGGCGGGGACGCGGGCCGGAGACCCTCAGCCGGGGCTTGACCCCCAGGTGCATTGTCCGGCGGGACCCGTACCCTTCCCCCAGGGCTCCGACCCGGCCGCCACTGGCCCCCTCCCAGCGTCTCCCTCCGCCGGCCGCGCCGACCTCCCTGGCCCAGACCAAGGGCCAGATGTAGAAAGTAGTCCCAGGCCCGCGGCCGCGGCGCTGTCCACTCCGCCGCCCCCGCCCTCTGCAGCCGCCGCCTCACTCCGCCCCCAGCCGGACTCTCAGGCCCCTTGCTTCTCGCGAGCGGCCGTCCGAGCACCAGCCTCGCCGCCGCAGAGACGCTCGCCACGCCGGTGCCGGAGCCGGAGCGGGGAGCCAGGCTGCGTGCGACCAGCCGCAGAGCAGAGAGCGCCCGGGGCGGGGGCCGCAGACGGACAGGGGCTCTGGGCGGCCGGGGAGCATGCCCGCGCGGCTACGCTGAATGGCGCCTCCTCTGCGACCCCTCGCCCGGCTGCGACCGCCGGGGATGCTGCTCCGCGCGCTCCTGCTCCTGCTGCTGCTCAGTCCTTTGCCAGGTGGGCGCGCTTTCTTCTGCTTTCTCTTACCGCTGTGGGGCGGGAGCGGGCGCGAGTGGGATGGGGAAAGAGGAAACGATGGGGCGTGGGGAGCGCGCGGCGGGGTCCTCCGTGGTGGCGCTGACCCCCGGCCCCCGCTCTCGCCCTGCGGCCTGTCCGGAACCGCCAGCTGCAGACACTAGTTGCTTGCGGCCTCTGCGCTGCTTGGGCAGGGCTGCGGGAGCTTCTCCGGGCGCACGCCCCTCCGCGCCGCGCGCCCGTGGCTGCGGAGTTCTGGCGGCCGCTGTCCACTCTGGTCTCTTCCTTCTCGCGCCATTGTCCCGGCTCCGGCCGCGTCCGCGCCTCCGCGACCGGCCGGACTCCGGGTCGCCAGCCCGCCGGGGCCGCCGCGGCTGCACGTGGCTTTATTTATATTGTTTCCTTAGTGGCAGCCTCGCCGTGCAGGGGGCGCCGCGGTTCCTCGCGGCTTCCCGTGTCTGTTGTGGGAGTTCCCCCACTTTTTAGGGCTGCGAGAGGGAATAGGTGAACTCATAACCCCAATCGGCACCAGCTTGCCGGATCTGGATCCAGCCAGGAGGAGATGGGAGGGTGGAATTGGCAGGGTTGGAAGTGAAGTGGCCGATTTGTGCCCCGGAAAGGAGGGGGGAAAAGTCCCCGAAGCTGAAAAGGAAGGTAGGTAAATAGGATTTATCTCCTACAGCTAGGTATTTGGGGGCAGGGCCTGAAGTGTGTACGGCTCTGAAGATTCTTCCAAATTCTAGATTTGCCTTGCACAAACTTGGATGAACTCGTTTTTCTACCTTGCGTCCGTATTGGTTTCCTAGAAGAGATAAAAGTGTAAAGTGAATGGGGTGACGGTAGGAGAGGTGTTCAGGAGAATGGGTTATTTTATTTATTTGCAGGTTACAGACGCTAGGCTTTTTCTGCAATGGGGTTAGTTTCTGTTAGGCTTGAAAAAAGGATCAAAGTCAGATGTGGCTCAGAAACACAATGGGCGCCTTCCGGAGTGGTCCGCGCACAGCGCTGGGCTGTTAGGGTGGCTCGCGTCGCCCTGGGCATACATTACGGGAAGCAGGGAGCCTTGAAGAGTGAGTATTCCGAGGACCTGCCTTGAGGAGAAACAAATCATTTCTGGGGGTTTGTAATCAAGGATCCACAACGATCAGGAGGAAGGTGAAGCAACGCTTCCCCCACACACCCCCATTCTCCATTCACCCCCAATCAATACGTGAGACTTTAAGACGGCCTGTGCACTAAATGCAGGAGGTGACAGAGTATTGTATGGTCATCGAATGCTTTATCCTGGCGAGGGCCCAGGGGCGATGTGTATATGCTTAGGATAAAGCCTTTCCTCTGCTCTGATAAAAATGTGTATTGGTTGATTAAGCGATCTCCTATCCCTATTAGACAGTAAGGACCAATTAGTCACGCATTTTTTCCAACAGTTGGTAGTTCTAGAAAAGTGAAATAAAAGTTTCTTAATCCGATCACCCACTGAGTACAAGCAGCAAGAGTTACCAACTTTTCAAAGTCTATTGTTTGTCTTTTAAATACCTAGCTTGCTTTGCAGAAATTAAGTAAATGGATTTCTTTCAAGGAGAGGAGATAGAGTCCCTGCTGTAAAAGGGCAGATAGAAAAATGCAAACTTGTAATTTGTCACAAAAGATAAACGCAGTTCCCAAAGGAGTAGGTGCCACGGGTTCCAAAAACACTTCAAGGGACAAGGAAATAAACTTGCTTGTTCACAGAGTTGGAGTTTTGCTAATGATTTCTTGTAAAATTAGACTTTTACGACTTACTCTGTTCAAGATCTTTTTGACAAGCTTGTAAAAGCAAACAGCTTGTGCTCATGAGTTTTCCTGATGATTTTGAAACTCTAGCAAGGAACTTGAGAGCAGAATTTATACAAAGCATAGAAGTTATTGAAATCTTCCCTATGCTTTTAGTGAAGATGTAAAAAGTGATTTCTCCGACTTGTTGAAAGAGTTTGCTGAAATTTAGATTGGTTCATTAAGGTGTTTGTAAGTTAACTAATAAAATTTATTAAACTTCGTCATCTCATACCCTGAATATGTGTTTTACAGTTGTGTGTTAAGGAATCATTTTATGCCTGTAATTCTGGATGTGCCGTTCTCCTTTTTTTTCCTTATAGGAGTGTGGTGCTTTAGCGAACTGTCTTTTGTAAAAGAACCACAGGATGTAACTGTCACAAGAAAGGACCCAGTCGTTTTAGATTGCCAGGCTCACGGAGAAGTTCCTATTAAGGTCACATGGTTGAAAAATGGAGCAAAAATGTCTGAAAATAAACGGATCGAGGTTCTTTCTAACGGCTCTTTATACATCAGTGAGGTGGAAGGCAGGCGAGGAGAGCAGTCCGATGAAGGATTTTATCAGTGCTTGGCAATGAACAAATATGGAGCCATTCTTAGTCAAAAAGCTCATCTTGCCTTATCAAGTAAGTGTTTAAGTTTTTAGTTGTTGACATTTTTCATTGCTACATTTTGATGATTTCTTGCTTTATTAATATAATAATCCCCCGAATCATGCATGCATTAAGAATTTTACTGGAGATAATAGTTGATGCTAACTGAGGCATATAGAGAAATCTGAAAAAAATACGTATATAAATTCAAATGAGTAATTGAGAACAGAAGTCAAATTAGGTTTAGAACACCAAGTAAAATGAAACCTGTAGAGGTGGCTTTATAAAAATTTTAAGCATTTCACGAAGTATGAAGAGTTGGATGTAGAAGTTTGGCCAACGCAACAAAAGTTGTTCTAAAATTTAATCTTATGGAAATTAGTAATTAATGAAAACAATCACAAGCAAATTGTTCTGCTTTGCAGATGGTTCTTGAGTGCTAAATCTTTCTTATAGCACAGGCTTCCATTTCTCTGACTGCTTTTAGATCACCCATGTTGCCTTTTAATTGTATGAGAGGGCATTGGTCAGTCACTCTTAAGCCTTTGAAGTATTCCTAGTCTTTTCCTGCTGGGAGGGAAAGAGATTAAGGCCATTTCCATATTATGCCTAATGGACTTAAACCCATATCTGCTCACTTTTTCCCTTTTGTCATAAAGTGTGCTATCTAATGATTTCTTTTGTATTAACATCCCCATCAGATCAACCATTTGTCCAAGTGATCCATTGCTTGGTGGTTGACCTGTAACTGTTGCGTGTAAAGATAGGCCTAGGACAAGTACTGAACTCCTTATGCCCACTGAGGCTTTACATCTTTTTCAGGTGATGAAACACGCAGCTCTCAAGATTAACAGACTAAATCTCGAAAACCAAAATTGAATCTTAAAAGTTTTAAGGCATTTGACCTGCATGCTTTTTGTTAATCCACAAAGCATAGATTTCGCACTATACCTACAAATTGATCATTTACAAGTTGAGCAATAGGTAGATGGCATTCTTGAGATAAAGGCATAATCTTAGCTGGGCTGGTGGCTAGCCTGTAATCCCAGCTATTGAGGAGGCTGAAGCAGGAAGATTCCTTGAGCCCTGGAGTTTGAGTCCAGCCTGGGAAATAGTGAGACTCCATCTCTTTAAGGAAAAAAAAAAAAAAATACAAAACCACCATAATATTTAGGAAATAGTAGTTTCAAGTTCTATACAATTGAAATTTAGGAAGCTATTGGCAGGAATTTCCTAGGTGACTTTACTGTTCATGGTCCATTTATGCCATCCTTATATTAACTATTTTATTCTGCAATAAGGATTAATTGTAGAAAATAAATTGCAAGCAAAGATATTTCTATATTGATACATCAGAAAATCAGAGGTTTGCGGTTCTAGCCACACTCCTACCCCTGCCAAAGACCAGCATAAACCTGAGAGGATTTCTGATTTTTCATTTCTTCCTTCCTCTCTCTCCCCTCCCTCTCCCTCCCTTCCTACTTCCTTCCTTTCTCCCTCCCCCTTCCCTTCCCCCTTCCTTCCTCTGTCTTTTCCTCCTGTCCCTTCCTTCCCTCCCCTCCTCTGCCTACCATTCTCCCTCCTTGTTTCTCTCCCTTCCTTCCTTCCTTCCTCCCTACCTTCCTCCCCCTCCCTCCCTCTCTTCTTCCTGTCTCTTCCCTCCCTCTGCCTGCCTGCATGCCTTCCTTCCCTCCTTCCCCCGTAATCATTGGCCAATAATTATTTTTTTCATGGAGTAATGGTTTTTCTGTATAGTACTGTTTTAAAGATAGTGTGCTTTTTATGCTTATATTCTGTTCATTCAGTTTTTGTCCAATGTAAACTTGTTCTATAGAGTTGTTATTTTCCCACCTTTTAGAGTTTGTAGAATCCTGTGTTTTCATCTTCAGGAACTGTAACTTATCTTATCTTTCAGGGATAGGGAGTACATAGTGGAGGTGGCCAGATAGGCCATGAGAAGATGAAGCATTTGTCATGACCACACATTGTTTCCAGGACCTCCTGAGAAGCCTGATAGAATCCTAGGGCTTCCAGAAACACTTTTGGAAAAACACAGAGCTTTCTAACTTCATAAATAAAATGTGAATGGTGTGTGATAGGTGTAACAAACAAAATGTCAGAACTGGCTTTTTAAATATCTTTAGATTTTTGCATCTCTATAGAAATTATCACTAATAATAAATAATTACATGTGAATGATTTTGCAGACAGTTGTGGTGAAGTTTTTATATTTTATGTATTTTTAAAATTAAAGTTCTGATATCTAAGCAATAAATTTAGATGATGGAGGCTCAAATCCCTTTATCCTGTGTTCAGAGTAAATATATATATATATATATATATTTACAGGAAGAGTGTGTGTGGTGTGTGTGTGTGTGTGTGTGTGTGTATATATATATATATATATATATAGAGAGAGAGAGAGAGAGAGAGAGAGAATAGGCATTAAGTGGACATTCTGGTTTTCTTTTCCCCCTTGTTTTTAAAGCTAGTTCTCTTTTAGGTATTGATAGCAGCAGGGTACAAGTGTGTTTTTTTTCTTAGTCAAGGATTTTGTCAGTAAGCATATTTTTTTGGTTGTACAGAAGCACAATAGTACAGCACCTGGAAATCTAAAACTTCAATCTGTGCAAGTTTTAGATTTTTAACACACAGGCAATCAAGTCTTGGTCTCTAAACTTAGGAACTAGAAGCTGAAAGTTGCACTCTAGGCAAGAATTCCATTATTCATGTGTAAATTAGGAATTCACAGGGTTAAAAGGTTAGAAACTGGCCAGGATGAGGTTTACCCTTGTGATAAAGAGCAGATGACCCTCATTCATTGGCCAAAGCTTTCATGTAGCTCTTCTGCAAAGTTAGTTATTGCCATGAATTGTTCTTGAGGAATGCAGAAATTCAAATGTGAACAGGCCTTTCCTTAAGTGTCACTATGGAGCCTTATCTCCCAAGCACATCAGAGCAGGGCTGCAGGGACAAGGTTCCTCCCCAAAGGCCTGGAGGCTTTGCTTTCCTGTTGTTCATTCAAGCACAAAAGAATTCATCTAACTTAGTTTTGCTAAGGCATCCCATTTTTAAAAGAAAGTATAGGGTTAAAGTAATATTTAGCTTTAAAAAAAGATAATCCTTTTTATTAATAGCCGTGTTAGCGGCCTTACATTTTCATGTAATTGGAATAGAAAGAGGAGTGACATGGGATGCCCTTTTTCTAGCTGTGTACAATAGCAAGAACAGAAGATTAAACCATTTCCTATAAATTTCAGTATTTTTAAATTTAGCAAATCAAGTTTTCACTTTCATGGGTACTAAGTCTTTGTTATCTAAATTTAAATATTTTAGGAATAAGAAATGATCTATGGTTATCTTGACTTTTCTTGTATTCTTAATGTTGAAATAGGTAAGATAAATTTCGTAGGAAAGCATTAGTGTGGTAAAATGGTCTCACGTTTCAACAAGTTTAAATTAAGAGACATTTGAGAGAAGTAAAGGAGGAGGCGGGTTGTGTTCTGTGATGTGTAAAAGACTGGCTGTAAGCTAGTGATTGAACAGGAAGCTAGTTGTTTATTTCCTTTCCATAAAAGGTGGAAACTGAAGTCTTAGGATAGAGGGAAAAAGAACATAAAGCTAGCTTATATTTCTTTGATTTTCCAGGACTGTTCACTTGGGTAAAAAATAATTTTTTATGTGACCCTTTGTAGCTGGAAGAGCATAGGAATTATTGTAACTTTATGATTTTTTAACCAAAATTTTGAGGTTGAGTTTGCCTTTGGTAAGGTTGTTTGGGGGTGCATTTCTATAACTTTTTAAGTAGTAGTAGTTGTTTCCATTAAAAGGGTATAGGTTTTTTATTAATAAAAACATACATCAATTTAAGTTAAGATGAAATTTGAGGGTTTATGTGGGATTCATGAAAAACTGTTCTTTGGGTGAGGCTTGCGTATTAAAAAGTAATGCATAAATTATAATACCAAGTCTTTGAAATGTGAAGTTAAAAATATATTAAAAACATTTATAAAGAGTCATGTTAAAAAAAAAAAGATGGGGAAGTGATACGTTGAAAAGAGAACCTAAGAACTGTGAGACTATATGCTAGATTTTGGATTTTATTAATGATCCTGGACCTGAAATAGGCAAGACTTTGCTACACGGTCACTGTTTTATTGAGAGCTGTAGGCACTGGAAAGGACTGAGTCTCTTACCTGCGTGCCTATTCACTTGAAGTCAAGCTGTGAGCAGTTACCTGGCCTAATTCAAGAATGCTAAAACATGAGTAAAAGTCATTTGATTTTGGAAAACTCAAACCAACAGAACTGAGGTATGTAGAGAAACCAATCTGCCAACACTGTAGATAAGGTTCAGTTGATGTTTTCTGGGATCCAAAAAAATTCGCCTTTAAAAAGAGGAGGTGTGTTTCAGAAGTTATGTTTAACTTAAAATTGGCTCTCAATATTACATAAGTCAAGTGAAGGAAGTAGAAATTGCATATATAGTTCTACAGGCTTTTTTAGAATGACATTTGGTTCTTAAAGTCTGTCTACTTAAAGTCTGTTTATCAGGTGCCTGATAATCTCTGGGTAATGGAACCAGTTTTTCTCACTTTGCCCTAGATTAGTGAGGATCATTTCTCATTTTCAGCAACCTGTAACATTATCTCACTTTTTTTCAAAGTTGGTGGAATTTTTTTTTTTTTTTTTTTTTTAGCAAAGCATGGTCCAGTGAGGGGTAGAATTAGAATTTTCTTTAAGATGTATAAAAATGTACTTATTTTATTTTGTTTTATTTATGTCCAGATTCTTAATGGAATTTTGAAAGGGTATTTGGTATGGCTCCTTTTTGTCAACTATCTCTGATTATTCTAAAGAAAGGATCTCACTCTCAGTGGTCGTTTGCTCTGGGATTTGTTGTCATTGCTCCCAAATTTAACAGCTGGGTCTATTGATGAAGTCCAGAGCAATTTAAAATAATAGGAAGCAACAAATCTTTTAAGCAGGGTTTTAGGCTAAGGGAGTATTTTAATTAATAAATAAAATACATTTGAGGTTACCTTTTTGAAAACCACGATATTCTTGACTGCAGTTTTGAGAGATGATTTTTATCTCTCATGAACAAGGTTGCTCAGTTAGAATTGATTATTTAAAGCATTTAAACTGATAATTACCATTTATATGAAAAAGAATGTTAAGTCAGGCATTTTGTTGAGGATCCTACTTGGATTTAAAAACAGCTATGATTATTGAGATGTTTTAAAAGAAATCATAAAAATCCTCCCAAATTAAGTTTTCATTGTCAGTCAAGACTATTTTAATACTTTTGAGAGTTTACAGTGCCCAGACTCTTCATTAAATCTTTAAAAAAATCATCATTTTAATCTTGGTAAATAAGAAAGGAAAAGGAAGATGCTGTTGTAATCATTTAAGTAATATTTGCAGTTGCCCTAACATGGTATGCTGCACAGAGCAGAGCAAGCTCACAGTAAACAATTGATAATTGCAGTGTACAAAAAAGGTAGAAAACATACCAAATTATCTTCACCAGCTCTAATTCTGAAGCCAAGTGAACTGCTGTAAGGATATGTATGCAGAGGATAAAGGCGTCATCCTCACAAAGGTCTCTGACACTAATCTGACAAATACTTTCCTGACTTTTACATTCCTTGTGTGTTTTTTTTTAACCTCTGGTTCTCAGAAACTACTTTTGATGAGCGTTTAAAAACCAAAATCTTATAGACTGAGCAGAAGGCATGAATTTAAAAATGTTTGTTTTTTCAGTTTCCAGAGGATTTGCCCTTTTTTCGTGTTTATAATACATATATATGTTATATATATATATAAAATAGCTTTAGCATTTATAGTGGCTAGATTATGAATAACTGTTAGAGAATGTGATCATTGTTCAGGTCTCTGGTTTCAAATTGGTGTCCTTATTGGATTTAGTCCTTAAAACTTACAGAAAGAAAATTTTCTTTTTAAAGCTTACTTCTTGAAGCAATATTAAATCCCTAGGAGTTTAGCTAGAACAGTGTGACAGCTTTTTTTTCCCTTAATGTTGCTGTTTTATGCAGACTACTTTAAATAAATCATATTCTTTTGGAATAATCCTCCAGAGTCACCCTTTTAAAGTTTTGTAGTCTTTTAAAACTACTCAGAATGTGATTGACTCAGTGGCTTATCTTCCATTCTACTAATATTTACCAAAAAGAAAAAGGATATTTCTGCCTGTGGTAGTTAGGTATCTCAGCCTTGGCACAACTGACATTTTGGGCCAGATAATTTTCTGTTGTGGTGCTGTCCTGTGCGTCGTATGCAGTGTTAGCGGCATCCCTGGCCTCTACCCTCCCAATACCGATAGACTCTCTTCCAGTTGTGACAACCAAGAAAGTTCTACTGTGGGGCAAAATAACTCCTGATTGAGAATCCCTGATGTTTCCGAAAGTAGTAGAACACTTTCCAGTGATGTTGGACAATTTGTTACTTTAACTGTTTCTATCTTATCCTTGATATTCTACTTGTTTTGGTGGTAGCAGTGCTAAATGTATTCCTTGGAGAACGATTTGCTGTTTTTGTTGTTGTTGTTGTTGTTGTTTTTGTTGTTGAGTCAGAGTCTTGCTCTGTCATCCAGGCTGGAGTACAGTGGTGCAGTCACGGCGTCCTGCAGCCTGGACCTCCTGGGCTCAAGTGATTTTCCCTCTTCAGTCTACCGAGTAGCTGGAGCTACAGGCACGTGCCGCCATGCACAGCTAATTTTTAAATTTTTTGTAGAGAGAGGATCTTGCTATGTTGCCCAGGCTGACCTTGAACTCCTGGGCTCAAGCATTCCTCCCACCTTGGTTTCCCAAAGTGCCAGGATTATAGGCATGAACCATCGTGCTTGGGCTCCGTTTACTTTTTTTTTTTTTTTTTTTTTGTTTGAGACAGAGTTTTGCTCTTGTTGCCCAGGCTGGAGTGCAATGGTGTGATCTTGGTTCACCACAACCTCCGCCTGTGGGTTTCAAGCAATTTTCATGCCTCAGCCTCCCAGGTAGCTGGGATTACAGGCATGCGCCACCATGCCTGGCTAATTTTGTATTTTTAGTAGAGACAGGGTTTCTCCACGTTGGTCAGGCTGGTCTCGAACTCCCAACCTCAGGTGATCTGACCACCTCAGTCAGCCTCCCAAAATGCTGGGATTACAGGTGTGAGCCACCACGCCTGGCCTCCATTTACTATTTTTTGAGACAGAGTCTTGCTCTGTTGCCAGGCTAGAGTGCAGTGGCGCAATCTCGGCTCACTGCAACCTCTGCCTCCCGGGTTCAAGCGATTCTCCTGCCTCAGCCTCCTGAGTAGCTGGGACTATGGGCACGTGCCACTATGCCCGGCTAATTTTTATATTTTTGGTAGAGATGGGGTTTCCCCATGTGACCAGAATGGTCTCGATCTCTTGACCTCGTGGTCTGCCCGCCTCAGCCTCCCAAAGTGCTGAGATTACAGGCATGAGCCACTGCGTCCAGCCACCATTTACTATTTTTAAGCGTTGTATATATTTTTTTAAAATGTGTTTGGCCTACTACCTAAATTGGAGTGACAGTGCTTTTCCAATCCCTTTTTCACACACATAATACATTGAAAACTGCTGTTAAGGGTTTACCGGCTGGGCATGGTGGCTCACGCCTGTAATTCCAGCACTTTGAGAGGCCAGGGCCGGCGGATCACCTGAGGTTGGGAGTTCGAGACCAGCCTGACCAACATGGAGAAACCCCCTCTCTACTGAAAATACAAAACTAGCCGGGTGTGGTGGCACATGCCTTTAATCCTAGCTACTCGGGAGGCTGAGGCAGGAGAATCCCTTGAAGCCAGGAGGCGGAGGTTGCAGTAAGCTGAGATCGCGCCATTGCACTTCAGCCTGGGCAGCAAGAGCGAAACTCCGTCTCAAAAAAAAAAAAAAAAAAGTTTACCCTGGCCAGGCGCAGTTGCTCATACCTGTAATCCCAGCACTCTGGAAGCCTGAGGCAGGTAGATCAGTTGAGGTCAGGAGTTCGAGACCAGCCTGGCCAACATGGTGAAACACCATCTCTACTAAAAATACAAAAATTAGCTGGGTGTGGTGGCATACGCCTGTAATTCCAGCTACTCGGGAGGCTGAGGCAGGAGATTTGAACCCAGGAGGCGGAGGTAGCAGTGAGCCCAGATTGTGTCACTGCACTCTAGCCTGGGTGACAGAGTAAGACTCTGTCTCAAAAAACAAAAACAAACAAATCTAGTCATGTGCAGTGTAACAACATTCCAGTCAAACAATGGACCACATATTATGACAGTGGTTCTGTTCTATAAGATGATAATACCATATTTTTACAGTGCCTTTTCTGTGCTTACATATGTTTAGATACACAAATACTTCCCATTGTGTTACAGTTGCTGCCCTTTTCAGTACCATTACATGCTGCACAGGTTTGTAGCCTAGGAGCGATATAGCTGAGGTGTGTAGTAGGCTATACCATCTAGGTTTGTGTAAGTCTGCTCTATGATGTTCACATGACAGAATCACCTAACGATGTGTTTCTCAGAACGTATCTCTGTCATTAAGTAATGCAAGACTGTATATGTCTGGTTTTGCTAATAATTAGTAGTATATTCCAGTGTTTGTTGACTCAGTATTTTAAAAAACACAGTTCTGACTTTATCTTGAGAGTTTTGCTAATGTATTAGTATTTTAATACTGGTTGATTATACTGGTTCCCCACTCCCACCGATTGCTATTAAGAATGGTAAGGTGTGGCTGGGCATGGTGGCTCACGCCTGTAATCCCAGCACTTCGGGAGGCTGAGGCGGGCGGATCATGAGGTCAGGAGTTCAAGACCAGCCTGACCGACATGGTGAAACCCCATCTCTACTAAAAATACAAACATTATCTGGGTGTGGTGGTGTGTGCCTGTAATCCCAGCTACTCGGGAGGCTGAGGCAGGAGAATCCCTTGAACCTGAGAGGCAGAGGTTGCAGTGAGCCGAGAGCATGCCGTTGTACTCCAACCTGGGCGACAGAACAAGACTGCATCTCCAAAAAAAAAAAAAAAAAAAAAGAATGATAAGGTGTAATTTCTTCTCCCTCAGCTTTCAGATTGAACTAACTTGAGTCCTCTGGCGTCCCCTGATGGGATTTAAAGTAACTCAGATTAAAATATTGACCCCAAAGTGGACTTACAATAGGAAGAGATGTAACCAGCTTAACATACTAGAATTAAAGAAGCTAACAATTAGAAGTTTTTCCCTGTTAGGCAGCTTTCAGAAGGGGATGAAATTGGACAAATAAATAAATAAAAGAGAGACAAAGTACATCATTATTTTCCACTGATCTCCCAATGTTTAGACTTGTTAAGATACTGGCAGTGAATATTTTGAGGAGAGAAATTTAAGATTCCTTAAAACTTACTCTGTAGTCAATAGAGAATCCTTGCCTACTTTCACTTGCAATATCATTATGCCTTCCTCTTCCTTAAGTAAAGATCGCAACTTCTGTAGTCTTAGAAACTTATTTTGCAAATAAGGAATAGGAAGCTGGGAGGGGGTAAGTGCCTTTCTCAAGGGCACAGCTACTATCTAGCACCAGAGCTCAGGTTTTGTTATTATAGTCGTGACTTTTATTTTGAGACAGAGTCTTGCTCTCTGTTGCCCAGGTTGGAGTGCAGTGGCGCCATCTCGGCTCACTGCAAGCTCCGCCTCCCGGGTGCATGCCATTCTCCTGCCTCAGCCTCCCAAGTAGCTGGGACTACAGGCACCCACCACCACGCCTGGCTGATTTTTTGTATTTTTACTAGAGATGGGGTTTCACTGTGTTAGCCAGGATGGTCTTGATATCCTGACCGTGTGATCCGCCCGCCTGGGCCTCCCAAAGTGCTGGGATTACAGGCTTGAGCCACTGCATCTAGCCTATAGTCACTACTTCGCAGTGCTTAAATAAAGCTTTTCCCTGTGAGTTGTGTGGAGATGTATCTTTTTGTATTCAAATATATATAATCAAATCCAGAATATAAAAAAGAATGGTAACGGCCAGGTGCTGTGGCACATGCCTGTAATCCCAGCACTTTGGGAGGCCGAGGTGGGAGAATCACTGTCGGTCAGCAGTTCAAGACCAGCCTGGCAAACGTGGTGAAACCCTGTCTCTACTAAAAATACAAAAATTAGCTGGGCGTGGTGGCAAGTACCTGTAATGCCAGCTACTCAGGAGGCTGAGGCAGGAGAATCTCTTGAACCTGGGAGGCGGAGGCTGCAGTGAGCTGAGGTCATGCCGCTGCACTCCAGTATGGGCAACGGAGAGAAACCCCATCTCAAAAAAAAAGTAACAACGCTGAAATTAAAGACATTCCTTAGTTTCTTAATTAAAAAAGCGACTTTCATTTTTGTGCAACACACCCATTACTACTATACTTGTGTAAGGTTTCTTGTTGTATAAGGTGATTTTTAAAATAAATTGCTAATGCATTTCTATTTTCAGCTGTCCTGTAACGCTTCATGGAATTTCTTTTCTTGTGTATATCCTCCGTGCATGGAGGTTGAGCTCCAGTCCTTTTAGGGGTTTGGCATTTGTTGATACATCTGTCCAAATGGAAGTTTGATCTAAAGCAGTGATTTTCAACATGTCTTTGAAGAACCACCAATGGAGTGAGACTCTTTTATAGTCAAAAGATTGAGTTTTAAATAAATGGTTAAGTACATGTCATTATTATTGCATGGAAACAGGACATAGTGACAGCCTCTGTCTATCATGGAATTAAAAAAATAAGTTTTATTAAGATATAAAGTTCACCCTTTTAGATATACATATATATATTTATTTTATTTTATTTTATTTTATTTTTTTTCCCCGCAGAATCTTGCTATGCCCAGGCTGGTCTGGAACTCCAGTCCTCCTGCCTCAGTCTGCTGAGTAGCTGGGATTATAGGTGTGTGCCAGTGCACCTGGAACACCTTTATAAAGTATAGAGTTCAGTGGGTTTTGTGCGTCTGCCTCACCACTGTCTAATTCCAGAAAATTTTCATCACCCCAAAAAGAAAGCTGTGTTCGATAGCAGTCACTCCCCATTTCCCCCTTCCTCTAGCAGCCACGAATTTACTTCTTGTCTCAGTGGATGTGCCTATATGTGGTATGTCATATCAATGAAATCATATAATATGTGGTCTTTGTGATTGTCTTCCTACACTTAGCATGTTTTCAAGGTTTATCCACGTTGTGGCGTGTATCAGTACTTCATTCCTTTTTGTGGCCAAATAAGATTACATTGTGTGGATAGACCATGTTTTGTTTACCCGTTCATCTGTTGGACACTTGAATTGTTTTCATCTGTAGTGAACATTTGCCTTTTCACTTTCTTGATACTGTTTGTAGTTTTCAATGTACAGTCTTTTACCTTTTTGCTGAAATTTATATCTGGGCATCTTATTCTTTTAGATGCTATTGTAAATGGAATTGTTTAATTTCCTTTTCAATTACTTTATTGCTGTTGTGTACATAAACACAACTGCTTTATGCATGTGGATCTTATACTCTAAAACTCTTCTGAATTCATTTATTAGCTCTAGTAGCTTTCATGTGGATTCCTTGCAATTTTCTGTAAATAGGATCATATAATCTATGAGTGATACAGCTTTATTTCTCTCTCTCCAATTTGGATGCCTTTTTTTTTTTTAGACTAATTGCTCTGTCTAGAATTTTTAGTACAATGTTAAATCACAGTGGTGATAGCAGAGATCATTGTCTTTTTCTTGATCAGAGGAGAAAAGCTTTCAGTCTTTCACCTTTGAGTATGATATTGTGAGGCTTTTTAAATAAATGCCCTTTATCATGTTGAGAAATTTTCCTTCTCTTCCTAGTTTTCTAAGTATTTATATTATGAAGGTGTATTGGATTTTTTCAAATGCCTTTTTTGTATCAACTGTGCTAATCATCTTTTTTGTTTGTTCTATCAATTATTTGATTAATTTTCTTCTGTTGAACAACTTTTACATTCCTGGGATAAAAGTGAGATAAATCCTACTTGGTCAGTATAATTCTTTTAATATGTTTTTGGACTTGGTTTGCTAACAGTTTGCTGAGATTTTGCATCCATATTCATAGAAGATAATTTTCTTTTCTTGTGATTATCTGTCTGGCTTTGATAGTGGAGTAGGTGTCATAGAATATGTTAGGAAATATTCCCTATATAATATTCCCTATAAAAATACTGTATTGTTTTGGAAGATTTTGAGAAGAATTGGTATTAATTCTTTTTTACATTTTTTGTGGAGGCCAGGCACAGTGGGTCATGCCTGTAATTCTAGCACTTTGGGAGGCCGAGGTGGGCGGATTGCCTGAGCTCAGAAGTTTGAGACCAGCCTGGGCAACATGGTGAGACCCCGTCTCTACTAAAAACACAAAAAATTAGCTGGGCATGGTGGGACACACCTATAGTCCCAGCTACTCAGGAGGCTGAGACATGAGGATCGCTTGAACCTGGGAGGCGGAAGTTATAGTGAGCCAAGATCGTGCCACTTCACTCCAGCCTGGGTGACAGAGACTCTGTCTCTAAATAAACAGATAAATAAATTTTGTGGAATTCACTTGTGAAGTCACCTGGTTCTGGATTTTTCACTGTTGGGTGTTTCTTTTTTTCTTTTGAGTTGGAGTCTCGCTCTGTCGCCAAGGCTGGAGTGCAGTGGCGCCATCTTGGCTCACTGCAACCACTGCCCGCTGGGTTCAAGTGATTCTTCTGCCTCAGCCTCACGAGTAGCTGGGACTACAGGTGTATGCCACCACGCCCTGCTAATTTTTGTATTTTTAGTAGAGACGGGGTTTCACCATGTTAGCTAGGCTGGTCTCGAATTCCTCACCTCAGGCAGTCCTCCCACCTCAGCCTCCCAAAGTGCTGGGATTACAGGCGTGAGCCACCATGTCCGGCCTATTGTTGGGAGATTTTTTATTCAATCTTTTCACTTGTTATAAGCCTGTTGTAATTTTATATTTCTTCTTCAGTCAGTTTAGGTAATTTGTGTTTTCCTTGGAATTTGTCCATTTCATCTAGGCTATCTGATTTGTCAGTTCATAGTATTTTCTTATCATCTTTTTTATTTTTTTTAAGTCAGTAGTAAAAATTTCATGTCTGATTTTAGTTATTTATATCATCTCTCTTTTTTTTCTTGGTCAGTCTAGCTAAAGTTTTGTTAGTTTTGTTCATCTATTCAAAAATGAACAAATTTTTCATTTTCCTGATTTATTATTTCTTTGTTTTTTTTATTTCATTTATCACCACTCTAGTCTTAATTATTTCCTTCCCTCTGCTAGCTTTGGGTTTAGTTTTCACTTCTTTTTCTGGTTCTTCAAGGTGTAAAATTAGATTATTGATTTGAGATTATTCTTCTTTTTAAATATGTTTATAGCCACCAGTTTCCCTCTGAGCACTGCTTCCACTGCATCCCATAAGTTTTGGTGTGTTACAGTTTTTCTTTTTCTTTTTTTTTTTTTTGAGACGGACTCTTACTCTGTTGTTGCCTGGGCTGGAATGCAGTGGCGTGATCTCGGCTCACTGCAAACTCTGCTTGCCCAGACTCAAGCAGTCCTCCTGCCTCAGCCTCCTGTATGTTTTCATTTTCATTTGTTCCAAAGTATTTTCTAATTTTCTTCGCATTTTCTTCCTTGACCCATTTGTTAAGAATATGTTGTTTAATTTTCATATATGTGTGAGTTTTCCAGTTTTACTTCTGGTTTAAGTTTTATTCCATTGTGTTTGGAGAAAATACTTTTTATAATTTTAATCTATTTTTTTTTTTTTTTTGAGACGAAGATTCGCTCTTGTTAACACTTGTTACCCAGGCTGGAGTGCATGGCATAGCCTCGGCTCACTGTAACCTCCACCTCCCGGGTTCAAGCAATTGTCCTGCCTTGGTAGCTCCTTTGTCTCTCATGACAGTTTTTACTTAAAGTCTATTTTTTTCTGATGTTAGTACAGCCTCCCCAGCTCTCTTGGTTACTTACCATTTGCATGGAATACCTTTTTCCATTCTATCTATTTGCGTCTTTGGATCTAAAGTTAGTCTCTTGGCTGGGCACAGTAGCTCATGCTTGTAATCCCAGCACTTTGGGAGGCCGAGGCAAATGGATCACCTGAGGTCAGGAGTTCGAGACCAGCCTGGCCCACAAGGTGAAACCCCATCTCTATGAAAAATAGAAAAATTAGGGCTGGGTGCAGTGGCCCACACCTGTAATCTCAGCACTTCGGGAGGCTGGGCGGTTGGATTACGAGGTCAAAAGATTGACACAATCTTGGCCCACATGGTGAAACCCCGTCTCGACTAAAAATACAAAAATTAGCTGGGCGTCATGGCACGTGCCTATAATCCTACTACTTGGGAGGCTGAGGCAGGAGAATTGCTTGAACCTGGGAGGCGGAAGTTGCAGTGAGCCGAGATCACGCCACTGCACTCCAGCCTCGCAACAGAGTGAGACTCTGTCTCAAAAACAAAACAAAAAACCTAAAATTAGCTGAGTGTGGTGGTGGGTCCCTGTAATCTCAGCTACTCCGGAGGCTGAGGCAGAAGAATTGCTTGAACCTGGGAAGCAGAGGTTGCAGTGAGCTGCGATGGCACCACTGCACTCCAGCCTATGTGACAGAGTGAGACTGTGTCTCAAATAGATAAATAAAGTTAGTCTCTTGTAGACAGCTTACAGTTCAATCATGAGTTTTTAAAAATCCATTTTGTCAACCTTTTCTTTTTGATGGAGAGTTTAATCCACTTGCATTTATTGTAATTACTGATAAGGAAGGACTTCTGCCATTTTGCTGTTTGTTTTCTGTATGTCTTTCACCCCATTTTTTTTTTTTTGAGACAGGGTCACTGTCTCACCCAGACTGGAGGGCAGTAGCACGATCACGGCTCACTGCATCCTCAACCTCCCCAGGCTCAGGTGATCCTCTCACCTCTGTCTCCCAAGTAGCTGGGCTGCAGGCACATGCTACCATGCCCGGCTGATTTTTTCGTATTTTTTATAGAGATAAGGTCTTATTTTGTTGCCTAGGCTTACCTTATACCTTTTTTTGTCTCTCATTTTCAGCATTCCTAACTTCTTTTGTGTTTAGTTGCTTTTGTAGTGAACCGTTTTGAATTTCTTCTCATTTCCTTTTGTGCGTATTTTTTAGTTTATATTTTGTGTGTTGTTACCACAGGAATTATACTTAACATCCTCAATTTGTAACAATCTAGTTTGAATTTGCAGTAGTATGCGAATTTTTGCATCTATACAGCTTCACCCCCCTTTTATATTATTGTCACACATTACATCTTCATATGTTTTGTATAGATAGTGATATAGATGTATAGGCTTTTTATGCATTTGTCTTTTAAATTATGTAGGCAATAAAAAGTGGAGGTACAAACCAAAAATACAATACTGCTGGCTTTTCTAGTTGCCTACATAGTGACATTTACCAGTGGTCTTTATTTCTTCCTATGGCTTTGAGCAGCTGTTCAATGTCCTTTCGTTTCAGCCTCTAGCACTTTCTTTAGCATCTGTTTTAGAGTAGGTCAATGGTAATGAGTTGCCTCAGCTGTTTCTCTGCGAATGTCTTAATTTCTGCCTCATCTCTGAAGGACAGTTTTGCTAGATATATAATTCTTGCTTTATACTTGGTTTTCTTTTTATTTTATTTTTCATTTTTTTTGAGACTGTGTCTTGCTCTGTTGCCTAGGCTGGAGTGCCATGGTGTGATCTTGGCTCACCGCAACCTCTGCCTTCTGGGTTCAAGTGATTCTCATGCCTCAGCTACTGAGTAGCTAGGATTACAGGCATGCACCACCACACCTGGCTAACTTTTGTACTTTTTTTTTTTAAGTAGAGACAGGGTTTTGCTGTGTTGGCCAGGCTGGTCTCAAACTCCTGGCCTCAAGAGGTATGCCCATGCTGGCCTCCCAAAATGCTGGGGTTACACATGTGAGCTATAGCACCCAGCCTTTTTCATACTTTACATTTGTTATCTCGCTGTCTTCCAATCCCTGTGATTTCTGATGAGAAATTGGCTGTTAATCAAAAAACGTAATATATACATTATATTCACCCAAACAGCAGAGTCCCAAAATATATGAAGGAAATACTGACACTGATTGAAGGGAGAAATAGTTTTATAATAAAAGCTGGAGACCTCAACACAACTACACTCAAAAAATGGCTAGAACATCTACGCAAAAGATCAATAGTGAAATAACAGATCGAACAGACATATAAGCAATAACTAGATCTAGCAGACATATAAAAGCATTCCACCTAACAAAAGAATACACATTGTCCTCTAGTGCACATAAAACGTTCTCCGGAATAGAACACATGTTGGGCCACAAAACAAGTCTCAGTACATTTTAAAAGATTAAAATCAGCCAGGCATGGTGGCTCACGTATGTAATCCTAGCACTTTGGGAGGCCGAGGCAGGCGGATCATGAGGTCAGGAGTTCGAGACCAGCCTGGTCAACATGGTGAAACCCCACCTCTACTAAAAATACAAACAATTAGCTAGGTGTGGTGGCAGGCACCTGTAATTCCAGCTACTCAGGAGGCTGAGGCAGGAGAATCGCTTGAACCTGGGAGGTGGAGGTTGCAGTGAGCTGAGATTGCACCATTGCACTCCAGCCTGGGCCACAGAGCGAGACTCCAACTCAAAAAAAAAAAAAAAAAGAAAAAAGAAAAGAATATGGCTATTAATCTTTTTGAGGAAGAATAAATATGTGATGAATCTTTTCTCTTTTGCTGCCTTCAAGATTTTCTCTTTTTGTCTCTCAACTGTTCGATTATAAATGTATTTCTATGTGGATCTCTTTTAATTTGTCTTACTTGGAATCCATCAAGTTTTGTAGGTGTATAGATTTATTTCTTTCATCAAATTCAGAAAATTTTCAGCCATTATTTTTTCAAATACTCTTTCTGCCTCTTTCTCTTTCTTTTTCCCTTCTGGGCTTCCCATAATGCATATGTTCGTCTGCTTGATGGTGCCCCACATGTCTCTTAGAATCTATTCACCCTTTTTTTTTTTTTTTTAGATCATTATAGTCTTCCCTTATGGTTTCTGTTTGTGTCTTTTGTTTCATGTTTTAAAACATTTGAAATTTTTATCTTACAGTCTCCATTAATTATACTATTATCTTAAGTTATTTAGGTGCTAACCTCTCCTTTTCCATTTACATTTTCCCTTGTGGCAGATTGTTTCCACATGTGATTTGTAATTTTTTATTATAACCTCGTCTGTGGTGAGACATCACATTCTGTATCATGGAATTTATGCTTCTGTGGCATGCCGCAAGGTTTCCCTGGTCATGGACCAGTTTTGGGGTTAATTGTTGGCTGCACCACATTGGTAGTAAAATGTAGCATCCTCACAAGTGTGTGGTATAGGCCAGGGGCTTTTGTTTGTCAGGGGAAACATTCTTTTCTCATCCAAAAGAAAGCCTCCTGTTGTTAATCTTGCTGGTGGGCTCGGTTTTTCTACTGACTTTTTCTCCACGTATTCCAGGGTCCTAGCTTCAGGTCTCAGTTAACTATGTTGCTATGGAACAAAATCACTACTTCTTCCTGGAGGCTCTTAATTCCTATATTTGCTCTGGACCACCATGGCTTCAAGCCAAAACTTTGCTGCTCTGACCTTGTCAAATTTTGTTAGTGGTGGTGTTTTAAGTATGTTCTGTGTGGCATTTCTGTGTGTTTTTAGTGGGAAGGAGCATCTGTGTTTATTCAGTCTACGATTTTCCAGAAATGGAAATAAGGAAATAAGGTATCTTGAAGAATCTCTTCCTACTCTGGAAACTACAAGCCTAATCTTGACGACTGAGTTCTCAACTTCACCTCTCTGTTTATTTCTGACTTTCTTCGTTTTAGTTTTCAGCATGAGATTTTTCAGGGCCCTTGGCTGATATTCCCTTTTGGTTCTAGAACACGTAGGAAAATGCTTTGCACATTGTAGACACTAAAATTCTTACTGGCTGATTGAGAATTCTGTGTTTAGGCTTACTTTTACTGTCATAGTTATTCATTTCCCCAACAAGTATTTATTGAAAGCATACTCTTGCTAGATCTTGAGAATGACATGACTAATAAAATATAGTACCTGACCTCAATGATAGGAAAGGAGTACCTAAATAATTATTAAAACAGTATAGTTGTGCAACAATAAAGTTTATTCCTGGTGGAGTTGCTTATGTGGTGGTATTTCTTCCAACTTTTAATTTTGAAAATTTTCAGATCTACAGAAAAGTGTAAGGAATATAATGAACACTTAAATACCTTTCACCTAGATTCCCAGCTGTTAACTAACTTTTTGCCACATTGACTTCATCTCTCTCTTTTTCTTGAAAAAAGTAAGTTGCAGACACTTCACCTCTAAATACTTCTCCATGCATCTCCAAGTCTGGGGGAAGGGGCAGTTAGGGAGTGGTATGGTTTGGCTGTGTTCTCACCCAAATCTCATCTTGAATTGTAGTTCCCATAATCTCCACGTGTGGTGGGAGGGACCTGGTGGGAGGTAATTGAATCATGGGGGTGGTTTCCCCCATCATATTCTTGTGATAATGAGTAAGTTCTCAGGAGATCTGATGGTTTTATAAGGGCTTCCCCATTTGCTCAGCTCTTGTTCTTTTCCTTCCTGCTGCCCTATAAAGGACATGTTTGCTTCTCCCTCTCCCGTGATTGTAAGTTTCCTGAGGCCTCCCCAGCCGTCCTTAACTGTGATTCAATTCAACCTCTTTCTCTTACAAATTACCCAGTCTTGGGTATGTCCTTATAGTAGTGTGAGAAAGGAGTAATACAGGGAGAGATCCTGATGTAGCTGATGTGTAAGCTAAATTTTGAAGGAAAACTAGATTTTAATTAGATGAAGGAAATGAATAGTCGAAAGCATAGTAGTAAGAAACAACACGGTACGTATGGAATAGTAAACTATTTGATGTTGTTGGAGAATAAATTTCAAAGAAATGGCACCCCAACATGGAATTGGAGATGTAGACAGGATCCACTCAAGGAAAGACTCATTATACACTATGTACCATGTTAACGAACCTGGAATTTAACTTGCAAGTGATTAACTGCAAGGGATTGGCTTCATCAGATTTGTGTTTCAGATTGATCCCATTAGTGTCTGTGAGGAGAGCAGAAGTCAGGTGAACAGGGCTGTAGGCAGAGTGGAGGCTGGGACAGCACAGTGAGAACTCATAAGGGCTTGGACTGGAGCACTGGCAAGGGGATGAATGGAAGACACATTTTAGGTTATTACGATTTTACAATGGCAGTACTTGTTAGATGTGGGGAATCAGGGAGAGGGAAAAGTTCAGGATGATGCCAGTATTTCGTTTGGGTGACTTGGTAAATGGTGGTGCCACCAACTGAAATAGAAAATTCAGGAGGAGAAGCAAATGTAGGGAACAAGGTAATGAATTTGGCTGGGAAAAACGTAGTTTTCGGTGACTGTGGGATGTCTAGGTGGACCATCCAGCAGGTGATCCAAGAAAGCAGTTGGGAGTCAGGAGAGGCATGACCTAAAGCAAGCTTGTCCAACCCGCATGCAGCCCAGGACAGCCTTGAATGCAGCCCAACACAAATTCATAAATGTTCTTAAAACATTATGAGATTTTTTCTTTTTAGCTCATCACCTATCATTAGTGTTAGCGTGTTTTATGTGTGACCCATGGCAATTATTTTTCAAGTGTGGCCCAGGGAAGCCAAAAGAAGGACACTGCTGAACAGATACTCAGCTGAGCATCACCTTAGGTGGAGGTGGATGGAGCAGGATGAGCATACAGAGCAAGCAGCATGGGGGCCCAGAATCAACTCCTAGGACAACCAAAAGAAACACAAACAGTTGTCAGGAAGGTAGATGGACGACCACATGAGTACAAAATCACAGAACCCAAAGGAGAAATGTCAAAGTTTCACAAATGAAACATCAGAAGCAAGAAAGAATTCCAATAGGATGTGAAAAATACCCTTTGAACCAGATCAGTCAAGTCTTAAAGCAGTTTCCTTAGAAAGAAAACAGCCATAGTTTTTTTTTTATGTTTGTTTTATTTTGTTTTGTTTTGTTTTTTGGAGGTAGAGTCTCGCCCCATTGCCCAGGCTGGAGTGCAGTGGCACTATCTCAACTCACTGCAACTTCTGCCTTCCAGGTGGTTCAAGCAATTCTCCCTGCCCCAGCCTCCCAAGTAGCCCGGCTAAATCTTTGTATTTTTAGTAGAGACGAGGTTTCACCATGTTGGCCTGGCTGGTCTCAAACTCCTGACCTCAGGTGATCCGCCTGCCTCGGCCTCCCAAAGTGCTGGGATTACAGGTGTGAGCCACCATGCCTGGCCCACAGTTTTTTCTTTTCTTTTCTTTTCTTTTCTTTTTGAGATGAAGTTTCACTCTCGTTGCCCAGGCTGGAGTGCAATGGCACAATCTTGGCTCACTGCAACCTCTGCCTCCCAGTTCAAGCAGTTCTCTTGCCTCAGCCTCCTGAGTAGGTGGGACCAGGCGCCCACCACCATGCCCGGCTAATTTTTTTTGTGTTTTTAGTAGAGGTGGGATTTCACCATGTTGGCCAGGCTGGTCTTGAACTCCTGACCTCAGGTGATCTGCCCACCTCGACCTCCGAAAGTGCTGGGTTTATAGGCATGAGTCAGTGCGCCGGGCCAAACCCACGGTTTTTAAGACAAGAATTTTGCCTAAAACTTAAGTGAGACAATTTCTCATTGTTTTAATATTGCCCAAATATTTCTAATTTTTAAACTAGAAATAATACTACTATGTTATGATTTAGTAAAATAATACCTTTTTACATTTTCCTGAAACTTTGAACAATGTCCTGGTTATTGTCAGAAAACTTAGTTGTTTAACTTAGTAATTGGTTAAATTGCCATTGTATTTTATCTGCAATAACTGCTATGCATATACATTTCTGCCTTGGAGCACATGTTCTTTAACATTCATTGAGTATATGAAGTCATTAATAGACATTCATTCTTTTCTCATTAAAGTTTTCCATGTCTTTTGTTAAATTGATATTCCCTCAAAATATACTCTTCTAGAATTCTAACCTTTCAGATTTTCAACTTGAGAAGCTTGATTTAAAACAAACACACTGTTTTTTGTTTTGTCTTCTAATATCAACTTTGCCAGTATGTTGACATGATATACCATATGCAACAATTTCTCATTAACTTGTAAATATCAGAAATATTTTAGTAAAATCAATTAGGACAATGAAAACAGTCTATTTCCCAACTCCAGTTTTTGGTACCAGGGCTTTTCTAAGCAATTCAGTTATTCAATTTTAATAATCCAAGTAAGATAGTGGTTTAAAAGTATGTATGTTTATAGAACCAGTTATATATGTGTATGAAATTCTTTTCAAAAAGTAATTTGAGGCTGGGCACGGTGGCTCATGCCTGTAATCCTAACACTTTGGGAGGCTGAGGTGGGCAGAGTACCTGAGGTCAGGAGTTTGAAACCAGTCTGGGCAACACAGTGAAACCCCGTCTCTACTAAAAATAAAAAAAAATTAGCCGAGCATGACGGTGTGCACCTGTAGTCACAGCTACTCGAGAGGCTGAGGCAGGTGAATCGCTTGAACCCAGGAGGTGGAGGTTGCAGTGAGCCAAGATTGCACCACTGCACTCCAGCCTGGGTGACAGAGAAAGACTCTGTCTCCAAAAAAAAAAGAAAAGTAATTTGAACCTTAAGAGGCCTATCATAAACATGACATCCATAATACTGGAGAAACTCAAGTGAAGATATTGTATTTAAAAACTTGCATGATTTTTACAAAGTGTTTTTTTTTTTGTTTGTTTTTTGTGAGCAACAAGGCTGTTTATTTCACGTGGGTGCAGGCGGGCTGAGTCTGAAAAGAGTCAGCGAAGGGAGATAGGGGTGGGGCCGTTTTATAAGATTTGGGTAGGTAAAGGAAAATTACCGTCAAAGCGGGGGTGTTGTTCTCTGGCTGGCAGGGGTGGGGGTCACAAGGTGTAGAAAAGGAAGGTTAGAAAGACTCAGCAACGCTTGGGGTTGGGACTGAGGGGACAGGCGGGAGGGAAACAAGGAAGATTTGGGATGAGTTTCATTGGGAACAGAGACTAGGGAGGGACGGATGTGTAAAAGAATGCCTAGATGTCAGGCATCTCAGACCATTTGCCCATTTTACAACAAGAATTATTTAGATCTTGTAGGATGGAAAAATTGAAAGTGCCGTTTTCTGGCTATTTGGAACCACTGTCGAGTTTCTATTGGGGTCAAGTGGCATTGCGGAAGAAAATAAGGCATTTAGGTTTTAGGTTAGGTGTGAGTTGAAAGAGGTTGAGGGATAGTGAGAGAGGTTGGAGAAGAGAGTAAAAAAAAGGCCGCTTACCAGATTTAAAATTAGTGAGATGTTCCTTGGGCTGGTTAGTCTGAAGACCAGAGGTCGTAGGTGGATCTTTCTCACGGAGCAAAGAGCAGGAGGACAGGGGATTGATCTCCAAAGGGAGGTCCCCCGATCCAAGTCACGGCACCAACTTTCATGCGCGTCCATGTGAAGAGACCACCAAACAGGCTTTGTGTGAGCAACAGGGCTGTTTATTTCACCTGGGTGCAGGCGGGCTGAGTCCCAAAAGAGAGTCAGCCTACAAAGTGTGTTTTTTTAAAGAAAAATTTAAAGTTAACTTTAAAATGCTGGACACTTTTTATGTATGATAGTGAAATTATGATGATTAAAAATACATAAAGCAAGTAAAACAAAACTTTTAATGAGAAAGCAACATAGATGTCATTAAGTAATAGAAGGACATTTGGCTTTTCAAATGTATTGTGTCCCACTACATAATAGTTCACTAGATTAAATGAAATTATTGATTTCTGCTTCATTACTGACATACATTTATGAGCAGTTTCTTCAGCACCATAGCACAATGTCAAAGGTCATAACTTTCTTTCTTTGGAAGAATAAAAGCTTTCAGATGGTAAATCCCAGAAACCTTCACTGTGGCTTTTGCTTTTTTTCTCTTGCGTAGAATTACTGGAGAGGCATGGTTAAAAGAAACATCTCATAAATCATCAAGAGAAAGCCTTTTCTTCCTGAGGCTTCTTAAAATCATTGACAACTAACAGAATTCCTCTACAGATAATATTGTTTTTCCCAGATTTTGAAATATTTTAGTAGGAAATGGTTCATTGTAACATGGTTCCCTGTGTCTACTATTTTATGTGAAATTTCATTTATATTTTTAGTTAAAGCATTCTGTTTGAAATAAGTTAGAATATTTCACCTGTGTTAAATATGTACATGTTTTATTCTCCAATAAAAGCCAAATCTCTTGTGATATCAGGATGGAACAGTAAAGAGTTAGGGATTTGGAAGTTTCTATTAGTCAGCTATGTCATGTAACCTAAGCCTTTGTATTAGTGGCTCAAATGGTTTCATATTGAGTAAAGCCACTGCTTCTACCATAGCTACTCCATTTTGTACCTGATGATGTTCCTCGACATGAATTCCATTGTAGAATGAAAAACTTTTTTAATTTGATAATGGCGTTTTGAATTTTAGGCATTATCAAGCTTGGTGAAGATATGTACACGTGTACATATATATATGTACATACACATGTATGTGTGATACATAGTTTTGTTGTGTATATATTGCTGTAAAGTTGCTTTTTCCACGCTGCTGTTAAAATCTTAGCAGCAGTGGTGTTAAGATAACTGCTGAGTGGTGAACTCAGTTAAAATCTTAAAAATTTGTCATCTTTAAAATGTATGTTTTGATAAGATGGTTATGAAAAGGTAGAGAAGTAATTTTTTTCTCCTAATGGTCTGGTGATTTAGGGGGAAAATAAAGGAAAATACTGTGTTCTTGAAGGTTGGATCCTCCCAGCACTTGACTTTAAGATGTTTTTCATATTATGGAGATGTTGCAGCTTCCTGCTGAAATCCTCTTGATAGTCCAAAACCTTTCCGATGACTTCTTCCCTCCCATACAAATAAGGGCTAACCAAGAGTTCAGTCACATGGATTAGGGAGGTAAGGAAGTGGTTCTGTAGTGGGCAGAGGAACTCCCATCATTCTTCAGCCCATGGATTGTTTATCCTGAAAAAAGCTCAATCTTGGTTAAAATAAAAAGTGAAATTATTGTGATTGATATATAATTTTATTTAGAGAACCAGTTGATTGTTTTGTTGTTGTTGTTGTTGTTTGTTTGTTTTCTGTTTTTGAGACAGAGTTTCACTGTCACCCAGGCTGGAGTGCAGTGCCACGATCTTGGCTCACTGCAACTTCCGCCTCTAGGGTTCAAGCGATTCTCCCGTCTCAGCCTCCTGAGCAGGTGGCGCGTGCCACCACACTCAGCTAGCAGATGATTGTTAACACAAATTCATTTGTAATTTGTTGGCAAGTAACTTTTATTTTCAAGGAGAATACTATACTGTGTCTATATGATAGTTTTTGGATGGTATCTGTAAAAATGAGCTAATGTAGACAAGTGTTGGGCGTTTTAATAGTTTTATTGAATAGTCTACCTTTGCCCCTTTCTCCAACTGGTGCCAATTCAGAAGGGAATGGATTGTTTATCCAAATGTCTTATCACAAAGTTTCTCTTAGGTTTCTCTCACTTGGAGTTCATGTTTGCTGAGAGACCAAGTCAAGTCAAAAGGAGTTGTATTGCTTTTTTAGTTTCTTTTACTGCCTTTTTAGCTCAAAGGTTAACCTTTGTGGATCTTAAAAGTGGTATATTATTTTCCTTACGGAACTCTAGTTTGGACTTCCAGTACTCAGGGTTTTTTGGATATGTAATTCCAGGGGACCTCGGATGTTGTGATCCCAAATCAAAGACATTTATCTCTTCTTTTAAGGAAAAGGGGATTAGGAACTTCCTGCTGCTTTTGCAAACACTAAAGTATCCGTTAGGGCTTGGAGTTGCCCTGAGGTCACTTTTGCAAATGCTTCACATACTCTCAAGGCCCCACGTCTGCTCAGGGCTTCACGCTCCTGCTTTTAGGCATAAGGATTCCTGATTCTTCATTAAGAGTATTCCTAATAGTCTAATACCTCTGTTTATAGAATCAATGAATCAATCAAATGAAAAACACAGTTGGGATTATCTGAAGAGAGTATTTATATCCCTGGAGGCAAGTGGAAAATATCCTGATTAGCCTGAAAATTTAGATTTACTTTTTAAGGGTTTTGTCATAGATATGGTGGAAACTAATTCATTAGGCAAGGATGCAAATGAGAAAGCTTTGGCACTGAGGTCTTTGGATGATAATATTTTGTTTCAATCTATAAACTGTCATTGTAGCCTTAATTAAACAATAGATACATTACTTTTAACAGTTCCTTTTTGAATAATATGAATATATGACAGTTGATATTTTATTAAATGATTTTGGTGTTTAGAGAGTATGAAAAATATTTTTGTTTGAATAAAGAAGTAATTTATTATATTTTCTGATTGTATTCAGTATCATTATTAGAGTATTTTATCTGTATATGTGTAAAGCTCTGTAAAGAGCTGTATATAAAACTCTGCTAAGATGTTAAAGAACTCTCTGAAGTCCTCCTTGTGGGATTACCATTTGACTTCATTAAACACAGAGGTTTTTAAGGATTGTTCTCAAATTTTAATTTTAGCAACATCAAGCTATGTTTATTTAAGAAGCTGCTCAATTTTGATGCAAAAATAGCATTTTTAGGTAGAAAAAATCATCTCACAGCTATTTTGTGTATGTTTACTTTTTAAGTATAAGTGGTTAAGAGAGTTGAGTGGGCACAATCTGGACTAGATTATGACACCTGAAATAATTAAAAGTACTTTGAGCTTATTTGATGCATAAGGAGGGGAAATAGTGTTCACTTAGAAACTTAACCTCATCTGAAGCTCTTTCTCTATTTAAAAAAAAAAGGGGGGGATAAGGATGCCAGGCTTGGTGGCTCACACTTGTAATCCCAACACTTAGGGAGGCTGAGGCAGAAGGATCCCTTGAGGCCAGGAGTTTAAGATCAGCCTGAACAACATAGTGACACCTCCTGTCTACAAAAAATGTTTTTAAAACTAGCGGGGGGGTGGGGGTGCACATCTGTAGTCCCAGCTACCCGGGAGACTGAGATGAGAGAATCACTTTAACTCCAGGGGTTCCAGGCTGCAGTTGAGCTATGGTATCACCACTGCACTCCAGCCTGGGCAACAGAGCAAGACCCTGTCATAGAAAGATTGAGAGAGAGAGAGAGAGAGAGAGAGAGACAGATAAATAGATAGAAAGAAAATAAAAGGATGACTACTTCTCAGGGTGTTACAGTGAGTTCATGCTTTTGTATAATCTGTTCCCAATACATAGCAATGATAGGTAAAATATTAAAACAGAAAGCTAAACCTAGCTTGAAAATGAGAGAAATATCTATGAGGACCAGAACAGAAATGTACAGGGTTAAGTACCTGAAGTTTTAGGCCTAGCCCTACTTCTGGATTGGGAAAGATTTTAAAATATTTTACAGAAAGCCTAACCCATGAAGAAAAAAATTAATAAATTTTATTAAGTTAAAACAAATTTTTAAACTTCTGAATTTCAGAAAGACAGTGTAAACCAGTAATGTAGCAACAAGACAAGCTGGGGTAATAGACATGCAGCGAATCTAAATGACAAAGGATTAGTAACCAAAAGATGAAAGAACTCATACAAATCAATGAAAAAGAAGCAAACATCCTAGTAAAAAAATAGCAATTCAAAGTAGGGAAAACATAAAAAGCTTATAAACATGAAATTATGCTTAGTTCACTTGTAATCAGGGAAATGAAATTTTTAAAGAAGATACTATTTTTACATCCAGTAAATTGACAAAAATTTTAACACCTGTGATTTCCAAATGATGGCAAAGAAAGCTGATGGAAATTTAAACTGGTGGAACTATTTTAGAGAGTAATTTGGCAATATCGGGAAAAATTGAAAATATATGTAACCTTTTCATGTCTAGGCATATAGCATAGGAAAACTCTTGCCCATGCACATAAGCAGATGCATATAAGAATGCTCCTTGAAGCATCTTTTGCAATAAAGGGAAGTTGGAAACAACTTACATGTCTCTCAGTAAGAAAATGGCTAATAAATCGTGGGGTGCTACATATAGTTAAATTAATTAAAATGATTAACTAGATTTATATATAGTGTGGATAAGTGGTAAAAAGTGTTGAGCATTTTACAGAGCAAATAGACTATGATACCATTTGTATATAGATAGAAACTATGCAGAACAGTATTTTGTTTGTGAATACATAGGTATTACTAAAAGTACAAAATAGTTCTTATAATTATAAACACCAAGTTGAAAATAGTGGTTGTTTCTGGAGAGGGAAAGAAGATCAGATCAGAGAGAGGTATACAAGGGATTTTAACCAAATCTCTATAGTGTTTTATATTCTTTTTTGAAAATTCTGGAACAAATATTGCGAAGTGCTATTTATTATTTGATAAAGTGTTATACTACTCATTCTTCTGCATGTTTGAAATTGGTTAAACAATTTTTAAATGAGTGGTCTAAAATACATTTTCCTATTTTGTCAGACATAAAATGTGCTGTTAGTGGCCTTCTGAAATTAAATATCTGGTACATTGTAATTTTTTTTGTTTGCTTGAGTTATTTGACAGCTTTAAATTTTATCTTAACTGGCTTTTTACTAGTTTTCTCCCAAATCTTGAAAATAACGAATTTGCATGAAGTTGTGGATCAAAAAGGATAGTAATAATCTGAAATAACATTTTCCTGGGCATATGTTGAAAAATTAGAGCTATATCTGTACTTGGCACTAAATTGTTTTAAGTTGATTCATCATGGCCTTTGAGTTATCAATCAGATTACCACATGGTTAATTCAATTTGGGAGGCAGCACAATTATAATAACCAGATCATGCACCATTATTTTGGTTGTCTTAGTGATCAAATTGGATGAAAAATTAGGGACTGAATCAGCTGCTTTTCAGTTTGCTATAGTAATACCCAAAGAAATCAAATCCACCTGAGATTTGTGGGTTTGGTTGAAACACATAGGCGAAACAGCTTTCTGGAAAACCTTTGCTGGCACAGAAAACAAGCCCCTCTGTCCACGGACTAAAGCTATTATTTGAGACAGGGGTCTTTGTCTGTCTTTGACCAGTGGTCAGTGAACTCTGACCAACCATTTCATTTCACCATCTTGACCAAAGTGCTGGCAATTGATTCATTAACCCTCTAGAGTTCACATTCTTATGTCAAAGACTTATCAGTGTAGGAAGAAAAGATTCTATGTGAGCTTATTCACTTTATTTAAAAGGCTAGGATGCAGTTCTGTGATTGAAGAGGTTACTTTGAGGCCTGGGGATGCCTTCATTGCTTCATTTTAATTTGACCCAATTCAAGCCCTAGCTCCAGAATCATTTGGCTTCTGCTTAACCATTTCAGTTCCTTCCTAGATTGTTTCCTTCTGGGAACCTCACTTGTGTAACAGTCACCTGAGGGTTGTCATCTACTTGTATAACTTTTTTTTATTTACATCCACATTCATTGAGCAATTTTTTAAAATTGGGGCAATATCCTGAGAACAGAAGAGAGATTGTGTTAGTTAGCTACCACTGCATAACAAATTATTTCTAAACAGGGTGGCCTAAAACTGTAAGTATATATTATTGTCTACAAGCTTGTGGATCAGATGGGTGGTTCTGCTCATAAGGGCCAGGATTGGCTGATCACAGTTGCACTTACTCGTGTGTATACAATCAGCTGATAGGCTTGCTGGTGAAGGAGAATGTTGGCTGGATGATCTCAGTCACATAGTTGGTTGTTGGTTGGGGTGAAAGGAAAGATTGGACCATGTCTTTCCCCATCCAGCAGGCTGTCCTGAGTTTGTTCACATGTCTTTGGCAAGTTCCAGGAGAGTGGGTGGCATCAAACAGCGCTTCTCAAGGACCTGGTATGGAATTAGCATGATCTTCCATCTCATTCTGCTGGCAAGGTCAAGGTCTGCCCAGATTCCAGAAATGGGGAGAAACTGCAAAATTACATTGGTTTTCCAATGATCTCTACCCTTGAGGACAGCAGCTTGAGACAGAGGCAAGGTCAAGGATCAGCTGTGTAAGATGGAGAAGAACATATTTGTAAGCTGTGGTACCCAGTGATAAGATTTGGAAGACAGAAGTTACAATTACTAAATCAAGGTTACAGAGGAATAGGAAAGGATAAATAAGATTAAATCCTTTAGGCCGGACGCAGTGGCTCACGCCTGTAATCTCAACAGTTTGGGAGGCCAAAGCAGGTGGATCACTTGAGGTCAGGAGTTCGAGACCAGCCTGACTAACATGGTGAAACCTCATCTCTGCTAAAAAAAAAAAAAAAAAAAATACAAAAATTAGCTGGGTGTGGTGGCAGGCGCCTGTAATCCCAGCTACTCGTGAAGCTGAGGCAGGAGAATCACTGGAACCCAGGAGGTGGAGTTTGCAGTGAGCTGAGATCATGCCATTGTACTCCAGCCCGGGCGACAAGAGCAAAACTCTGTCTCAAAAAAACAAAAAAAATCAAAAAACCACATCTGCTATAAAGCCTTTTAGAGGAAGAGAGGCAAGTCGTCTCGGGGCAGGTACAAGATTTCACTTTTCCTTTTATCTCTCACCATGTCTTGGTTAAAATTTGGGGAGTTTGTGTATTTTTTACTGATAATTTTAATTATATTCTATATAAGTTGATCAGGAATCAAGTGAATGCAATAAAAGAAACATAACTGTTTAGTTTATAGAGAAGGCTTTTAGAGGTATCAAAAATAGAAGAATGACTTAAAGACAAAAGTATATGAACATTCCTGTAGTGAATATCCTAGACCAAGAAAACATTAGATTCTGGGATATTATAATGTACTCACAGCCTAAAATTTCAGAAAATGAGGCTTTAAAAAACAACTCCAGATCCACATCTTTCAGGCATTTAAGAGAAAGCCATAAACTGAATGTGAGTAATTTAGTGGTTTGGGATTAAGAGAACACTTTTCCCTGGGGGGAAGAAAGTGCTACAAATAACAGTTTGCAAATAGTCCTATTTAATTCACATAGTAGCCAATAAATTGTATGTGTATAATGAAAAATGTAGAACAACATTGCTGTAATTAAGTAGATTTATGTAAAAATGAAGTATTTTAATATTTGAGGATGAAGAAACTGATGAAAATATTTGTGATTTTCAATAGGGCTTTCTGGAACTTTTAAAGGCTTTTGAAATTAACTGATTTTTATTTTTATTTTTGAAATTATAGAAGTAAAATAGTTGCCATAAATATTGCAGTAATAGAGAAAATATTAAGTGCTTAGTTCCTGTAGTCATTGTTAATGGTTGTGTATATTCTTCGGGGGCTTTTTTCTGTGCATTTACAAACACATATATGCCCACATATGCCGGGTTTTTTTTCAGATTTAAAAAATGTTATTGAGGCATAATTGATGCACAATAAACTGCACATATTTGAAGTGCACACTTTGTTGAATTTGACCTATATGTGTACCAATGAAACCATCACCACAATGAGAACATACTCATCTCTCCCGAAAGTTTCTTAATGGTTTTTGGAGTCCCTCCCTCCTCCCCATCGCCAGGCAACCACTGATCTGCTTTCTGTCACTATAGATTAGTTTGCCTTTTTAGAATGTTCAAATAATATGTACTCGTTTGTTTGTACAGATTCTCTCATTCAGCATAAATGTTTTGAGATTCATTCATGTTGGTTCATTTTTGGTTGTTAAGTAGCATTCCATTGAATGGATATACCACTGATTGTTTATTCACTCACTTGTTAATTTACATTAGGGCTGTTTCCAAACAGTTTGAGGCCATTACACATAAACCTGTTAGGAATATTCATGTATAAGTCATTGTGTAAACTATGAACTAATTTCACTTGGGTAGATACCTAAGAGTTGAAATGCCTGGTTTGGATAATAAATATATATTTAACTATTTAACTTTTTAGGAAACTGCCAAACTGTTTCCAAAGTAGTTGCAATCCCATTAAATGGATTGAACACACTCTCTCACGCGCTCTCTCTCTCTATATATATATATTGTATATTTTATATATATTTTATATATAATATATATATAAACTTTTTTTAAAAAAACTTGTCAGCACTTTCTTTTTGTTATGGGTCTCCCAAAAGTACTAGTGGGTCATTATCATGTCCATGTCCTTTCACTCATAATTACGGCCATAAAGAAATTAAACTATCTAAAGGGTCCCATAGGGCTTTAAAAACGTCTGTAATTCTTTTTTTTTTTTTTTTTTTTTTTTTTTTTGAGACAGAGTCCCACCCTGTCGCCCAGGCTGGAGTGCAGTGGCGCAATTTTGGCTCACCGCAACCTCCGCCTCCTGGGTTCAAGTGATTCTCCTGCCTCAGCCTCCCTAATAGCCGGGACTACATGCACGCACCACCACACCAAGCTAATGTTTTGTATTTTTAATAGAGACGGCTTTTCACCATGTTGACCAGGCTGGCCTTGAACTCCTGACCTCACCTAATCTGCCTGCCTCGGACTCCCAAAGTGCTGGGATTACAGGCATGAGTCACTGCACCCGGCCTCAAAAACCTCTCTAATTCTATTAAGTATTTGTTTTCCCAGATAACTAAGGACTTAAAAAAAAGTATATCACAGCCTCAGTAGGAATCACTTTGAAATAACCCTGGCTAAGCCTGTTTAGTAGTATAGTCAGCTTCACTACTCTGTCACCAAATTAAAATGTACTAGAAGCTAATTGTCTTAACAGTTAGCAATGATTAGTACAGCAGTGATTTGTTCCTTTGTTATTCAGTTTGGTTTCACTTTATTTATTTTTGAGACGGAGTCTTGCTCTGTCGCCCAGGCTAGAGTGCAGTGGTGTGATCTCGGCTTGCTGCAGACTCTGCCTCCCGGGTTCAAGCGATTCTCCTGCCTCAGCCTCCTGAGCAGCTGGGATTACAGGTGCCTGCCACTGCACCCGGCTAATTTTTGTATTTTTTAGTAGAGATGGGGTTTCACCATCTTGGCCAGGCTGGTCTCGAACTCCTGACCTCATGATCCACCCGCCTAGGCTTCCCAAAGTGCTGGGATTACAGGCATGAGCCACTGCGCCTGGCCTGGTTTCACTTTATTTGCACCATTCATTCCTGATCTGTTGTCTTGTTTGTTTTCACTTGCTTCATTTCTTCTTGTGATGTTTTTCCCTTTATCTGTTCCATTCCATTTTTTTCTCTTTCCCGCCTTTCTCACTAACTCTTCTGCCTCTGTTTTTTTTTTTTTTTTTTTTTTTTTTTTTACCAGCTTACTCCTCCTTTCCACAGGCGTGCACAGACTGTCCTGTCTGTCAGCAAATGCTGATTGTGGGAAATCAGACTTCAAACATGTAAAGGAGTGTCCATCACAGAAGAGACGGTTGAAAAACATTGCCTTTGTGGCTTCTGAGCATTGGTGTATTTCCAAATATTTTTCAAATTAACAGATCCCACTGGTGATCATTTCCTTGAAAGAAACTCAGGGTCTCTATTAAGCCATGTGGAAAATTTGCATAAGGTGGTGAATAGAACTCTGCACAAAGTTGGGAAATCTAGCTTTACAGTTGGTCCTGAATGCAGTTTTATTCATCTTTTCTGTGACATTTGTTATAAACCATCAAAGGAAAAGTAAGATTGTTTGGCTCTCCACTACCAAAAACAGGCATTAAAGAGCAGATTCTATCAGTTAACCTCTCTGTGCTTGAATGAATGTGACGCTTGACAGCCGATGAAATATGAGCTGCAAGTTTCTTTTGCCCTGCTCCTATAAACTATGCATTGTTTTGATTTGGCTTATTGATCGCATTATGGAGGATTTCTATATGGCTGTTGTCCAGAATTCTCTTCTTTTATTCTTTTGAGTGAAAGGTTGCATATAATTTGGTAAAAATTTCTAAAAGGAAGTATGCATTCCGCATTTAATAAATAGTTTGTGTGCAGCTAATATAGCCTATTTCCTACTGAAGCAATTCAAAGACCTTTAACAGGCATAGAGTATGTCATAAGAGTAAGCCATTTATGCAGCAGCTTTGGGTTGTTGAAACCCTTTAGGGAATCTGATTTTATAAATTTTATTTAAATCACTAGTTGGATATAGTTTAGACATGATTTTGTCCTATAGAAGGTACATTCTTGGTGTTTGAGATAACCTTAAATGTTCTTAACCTTAGGAGCCTTTGTATAGGCAGGGAAGTACTTCTGTAAAACACAATTCTCAATCATAAGAATTCAATAGCAAGTGAATCATTAAAAAACTCACATTTGGTTTGATATTCCACATCACCCTTAACTCTGATCATGTATATCTTTTACTTAAAATATTTCAATGGCTCCCCACTGCCTTCGGAATACTACCCAAATACTTAGAGTAGTGCTTCTCAAATTTTAAAGTAAAGTCCATGCAAGTCACCTGGGCGTCTTTTAAAAATGCTGATTGGCATTTGGTAGTTCTGGGCTGGGGCCTGATAGTCTGCATTTCAAACAAGTTCTAAGATTGGTCCAAGGATGGCACTTAGAGTAGCAAAGCATTAAAATGTAAGTAGGCAAAGCTCTGCATCATCTCTGCCCTGCAGTTGCATCTTTTGTCACCCTGTCTCTCTGTGTCTCTACCCTGCCTCGCTCTCCCTCTCCTCTCTCTCTTTTTTAAGAGACAAGGTTTTCACTCTATCACCCATGCTGGAGTGCAGTGGCATGTGCATGGCTCACTGTAACGTCGAACTCCTGGGCTCAAGTCATCCTTACACCTCAACTTCCTAAGTAGCTAGGAATACAGATACGAGCCACCATGTACAACTAATTAAAACAACTTTTTTTTTTTTTTTTTTTTTTTTGGTAGAGACAAGGTCTCACTCTGTTGCCCAGGCAGGTCTCAAACTCCTGGCCTTGAATGATACTCCCACCTCTGCCTCCCAAAGTGTTAGTCATGAGCCACTGTGCCCGGCCACCCTCTGATTTCTGCCCATACCCCAAATTCCCACCACATGGAGTTCCAGTTCTCTGCATGTGTTGTGTATTCTTATTGCTCTGTGCCTTTACCCATGTTCCACCTTCTGCCTGGACTACTCTTGATAATCCCTTGATATCCTTCCACCTTTTATCACGTGTCACTGTCTTCTTGATGCCATCCCCAACTCTCAGTTTTGTTTTGATGGCCAGTAGTTGTTGTAGCATCCTGTGGGTTCTACTTTTATGGAGAGACTTAACAGTGTAGTATTCTTTCCTTCAAAGTGTTTTTGTAAAGAATAGTAAGTAGAGGTCGGGTGCAGTGGCTCACGCCTGTAATCCCAACACTTTGGGAGGCCAAAGTGGGCAGATGACGAGGTCAGGAGATTGAGACCAGCCTGGCTAACATGGTGAAATCCCGTCTCTACTAAAAATACAAAAAAAAAAAAAAAAAAATTAGCTGGGCATGGTGGCATGCGCATGTAATCCCAGCTACTCGGGAGGCTGAGGCAGGGGAATCGCTTGAACCCAGGAGGTGGAGGTTGCAGTGAGCCAAGACCGTGCCACTGCACTGGTGACAGAGTGAGACTCCTTCTCAGAAAAAAAAAAAAAAAAAGAATAGCAAGTAGATTTATTTGGGCTAAATAATGAAGTCCATATTGGAGAGTGGTGTGGAATGTTGGATAAACAACAGTACAATTAAATTGATGTTGATCAGAAATAGGTAGGAGACTGAGCACAGTGGCTTATGCCTGTAATCCCAGCACTTTGGGAGGCTGAAGCGGGAGGATCACTTGAGGTCAGGAGTGCAACATGGTGAAACCCCAACTCTACTAAAAAAAATACAAAAATTAGCTGGGTGTGGTGGGGTCACCTGTAATCGCAGCTACTCAGGAGGCTGAGGCAGGAGAATCGCTTGAACCTGGGAAGTGGAAGCTGTAGTGAGCTGAGATCGCGCCACTGCACTCCAGCGACAGAGCGAGACCCTCTCTCACAAAAAGAATAAGTAGAAAGGGGAAGACAAAATAGTTGACAGGAGATCCTAAAGCCCTTACTACAAATTTTGGGAGTGATGTAATATTCAATCAAGTGGAAGGTCAGGGAAATATTTTTGCTGCTACTTCTAGGAAAGTTTAAAGCAGAGAAAATTGGAGAAAAGGACATTACCTGTTCTTTTTGCATGAATGTATGTGTCCTACTGGGAGAATAGACTCACAAGGCCTAGATTAGCATTAGTACTGTGAGGTGCTATGATGGACTCCTTGAGTGGATGTTTTGTCTCTAGGGCTGCAGCTTGAAGCTAAGTTTTTTAAAGCACCATTTGACTTCCAGCTCCATTATTTACTAATTCTGTGGCCCTGAGCAAATGGAACATATTTCCCTAATTATAAATAAAAGTAATATTATTTACCTGCTAAGGTTTTTCAGAGTATTAAACCAGTTAATGTACATATGATATATAGTAGGTTAATTCTCTCTTCTCTTCTTTAGGGCTGTGTTGTCAAGCCTAATTTTAAAAAAGTTACAATATTAAAAGACATCATTATGTTGTGAACAAGTAGTTCAGAAGTCTATGTCTACTTTATGAATTCACTTTAACTGGTCATCTGATATCTATCTGTCTGTCTATATATATCCTGTTATCAATTAAATTGGCTTGCTTTTTAATTTAACAGCTATGAGAAGATGAAAGAGAGAGGCATTTCGTAGTGATTGATTCCCAGTTTGTGACTGAATGTCATAAGTAGACTAATTGATGTTATAAATTATGATTGTATAAATTTTAATGAATTGTGTGGCATAACAGGCATTTAGTAAATACTGAGTGGTTATTATGTGAAAGAGAAAGGAGTACTAAATACCACTGAGTGGTTATTATGTGGAAGAGAAAGGAGAACCAAGGATTTTATGATTTGATAAAGCAATATATATATAAAACGATGAAGAACAATGCTATAATGTTTATCAACAAATAATTTAATATACTGTATCTCTTGAATTGGTTTTAAATGTCCTTGAAATAACCATTTGTAAAGCAAAAGTAATCCTAGTAGAAATATTTCTGCTGTGATCTTGATGGATTTGGTGATTTTTCTCATTATAAATTTCTGCACAGATGAAGTTGCTAAGTGACATGAATTTTGTCACAAAAACCTCACTCTTCTTAATGCTTTATTGATTCTCTTTCTGTGACCGATGCAAAGTGTAAAATTGCATGGAATGTTCTTCCTGCACAGTTGAGCTATTAAGCAGAACTAATTCTTTATGGAATGACAACAAGGCATAAGAAAGGCATCTCTTGGATTAGGCAATATAAGGCAATCACTTGGCAAAAGGCTGAAGGGAAAGTGGTCTTGGTAAAGACAAAGCAGTGACACTTTTTTTTCCCCCTTGAATTCATAGGAGCCACACAAGTTGAACAGCTTTGAAGCTGGTTAATGTGGCTTACTATGCATGTTTTTTCTGTACCATTTCCTGCTTGTTTTTGCCAGCAGAGGGGCCAAGAATAATCACTTGATAAATGCATTAGCATGTCGCATACACTTCTGTGACCACACACTGTTGCTGGGAAGACAGATAATTTGAGAAGAAGAAAGTCCCAGTTGGGGATGTCTTTCAAAGTGAGATCAGATTTTACTCCTAAACTAACACAAGTCTGTCTAGATTATGAGAGTGCCATATGGAGACAGAATAGTTTTTAAAAATTTAAGTCAAGTTTAAATTGAGAAGTTGAGAAAGATGTAATAGGCAAAGTGAATAGTGATTTATCTTCATTTTATCAGCTCTAGAGATGAAGACAAAGAATGTTGGTGGTAATTTTTTGACAATTTAATGATTATCGAAAACTTACTTCCCTGGACTTTTCTTATTGACAACCTGTTCCTATTTATTTTGCTGAGGTGTATGATTTTCCTTGTTTTTAACCTCTTCTTTAAATTCCTACCAACACAGACTCTTCCTCTTATCACATTTCTACATCTACTTCTGGTGTTCTTCATAATCTGGTCCTGGGAACCCACCCTAGTTGCCTGTCAAGCCCTAGTTACTTCTGATCTCGTTAGGGTGGGCTCCATCAGTCCAGCAGAACATGAGCCAAGGGGTAGCTGAAGAGCCCTATACTTCAGCCGCAGATGAGGACATTAGAAGTGATTGTGAATTCAATATTGTAAATCATTTACTGTAACTATTTTCTCCTCTGCTTTAGAAGAGTAGAAATATCAGTGTGGCATAGATGCATGTACAAAAGAGTATGCTTTTATTTTAGCACTCAATAGTGGTAAAAATATTTGTATTTTTGTAGTTTAATCCTGAAGAAGTACTCAAATGTTCAGCAGTCTTGGTCACATATGAATTCCAAGAACCTGCAGCCACTCTAGAAAATCCATTTCTCACTTGAGATTCCTAGGAACAGACCAACTGGTTCTAGGACCAAATTCTGAATAATTTCAAGTCTGGCCTAGTGGATTCTGTGCTATGTTGAATATTATGAGAATTCCCAAGATAGGTTTAGAATGTCAGGGGACCCCGGAACTGACATGTGTCTGCAGGATATGCTGGATCAGCAGCCTGTAAAAGGTCTGTCCCCGAATTGCAATCCTGTGTGTGCCACTGGCATCAAGAGGCAGAGGGTTAGGCTGGGCTTTTCAGGTTGTGTGTGTGTGTGTGTTTGCACATGTGTGTGTAATGCTTACTGATACCAACTCTCCTAGCTTCTCAGCAGAGGTGTGACTGCTCTTTGACCATTTCCATAGGTAGAAGAATAGGAATAGGAGGGCTCTAGGTTTCTGGCTCCTCCTGTTCCTCTAATAGTTAGAACTGGAACATAGATCCATTTCTAGTTATTAGGATAAATATTTTTGTGTGCACTTTTCATGTATAGTGTTATAAAGTAATTTAAACTTAGTTTCAGCATCTTATGGTTCTTCAGATTATTACTATGTACACATTATACTATATGCTCTAGATGAAGGAGGTGATGACTGAATTGAATCCATACATACTCTAGGACAAATTTTATTTGTGTGTTTATCAGATGTCTATTGACTGCCTTTTCTATCTGTGGTGCTGTGCCAGAAATAAAAAGATAAAAGACTCTATTCTGTGGATGAGAGCAGAAAGTAAAACTGATGAAACAAACAGTGAAGCAAACAAGATATCCTAAGCTCCTGGGAATATTAAAGGGGTCTCTAGTTCTACTTGGGAAAATCAGGACTAACTTTATAGAAGAGGTGAAGATAGTCTCTAGGAGTCAGCTTTTTAAATCTCTGTGTGCTGTCTTCCTGCTTAATTTATAAGTTTTCTTCTTTAACACTGGCTAGAAAATTAAATAGAATCTTTTCTGTTTTTTAAAGAAGTATAGCCTTCTTGAAATTTATTTTTAAAGTTTACATATAGTAAATTCTGTCTTTCAAATCTATAGTTCTATGAATTTTAACACATGTGTAGAGTTGTGTAACCATCACTACAATCAGGATACAGAATAGTTTCATCATCCCAAAACGGTCTCTCAGGCTGTACTATATAGTCATAACCCTCTCTCTCCCCTGACTCCTAGCAGCCCATATATTTTGCATTTTCTGGAATACCATATAAATAGTAGAATTATATATTATGTAACCTTCTGTGTCTTGCTTCTTTTACTCAGCATAATGCATTTGAGATTTATTGATCTATATTGTTAAGACTTACATATTTTGTTTTATCAGTAGTTTGCTGCTTTTTGTTGCTGAGTAGTACTTCACTGTATGAATTTAACACAGTTTATTCATTCACTACCTTTGAAGGACAATTAGGTTGTTTCCAGTTTTGGATGATTATGAATAAAGCTTTCCTAAACTGTCTCATACAGACTTTTGTGTGAATGTAAGTTTTTATTTCTATTGAGTAAATATTTAGAGATGAGAATGCAGGGTTTTGTTTTGTTTTGTTTTGTTTTTGAGATGGAGTCTCACTCTGTCATCCAGGCTGGGGTGCAGTGGCGTGATCTCGGCTCACTGCAACCTCTGCCTCCCGGGTTCAAGCAATTCTCCTGTCTCAGCCTCCCAAGTAGTTGGGATTACAGTCGCCTGCCACCATGCCCAGCTAATTTTTGTATTTTAGTAGAGAGGGAGTTTTACCATCTTGGCCTGGCTGGTCTTGAATTCCTGACCTCATGATCCACCCGCTTCGGCCTCCCAAAGTGCTGGGATTACAGGCGTGAGCCACCGCGCCCGGCCAAGAATGCAGAGTCTTATAGCAAGTATGTGTTTATGAAAAACTGCCAAGTTATTTTCCAAAGTGATAGTACCAGTTTGCATCCCACCAACAATGTATCAGAGTTCCAGGTACTCCATATCCTCACCAGAACTTGGTATTGGCAGTGTTTTGGATTTGAGTCATTCTAACAGGTGTGTAGTGACATCTCATTGTGGTTTTAATTTGCATTTCTCTATAAGTATGAGGTAGGATATACTTTTGTGTTGAGTTGCCATTCATGTGTTTTCCTTGTTAAAGTATCTGTTCAACTCATTTGCCCACTTTTTATTGAATCGTTTTCTAATTATTAAGTTTTGAGCGTTGTGTATACATTCTGGATACAGAACTTTTGTCAGTATGTGATTTTAAAATTTTCTCTCCAAGTCTGTGGGAGAGTCTGTTCTTTCATTCTCTTAACAGTATTTTTCCAAGAGGAGGGGTTTATTTTATTTATTTTTAGAGACAGAGTCTCCGTTGCCTAGGCTGGATAGCAGTGGTGCGATCCAGGCTCAGTACAGCCTCGACCTCCCAGGCTCCAGTGATCCTCCTACTCCGGCCTCCCAAGTATCTGGGAGCGCAGGCACACACTGCCACACCCAGCTAGTTGTTTATTTTTTGTTGAGATGGGGTCTCCCTGTGTTGGCCAGGCTGGTCTCCAACTCTTAGGTTCAAGTGATCCTCCCACCTCTGCCTCCCGAAGTGCTGAGATTACAGGCATGAGCCACCGTTGCCAGCCAGAAGGTTATTTTTTCCTTAATTTTGATGAAGTCCAGTTTATCAATCTTTTATGGATTGTGCTTTTTATAAGTCATATATAAAAACTGTTTGCCTAACCCCAGGACACAAAGATTTTTCTGTTTTCTTCTAAATGTTTTACACTTTTACATTTCACATTTAGGTCTTTGACCCAATTTAATTAATTTTTTTGCGTAAGGTATAAAGTATAAGTCAAGATTAATTATTTAAAGATGAATTTTTTCAAATATGGATGTTTGCTTGTTCAAGTACAGTTTGTTGAACAGACTATCCCTTCTCTATTGAATTCCTTTTGCAATTTTATAAAAATCAGTTGACATAGTTGTATTGGTTAATTTCTGTACTCTTCTGTACATATACAGACATATACAGAGAGTATATGTCTAACCTTTTGCCATTATCATACTTCCTTTATCAGTAATTTTTGAAATCATTTTAATTCTTGAAATCAGACAGTGTGAGCCCTTCAATTTTGTTTCATCTTTTTCAAAATTGTTTTGGCTATTCTAGGTCCTTTGCCTTTTCATAAAAACTTTAGAGTAGCTTTTTATTATGCCTGTAAGGACAGGGCTGGCCTGGGCAAAATTGCCTGTCTTTAATTTTCTACCACTTCTTGTTTTCGTATATTTTGTGTCCAGCCTTTTTATATCTGGTGAATACTTAATATAATCATGCTAGTTCCTGGATGAAGGGTTCTCTGCTCTAGATTTGTCCAAGGCCCCTTAGACCAATGAAAATACAGCTGTCCTTATCCTTTGTCATAGGCATTGTGTCTGCTGGCTAATCTAGTCTCTAAGTCCCAACACATTTCTGTGCTTTATGATACATATATTTATGTACAGATATAAATATGTCATTACCTCCTTATGTGCTAGAACTGAAATGTACAAAATAATGATGCTGAAAATAATATAAGAGAATTTGGACTGATTTTAAGTTATTCATTGTCTTATTCTAAATCTTCATTTCCCATTAAGCAAATTGCCATCATAGCCAATTGTGAGTTAGTTTTATTTTGGTGGACATTTAATGATAAGCAGTTATGTATAAAGCACTATGACTTTTAGGTTCATTGAAATCACTGCTAATTTCTTACTCTTGGGCTTTAGGAGACAGATACTAACTTCATGAAACTTGTTCTCTTGTTGAGTATTCATTGGAAGGGGTGCCAGAAGGTGGAAAGGTGGGGGAAAATACCAAAAAAAAGCCATTAACAGTTAACAGTTTAACAGTTAAGCCCAAGCTTTAGAAAACTTGCCATTGAAAATTATTTTATGAATAATTTGAACATATCATTGAGTTTTAAGATCATCCAAGTTGGGTCATTTTTTAAATGGCTACAATGGCTGTAACTAGAGAAATAATATCTATTAGCTCCAAAAATCCTATAATATAAAGTTAGAAGGTGGATTGGGGTACACTGAACTGTGATTCTGGGAAGGCTCTTTAGAACTGGAAGGAATGGCAGCAGTTGCTGAGAAGAGCGCTACCATTTGTTTTGTTTTGTTTTGTTTTCTAGACTAGTCATGCGCAGTTATGAGAAGAAGGGGAAGAGCAGAACTAAGTTTCAGCCAATGCCCAAATGAATCTCCCCCACCCCCGCACTCTCTCCCCTCTCCCCATCCCTCTCTGTACTGCTCCTTTTTTTCTATGAGCATGATTCACGAGTCCTGATGACTGCCCTAATTTGAGAGTCAGGCAGTCACAAATTCTGACACTATACCACACCTAAACTGCCACATTGTTTTTAAATGAAACTTATGAGCATCATTTCTTCTCTAAAGGTAAAATCCATTCCCAGGAGCCTCCTGAATCCTGCATATAAATACACCTGTGGCTCTTCCTCTCTCCTCTCCATCCTGCCCTACCCCAGAAGAAGTAATGAATGGGGCTGAGCGTGGCAGCTCATGCCTGTAATCCCAGCACTTTGGGAGGCTGAGGCAGGAGGATTGCATGATCTCACAAGTTGGAGACCAGCCTGGGCAACATGGTGAAACCCTGACTCTATCACAAACACAAAAATTAGCCAGGTGTGGTGGTGTGTGTCTGTAGTCCCAGCTACTGGGAAGGCTAAGATGGGAGGATTGCTGTAGCCCGGGAAGTTGAGGCTACAGTGAGCCAAGATCACACCACTGCACTCCAGCCTGGGTGACAGAGAGAGACCCTGTCTAAGAATGGAGTGGGTGGAGTCATTCAAGGAAAACTAAAGTGACAGAAGAGACCCTGATTGGATATTAGCTTGGCCTGAGATCTAGATGCTACTTTTTAGGACAGGGAAGATAAGTTTATGTTTTCAAGCACTGATGAGGAAACTAGTAATGAGAGAGTGATGCAAAAGAATGGGAATAATAAATGGAATAAGGGCGCAGAGCTGGTAGGAGGGATGGGATTAAGAGCGTCAGGAGAAGGTTAACCTTGGTGCAAGTTGGAATGGTTACTGATTCCTCAGAACCAGAAGTGAAGGAAGAGAAGCTAGGTGAATAGGGAGAGATTTTGAGGTGGTAAGGAGAAGAATCAATGGTGTTTATGTCCAGCAAGATAATAGAAATAGCTAAAATTTACTGAGTGCTTTAATAATACAGGAAATATATTAAGTACTTTACATGCATTACCTTACGTTATCCATAATAACCCTTTTAAGTCCCTTACTTTACAGAACAAAACATGTTCAGGAAAAGTAAGAAATTTGAGGCTGGGCGCGGTGGCTCACGCCTGTAATCCCTGTACTTTGGGAGGCCGAGGTGAGCAGATCACCTGAGGTCAGGAGTTCGAGACCAGCTTGGCCAACATGGTGAAACGCTGTGTCTACTAAAAATACAAAGTGGCTGGGTGTGGTGTAGTGCGCCTGTAATCCCAGCTACTTGGGAGGCTGAGGCATGAGAATCGCTTGAACCCAGACACAGGTTGCACCACTGCACTCCAGCCTGGCGATAGTGCAAGACTCCATCTCAAACAAACAAACAAACAGAAAAAGAAATTTGCTTAGGGCTGTACGGTAGAGTTATAACAGCCAAAATCCCTTCTGTTACTCTTCTGAGGGAGATAAGAGGCAAAGTTTTCTAATGTGAGTAGGAGGGAGGTGGTGATGTGGTTTGTTGAGTTCATTCAAGTAAACCTTTATCGAGTGCCTGTTGTATGCAGGGCACTGTTCTGGCTGTTAGCAACACAGACAAGTAAGACATGTTCTCTGAACTCAAGGAATTTACAATCTCTGGTAAAAGTGATTGGGGACCTGAATAATTGTAGGGAATGGTTAAAACCAGTTACTAATGAGATTAATAAGAGAGTTCCTGAAAAGCAGTGAGTGGCCCAGTGGTCAGGAGGAACTTGAACAGTTTTGTGTTACCCTCTTTCTGGCCAAATAAATTGAACATGGGGAGTCCCAGGTCTAGCATTTGGCAGAGAGCAAAGCGGATGAAATATTAAAGAAGCAACAAATTCTCAGGTATTATTAAAGGTGCGTTTTAAAATATGAATGCACTATAGGAATATACTGGAAAATAGTCTGTAGAAACTTTGCATGTAGGGCACATTTCTTAGAGTCCCTGGTTCCCAACTTTGTTACAAAGTCTCTAGCCTTTGTTTTATTTATATTTACTTAGTCACGTATTTTGATCTAAATATTTTCTTTCAAAAGCAAAATGTATTTCATGGCACCTGGTTGTCAGAGTTGTCAGATTCAAGCAGGATAACATGTTCACTAGAAATTAGGTAATAAACCACTTATAGAATGGCTGTTGTATATTTAGTACAGTTGTACAGAGGAGTTGACACCCAAGATGTAGTGATCACATTTGTCTTGTTACATTATTTTTATTAAGCAGATGATTTTTTCCTGTTAAATAATTTAAGATAACAAATAGCTTCTTGCCTAGTCTTAAGGATATAAGTTTTCCTTCTGTTTGAAACCTGTTCTTTGGTTAACTTTCACCTATTGATAGCATGAAATGTTGGGACTAGATCTCTTAGTTTTACTTAATGTTCAGTTGCATGTCAGTCTTCAAGTAGGAAGCCTCAGAGTGAATCAGACTTGATAAGGCAAGAAGTTACCACTGTGTTTTGATTAGTAAAGCCTAAAGTATACAAACGCATGGTTGATTTGAAAGACCAGTGTCATAAAAATAAGCTTTACGTTAATATATATCAAACTCAATACTGAACTCTGAAATTGTGGATGCTTGAGAGTTGTGTTAGAAATTTCCCCGTGTTCTTTTTTTAAGAAACAGGATCTCTTCTCATCCAGGCTGGAGTGCAGTGGCATGATAATGGCTCACTGCAGCTTCTACCTCCCAGGCTCAAGTGATCCTCTTACCTCAGCCTCCCAAATAGCTAGGACCACAGACACAGGCCACCACACCCAACTCATTTTTTTTGTAGAAATGGGATCTCCCTGTGTTCCCCAGGCTGGTCTCAAACTCCTCAAATGAACTTCCCACCTTGGCCCCCAAAAGCATAGGGATTACAGGTGTGAACCACTGTGTCTGGCCTCCCTGTGTTGTGTTTTGTTTTGAGATGGGGTCTCACACTGTCACCAAGGTTGGAGTGCAATGGTGCAATCTCGGCTCACTGCAACCTCTGCCTCCCAGGCTTAAGTGATCCTCCTGCCTCAGCCTCCAGAGTAGCTGAGACTACAGGTATGAACCACCATGCCTGGCTAATTTTTTGTATTTTTGGTAGAAAAAGGTTTCACTGTGTTGCCCAGGCAACTCCTGAGCTCAAGTGATCTGCCTGTCTCGTCCCCTCAAAGTGCTGGGATTATAGGCATGAGCCGCTGCGCCCAGCCCTCCCTGTGTTCTTGATGAGCTACTTATAGATTTCCCAGAGCTACTGACTGGTGACTTAGAGATGTGGAAACAGCACTGAGGCCTCTGGAACGTGCTTCTGCCCACGTTGCCCTGCCATTTAGGATTCCCCAAGGAGGGGGTGTGGCAGCAGTGACTGGTGCAGTCGATGAGGCCTTGGGATCCCCTGGCTGAACTGCAGTGTTAGGACCACCGTTTAAAACCCTGCGTTAGGATTCTGACCTCATTATTTTATGTTTAAATAATATTTTCTCTGCAGTTTTAAAAAGAATGTGATGTTTTTCTTACATTAGGAAATTGTAGTGGACGTATTTTAAATTGTTAGATGGTATGTAATTTCAGACTGTATTCATCATTTTTATTTGGTTTTAAAATCGTGTATTAAGCATTTTATTCATTGCAACCTTTTAGAAGCATGCATAGCGTATTACTTAAATATTTATTAAATTAGTAGTCATACATTTCCAGTGTAGAGTCATATAAGTGTTGCTTTCTAGTCAAATAAAAGTTTGGAAAACATTTTCATCTTGGCATTTTTAATGTTTTTTTTTCTGACTATAAATCATAGAAGCAAATGATTAAATAGACAGGTGAAGAGGAGGAAGTCGCAAATAAAATAGGCACTTACATTTATTGTGTTTGCAAGGTTGTTTTTGAGGACAGCGCATGTTTCTCAAGACCTTGTTTCTTGCCTATTTTATAGAGCTCTGGCCTCTTAACAGCACAGCTTTAATGACTTCTTGTGGGGCTCTTGGTTTACGTTAACACTGACTGTGGAGGGAAGAGAGAGGTCAGGTTTCACAAGGAGGCTGTAGACTTGTAAAATCATACCTAACTGGCGGAAACAAAGTCTGGGGAAGGAAGTAAGCTGAGATTTGCATAGGACATGAGGTGTTTTCCCATTTAAATAAATGCAAAATATTTTGATAATACTGAAAATAGTTTGCAGACTGAAGTCTTAAAAGGCTCTAACATTCATTGTGAAAGACATAGTCATTTACTCAGTTTAATGCCTCACTTAAAAGAATCGAAATTGAAAAAGCAAATACTTGCTAGGAAACAACATTTAAAACTATCATGATATATATGTTTTATATTTGCATGCTTTTCTAAAGTTTCTAAGTTTTGATATAAAATATTATATAATTTGTTTTTTTAATTGCACAGTGGTTTCATTCAAGTTTTTTCTTGTAATTTCCAGGTTTAGGGCACTGGTTAGCAAGAAAATCAAGCATCCATTGATCATAAGTGATGTTTACCCAAAGAGTGAGAAGTTAAAAGAACTAAAAAGGCAGATAAAAATTAAAAGTAAGGGATTTTATCAAGCAGTGGAGTAACAGTAGAAAATTCATGCATTCATACTTTCACTGCAATCTGTGCCCCATAGCGGCATATATACTTTATGAAAAGAACACTAATTTTCCTAATTAAATACTTTTATAGGAAAAAATGTAAGTAAAGTAAAAAATAAAATAAAAATCACCATACATAATCCTGCCACTGGAGATCTGAACTTAGTTACCTATCTCTTTTTAATTTATCTCCCATTATTTCATCATTGAAGTAGTGGATTTTATCTCCTTCAAATAATTTATCTCTGCACATTCAAAATGGAAAAATTACTTTTGTTTCTCTGTAGTTTATATACCTTTATGCAAAAGCTACCTAAGTTTGGCTTAGTAGAAAATAACGGAAAAAAATTAAATTTTAGAATACCTTTGCCTTTATTCAGGCCTTAAAGTTTATTTTTATTGTATATGAGGATCACTGCCATCCTTTGTTTAACATTCTTTGAGTCATTCTTCTGAAAATAAAACCAGTGTATTCATAGTAAGGCATTCTATCACTATTCCCGAGCCTGCACAACTGCTAGGAGTTTACTAGGTAACAAGCAGTGCCTGGGTACACATATGTATATGTATATATAATTTAATGTTATTCTTACAATGTGCTTAGAAAGTATTTTTAATATCCCCTTTTACTGAGGGATACTGAGGCTTGAGATTGAGTAACATCTCCAGGACACACAGCTCATTAATGCAAAACTGATTCTAACTCAGATGTATGGATTTTAATATCTGTACTCTTACCTTCAAGGCTATGCCAGTGTACCACCTCCCTATATACACATAAATTATGCTGGTCTGTACTGGCTTTTATTCCTGGTTTTCTTTATACCAGCTAAGGCCAAGATTTCACTTAGTCTTTTTTTTTTTTTTCTGAGACGGAGTTATACTCTTGTTGCCCAGGCTGGAGAGCAATGGTGCGATCTCAGCTTACTGCAACCTCCGCCTTCTGGGTTCAAGCAATTCTCCTGCCTCACCCTCCCAAGTAGCTGGGATTGCAGGCATGCGCCGCCACGCCCGGCTGATTTCGTGTTTTTAGTAGAGACAGGGTTTCTCCTTGTTGGTCAGGCCAGTCCCGACCACCCGATCTCAGGTGATCTGCCCACCTCAGCCTCCCAAAGTGTTGGGATTATAGGCGTGAGCCACCACACCCTGCCACTTAGTCTTTTAAAAAAATATCCTTGGCTTGGCGCGGTGGCTCACGCCTGTAATCCCAGCCCTTTGGGAGGCCAAGGCAGTGGATCACTTGAAGCCAGGAGTTCAAGACCAGCCTGGACAACATGGTGAAACCCCGTCTCTACTGAAAATACAAAAAAAAAAAAAATTAGCTGGCCGTGGTGGCATCCACCTGTAGTTCTAGCTACTGGGGAGGCTGAAGCAGGAGAATTGCTTGAACCCGGGAGACAGAGGTTGCAGTGAGCTGAGATCGCACGACTGCACTCCGGCCTGGGCAACAGAGTGAGCCTCCATCTCAAAAAAAAAAAAAAAAAAAAAAAGAGATTGCATTAAAATTGGAAAAACAGTAAACACTGTTTTTTTAGGCTGCTGTTACAGAATCTCAAAGATGTCTTTCTGTAAATCTTAATGATAGCCTTACGTATGAGCCATTAGTGAAAAAATCAAGACTTATCATTGTAGAACAGCTGTAAATCAAAAATTAAAAAAAAAACACTTAAATCAAGATGAATATATATTTTAAGTTGTTTCTGTTATTAGTCCATGGCCAATTTTACAGTTTCCCAGTTTGCCTTAACATGTCCAGTGTCTTCTCATTCTGATCAAATGAGAGTTTGGAATGGTTATTCAGCAGACCATCTGATCTCTCTTCCTATGTTCTGATTCAGGCAACATTGTATCCCCCAACCTTTACGGGCCAGAAACCTCAGAACTATATGGATCCTTTCCTCGGTCTCCCCTGAATACCTCTGAGCCAAATGATGTTTGGTGTACAGTGTCTCTTTTGTGCGCCCTCTCTTTGTTCCTGTTACTTCTGCCATCATTAAAACCCATAGCAGATCTCTCTTCTGCTGTTCTGATAGTCTCTTAACTAGTTAGTCTCCCTACCTCTAAACTCTCTCCCTCTAAGTACTTGGCTTTTTGATGGTCAACATGTTTGTGGGCTTAGAACCAGGAAAATAACAACAAAGGAAAAACTGATATTCCTATTAGGTAAACTGTTTTTAAAAAAGAGATTTGTTTTTTAAAAAATATTTGACTACTAAATTTTAGCTTGAGGTAGTATAACTGAGTTTACATACTTTTCTATCTTTTTCTTATTTTTATTTTTATTTTTTTGAGGCAAGGTCTCATTCTGTTGCCCAGGCTGGAGTGCAGTGGTGTGATCGTGGCTCACTGCAGACTCAACCTCCTGGGCTCAAGCAATTCTCCCACCTCAGCTGCCTGAGTAGCTGGGACTGCAGGCTCGCACCACCACACTGGGCTAATTTTTAAAACTTTTTTTTGTAGAGACGGGGTCTCGCCCTATTTCCCAGGCTGGTCACTTTCCTATCTTTAATAGGTTCCTAGAAGTAGACATACTTTTGTTTGAGATGAGAGCCATAGTTTTGAACTTCCAGTACACAGAGTTTTAAAGGTGTTTTTCTGTTTTGGAAATGTAGAAATTTAACACATATTCTTTTTTTTTTTTTTTTGAGATGGAGTCTTGCTCTGTTGCCCAGGCTGGAATACAGTGGCACGATCTCGGCTCACTGCAACCTCCGCCTCCCGGGTTCAGGCGATTCTTCTGCCTCAGCCTCCTGAGTAGCTGGGACTACAGGCGTACGCCACCATGCCCGGCTAATTTTTGTGTTTTTAGTGGAGACAGGGTTTCACCATGTTGGTCAGGATGGTTTTGATTTCCTGACCTTGTGATCCACCCTCCTTGGCCTCCCAAAGTGCTGGGATTACAGGTGTGAGCCACCGTGCCCAGCCTTAACACATATTCTTACCCAGCTAGAAAGCCAATGCATTTCACTTTATACTGAGCAGCAGAATTGCTTAGGAGTAGAACCTGTACTTTTTTTTTTTTTTTTTTTGAAACAGAGTTTTACTCTTGTTTCCCAGGCTGGAGTGCAGTGGTGCGATCTCGGCTCACTGCAACCTCCACCTCCCAGGTTCAAGCAATTCTCCTGCCTCAGCCTCCTGAGTAGCTGGGATTACAGGCACCTGCCACCACACCCAGCTAATTTTTTGTATTTTTAGTAGAGATGGGGTTTCATCACGTTGGCCAGGTTGGTCTCGAACTCCTGACCTCAGGTGATCCACCTGAAGTGCAGGGATTACGGGTGTGAGCCACTGCGCCTGGCCTAGAACCTGTAATTTGTATCTTCTACAGAAAGTTTGGGGAACTCAAATTTTACTCATAAGGGTCTTGGAAGTTGACTACCTGGATTCAGATCCCAGTATCACCACTTACTAGCTGCAAACTTTGGGCAAGTTGCTTAATTTCCCTGTCCAGTTTCCTTAACTGAAAATTGGGTGAGTAATAGTTTTGAGAACTAAATAAGCTGGAATATGTAATGTGCTCAATGCAGCACTGGCAATAAATGTTAACCTATTGTTATTTCTGTCTTTATTAAATTGCTTCAAACCTCTGTTATTTGCTTTTATAATTTGGGTTGATTATTCCTTATCTGAAATGCTTGGAACGAGAAGTGTTTCAGATTTCACATTTTTTTTTAAATTTTGTAATATTTGCATTACGCCGGTTGAGCATCCCAAATCCAAAAGGCTGAAATGTTCCAATGAGTATTTCCTTTGAGCATCATGTCAGTGCTAAAAAAGTTCCAGATTTGGAGCATTTTGGATTTTTGAATTTGGGATTCTCTGTACTTTTGCAATGCTCAGCTTTTGGGGGTGCTCTGTCCTTTTTCTTCATAGCATTTATCACAGTTTGAATTTATTACACTTGGATAGTAATTTAATTAAATGCTTTTCTCCACCATTAACAAAGATCCCTGAGAATAAAACCTCTGTTAGTTTTGTTCCTCATTAGATCCTTGGCGCCTAGCATATACTAGACACTGAATGCATATTCATTGAATGAATTAATAAATTTAGAAGAGATTACTTTAAAAGTTTCCTAAAAGTGATTAAAATTGTTTTCAAAATTGGGGAGAAAATCTGGTCCATTATTTTATCAAGAATTTTATGACTCAGAGCCTATCAGCATGGTTAACCACAAACTAAATGAATGGTCTTATTGTAAGAACAATGGGATCAATATTAATATGTGATTCATGGAAATTAACTCCTTCGTGTCAGTTATACTGTATATCTTTAATAGCAGAGATATTGTTTTCATATAACTATTTAAGATTGGTTGTTTAAATACTATCGCATGTTGCCATAAAAACAGTTTGGTTTTGAAATAATTGATGCCTAACTACTCTTTTTTTTTTTTTTGAGACGGAGTCTTGCTCTGTCACCCACGCTGGAGTGTAGTGGTGCAATCTCGGCTCACTGCAAGCTCCACCTCCTGGGTTCACACCATTCTTCTGCCTCAGCCTCCCCAGCAGCTGGGACTACAGGTGCACGCCGCCATGCCTGGCTAATTTTTTTGTATTTTTAGTAGAGACGGGGTTTCACCGTGTTAGCCAGGGTGGTCTCGATCTCCTGACCTCGTGATCCACCCGCCTTGGCCTCCCAAAGTGCTGGGATTACAGGTGTGAGCCACTGCGCCTGGCCTTTTTTTTTTTTTAATTTAAGTTCTAGGGTACATGTGCACAACGTGTAGGTTTGTTACATAGGTATACATGTGCCTATGTTGGTTTTGCTGCACCCATCAACTCATAATTTACATTAGGTATTTCTCCTAATGCTATCCCTCCCCCAGACTCCCTCCCCTTTTTCTTTTTTTTGCAAACGCTCACTAACAAGTCTGTTTGTTGGGACTACACCCAGCTAAAAAGAGTTAAAATATGTATTTGGCATAAAGGAAGATTTTTTTTCTTTTGCTATGGCAAGGAGATATGCATTCATTTTTTTCTAGTAATTAGGCTAAGCAGTTTAAATATTTAGAAGGATGGATGCTGAGACATGATGCTTTTTGACAGCATTTACAATTAGAATCACATTTTTGTGAGATTATTTCCTTGTTGGTTTTAGAAGTAGTGGATTAACCTATAGAAGCCTTTGAATGGATAGATGAAAGCTGCTTGAGTCTAATGCAGCTTATCAAACACTGGTGTTTGTCTGGAGTGTTTTGAAGAGGGGAAGGGAAGAATGAAAGCAGAAACAAGATAAGAGGCTGATAGTGGTTCAGGTGAGAGATTGGGACTGGAACAGAAGGGAATGGATTTGACACGTGTTTAGGAGTTAAAATCAGTGGGAACAGGTGATTGAGAATACAGAAAGAGTAAGTAGTCTCTAGCTTAGGTGAGTAATTTGATAGTGGTGTGACAAAGATGAAGCAGAGATACAGCTTTGGAAGAAAGAAGATCACTTCATTTTGGACACGATGACTTTGGAGTGCCTTTGTTTTGTTTTGTTTCTTTTTTTGAGATGGAGTCTCGCTCTGTCACCAGGCGGGAGTGCAGTGGCACGATCTCAGCTCACTGCAACCTCTGCCTCCCAGGTTCAAGTGATTCTCCTGCCTCAGCCTCCCTAGTAGCTGGGACTACAGGTACGCACCACAACGCCCAGCTAATTTTTGTATTTTTAGTAGAGGCATGGTTTCACCATGTTGGCCAGGATGGTCTGGATCTCTTGACTTTGTGATCTGCCTGCCTTGGCCTCCCAAAGTGCTGGGATTACAGGCATGAGCCACTGCGGCGGCCTGGAGTGCCTTTCATAAACTCCAGGCGAAGATGTCCAGTGCACAGTTGGAGCGATGAGTACGAAGGTCTGAGGATGGTGATCTAAGCTGGAAGAGGTATTTAGGGGAATCAGCAGCAACAGCTGGCTGTGGTTGAAAACTAAAAGAGGATATAATCACCAAAAAAGACCATGGAGAGAGAAAAGAACAGAGACTCTCTGGAAGGAAGGGCAGAAGAGGAGGGAGAGCGAGCCCTTGAAAAGGGAGACAGGAAGGAGGAGCCACAGCAATAAAAGGAGAACAAGGAGCATGTAGTATCATAGACCCTGTTTCCATAAAATAATAGGGAAGAAGGCAGATTAGATGTTTGAGGCATGGACTCAGAAAGGAAGAAGGGGAGACAGCCAGTAATACTCTTAAGAGAAGTTTCGATCCCATGGGGAGGAGAGCAGATAGCTGCTAGACGGATCACGTAACGTGATGTAAAGACATGTTTAGAGTTTTCTTCCTTTTGTTTTTTGAGGTTGGGAGAGAGTGGAACACTTTTATTTGTGGAGGGAAAGGAGCTGGGAGAAGAGTTTGAATATGCAGTGGAGAGAGACATCCCAGAGGGGAGGGAAGAGATTGGGATTGGTGTCCAGATGGAGGGATTACAAACAGAAAGGAGGGAATTTACTTTCATTGTTGATTCATGGTTGCCTCTTTCTTTCAGTCTCAGAGGTAACCGATGAAAGTCCTAAGCAGTATCTGGCTTGGTATTTTCTCCACGAAACTATTTTGCCAGTGGATTGAATTTTCAAAAGATATCAAAAAGTTAGATATTTTAAATATAAAGGTGTTTGTGAGGATTAAAAAATGTGTACCTTTATACTTGGGTTCAAACCTTTCTGAAAACCAGAGTTTTCAAGGGTAAACCTATTTATGTTTCAGTTTTCAGAATTTTATGACTCCAGAGTTCCAGCCCATTAGGCCTAAAGTACAAGGTTAGCTCAATTGTTATAATAAAAAAATCTTAGGGATTTCATAGATTTATCCATTTGAGAAAAAAGGGGAACTGCTCAAAGAAAAGGCAGTGGTGCCCAGGCATATTGTTTGATTGGTTAGATTCAGAGTGAAAAAACAACACTCAGTTGCCTATGTGGCTGGCAGGAAGTAACTCAAGGCAGCAGAGTGATCATTTTTATTCTCAATAATCACATTTATAAGAAGTTTTCACTCTATTGGCTTGTTTAATCTTTATAAAAATCCTTTGGTATGGGAGGGATAGATTTTTGTCTCTAAAAAAAATGCCAGTAAAATATTGGGCATTGTTTGGAATTGTAGCAAACAAAAAAATAATAAAAAGCACTATTTTCTTCTCACCCCGTCTTGGTATTTGTACCCAAGAAACTCCTTACAATTCTAGTTATTGTGCTTAAAGACCTAATAGAATTGGAGAAAATTCAAAATACTAGTTCAATTCAGAAAGTATATTTTTTTTAGTGCCAAATCTGCACCGTTTACTGTCTTGCAGTATCCTGCAAAGAACATGACCTGCTGCTGCCCCTCAGTGAGCTTATAATGTAGAAGCGGAGGAAGACTTGTAAATAAGTGATTATAATGTGAAATAAAGGCAGCAGTGAAGGTCTGCAGTGTACAGAGGTAGCAGAGAAAAGGGTCGGAAACCACTTCCCAAAGGATGGGATAAGTGAACCAGGCTTTAAAGAATGACAGGATTTCATCAGGTGGACAAAGGGACCAATGTTATTAGCAAGAGAAGGAAATGTTCACATAAACCTTAGAGGTGTGAAATACCATGGTGTATTTCGTGAATTATAAGTAGCTCAGTGTTAGTGAAACATCATTGTAAGTGGTTGAATATAAGGCTAGAGTTTTACAGGGAATAATTAATTCAGCAGCAACACAGATTCATGGTTTATGATGATCACTGAGGGTGATGTTGCTGGCAGGGGAGATACCAGCTAAGAGGCTCCAGAAAGACATCTAGACAGGATATGATAAGGGCCTGAATTGAACAGAGGACTGTTAGGGATGAAGAGAAGTCAGATATGAGAGAGGAATAAATGAGATAAAACATCTTGAATTGAATACTTAATTCATTGTGGGGTCGTGGAAGAAGAAATTGTTAAAGTGGACAGGCTGGGGGAGCTTCTGTTCTGTAAAAAAAATTTAAACTAAGTAAGATATTTCAGTCTGGAGAGGTAGAGTCTGAGAAATAATAAAGTAAAATTCCCATTTTGAAGTCTGTCAATTGAATATGGACTGGATTATCAGTGACAACTAGAACTAATGGTCACCCCTCACACATGGAAAAGGTGAATATGGGATTGACAAGAGTGCTTTATATTTCATAAAGCAAGCATTATATTTACGGAAATGTAGGTCCTAATTCCCCCCAAGATAAATGTATTCAACATAGTTTAAGTTAATTATAAAAAGACAAACTTACCTGATTATTGAGAAATCAGGTTGTTCTGCCTGAATGTGAAGCTGATATTTTAAAGGTGAATCTAGCCATCTGTTTCCTAATTCTTTAGTAGATAAACAGCAGGGGATGGTCCATAGGTTTAGATCCAAAATTAAAATGTTTGCAGATAAACATCCTAGCAAGTGTACAGAAGCAATGAAAAGTAGCTCAATGTTAGTGAAACACCATTGTAAGTGGTTGAATATGGGGCTTGAGTTTTACAGGGACTAATTAATTGATCAGCAACATAGATTCATGATATCGATTTTTAGAGTTTGATATTCTAAGAGTGGTTCTCCAACTGAAGAGTCTCACTCTTTATACTCTTAAAACTCAAATAACTTTTATTTATGTAGCTTACATCTATTGACACTATTAGAAATTAAAACTGAGAAAAATATTCATTAATTCATTTTAGAATGAAAACATTTATGCATCACATATTAATATAACTATTTTCCAGAGGAAAAAATTAGCCAGAGGAGCAGAATTGCTTTACATTTGTGCATATCTCTTTAGTTAGCTTAATAGAAGACAGCTGGGTTCTCATATGTGTCTGCCTCAACTTTTGGTCTGTTGTAATACCATGCATTACATAACTCCTGGAAAACACCGTATATTCAAGACAAGAGAGTGAAAGTTATTATGCAAATGATTCTGACTTTGAGGATCCACCAACAATAGCAGTTTGAAACAGATTTATGTTTCATACACAAATAAGGGATTATTTCACCCCCACTCCACCCTTTTGGGAAGTCCATCCTCCTAAGAATATTTTCACCATTATTTGCTGGCCTTGTCCTGTGCTTGTAAAGGCCTGTGATCTATCTACAGATAAATGAGTTCAAGTGCAAGGCAGAATTTGTTAGCCTTCTATGACCTTTTACCCTTTTCAGCCTAATGAAGCATAAGTTCATGTAGCCCTATTACCTCTATTCTTCTTCATAACTTCTCATTTTATTTATAAATAATAAAGTTCAAACAAATTTTTCTTTGAACTGGAATCTGGGGAGGGGAGGAGGAAGACTATAGTAGTGGACCTTTCTTTGTATCTTGGAAGACTTAGTAGAAGGAAGGGAAACCTGGAATTTACACTCCCTCAAAATGTGATCATGGACACTGAAGACCACTTCCTGGAGGCCTGCCTAGAATTGCAAAGAATAATTATCTCTAGAAAATACCAACCCTTCAAGATTGATCTCTGCTTTGGAAATAGATGAGCCTAAAAATCGTCTCTTGAGTTTCTCTACCTTTTGTTTGAGATGCACCCTTGGGCTTCTCTCTTTCCTTTCTCATCCTGTTCCTTCATTACCAGCTTCATCTGATTCCAGATAGAGTGATATGTCTGTGGCATAAGAACCAAGTCTTTGTTTTCTTTAAGATATCGCTAGACTCTCCCCATTCCACTGCCACCACCCAGTTCTGTAATCCCTATTTAATAGCCTATTGGACTTTTGACTTGAGACTCCTTTATTCTATCCATCCTGATTAGTTTTTCCCACACATTGCTAATATCAGGACATGCCTTTGCTCAGAAATCTTAATTGATGCCTTAATTTGTTTTATCTGTATTCTTCTTCAGCTTTCCCATAAAGTCTTGATCTGAAATATTTTGCAGTAGTTCTGGCTGTTTCCTCACAATCCTATGAATGCAAGCTTTGCATTTCTTACCTCTGTGCTTGTCTTCATGTTATTCTTTTCACTTGAAATGTTCTGTGCTTTCCCACCACCACCACCCCCATCTAAATCCAGTGGATTCTTCAAAAGCTAATTCAAAACCAGTTCCTGTAAATGGTTTTTACCTGATTAGTTTGAATTTATTTGTTTCCCTCTCCTCTGATATACAATAGTATTTGAAGTTTGTACCACACAGTTTAGTATGTAATTATATACCATTGTTTATTTTTGTTTCATATGTTAACTTTTTATCTCCAAATAGATAAATTTCTTGCGAACCTATTTAGAATTTAATTCTGGGAAAGACCAGACTTCGTAAATTGGGCAACTGCCCAGTGTTTTCTCCAAAATTATTCACTAAATTATCTTCATGCTGGTTAAGTTAGGTTGGTCTTATATCCAAGCAAGGGTTCAAGTCCAATAAGTAATATCTAGTGTAATGTTACTTCTAAGTGTTATTTTCATGCACTTATTCTGAATTTCTCAAACTTTATCTTATAGCTATTTCTGCATTTGAAGTCCAGCCAATTTCCACTGAGGTCCACGAAGGTGGAGTTGCTCGATTTGCATGCAAGATTTCATCCCACCCTCCTGCAGTCATAACATGGGAGTTCAATCGGACAACTCTACCTATGACTATGGACAGGTAGATGTAGATTTTTGTCTTTGGAGATGATATGGGAGTAATGAAGACTTCATATGAGATTATATAGGGAGAAACACCATTATAGGCCTCATTTTTATTTAGGGCAGTAATAACTGATTGCTTAAGACATTTCAAACTTAGCCAAAGAATTAGATCATCAGTCTCTGGCACATGGGGCATGGTTCCTGGTTTAGATCAGAATTTAAATAGATTATCCTACTGCCTTGATCCTTTCCTCAACCATCTGTTCTAACCATGACTATCTGGACTGCAGCCCAGGGTTTTAGGAAACCAGATTACACTCTCATTGCTGGGAAGGGCAGTGTTGGTGTAAGGGTCTTTCATGTATGCCCTGGTAGCTGCCCACTCCTGTCTCTGCCTTCCACTTCTCAACCCCCTCTTTACTACAAATGCACACACAAGCACACATGCACACATCTAGTGTTCTGCGGGCGGTTGGGATTGAAAAATCAAGAACTTGATAGCAACTCCAAAAAGTTTGATTCCTGCCCTGCTCCTGAGTTGGCAGACATTTGCTAACATGGTAAAGCACTAAGATGGAATAAGTTATTCATGGAAGTGCTTTATTTAAAAAAAAAAAGCATATCTACATATGTCTTGGACAATATATGGATATTAATAGGTAAAAAATCAGGAATTTGAAAAAAATTATACTAAACTCTAGGCCACCAGTTAACTAAATCTATGCTAGAATGTCAAATGAGACTCTGTAAAATTCGACTGATAGATTGCACAAACCATATCATGCTGGATTGTTTATGTTTTAGAGAGCTTTAGTGACCCAAATGAAAACAATAGAATCAAGCTAATATTTTAAAAGGTCTTTAAAGTATTGCTTGTAGCACTGTAAAAAGGTTGAGTGTATTCCTATCACAGAATATGTTAAATAAAATATGTAGTCTAAGCCCGGCACGGTGGCTCACACCTGTAATTCCAACACTTTGGGAGGCCGAGGCGGGCAGATCACTTGAGGTCAGAAATTCAAGACCAGCCTGATCATCATGGTGAAACCCCATCTCTACTAAAAATACAGAAATCAGCTGGGCATGGTGGCGCACCTGTAATCCCAGCTGCTTGGTAGGCTGAGGCGGGAGAATCGCTTGAACCCTGGAGACAGACGTTCCAGTGAGCTGAGATCATGCCATTGCACTCCAGCCGGGGCAACAAGAGTGAAACTCCATCTCATAAATAAATAAATAAATAAATAAATAAATAAATAAAATATGAAATCTACTACAAAAAGTTTAATTATCTTTCTCTCATAACAGGATAACTGCCCTACCAACAGGAGTATTGCAGATCTATGATGTCAGCCAAAGGGATTCTGGAAATTATCGTTGTATTGCTGCCACTGTAGCCCACCGACGTAAAAGTATGGAGGCCTCGCTAACTGTGATTCCAGGTACCACGCAGAGTGGTTTTTCCATTTTTATGACGTTTTATTGGCGCAGTTGTTACTTCTTCTCCTCTGCTGTAATAATGTGCCATAAAGTAGAATTTCATTTAAATTATTATAATCTATTTGGAAAATGGTCATTTTTAGTTATTAAGCAACTCTTCTTTCATAGGCCAGTTTTCTATGTTATGTCAATGTCTTTAAGAAATATTCAGTCTTAAGAAAGATTAACAAATATTCAGTCTTTGGTATTCTATTCAATGCCAAAATTCACTGATGCTCAGGTCTCTCATAGAAAATGGCATGTTATTTTCATTCACCTATGCACACTCTCCTGTATACTTTAAATCATCTCTAGATTACTTATAATACCTAACAATGTAAATTCTATGTAAATCATTGTTATACTATATTTTAAAATTTGTGTATTTTTATTTTTTAAAAAAATATTTTCAACAGGCAGTTGGTTGAATTTACAGATGTGCAACCCACAGATACTGAGGGCTGGCTATATTTCACTTTCGTTTTTAAAAGTGTAAAATACAGAAAGCACAAAAAAGAGAATAACAGTCATCCGTTTCTACCAGAATTGTCTGTTGTGGAAAAAGATATGCTTGTTTCTAGTCGTATTCTTTTGCTTGTCGTTTAAAGAAATACCACGATTTGCATTTGTAAAAATGATACATGCATTTTATAAAAAGCAATGTTTATGAAAATAGAAAATATAAAGCTTCTATATTAAACAATTTTTAAAAACACAAAAATAAAAGTTAAAAAATATCCTCAATCTTAATGCAAAAATTATCATTGTTAATATTAAGCGAGCACAATTTTATATATTTTGCCATACATTAATATAGGTAGAAGGGAAACTAGAGAGATGCATATAAAGAAATAGATATTTCATTAAAATGCAATAGATGATAGTTTTTATTTCAAAGGTTAAGTTTGTTTAAATGTAGTAGAAGAAAACCTGGACTGAAGACATTGTTGAACTTCACATAAATGTTTATTCTTCACAAGAGATACTGGTTTCTAACATATCCTTTAAGGCTGAAAAAAGAAGAAATTTAGAAAAACATTAAGAGGCTGAAGTTATGTATTTAATGCTATGCTTTAATTTTAGGTAAATTAAATAAATTTTAGATAATTATATAAATAAATGAATGTTTGAACCTCAATTAAAAGTAATGATACGGAAAATAACCTGAATGTCCATCAACTGATGAATGGATAAATAAAATGTGTTCTATCTATACAATGATATATATTGCTCAATATAAAGGAATGAAGTACTTATACATGTAACAACATGGGTGAACCTTGAAAACATTATGCTAACTGAAAAGAAGCCATTCAGAAAAGACCACATAATATATGGTTCCATTTATATGAAATGTCTAGAATAGGCAAATCCAGAGAGACTGAAAGTAGATTAGTGGTTACTAGGCTGTGGAGAGAAGAAGAGATTGGGAGTGACTGCTAATGGGTTTGGGATTGTTTTGGAGAGTGATAAAAATGTTCTAAAATTAATTGTGGTAATAGTTGTACAACTCTGAAAACTCTAAAAACCACTGAATTATATACTTCAGATGGGTGAATTGGATGGTATGTGAGTTATATCTCAATAAAGTTGTTTTAAAAAAAGAAAAGTGAGTGATAAGAATAAATGTCTCACTAATTTCACTTATTATATCTTATTTATAATTTATTTTTATATTCTGTCTTTTCCTCCCCAAAGCTAAGGAGTCAAAATCCTTCCACACACCAACAATTATAGCAGGTCCACAGAACATAACAACATCTCTTCATCAGACTGTAGTTTTGGAATGCATGGCCACAGGAAATCCCAAACCAATCATTTCTTGGAGCCGCCTTGGTAAGTCTTCTCAGGAAAAAAAAAAAAAGTCTTTTCCTTAAATTTTGTTCATTCTAATGAAATTTATAAAATGTTTATTTTATATACAAAAACACAGGTTTGGCTGTTGAATGTCTTAATTTTTTTGGCATTTCAGTGAGTAGAGAAAAGGTCTTAACATGGAGAATTTTATATTTAATTTTATACTTTTCATGATTGATTGCTTGGATAGTGGTCTTTTGACATAATTTCAGGTTATTTGTTACATTGTTTAAACTGAAGTATTCTCTTTGAAATAGATCACAAATCCATTGATGTCTTTAATACTCGGGTACTTGGAAATGGTAATCTCATGATATCTGATGTCAGGCTACAACATGCTGGAGTATATGTTTGTCGGGCCACTACCCCTGGCACACGCAACTTTACAGTTGCTATGGCAACTTTAACTGTATTAGGTATGTTCCTTTCATTCTGCAATCAGGGGAATCTTACATTTTAACATTTGCCGTTTTATCTCATTCATAGCTTACTTCTTTCTTGAGCTTTGTAGCATTGATATGAAGTATTGTAATCAAATGATGAATTTCAGGAAAAAACAAATATTTATGTTAAAATATAACTGTAGAATCATTCTGAGGTCACCATTCTGTTTACATGCATACCATTATGTTCCTTCTTATTTAGGCTTCCCTTCTATCTCCATCACACCTACACACATATCCGTGTACCTATTTGCCAATTTAAAAATTTAATCTCTTGATTATTGCCACTTGCACTGCATTCGCATGTGGCTATATATTGTTCTTAGTTAAGAAGGATGATAGGTACATATATTTTAAGTGTGTCTATATAGATGCTCTGAATAGGGAAATCATGGAGGAAGTGAACACTGAGCAATGCCGAGAAAAGGCACCTGGAGAGATGTATGGAGATGTAGACAGGAGCTCAGCATGTCAGGCATCTTCAGGAATGGGGCTTGTTTCATTTGCTGTTTTCTTCCTTGACCCTTTACATCATTCCTATTAGGATCACAGAAATATTTCATTTTTTTCTTTAAAAATAGCTCCTCCTTCATTTGTTGAATGGCCAGAAAGTTTAACAAGGCCTCGAGCTGGCACTGCTCGATTTGTGTGTCAGGCAGAAGGAATCCCCTCTCCCAAGATGTCATGGTTGAAAAATGGAAGGAAGATACATTCGAATGGTAGAATTAAAATGTACAACAGGTAGGCTGTGTAACTTTGCTACCATTTTATATATGATATAATGGCTTTAGTAATTTTTATGTGAAATGGTTATAATAATATCAAATACCTAAATTATCTTGATAGTTATTAACAAAATGAAACTAAACTAAGAAATTAAGACTTATAACATTATCATGTCATACATGTGCTATGCTAAATACTCATTGGTATTTTATACATGGGTCATGAAAGTGGTAGATGGTAATAAAATGCATGTTACACAGTTCCCCAAACTCCAGGGTTCTAGTGCTATTAAGCCACCACTAGAGTTAAGTTACCACAAGAAAGCATATTAGCTCCTTGGGGTCTTAGTTCCTTCTTCCACAAAATGAGGAAATTAGAAGAAATAATTCTCTAATAATTTCTCTATAGTTAATGATTTTAATAATTCATTTTTATTAGCATAAATACAAATTATTGTAACATTCTCATTTGTGTTGAACAAAACTTAAAAATTTTTGTTGACCTGAATTCTATGTACACACTATAATATTCTGTAAATTAGATGGTATTCAAGTCATATAAATTCTTAATGAGCCAAATTTAAAAAAATAAGTTGTTACCTAAAGCAGAGAGCATTTGAATATCACAAATATTAATGCAGACTCAAAAATGAATAATTTTAAGTGATTAATGTAGAATATTTTTCATAGGACAGATTACATAGTTTTTGTTTTGTTTTGTTTTCAGTAACTTTTATTATCTAAAATGATACTATAAGCCAGACATGGTGGCTCTAGCCAGTAATCCCAGTGCTTTGGGAGACCAAGGTGGGAAGATCACTTCAGCCTAGGAATTTAAGACCAACCTGGGCAACACAGTGAGACCTTGTCTCTACAAAAAATTACAAAAAGTTTAAAAACTACACATGCCTGGAGTCCCGGCTACTCAGGAGGATGAGGCAAGAGGGCGAGAGGATTATTTGAGCCCAGGAGTTTGAGGCCGCAGTGAGCTGTGATTGTGACACTGCACTTCAGCCTGGGTTACAGAGTGAGACCCCGTCTCTTTAAAACAACAACAACAGAAAGAAAACGACAAAAACAAAAACACACCAAAAAATCTTCAGGATTCCACATAGTTGCTGCAGTGTTCTACAAATGCTTGATTTTAATTTTAATTTTAAAATAAAATAAAATGAGAGTATATTTAGCAATAGCTAAACTTTATTTTGAATTCATTCTTAGAATTTTTCATGGAAATAATTTTTTTTCTTTCCCTAGTAAATTGGTAATTAACCAGATTATTCCTGAAGATGATGCTATTTATCAGTGCATGGCTGAGAATAGCCAAGGATCTATTTTATCTAGAGCCAGACTGACTGTAGTGATGTCAGAAGACAGACCCAGTGCTCCCTATAATGTACATGCTGAAACCATGTCAAGCTCAGCCATTCTTTTAGCCTGGGAGAGGCCACTTTATAATTCAGACAAAGTCATTGCCTATTCTGTACACTACATGAAAGCAGAAGGTAAGCGATTTTAGGAGTGCTTATTTTTAAGTACTCCTTGCTATCAAGGATTTGTTTTCAGTACGAATAATGCCTTACATAATCCATAAAATATTTTTGAAATTTGGTGGCATTTATCTTCTTTGATAAAATAATCTATCACCTATGTATCTATTGTTTTCTAAATTTCATGTTGTGTACTTTGTATATGTAAGTATAGTTTAAGATTTTTCTGTTTAGAAACAATTACCAGCTAATGCAAAGCATCACTGCCTGCTTAGAAGTTACAAAGTGGTGTACTTACGAATTTCATTCCAGACAAGGTATAAATTCCTTAACTGAGACTTAATATACCAACTTATGTATGTAGTTACATTAGAACAGTGGTTTGACTGTTTAGTAAAATAATAAACTATGTATATTTATTATTTTTAAGGGAGAAAGTAAACATTGTCAAATTCCCCATATTTTTGATTTTGTATATTTTAAGTATTTTGTATATTTTGAATGTTTTCTGAAATCATATAGAACCCTCTGAAAATTGAACAGGACATTCTTTACTGCTATCTCATCATATAAAAGTAGAAATCAAATGTGTCTTCCAATTTTTGTTCAGAATTATTGGTTCTATTTTGGAGATTTAAAAATTTTTCTTATATTTTACTTTTAGCAAATGTCTTAGAGGAAAAAGAGAAACTACTGATAAATCCTAGAAATTTCTCTCTTGCTTTTTCATAGAAACCATGGTAGAGGCTTAGAAATTTCAGTTCTATACTTCAACAGCCTAGCTTTTATGGAATATACGTTAAAAACAAATTCAAACACCTAAGGATGGGGATATAATAAAATTAGCCATAGAAACAGGTGGTTTGTTGTTGCTGCTGCTATTTGTTTTTTGTACTTTGAAGTAGGGTTTTGAAAAGGAATATTTTGAATGTAAATCAGGGGTCATGGAAGCAAGAAGAATGAAAGTCTGATAACTGAGCATGCTGGAGTATGTTAATTCCCTTTTTAGTGATTTATGAAGGTAAAAGGAATGCTGGTTTTGGTGGGGACCACTCTTGTTCCCTATTATGGTTGTTTCATTAGAGCCTCCACATGAGGCTCAGTGGTCTATTCAGGAATGGAACAAGGCTTTTTAATTCGAACTCAAGGACCTTGTTTGGTAGGTCAGAAATCGTACTATGCAGCTCCTAATTAACAAGCCATTAGCCAGTCTGTTGTGAAATGCCTGTAATCTTGTCTAATTAAAATGCTATCAAGTTAATTCAGAAATGTGGGAAAACTTAATACTGGAATTTGCCTTCTGTTTTGTTTATAAATCCAGTGTGGGGAGAAGGGACTCCGTCCTTAGAGAGATTTGATTAAGTTGACATGCGTTTACTGTGAATTGTTAGCAAAGCACAGTGGCTGCCAATGCTCTTGTTCCACTTTACAGGTTTGCTCTGTAGGAATTAAATCCTACAAAGACAAATCCTCTTCTATACCTTGTCATGCATATTTGATTAAGAGTTGCTGAGAATTTTTTTCTCTTAAAAAAAAAAACTCACTGTGGGACAAAGCATTTTGAGGCACATTCTGTGACTCCCAGTTTTTTTGCCCTCAGTATTATAAATAAAAGAACAACTTATGTCAGTCAAATTTAATAGAATCTCTAGGGGCAAAATGAGATCTTTCGCAGGACAACTTCTGGTTTGGTTTGTTTTTCTAAAGAGTGGAGCCATTACATTCCCTACTGTCTCTCCATTTATGTTTAAAAGAAAAAAAACCCCATGAGTTGAAGCAAGTAAAGTTTACACTGTTATGAATTACAATATTCTGTTGTGTTAAGCTCTGTTATGTTACTACTGTACATTGTCTCTGCTGTGGGTTTTGACTAGATGGTAAATGAAGTTTAGAGAAGATGAATTCTTTTCAGTTTGATTTATTCAGGAAAAATGTCCTCTAATAATTTGTAGTGAAATATGGTTACTTTTAGAAAATAAAGACCTTCCTGTTCACATTTTGTAAAGGGGCACAGAAGATAAGAGATTGAGATTAGACCCAAGGACCAGTGTTTCACAGTGCAGGAAAATGGTCTTGTTAATTTTATTTTGAATATCTGTCATTTTAAAACATGGATTCTTTAATTTAGGTTTAAATAATGAAGAGTATCAAGTAGTCATCGGAAATGACACAACTCATTATATTATTGATGACTTAGAGCCTGCCAGCAATTATACTTTCTACATTGTAGCATATATGCCAATGGGAGCCAGCCAGATGTCTGACCATGTGACACAGAATACTCTAGAGGATGGTAAGAAAACATGATTCTAGATCATTTCAGTATGAACATTCGTATGTTTTGTCAATTTCAATGAATAAATGTGTTTTAAAGAAAATATCCTCTTTTTGGTTAAAAAACAGGTATGTTAAATTTGCCGTTCAAAATCTCACTCTTGCTTTTTGCCAGTAACATAAGGATAAAGAGCACTTTCAGAATATAAAATTTAATAATAAAATTCTTATATTCCCATTGTATTTCTTCAAAGGTTACTAGTTTAAATTGTAAATATGTTGCAAACTTTTTTGTACTGAATAGAACATTTTCTAGGCATGAATAACTGTAATGACTGTTACATATTGAGTGTATGTAGTGACCAGGGCCAGAGGTACTGGACTTCTGAAACTTGGACTTTATACGATTTATCACCTGTCAAAAAATTCTTAGCACTTAGTACCTGTTGATTAACTACAATATGCTTATACTACTTAAGGGGGAAAATATTACTTGTTCAGTTTGTTTCCTAACCATGGGTTGAAAATTGAGTTGTGATTCTTTTAGGGAAGGCCAGATATTCATATTATTCTTATAATGGTGGGAAATTTCATCCATATTAAGATAGCCCGAGAGAACTGATTATCCTCCTCTGAGTCTTCATACCATATTGTAAAAGAAGGGATCTGTCTTTCCAGAGTCTCTAGAAGACCTTTTTTAGTACCCTGCAATGTGAAGGGGAATGATTTAATACATGCTTAATCAATACTGTTCTCACTTAGCAAATGTTTTATCCTCAAGCAATGATCTGCTCTTAGTTTTTAAAATGTTTTTATATAATCTCCAAATCTCCTTTTTTTCCATTTAGTCCCAGATCTCTTATTATATCTTTATCATGCCACTTATTTAGGTGTTTATAAAATCAGACTTAGAATAAATGAAAAAAGGTTCACTTATGTGGTTAATGAATTCCAAATTTTAGTTTTCATTGAAGAGCCTGTTCCACTTTAGAGTGAACTACAGTATATATGACATCTCTAGTTACCTCGTTGCTATTAACAACCTCTGTTATGCATGTCTAAGGTGAAAAGCAGGCTAATAAAGATAGATTTTGTGTGTGTGTGAGGTCTGTTCTCCCTCTATATCCTTGAAGAAAGTGAGTCTTAGCATAGCAGGGAAACACTGTAAAAGGAGCTATTATTATTTTCTTCATTTTGTGTCTGAAGAAACCTAGGTAAGAGAGGTTAATTTGGTCAAGATCACAGAGTCGTACATGGTAGAACAAGGTTTCAGACACAGAGAAGCTAACTCTAGAACCCATCTGAACTCTTAGACCACCTGTCACTGTATTTGACTCATTTTCCTGAAATGCAGTTTTATTAAAATGTTTGGAGGAAAAACTGTTTTTATATTAAACAACATATGTTGTAATTAGGAATACAAAATTCACATTAATTTTTAAGATGCAACTCTTACACTTCAAAATATTATTTGCTTGGTTATAACTGTAGAATACTAGGCTTCCCCACCCTTGTATAATTCACTCTCCCTTGTTTCGAAGCCACTTTGGTGGAATTGTTTGAGAAGTATTCTCATATTTTGTATGAATATCAAATATTCTCATATTCATTCCAAACAACAAAACAATCACAGCCACAGTGAAGAATATCTTATATTCTTTGTTTCCACACACTTAGCCCTCCCTCATTATTTTTTCTTCTTTTTTCTGGTTTGTACTCTGTTTCACTGAAAACCTCTGCTAGGGCTGAAAGTGTCTCTTCTTTATTATATGTTGCTAATTAAGAGAATTCAGTTACTGGTGTGCTAAGTGGCAATTCGATTCTAAATATTTATAAACAACCTGATTTCTTCTATGACTAGTTCCCCTGAGACCTCCTGAAATTAGTTTGACAAGTCGAAGTCCCACTGATATTCTCATCTCCTGGCTGCCAATCCCAGCCAAATATCGGCGGGGCCAAGTGGTGCTGTATCGCTTGTCTTTCCGCCTAAGTACTGAGAATTCAATCCAAGTTCTGGAGCTCCCGGGGACCACGCATGAGTACCTTTTGGAAGGCCTGAAACCTGACAGTGTCTACCTGGTTCGGATTACTGCTGCCACCAGAGTGGGGCTGGGAGAGTCATCAGTATGGACTTCACATAGGACGCCCAAAGCTACAAGCGTGAAAGGTGAATTTCTGAAGACTGTTAAGAAAATACAGTATTTTTACTTTTGAATCAAGTTTTTCTTCTCTAAATTATGTTTATATTTTTAAATTTTGTTTTACAAATAAAAATATTCCATAGATGATGGACTTAATTGAAAAAAATTAAACTTTTTATTAAGTAGTCGCTTTTGCATAGAGTTTATTTGTGTGTAAACTTTTTGGTTGTGCTGTTAGTTTGCTTAGCAAATGCCTCATGGACAGATCAGTCCAAATCAAACTGAGTTTCCAAAGTAAGATATTCATAGAGGCCTAATTAATATTATTGCCATATATTTTTAAAATCCTTAGTTCAGTAGGAGGACTATAGGACTGCAAAATTCTAGACCCTTCTGTTTTACTAACGTGGAATGTAACACGACTGGTTTTCTTGTTAATTGGCTGACAATAGTGCCTGTTCTCTATATCACAGAGGAGTGTGGCCAAAATTAGAAAGTATTTATTGCCTCTTTGAAAAAAAATTAAATGTCCAGATATTACTATTTATATATCTTGGTCTTTTTAAGATAGTATTTTATATATTTTAAATTTTGATCTCAAAGTTTAATATTATTGTGAAATTTGGAAAGTTAGGTTATAGTATAATTTTTGGATTGAACCTTTTGGTAATTGTTTGCTTAAAACTGAGAGAACTACCCTATTCTGTGTCTTTATGTGGATATTGGGTTGTTTATACATACATTTTCTGATGAATTTTGCTAGCCCCTAAGTCTCCAGAGTTGCATTTGGAGCCTCTGAACTGTACCACCATTTCTGTGAGGTGGCAGCAAGATGTAGAGGACACAGCTGCTATTCAGGGCTACAAGCTGTACTACAAGGAAGAAGGGCAGCAGGAGAATGGGCCCATTTTCTTGGATACCAAGGACCTACTCTATACTCTCAGTGGCTTAGGTGAGTGAGTTTGTACTGTATTTTTCCCTTTTTCCTTCCTCTCTGACAAACTGCGAAAAAAGTTATTGGATCTAAAGCAGGAGAACTTACTTAATGGTACAAAGAAAAGAATTGATTTTACTATGTCAGTGTGTATATGCTACTGCTGAAGTCAGTGATTGGTCTTTGACTTACCATTGTGAGTCCAGTGGCAAAATATCAGGCAGCCATTGTATCTTTCTATCTTTGTCCAGCTCTGTGAATCTGCTTTTCTTTGTGGCGTTCACTTCTGGTAGACTGAGGTCCTGATCAATTATTGTGAGTGTGTGGCGGATGTAGAATAGCAATTAGAATAGGGATATCACCAAATCATACTCAGTGGTTAAGTTTCACTTAAAATGTGCCTGAGAGTACTATATAATTGCTATATAATTACAAATTAGGTATAAATAATGCCCTTACATATGACCCATGTAACTGTGAATATTTATGTAGCTCTAACCCAGGAACACTGGAGAAAAAGCACTTAACTTTGTATTTGAGTTCGTCAGTGTTCTGAAAGACATTGTTTTATTCCCTAGTCTTCCTATCTTTGTAGAGTGAAAGGAATTTCATGATATAAACATGTTTAGTAGAAAGTAATGTATATCCAAAATGAATACATGGGCCAGGCGTGGTGGCTCATGCCTGTAATCCCAGCACTTTGGGAGGCCAACGCGGGTGGATCTCTTGAGGTCGGGAGTTCAAGACCAGCCTGGCCAACATGGTGAAACCCTGTCTCTACTAAAAAAATACAAAAATTAGCTGAGCCTGGTGGCACGCTCCTGTAATCCTAGCTACTTGGGAGGCTGAGGCAGGAAAATAGCTTCACCCTGGGTGGTGGAGGTTGCAGTGAGCCAAGGAAGATCGCGCCACTACGCTCCAGCCTGGGCGACAGTGCGAGATTCTGTCTCAAAAAAAAGAAAAAAGAAAAGAATACATGGATATAAACTATAAACTGACATAAACTCATCAAGGTATAAAATGTACACTTAGCTATTTGTTGCTCATAAGTAGATTTTTACCCTTAAGTACAAAGCAGTCCCTTTGATTATGATGACTAACCTGCTAAATACCTACTGAATTGTTACACCTTCTGGACATATTAGGATTTTACAGAGCACTCTGGCTTTTCCTTTCACAGACTGCCCTGTGAAGGTGAGGGGAGGTAAAAGGCTCAGCTGTACAGCCATGGGCTTCTCTGTGTCCTTCCCTGGACTCATGGTAGCACAGGCTGTGTGAGCAGCATTAGATTTGAGTCTCTGCACAGTAAGAAGCAGTGGTGGGAGACTGTTTTCAGATGCAGGGACACAGAACTTCATCCTGTGGTTCTATGCAGTTTTCCAGATGGTATTTTGCTTATAATCTCATTATGTTGGTTTTTAATTTAATCTGCATTCAGTTAAGTAAGTTTCACTATTGATCTCTGTCACACAGTTTTTTCTTTTCTCTTCTTTGTGTGCACACACAAAGTGTGTGTGTGTGTGTGTGTGTGTGTGTGTGTGTGTGTGTGTGTGTGTGTGTTTGTGACGGAGTTTTACTCTTGTTGCCCAGGCTGGAGTGTAATGGCACAATCTCAGCTCACCGCAACCTCTGCCTCCAGGTTCAAGCAATTCTCCTGCCTCAGCCTCCCGAGTAGCTGGGATTACAGGCATGCACCACCAAGCCCAGCTAATTTTGAATTTTTAGCAGAGACGGGGGTTTCTCCATGTTGGTCAGGCTGGTCTTGAACTCCCAACCTCAGGTGATCCGCCCATCTCAGCCTCCCAAAGTGTTGGGATTACAGGCGTGAGCCACTGTGCCCGGCCTGTCACACAGTTTTGTAAATGAAGAGGAGAAATTACATATGTTTCACCTTCCTTAAGCCATTGATACTGAGATGACATTAGCCCAACCTACTGCCACTGAAGCCAGCAACATTTATTCCTAGTCATGGCTTCTCAGTATTCTGTCCCTTTCCCTGCATATTATTGATTCGAGAAAATTTTGCTTAGTTATTATGTAAGAAACATGATTTGGGACAATTGTTGATGAAGAATCATAGATCAAGCTTACTACTTCCAATTTTCTCACTGTTAAAATATGAATATATAGAAGATACAAAAAATACATTATTAGCATGCTCTTATACATCACAGGGAGCTTATTCTAAATAGGTGACTAATTTATTAGAAAAAAACTTGGGTTGTGAAAAGTTTAGAGAGACATTTTATTAAAACTTTGGCAATTAAAAGCAATTCTTCAAAATTTTCTACAGATACATATATGCATATATATACACACACACGCATGTATGTATTTATTTATTTATAAAGAGGAAGACCCATTGATCTTTGTTGAACTTTTTAAATCATCTCTGAACTATAGTCAACTTTTAAAACTATAAACCTTTATTTTCTCCTGTGTTTTAAAAATAAATCATATATTCCTGCCCTTGTTTTTATGTTGTAAAATCCACTGTGTATGCTATTTGAGGTAAATCCATTTAAAATCACTTCTAATGCATAAACTGGAAAATTATTTTGTCAATATACTATGTCTATTAAAATAGCTGCATGTTTCCTGACTGTGGAATTATATTGAGTGATTGGACTGATTGCAGTTCAGGATAACAGAGACCTCTTGCAGCTGTAGAGACTTTCTTGTTAGACAGCAGGTTCCGCACCCCTGGAGCTACCAAGTCACGGCTGGAATGACTGACTAGCAGAGATGCAGTTGTGTGGATTCAAGTATTGTGCAGCTGTTGACTGGATCACCTTTAAGATGCCTTTTAATCTTGAGACCCCTATGGTCTAGTCTTACTTTCCTAGAAGGTCAGTGTTGGGGCCTTGCCAAACTTGTAGCAGTCAAATACGTTTAACTCACTAAGCAGGCAAGTGTTAGCAGCTATCCTTTCCTTCTTACTTTCGAATATTGGGAGGGGAGTATGTTCTGTTAACTGGACAACTGACCATCTGTGACCATTTTTAGTGAGAGCATCTGGCAGTAGCTGCCTGTTTAACAGAGAGTGATGTGTCTGGAGGGCAGTAGGTTAAGGGAATCCTATCTGTGTCTTGCATGGTGAATACTTGCTTTCACTGAGCTTTTGCACATTAAAGATACTTTAACTGGAGCTAGATTTGCTAAGTCGGCTTGGAAATAAAATTTAAATGCTTCTGTTTGCTGATTCAATGTCAATTTGAGTAACAAACTAGTGTCTCAAAATTTCATTTTCATACTAATCCCCTTTCTGATGCCTTTATACACCTTTTTTTTTTTACTTCTGATAATTAAGTTTTTAATTTAAAAAGTATATTATTGGGACATACTCTCCTTGGTAATACACACAGTTCTTTGTTTCTGGAAGAAAGAAAAAGACGAATGAACTTATGTATTTCAATTCATTTAACGAGCATTTTCAAATATTTTTCTGAGATGTAGTACTACATAAAAAGGTGTAACAGATGTAATCTCTGCTTAAAACAAGAAATATTAAAAGACATTAAATTGACGATTTTTCCAATATCTGCACAAATTTCTAATGAACTAAATTTAATTATACTTAGTAATGAAAGTTATTTTAGAACTTTTTACTCTAAAACCTCAAAGCTCAGTCCCTAGATGTACAGTTTTTTTAAAGTAGCTAAAAAGATTATTGTGTCTTTCATAGTATAAATATTGGCAGAGTGATGGAAATATTTTGATGTTAGCTTGTTTGATTTTAATGACTTTAAAATATAGTTTGATTTTAATTAAAACTGGTTTACTTTGGTGGTGGGGTTGGAAAAAAGCATTAGACTTGTGATTTAATACATTAGTGTGATTTGTTCTAAGTGGTAGTTTGAGACTTTGTATCTTTGTGGTGATTAATTTCACTTAGATTTTTTCCCCTAGGCACTTTCAATGTTTAGCTCAGTTGTAAGTAGGATTTTTAAATACTTGTTATATTCATCTCACAATAAACTAAAGCAAAATTAGTAACATACTTTTGTTCCCTGATAATTGATTGAAATGATTTGTTCCCCTTTTTTCATCTGTTTGTTTCAGAAATTGGCTTTAAATTCTGAAGTTAGCTTATAATTACAAAGGAACTGTTTTCACAAGCTGTCAAAAACTGTTCTGAATTATTAAGTCTTTATTTGAAAGGATGAAAAGGGGCAGATTTTTATGTAATACTGTTGTTTAACATTTAGGACACTGATGTTAGATCATCTTTAGCTTTTATTTTGCCAAAGAGCTTGAGCTTGTTAATTATTTTATTTGATTTTACAGTAAGCATGATTAGTGTGAGCATGAGATTTCACACCAATTATAAATGAATAATTAAAATAATAAACTATACAGCATTTTATTTATTTATTTGAGACGTAATCTCACTGTCACCCAGCCTGGAGTGCAGTGGTGCCATCTCGGCTCACTGCAACCTGTCTCCCAGGCTCAAGCAATCCTCCTACCTCAGCTGGGTCCTGAGTGGCTGGGACCACAGGCGTGCGCCACCACGCCGGGCTAATTTTTGGTATTTTTGGTAGAGACGGGGTTTCATTCTGTTGCCCAGGCTGGTCTTGAACTCCTGGACTCAAGCCATCCACCTGCCTCAGCCTCCCAAAGTGCCAGGATGGTAGGTGTGAGCCGCCATGCCCAGCCTGATTCATTCTGTCCAGCAGTCACAAAATAAATTCATTTAATTGAACTCAGTAAACTTCTTTAAAGAAATACTTTTGGAAACTGCTTGCCTTGTGGGCTAGAAAACTAACTGACGAAAGTGTGAGTACAAATTATAACAAAAGAGAATATTTAAAAACTATCGTATTTCACTTTCTTCACTATTAAATATTTTTAAGTTACCCTTTCTTTTGTTATGTTTAATATATTATTATGCCAAAATATGTTGAAACTTCAACATAGACTTTTTTCTTAATTTGCCAATAGAGCAGAAATTTTTGAATATTTCATTCTCTGCAGTATCTTAAAATGCCAAATATGATTGATACTCAACTCAAATTTTAGAACTTAATATTTGAAAAATTTAGAAACCAATACTTCAAAAGAAATGAAGTATTTACTTCTAAAAAAAATCCTGCTACTAAAAAAATACTATTACATTAAGATAGTAAAAAAGAAAAGATTTTTCATTTGCCAATTTGCAGCTACCTCTAATGAAAAATAAAGTGTTTACAGATTGATGAAACTGTAAGAGCTATATAAGAATTACAGTGCATTATCTGTTTTTTTTTTTTTTTCTTAAATTATTTGTCGTAAATGAAAGGTCTCCTGCCATTGTAAAATACTTTGGGTGTTCTCTGGATGAATTAGAGGTATATCTCCTCTTTACATTTGGAAAAATATTGCCCAGATTTTAAGTCTCAACACTTCTGGGAAACCTCTTGTGACTCTAAATGGTGTCAGTCATTCCATGGTACATCATTTACAATGTTCTATTATAGAAACCACATGGCACTGACGGTAAAAGAAAAACATCAGTCAAATAAGTTTCTTGTCTGTTGCCTGGATTTGACTTCAAATTTCACAACTTATTAACAAATGAAATCCTAGCTGTTCACCTAATCTTTTAGGTAGGGATAATGGTATTGATTTTAGAATGTTAGGGAGATTAAATGAAATAATGCACATAAAAGTTAGCATAGTGCCTGGGAAAACTGCATTATAAGTTCTCAACAAATGTTAGTTGTTTTTGTTGTTAAAATTGTTATCCTCCCAGGAGAGCAATGTATTTAGAAATTGAGCCTGTATTTAAAAATTGTGTCTGTATGTTTTAAAAATATTTTTTCAAGTAATTTACCATGATCACTAGATTTGAAAGCTAATGCGTCTTGAGCTTTAAAATGTATATGGATTACCCACAGATCTTGTTAAAACACAGATTCTAATATTCAGTAGGTTTGGGTGGGGCCTGAAATTTTTGCATTTCTGCCCACTTTGAGAAGTAAAGATCTAGACCAGGAATAAGCAAACTTTTTCTGTAATGGGACAGATCGTAAATATTTTAGGCTTTATGGGTGTTTTGGACCCAATGTTTGTGTCTTCCCAAAATGTATATTTTAAAGCCTTCACCCTAAATGTGACTCTGTTTGGAGATAGAGCCTATGAAAAGATAGATGCTGAAGGTTAAATGAGGTCATAAGAGTGAGGTTCTAATCCAGTAAGGCTGATGCCCTTATAAGAAGAAGAAGAAATGCCCAGAGCATGCTCTCTACCATGTGAGGATGTAGCAAAAGCCCAGTCACCTGTGAGCCGGGAAGAAAGCCCTCACCAGAAACTGAATCCTGCCAGAGTGTGATGCTGGAGTTCCCAGCCTCTAGAACTGAGGAAACAAATTTCAGTTGTTTAAACCACTCAGTCTGGCATTTTGTTATGACAGCCCTGAGCAAGACTGATACAGTGGGCCATATAGTCTCTTTCACAAGTATTCAACTCTGCTACTGCAGCACAGAAGCAGCCTTGGAAAATACATAAATGCATGCATGTGGTTATGCTCCAATAAAACTTCATTTGTGGACACTGAAGTATGAATTTCATATAATTTTGACGTGTCACAAAATAGTATTCTTTAAAACATTTTATTCAGGCTGGGTACAGTGAAATATAATCTCATGTCTGTAATCCCAGCACTCTGGGAGGCCGATGTGGGTGGATCACTTGAAGTCAGGAGTTTGGGACCAGCCTGGCTAGCCTGGCCAACATGGCATAACCCTGTCTCTACTAAAAATACAAAAATTAGCCGGGGGTGGTGGTGCATGCCTGTAATCCTAGCTACTCAGGAGGCTGAAGCAGGAGAATTGCTTCAACCTGGAAGCTAGAGGTTGCAGTGAACCAAGATTCTGCCACTGCACTCCAACCTGGGTGACAGAGCAAGACTTTGTCTCAAAAAAAAAAAAAGAAAAAATTTTTTTAACCACTGAAAGATTAAAAAAAAAAAAAACAAAAAAAACCTTTTTAGCTGACAGGTATATCAAGAGCACCAGGCCACATTACTAGAATTTAGAAGTTCTAGATTTAGACTGTGTATAGTTCTTGCTTCTCAAAGTGCAGTCCCAGGACCAGCAGCATAATCTGGGAGTTTACTGAAATGCTGAATTTCAGGCCTCCCCTCTATCTATTGTTTTAACACGTAAGGGTAAGGAATTTTGACATTAGGTTTATGCCTTTCTTCTTCTTTTTCTTTTTTTTGAGACAGAGTCTCGCTCTGTCACCCAGGCTGGAGTGCAGGGGCGCGATCTCGGCTCACTGCAAGCTCCACCTCCCTGGTTCACACCATTCTCCTCCCTCGGCCTCCCAAGTAGCTGGGACTACAGGCACCGGCCACCACGCAGGCTAATTTTTTGTATTTTTTTTAGTGGAGATGACGTTTCACCGTGTTAGCCAGGATGGTCTCGATCTCCTGACCTCGTGATCCACCCGCCTCGGCCTCCCAAAGTGCTGGGATTACAGGCGTGAGCCACTGCGCCTGGCCAACATGCAGTTTTAACTTCTGTGATACGTCACCTAACTCCTCGTGAAGACATTGTCTAGGAGATAATGTCAGTTAGAAATGCAAAATTTCTGCCAGGTGCAGTGGCTCACACGTATAATCCCAGCACTTAGAGAGGCTGAGGCAGGAGAATTGCCTGAATCAAGGAGTTTGAGACCAGCCTGGGCAAGATGGTGAGACTCCATCTCTACAAAAAATCAAAAAGTTAGCTGGGCATGGTGGTACATGCCTGTGATCCCAGATACACAGGAGGTTGAGGCAGGAGAATCAGCTGAGTCCAGGAGGTCGAGGTAGCAGCGAGCCATTTGCATCACTGCACTCCAGCCATGGTGAAGTAGGGCCTGTGAGACCCTGTCTCAAAAACAAACAAAAAAAAATTTCTAAATTTAGATTAGAACTTTACGTACATATGTATGACTATATAAAGCTACTTAGTTTACAAACAAGTTGTTATCTGTACCAATTTAATTACCATATCTTGTTTTATAAATTTTTATATTAAAGTTTATTCATCTTGGCCAGGCGCAGTGGCTCACGCCTGTAATCCCAGCACTTTGGGAGATCGAGGCGGGTGGATCACCTGAGGTCGGGAGTTCAAGACCAGCTTGGCCAACATGGTGAAACCCCATCTCTACTAAAAATAACAAAAATTAGCTGGGCGTTGTGGCAGACACCTATAATCCCAGCTATATGGAAGGCTGGGGCAGGAGAATCGCTTGAACCTGGGGGGCGGAGGTTGCAGTAAGCTGAGATTGCGCCATTGCACCCCAGCCTGGGCAACGAGTGAAACTCCATCTCAAAAAACAAAAACAAAAACACCTCCCACCCCGCCAAAACAAAACAAGACAAAAAAACTGTACACAAATGTATAGCTCTATTCACAGTTGCCAAAACCTGAAAACAACCTAAATGTCCTTCATCAGGTGAACAGATAAACTGCAGTACATCTGTACAATTGGAATACTCCTCAGCAGTAAAAAGCAGCAAACTATATTGCTGCTTGCAACAATTCATGGATGAATATCAATGTCATTATGCTGAGTGAAAGAGGCCAGTCTTAAAAGGTTACATTCTGTATGACTTCATTCATATGACACTCTTGAAAAGTGAAAACTGGGGCCAGGTGCAGTAGCTCACGCCTGTAATCCCAGCACTTTGGGAGGCCGAGGCGGGTGGATCACCTGAGGTCAGGAGCTCGAGACCAGTCTGGCCAACGTGGTGAAACCCTGTCTCTACTAAAAATACAAAAATTAGCCAGACGTGGTGGCTGGTACCTGTAATCCCAGCTGCTTCGGAGGCTGAGGCGGGAGAATCACTTGAACCTGGGAGGCAGAGGTTGCAGTGAGCTGAGATAGCGCCATTGCACTCCAGCCAGGGCAACGAGAGCGAAACTTTGTCTCCCTACCAAAAAAAAAAAAAGAAAAGAAAAGATGGAAAACGTATCAGTGATTGCCATGACTAGAGATGGGGGCAAGACTTGACTACACGAAGGCAGCATTGGGAGCTTCTGGATGTGATGAAATTGTTCTTTTTCTGGTTGTGGTGGTTGCAGAAATCTATACATGCGTTAAATAGGACCATACAACAACAACAAAAATAAGTTTCAGTATATGTTAATTTTTAAATTAAATCAGAAGACTGAGGGTTTTGAGATCAGATGACCAGGGTTTGATCCCAGCTCTCCAGCCCGCTAAGACTGTGATATTGGTAAAGTCACTTGACCTCCATGAACCTCAGTTTCTCCTAGACATTTAGATTGCTCAGGATTGAATGTAGAACCCACAGGACAGCGGGTTGGTACATAGTAAGTGCTCGATAACTGTTATCTGTAAATATGATTAAGGAGAGGAAGAAATTAGAATGATGCTTAAGTGTTCTAAGGGATGGTACTTTTACTCTGGAGTAGGGCTTTGAGAAGTAAGACCAGGATTGGGGAAGTAGGAGATACTGAGTTCACTTTTTATCATATTGGGTTGGAAAGGTTGGTGTCCCAGTGGAGATGTCTATAGCAGCTTAATATATGGGTTTAGATTTCAGAAGAACTGAGATGGCGAATTATTGTTGTGCAGTTGGAAGTTAAGTCTGTGGACCAGCGTCTCTCTGGCTTAGCTACTTTGAAAGAGATTATCAGACTTCAGCAGAAGAAACTAGTCAGCATAATTGTGAAACAAAAGAAGTTAGGTCACTTTTAGGAAAGAGAGGCATATCCAGCAAATCTCATTGAAATTTCTCTTACTATGTGAAACTTCAAACTTTCTCATTTTCTGAGATGTATCTCTCAGTGGAGTCCCTTTTAAAAAAAAATCTTCAAAGACTTTCAGAAACTGAAATTTTTCAATATAGGTAAGGTCATATTTATATGTGATCTTAGTTTGGTGAAATTCTAAACATCTATCAGTCTCTCTTACTTGCCACAAAAGATGGAGGAATTTTTAATAAGAAAGAAGCAAAGGAGATCAGGCTGCCATATTATGGGAAAAATATAGATGACATTCCAAATGGAACCTCCTAGCAAGTTACAGAAGATATTTTGCTTTCTTCAATATTTGAAAACCTTTTTTAAACTTTTTTTTTGTAACCCAGTTGAATGCAGTAGCACAAACTATCATGATTTGCATTTCTGCCTCTTAAATTCAGAGGATTGCAAACAATATTAAAATAACAGTGCTGCCGGAGAGAAGAAATACCTTTTACTTGCGTGCTGTGTATAGCAGTGTATCAGAGTTGTATTAATGCCACCCTATGAGATGTTATAGATCACTTTATTTCATACTTAAATCATTTTGGAGAAAGAAGAAAGACAGCAATATATGCCTATACTTCTTAAACATTTTTTTCACCATCTTTAAGAAAGTTCAACTTTCCAAAAAATTTCAAACACAAATAATTGGGAAAAGAATTTTGAGTTTTTTTTCCTGGACCTTTATATCCTTAGCATTGAATAGTTATCACCTTTCGAAATGCTCTAAAACATGGAGGGCTCTGTGAAAAACATCTGTCTTGTTATTGAGGTGAAAAATGTGAACAAAATGATACACAGCTACTCCTCTTTTTTTTTTTTTTAAGTATTAAGCAAGATTTCTTTTTCTTCCAAGAATAAAACTGATGCATTTGCCTAAATGGTCATCACTTTTGTAGGCCTGAAGTTGTTTTACTGCTTTAGCAGCTGTGTGGCAAGCTTTCTAGCAGACAATGGTGGTGGGGAGGTGGGATCAGTTGCATCTGGCTTCTCTTTGTAGAATGACTGAAAAGTTGATATTTAGTGGTTTTCTTGAGAAAGCAGTTCATGTGGAGAAGAGTAACTTTTTTTAGTACCTAAATTAGCTTGCTGTGATTCATATGCATGCATTTTGTCTTCCTGCTTAAAAAAGAAAAGAAAGAGTAAAGAAAATTGTCTACCCTGAAACTGCATAGCACAGATAACCCTTTGACCTTTGGCACTGGGTAAAGATTTACAGTACTTGTGGAGCCTCACTCCACATGCCTGACTGAAAAGAACCCTAAATAAAGTAAGGCCCCTGTGGAGATGGAGAAAATAAGCAGGATATGAGGAAGTTCCATTATTTCATGTGGCTGTGTTGCTGCTGTTGTTGTTTTAATCAGTTTATAAGGTGAAATACCAGTTGGGATGCATTTCCAGTTTAGGGGGTCCGATGTCAGTTAAGTTTGTGCTCTGATTTTGGAAGAGTTGGAGTCGAGGTTACCCTGGGCATAGTGTCCTTCTCTGTCTCTCTTGTACTCAGGGAATATCCCCTCCTGCTGGCTCCCTCAAATTAAATTCCCATTTGAAATATCTGGATAGTTGTTTGTCTGTTTGTTTGTTTTAGGGAAAGCAAGACAAAACCTTTTTTTTGTTTGAAGAAATGGGCATGATCAAAAGATAGGGGAAAGTGGAATCCCCTATCACTTTATGTGTTAAATTAAATTTTTCTTCAGATTTAAAACATAAAAAACACATGAGAACAAAATTAGTTCCCCATTGTCTCCAGAAAAATTGGTTTAACTCTGCTCCAAATGGCGCATCAAATTGAGACCTTTGAAGAAATTTTCGTAATTTATTACATAACGATACTCAGATACTCAGATCTATTTAATACTTAATAGCTTTCTACTATGTATCTCTTTTAAAATAAGTCAATATTTTTATAGCACTTTGTATTTATATCTTGAGGTTTAGCTACTAAATTTATTTTACTGCTTTATTTTTTTGTTTCCTTTTTATATGTGCTAATAAAACCTCAAATAAAAGTTTCCTTGGTCTTAGGAAGATGCATCTAGGTAGAGACAGGCTGTTGATTGTCTGGTAGGCCCAAACTTTCAAATGGTATTTTTACAAATGAAGAAAAAGCTTCAGTAAACTTTTCATTCTCCTATTTTTAAGAGTCTGTAAGCATGGTAAAATGCTTGACGGGAATTGCAAAGAGCATCTCCTTAGAGAAGGAAGAACTCTTGTAGAAAATTAAATCAATACTGTCCATTAATCATACTGCACGTCAGCCCTCAGACCACTCTGGAAGTTTCTGGTGAATGTAAAGAATCTTTAGATGTGTGAGGTCCTTAAAGATCTAAGTTAAACGAGAGGGGTTTTCTTTTTTTTAAAAGAAACCCATTAGCACATGAAAGAAACTTCAGGGTGGACAGAAAAAAAACATTTGCTGCATAGCAGTAATTACACTTGTGGTTTTTGTTTTGTTTTTGGTTTAAAGTTTCTTAAAAAAACTTAACGCACATGAAATTTTAAGCCTTGTACTAACTATGCAGTCCAAGGACTGAAGGGGAGCTGCAGGACCACGCTTCCTGGAGGAAAATATTTTATCTTGGTCTTTAAAAATATTTTGTATGTTTATTTTATAACATACATAATATATTAAGGCGGTCACACATATGTATGTTATAAATAAATGAAGATATATATAATGAGTATGTGTGTTAGAAAAAATTACTTATGGATAGTGAAACTTAAAAATTTGGAAACCACTGTTCTAAAAAATTGAATCAGGTGTTTTGTTTTGTTTTGTTTTGTTTTGTTTTTGAGACTTTTTTTTGAAGTCTGTCTCTGTTGCCCAGGCTGGAGTGCAATGGCATGATCTCGGCTCACTGCAACCTCCATTTTCTGGGTTCAAGTGATTCTCCTGCCTCAGCCTCCCAAGTAGCTGGGACTTCAGGCGTGCACCACTACGCCCAGCTAATTTTGTGTTTTTAGTAGAGACGGGGTTTCACCGTGTTGCCCAGGCTGGTCTACTGAGCTCAGGCAGTCCGTCCGCCTCGGCCTCCCAAAGTGCTAGGATTACAGGCGTGAACCACTGCGCCCGGCCTAATCAGGTTAAGTGATTACCCATTAGGAAGCTTTATAGTCTAGAGAAGGAAATAGACATTAATAAAATCACCACATAATTTATAATTACCAATTTTAGTGTTATGAGGTAAAAGCATTTGGAGTGAAGGGGCTGTGTAATAGTGGACACTATAGTTTGAGGGTGGGGGTCTGGGTAGGTTTTCCTGAGAAGCTGGTACTGAATTTGAGATCTGAAAGATAATAGGAGTTAACTAGGCAAAGGATCCTGATGGGATAGTGAAAGAAGGGATGGTGTAAACTAAAGCGATAGAATGATCATCAAAGCAGGCTAAATACGAGTACTTATTTCTGTCTAAATAACCTGATTTATCAGTTGGTTTGAATAAGCTAGTGTGATCCCACGAGGGTTCCCTAACATCATCCTGACATAGTTTATTGAAACTGTACATATTTTCCTATTCCATTTTGAGATGTTTAGAAGCTTGAAAGACTTGAAATCCCAGCAAATGTGGGCTGCTGTAAGAGGAGGCCCCTTGAATTAGCCTTGATAGCTGACTCCATTGACCTTTATCTTGATTTATCATAGGAACTAGAGCAGCTGCCTCAGCTGAGTGTTACAGTGACATCTTAGCTTTCCCAGCCTGCCAGGATGTTAATAACTTATGAAACCTGTGCACACAGTAGGCAGCACATTTTGCCTGATTATCACAATTGATTCATCTCTTCCTTGGTAGGTTGTGTAAATACATCTAACTGGGGTCATTATTTCAAATTTATATGTCTCCCATTTCCTTCTAAGAAAAATTTGAAGTGACTCAATACAGAAACACAAAACTTAAGAAAATAAAAAACAAATAGATGAGACAAGGCCCAGTATTAGGAATTTAGGGTTAAACACACCCATACTAAAAGCGAGAATGTAAATTAATATACAACTTTTCTAGGGGTAATTGGGCAGTACCAAAAATGGGAGGGGACTTACAATATGCATACTCTTTTACCAGAAATTCCATTAATAGAGACCTATCATAAGAAAATAATAATGTGGGGTGGGCACGTTGGCTCACGCCTGTAATCCCAGTGCTTTGGGAAGCTGAGGTGGGCGGATCGTGAGGTCAGAAGTTCAAGACCAGCCTGGCCAACATAGTGAAGCCCCATCTCTACTAAAAATACAAAAATTAGCTGGGCATTGTGGTGCATGCACCTGCAGTCCCAGCTACTCGGGAGGCTGAGGCCAGAGAATCGCTTGAACCTGGGAGGCAGAGGTTGCCATGAGCCAAGATCATGCCACTACACTCCAACTTAGGCGACAGAGCAAGACTTCATCTCAAAAAAAAAAAAAAAAATAAAAACAATAATGCGCATGCACAAACATTTAACTGCAAGAGTGTTTACTGTAATATACAGGGTCACTTATAATTGGAAAAGCTGGAGAAATCCTATATATTTAGCTACTGAGGTTTAACAAGCTATGGTACATTCATACAATTTGAATATAGTCTACAGCCATACCATCCTGAATGCTCCTGATGTCATCTGAATAAATATGGGCATTGAAAGGAATGTTTTAAAAGAGAAATGACAGAAATTGTTCACAGTGTATTAAATTTTAAAAGCAGGTTATAAAACACATAAATATTGAATATGTGTATGTGTGGATAGTAAAGGGAATGAAAAGAAAACAGCAACCTAATGTTCACAGTGTTTATCTCCGTGTGATGGTATTAAGAACCTTTTATTTTTATTTCCTTTTTTTGGCTTGTCTGAATTTTATAAATGTTTCATAACTGTATTTGATCATAATTTTTTAAAAAGTAATTTTAAATTGAATATACCTAGATGAAGAGATTGGGACAAAGATAAATAAAGACTGGAAAATCAATAAAACTAGGATTATGTTCTTTATTGCATGCCATATGGTCTTCTACTATTGCTAGAAATGGCCTATAAGTTGAGTTACAAACTTCCTTGCAGTCAAAACAAACTACAGTTAGCTATGGGACACAGGATATTTTAATTATCAGAAGAAGTTTGTAGTATACTAATTAAAATCCCAGATACATTACCTCCAGAAAAACGCTGTATGTTGAAATAGTTGAAGAATCTCTATGGAACATGTATTGAAATCATTTTAACTTATGCTTGATAATATAATAAGGAAAGGTGATTCCTGTTGTATCTAGGATCACTTAACAAGTTACAGAGTTTTGGTTGACCTAGAGATATTAGTGGAGGAAACAAAAAATTTTTTCTTAACCTTCACCTTTCTCCATCTGAATGGCCAAGTATGATGATTTTTAGTGTGTTCCCCTTTCTTGAATAGCTACACGTCCACTCTTTTTATAAAATGACCTTTAGTCTCAGAAGAAAAATCATGGCAATGGGCCTCAATTCTGACCCCATAAAACAATAGAAACTATGTTTAAAGCCTCCAAAAACCTTAAGAAGTAAGGAGACACACTTTTAAAAGGCCTATTTTTCTGTGCATATCTCTATTCTGAGAAATTACAGGGATTATTTTAATTATAGTAATTCTGTGTCCCAAGAGGGCTCAATTGTGTACTTATATGGCCTCATTCTTGGTATACTGTATTCCAGTGCTGTGTACATTTTACAAATTGACATTCTAGTATGATTCATTGGGAATTTAAAAAGAAATCTGCATTTGCATACTTTATATTCAAAGTCCCAGATAGTTCTAGAAATCTTACTAGAAGTCTGACAGCTTGCTGGTATCTCTCCTTTTTATTGTCCTCAGTGTCAAACAAGTGATCAATATAAACATTTGTATATAGATAGATGGATATAACTTGATATAGACAAAAAGAGATAAAATTGGCCACTAAGACAATTATACTGCTCTGGCCAGGCTCATGCCTGTAATCCCAGCACTTTGGGAAGCCGAGATGGGCAGATCATGAGGTCAGGAGATCGAGACCATCCTGGCTAACAGGGTGAAACCCTGTCTCTGCTAAAAATACAAAAATATTAGCCGGGCATGGTGGCGGGAGCCTGTAGTCCCAGCTACTTGGGAGGCTGAGGCAAGAGAATGGCATGAACCCGGGAGGCAGAGCTTGCTGTGAGCTGAGATCACACCACTGCACTCCAGCCTGGGCAACAGAGCGAGACTCCATCTCAAAAAAGAAAAAATTACACTGCTCTGGGTTAGGAAAGCTTTCGAAGTCATGTTTCTCTTCAACAAGCAACCTAACAGATTATAGATTATAGATTTTTTATTTTCCTTTATAAAGTACCCTAAATTAAAGTCATAATTTAACCTTTGTAGTATTCTTGTCAAAAATGTTTAGCCCGAATCTAATAATGAAACCATCAGATAAGTCCGGATTGTGAGACATTCCACAAAACAGCTCAACTGGAAATGCCATCCTTGGAGAAGACAGGAAAAGAGCAGGAGACAGTTCTAGATGGAGACACGATGTGGAGCGTGTAATCCTGGATTCTTGTGGGGAAAAGCAGTTATAAAGAACATTATTGGACAATTTTGGAAATTTAAATACAGACTATATATTAGATAAATGCTGCCATTGTTAAATTTGTTGGGTATAATAATACTGTGTTTATGTTGGAGAACATCCCTTTTTAGGGGGAAAATGTCACAGTATTTAGGTGTGATGTGAAGTGTCATGATTCAATAAAAGGAAAGATGTGTATAAGTACACACACAAATAAAAGAATAAGAAATAAAGCAAATACATTAAAATGTCTATAACTAATTTTAAAGGTTTAAAAATGCCCTATACTCTTGTACTGACAATTTTTAGTCTGTAGTATCTCCAAATTAGATAATGGTTTTACAATGATTAGGCACTGAAAGGTTAAAACAACAGCACTTCTGAAGTAATTGCTTATAAAAAAATTCTCTAGGAATGTGGGGATATTTAAAAGTTGTATCAGTCAGTATATACTATAAGTTTGCCTCTTAAGAAATTAAGGCACAGAACATCAGTTTCTTATACTGTCCAGAGCCCGCCTGTTCATACTGTCCAAAGTTTATACTGTCTAAAGTTCATACTGTCCAAAGTTCTGTCTTATTCTTACTGTCCAAAGCCCACTTGAGGAACTAAAGGCTGTTTCTGTAACTGAGTGCATAATATAAAAATATTCTGAACTGAAATTATTTCCTTAAACAACTGAATAACTCATTCATGAAATGTTTGTAAACTGATATTTATAATAATATATTTCAGATTGAATATAAGAAACCTAGATCTGTTGAATGTTTTATTTATCAGAAAATCTTTTTGGTTTAATTCTATATGCTTAATTTGTTTGAGGTTCTGTGTCATACGTGTTGAAAACCATTTTAAGATATGTTGAATACCTTTCAGTACCCCTAAGCATCTTCAGTGTCTTTTAATAACTAAAAAATTTCTGGTTGAATAGACTGTTTATAGCCAGTTAACACATTAATAATATGCAGCTGCTTGGATCTAAGAACTCCCAGAATTCTTTTATTTGCTAACATTAAAATCTATTGCAGTGAGTTTACATAAGTTGTTGTAACATACTGTTTCTTGTGAGTTTTAAAGAAGGCATAAATAAATAATCATGGTTTTATCACTGTGATTGATGAAGCTGATATTTACCAGCTTGCATTTCCCACTTGAGAAGAATTTAAGATTGGTTTCAAGCTATCTGCATCTTTCTCATTTTGTAAGCTTGTTTTTCACTGCTGAGGGTTGAGATTTGAAGGGATGGTTATCAAACTACAGATGTTTTTGCAATGAAACTGTGCACCTCTGACCAAGTCACTGTGGTTCAGGAGATGATAGATGATATTTTCATGTTGCTTCACATAAGGGTCAAAATGGCATGGCAAGCCCACGACAGTGAAACGGAAAAATATTAGTCCTGGGAGGAAATTTATTTCATAGCTTCAGGGGAAGTTTGGTTGTCATGAATAGGCTCTCTCTGTCAGTCTATAAAAATATTGTTTGTAAGGCAATGATGTATGTGAGACAGACCGTGTATGTGAGTTGGCAGACAGAGCAGCTACTTAAACAAATGCTAAGCCAAGTACAGTAGCATGAGTCAAGTGTTCTACTTCGGATGCTTTTAGTGTAACAATTGTTTTTGATAGAAATGTCAACATAATCAAATTTATTTCGTTTTCTGATGTAACAACTTTAAACTTCCTTTGTAAATTTTATACCTTAATTATCCCAGGATACGGCACACACACCGCTATTCTAACACACTTTGTTTTAGAATTATAAATTTCGTACTTATAATCAATGATCACTCCATTTTACTCGCTTTTAAGTTATATGGGTAGGTATATGTGGACATAGCCTTAATAATATGGTTCATATACAACTACTATAAATTCTGGGACAGTTAAGCCACTGTCCTTTTGAAGTGTTCTTTTCTTTTTCTCTTCCCTAACCAAAGGAGATATCAACCCTCACCATATTTCCATTAATTGGTAGTGCAGTGGAGAGACTCATCTTACCAAATGGGGCCAGTGAGGTTCCTTTCTTCCACAGTGATTCACAAAAGGAAAAGTCTTCCATTAGAGAAGTACGTAGAAGATCAAAAACCATGTTTGTGGGACCTTCCAATCTCACTTTCGTATTAGTTTTTCAGTGTTTGAATGTAAATCAGATTCACTTATAGCAAAGTTCAGGTAGAAATCTTCAACTCTAAATATTTCTTATCTAGACATCCTAAGGTAATACATTTGTCAAAAAATAAAAAATGTTTTTAAAAGAATTCTTAAAAGCCTGATGGACAATTAAAAATGAAATTACATGATCAAAAAAGGAATAACAGGATCAAAACATTAGTGAACACAACATAACTGGGAAAGCCTTATGCTTCTGAAGTTTACAAAACAATCCCAGTCATTTGGGGGAGGTTTTAAACATAGAAATTATCTGGCCGGGCGCAGTGGCTGACGCCTATAATCCCAGCACTTTGGGAGGCCAAGGCGGGCAGATCACCTGAGGTCAGGAGTTCGAGACCAGCCTGGCTAACAGGGCAAAACCCCGTCTCTACTAAAAGTACAAAAATTAGCTGGGCTTGGTGGGACATACCTGTAATCCCAGCTACTCAGGAGGCTGAGGCAGGAGAATCACTTGAACTCAGGAGGCAGAGGTTGCAGTGAGCCGAGATCGCACCATTGCACTCCAGCCTGGGCAACAAAGAGCGAAACTCCATCTCAGAAAAAAAAAAAAAATAGAGATGATCAATAGAATATACTTATTTTGGTAGGAAACTGATTCTCAAAGGACACGTACAAAGAACTTTCCTCTAAATTATTCTAAACTCAGTAGGAGAGGGGATGTTTTTACTGGGAGTGAGAGGTGTTATTTGTCTTAAGACCCTATGGGGGGTGGGAGCAAAACAAAAGAGTGTATCATTTCAGGTTTAGACAAGTACTCTACTGGTCAGCTTCCATGAAAGCTGTATATAGAATACACAGGGAAAGTTTGAGAAGTGAAGGACTGACCCCTCCAACTGCCGTTCTGTCTATTTTATACTCAAATCTTCTATATATTATCATACAACAAATTTATAACATTTTGACATAGTCATCATTAAAGAGAATTCCTTTAAATTTATAATGCAAACAAAGTGAAAAATGTTTCTGATTAACAATCCCTTTTAGAAATTCAGTTTATAAATGGAGAATGAATTTTTAATCTAGGCTTAAAGTTTACATTCTTTTAGCTAAAAACCTGTTTTTAAATCAGCATACTAGTACCTTCATGTAAGATATTATTTTAATCATCATGAATTAACGTTTTCCATTCTAACACAAGTTTGACGATATGAGACAAAGAATTCTGTCTTAGAGATCTGCTCCCCTCATCTCGGTGTGATTTCAATTGGAGAAACACTGTAGTCTTACATTTGGAAAACTTGAAGGCAGATCGCATTGTGCAAATGTGATTTGTGTTTTTGTTACTGTGCTTACACATAGCATTTTATCGTAGCGTTTCACTCGGCTCCCTTTCCCACCCATCCCCCTTAGCGTTTTTCCTGCTCCTCTGCTGCTGGGCCAGACTTGAGCTGGCCCCAGATTCTATGTCAGAGGCCATGACCCAGGTGTCAGAGCAGGCCGTACCGCTGGCCTCTTCTCTGAATAATTATATGGGGGGTATTGTGTCGAAGGGACAGGCTTGGGGGCAGTGCAGTCACCCTGGCTAGCCAGACCAAGGAGCTCTCCAGTTGGACTGCAGGGGAACAATGGGCCTGAAAAGGCTCACACAAAACCTTGTAGCACAAAAGATTAAATTAAAAATGGACATTTGGCTAGACACTAGGTTTCATCCTTCAGACTTTCACCTTTCTTACTTATTCTGATCATTTCCTACCTACTTATTCTGATCATTCCTACAGGCATATCCTGACGTTATATCAGGATATACATTAGGCATATCCTGACGTTATATCAGCATATTTTCTGATTGCTACCTACTTTTGCATATATATTCTAATTCGACGATTTTTAATGCTTTGAAGCTGTGTTAATTGTGACACTTTGTTGCTACTATAGCAAAGCTTTTCTATAGCAGCATTTTAAGTAAACAATTTAAAGTTGTACATAGTCATTTTCAAATAATGCTTTTTTATTTTCTTTATGCATTTTATTAGGCCACCCCAGCATGTTCCTGTGTGTAAATTGAAAAGTGGCAGAGGGCATTCCTAAAGTAGATGTAATTGCTTTATCTTCCTTTGGTCGTAGGAGGATTTTTTCCCCCTACTTGAGAATTTCCATAGAAGGATGGGAAATAAAACTCTCTAAGTCTTCACCAGAGCTGAATTTTAGAAATAGTGTTGGAGGTGGAGTCACTCCTTTGGGGGAAAAGTTTTCTCATGTTCTTGACCTCAGGTTTTCTCTTAATTTTATCTAACCCCGACCTGCTTGCTCTGACCTGGCTCTTTTCAAGGCTTCTGGAGCCTCAGAAACAAACATCACCTGAAAGCAACAAAGACCTAGTTTTCATGACCCAAATATTATCTCTTATTGTTGATCCACAGCCCAGTACTTTGAAATGATTGTTTTTTCTTATGCATTTTCCAGGGAACAAACCTGTTAGTATTACAACAAAGAGTCCATAAAGTTTGAATTTGATGTCCATCGGTTTTACTATCTTAGTTCATCTTCAATCAGGCAGTACTTACTCTTCATGGTATTGGGGGGAAGGTATGGTATAGAAGCTTCCTACTCAGCGAGCTTTTTAGCTTTTGCCTTGGGTCTTGAAGTGTAAGAGTAAAGCAATGATCAAAAGGCAGCAGGATTGGAATTCTTGAATGTGTTCTCCTTAAAGTAAAATTAATTTACTACCTAATGTTTATATATCTGATTATTCTGCTTTTGTTCTACTGGACATTTGCGTAGGTTGAATGTATGTATTCATATCTCCCATTTATTCAGGGCCTGTTTCAGAGATAACTTAACCAAGAAGTTGTGGGGGCGGGGGGAAAGGTTTCAAGCCACTTTGTAGGAGTGGATGCCATTCTTTGGAAGGTACTCTTTTACACATACTCTTACTATTTGCTATCTGATTTCTCAAACATTAGTGATATAGGGCCCCTGTTTTACAAAATAGGCCCAAAAGCACAGACTTGGAACTGAAGGACAACCCTCTGCCAAGCATGTCCTCTTCCATTTCTGTTGGTTGACCTGAGCTGGAAACTTTGACATGTTCTTTTCCTTTCTTTTTTTTGAGACTGAGTCTCACTCTGTCACCCAGGCTGGAGTGCAGTGGTGGGATCACAGCTCACTACAACCTCTGCCTCCTGGGCTCAAGCAATCCTCCTACCTAAGCATACCAAGTAGCTGGGACTATAGGAATGCACTATCATGCCTAGCTAATTTCTGTATTTTTTTGTAGGGACGGGGGCTTTGCTGTGTTGCCCGGGTTGGTCTTGAACTCCTGAGCTCAAGCCATCTGCCACCCTTGGCCTCCCAAAGTGCTGGGATTACAAGCATGAGCCACCAAGCTCAGCCACTTGGTACTTTCTTACTCCTTAGTCTCTTCTCTCAACAGTTCCGTTTAGTCATCTGCCTTCCATGTATATTTAATAAAATCCACAATGGCTCTCAAAGCTCTGTGTGATCTGTCCCCAGCCTCACTTTTCTGTGTGACCCTCCCCCATAAAATACCCTTTACTGCTGCAAATCTGAATTCCTCCCTGTGACTTCTCTCAGGGAGAATGTGCTCCTCTCTCCACACCTTTGCTTATACTCTTCCCTTGGCCTAGATCTCTTCTTCCCCATGCTTCTTGTAGGGTCAAGTTCTGCTCAAATGCCACCTCCTCTGTGAAGCCCTGCCCACTCTCCAAGTAAGTGGTAATCGTTCTCTCTTGTGAATGCCCTTAGAGTTTAACACATCTCTTTTGCAGCGGTTATTCCTATCTTAGATGGTACTTATATTTACCCTTTTTTGTCTTAGCTCCCCAATAGGTTGTTATCTAAAGAAATTTGAGAACACTGACAAACGTGTCAGCTTTCTAATCGTACAGATGAGAAAACTGAACTCCACCAGACTGAGCAACTTTCATAGCCACACAGCGTGTTAATCTAAGATTTATATCCAAATCTCCAAATTCCCAAACCAGCTTTCTCCCTTAAATTTAGTCATTTAGCACTAAAAGACACCTATGATGTTTTTCTAAACATTTTACAAATATAAACTCATTTAATCCACATTTTATAGATGACGAAACTTGATTCAAACCCAAAACCCAAGTAGTGTGGTTATGGAGTCTGTTGTTCAATTACTACACCACCCTGCACTTGTACATGAGAGGGAGCAGGGATTAGGAATCATAGGATGCTAATAGCAATTATATTATTACTATTTATTTATTTATTTATTTATTTATTTATTTATTTATTGAGACTGAGTCTCGCTCTGTCTCCCAGGCCGGAGTGCAGTGACCCAATCTCAGCTCACTTCAACTTCCACCTCCCAGTTTGAAGCGATTCTTGTGCCTCAGCCACCCGAGTAGCTGGAATTACTTTCTTTGTGTGCTCACCACCACACGTGGCTAATTTTTGTATTTTTAGTAGAGATGGAGTTTCACCATGTTAGCTAGGCTGGTCTCTAACTCATGGCCTCAACTGATCCACCCGCCTTGGCCCCCCAAAGTGCTAGGATTACAGGTGTGAGCCACCGTGCCCCACTACTATTGATATTTTTATTAGTATATTACTATTGTTGTTGTTGTTGTACTCAAGCCCTCTTTTAAAGCACTTCATGGAATTAAATTATTTTCCCTCCCCAACATCTCATGAGATGGATGCTGTTATCATTGTCATACCCATTTTACAGGTGATTGTAACCAAGGTACAGAGAGAAAAAATAACTTCTCCAAGTTTCATAGTAATGACCAAGCTAGTGTTGGAATTCCAGTCAGCCTGGGTTTAATATCCCAGCTCTTAACCACTATGCTAGGCTGTCTCTTAGCTTCTTAGTAGCACTGAGTCATTAGGAATGTTGTCTTCTATTTGGCTCAGCATCCACTCACTGTAGAGGACATGGAAGCAAAACTGATACAGAGGGGTTTTTTTTGTTTTTGTTTTTTTTCTTTTTTTTTTTGAGACGGAGTCTTGCTCAGTCTGGAGTGCAGTGGCGTGATCTCGGGTCTCTGCAACCTCCGCCTCCTGGGTTCAAGTGATTCTTCTGCGTTGGCCTCCCGTGTAGCTGGGACTGTAGGCACGTATCACCACGCCCGGCTAATTTTTGTATTTTTAGTAGAGACGGGGTTTCACCATATTGGCCAGGCTGGTCTCAAACTCCTGACGTCATAATCCGCCCGCCTTGGCCTCCCAAAGTGCTGGGATTACAGGTGTGAGCCACCGTGCCCGGCCAATACAGAGGTTTTTGAAGTTTATATGAAATATTTATAGGTATGGCAAATACTTATCCAAGATAGCCCTTCTTTTTACTGCTATTTCATCAGGACTTTCATTTGGTGAAACTTAAGCAATTGCCATAGTTCATGCATAACTGTTTTGATTTGTTCATTCATCAGATACTCAGATACTAGAATTCAGCTGTTTTCTGAATATCTCCCAACCTCAGCACCTGGATGAGTGGGTCATCACTCTCCTAACAGGTACACAGATGCCATCTAGTGATGGAGAACAGAAATGCAAGTTTTTCAAGTAAAATGCCGGACGAAGGCATGGGGTTTTTTGTTGTGTGGTGTTTAGAAATATGTTTCAGTGTAGGTTACTTAAGGTGTTGCACAGAGATACAGTTAATGCATTATTATTGTTAGATCATATGCAGTTAGAATGGAATTAAGCAAGTTGTTGACGAGTACAACTTTAAAAGATTTTGGCATTAGAGAGTCTCATTTTATAGGCCTTTGTCTTGTTCTGAGTCTGGTCATTGAGGATAAGAAACACCTCATTGTAAAAATGGGATATAATTATTAATAACAGATTGAATTAATTTTTGGGTCCATGTGCTTGCTGTTTCTAATACTTGCCCTCAAATTCTTCCAGATTTCCCTTTAATGAAATGACTTACTGTTCTTCCACTACAAAAGGAATTTATTGTTTTCCAAAGCATTTATCATCATTAGGGCCATTTCTTTGTTGGCAGATGAGAGATTATTAGATCAATATGGAAGATGTGGGTAAAGGTAGATATACCACTGGAAGGAATATATACCATGTGACATGGTTGCCAAAGCAGCAAGCATTCTTAGTGGCCACAAACACAAAACACAGTTGTTTCAATAGTATACGCAAGCCAACACACACTTGGGAACCTTTGTCTGCCTGCTCTATACACCAGAGAATATTAGGGAGAACAGAGAGTGGTTAAACTGAGCTTCAGTATTTGCCAATTGCTAATTTGCGGATATTCTGTTCTCTAGATCTTGTTTGTATGAACGAACAGAGATCTTTGATATTCATAAGCTTTCACAAAGTTGATTCCAAAATGTGTTAAGTTTGCCATATTTTTGATACTACCTTTTCTCCCAGGCACCTTTACTCACATGGCAACAATATAGTATTTATTGTGTGTTTATTAATTATAGGAACTCTACAAAGTACTTCATAGGCATGATTTCATTTAATATTCTTAAAATCCCTATCAGAGACGTCCTGTTACATTTCCATCTTCCAAGTCAAAATAAATGAGGCTTAGAAAAGAAAGAAACTTGCTCAAGTCTATACAACTGTTAGGGGTAAATAATACCTACAGATAGAATATTCATTTATCAGCCTGTTTGGTAGATTGAAATTTAAAGTAAAATTTGCGTCTTTCTAGTCCTTGAGTCTCTCATGCAGTGCCTGACTTTTGGTGGGCTCTTGATAAATGTTTATTGATACCTGTGAACTCTTTCTTAGCCAGCCAGACTTCTGGCTCTGACTCTTCCTTTTTTATTTTGAGACGGAGTTTCACTCTTGTCATCCAGACTGGAGTGCAATGGCGTGATCTCGGCTCATGCAACAGCTGCCTCCTGGGTTCAAGCGATTCTTCTGCCTCAGCTTCCCAAGTAGCTAGGATTACAGGCGCCCACCACCACGCCCGGCTATTCCTTTTTCTTTGAGTGGAGATGGGGTTTCACCATGTTGGCCAAGCTGGTCTCAAGTGATCCACCTGCCTCGGCCTCCCAAAATGCTGGGATTACAGGCATGAGCCACCATGTCCAGCCTGACTCTTCTTTATGTGACTAATAATCCAAGTAGAAGAGCTGGTGATGAGAATGAATCAGGTTGGAAGGAGGGTTAGACCAGTCCTAGGGACAGCAGGGAGAAGATGGAGAGTACAGCCATAGCAGTGTGTCAGGAAGATGTTCATTTTTGGGCCAAAGGGTGACTCCCTAATAAAAGAAAAGTACATTTGGCTAGGGACAAAATGTAAATGTAAGCTGACAGTTCAGAGCTGTACTGTTATGAATCAAATTTGTGTTAGATTAATTTGAGCTTTCTTTCCTAACCCTTCATCTTTATATATTGCTAAATCTTTAAGCAAGTTTAACCCTAAATTCAAATATTACCCATTTGAGCCATCACCCCAGAACCATTAAGAATTGAGGAGTGACAGCCGGGTGCAGTGGCTCACGCCTGTAATCCCAGCACTTTGGGAGGACGAGGCGGGTGGATCACGAGGTCAGGAGATCGAGACCATCCTTGTTAACACGGTGAAACCCCGTCTCTACTAAAAATACAAAAAATTGGCCGGGCGTGGTGGCGGGCGCCTGTAGTCCTAGCTACTTGGGAGGCTGAGGCAGGAGAATGGCGTGAACCCTGTAGGCGGAGCTTGCAGTGAGCTGAGATCGTGCCACTGCACTCCATCCTGGGCGACAGAGCAAGACTCCGTCCTAAAAAAAAAAAAAGAGAATTGAGGAGTGAGGCTGGGCACAGTGGCTCATGCCTGTAATCCGGGCACTTTGGGAGGCCAAGGCGGGTGAATCACAAGGTCAGAAGATTGAGACCATCCTGGCCAACATGGTGAAACCCCGTCTGTACTAAAAAAAAAAAAAAAAAAAACTAGCTGGGCATGGTGGTGCATGCCTGTACTCCCAGCTACTTAGGAGGCTGGGGCAGGGGAATTGCTTGAATGCGGGAGGAGGAGGTTGCGGTGAGCTGGGATCGCACCACTGCACTGCAGCCTGGCAACAGAGCAAGACTCTGTCTCAAAAAAATAAAAAATAATAAATAATAAATTGAGGAGTGATTTTTATGCACCTTGTGTTGAGTTTTGAACAAACTAGAACCAACTTCTCCCTGTCTTCCCTTTCTCCTCCTTCCCTTTCTGGGCTTTGAGGAGGCCTGCCCTGTTTGTGGCTGTTCTTTCTAACTCTGCTGTTTTCCCCCAAAAACCACATAGCCTAAGTCCGCTGAGTCTCATGTAACCAAGCACTACATACGTGGCAGTGCTTAACACAAGAAGGGCTGAAACAGGCCTTGGGACTGGTTCCCTGTGGCATTTTACAGTGTTGGCCCTGGTCTCTGGTTTGTCCCATAGGCGTTGGAGGGTCTTTGCAGAACTATGAAGTTTTAGGACTTGACTTTTGCTGCTTATGCTGAGGTTCATTCTTTGTGTATTTACGTGTATTTAACATATTGGTCCTAAACTCTGTTTTTTACCCTATATCCTTAGTTCTGTTAATTCTGTAGCTGTTCTATGTTTTCTTTTTTAGCTGATCACTCTTACTGCCTGGTGATGTTTATCTTAACACTATTTGAGGGCTCTAGTCCCTCCTTCCACTCTTTTTTTTTTTTTTTTTGAGACGGAGTTTCGCTCTGTCGCCCAGGCTGGAGTGCAGTGGCGCGATCTCGACTCACTGCAAGCTCCGCCTCCCGGGTTCACGCCATTCTCCTGCCTCAGCCTCCCGTGTAGCTGGGACTACAGGCACGCGCCACCATGCCCGGCTAATTTTTGTATTTTTAGTAGAGACGGGGTTTCACCGTGTTAGCCAGGATGGTCTCGATCTCCTGACCTCGTGATCCGCCCGTCTCGGCCTCCCAAAGTGCTGGGATTACAGGCGTGAGCCACCGCGCCCGGCCCCTTCCACTCTTAAATTTACAAACATGAAGTCAAATTTCTGAAAAATTAATGAACAAGAATGAACCAGGATATTCCAGGGTCTCTGGATTAATAAACCAAAATAATATTATGACTAGATTTTGAGATCAAAGGCAAATTTGTTAAAGCTAAAGAGGAAGGTGTGGTAAATCCACATTGTCCGCTGCTCAGCTTTGCCCCTAACCTGGTACTTTATAGTTTTAAAAATGGTTCACAGGACAACATAAAGAGTAGTTCACTTATGAAAAATGTAAGTGGGGTTTCTCACTCCTTTATTTTTTCCATATAGTATGTCCTATGTCCTATAATCTTTTTTCTAGTAAAATAATTTCCAGAATTTATTCTGGGAGTGTGTGTGTATTTTAAACTTTTCTATTTGGATAGAAAGGATCTTGTACGCCTGATATAACATGGGAAGGAACCTGGTCCTTGAGACAGTTACTCCCTGATGATTTCCACATAGGAGACGGGGAACTGCTCTTCCTTTCATGGGGCTTATGTGAGTCTGTCCTGAGTGGGCAGTAGCCAAGTGCTTGGGGCATTAAAGGAGCAACTCGGTTCTCTGATCTCTTTGGGACACATAAGCTGTTTCTGTCTGACCAACAGAAAAGTTTAATTCTGGGTTTAAAATTTAGTATAAGAAGTTTATTTTTTTAAAAAGGAAGAAGGGAAAACTTGAAGAATCAATTTTAGGGCTAACAAATGGAACCATTCCAGGAATGTATTCATGCAGTATTGATTGAAGTTGTTTGCATGGTAGAAAAAAGATTATCTCTCCACCTACACTCATAACCCTCATCAAAATGAGCTTTCTCTGTGAAATAGCTGTATTCATATCTGGCCCCCTGTGGAGAACATGATCTACTTTGAGGACACATCTGTCCTATCCTTCCTTTTCTGTATCTCCTGTATTCTGGCACAATACCTTTATATTCTGGAGGCTTTCCTAAAGACCCTCTTCTAATTAAGTAGAGACAGAATGAAGAAGTATTTTTCAGCTGGGCGTGCTGGCTCACACCTGTAATCCCAGCACTTTGTGAGGCCAAGGTAGGTGGATTGCTTGAGGCTAGGAGTTCAAAACCAGCCTGACCAACGTGGGGAAATTAGCCAGGTGTGGTGGTGTGTGCCTGCAGTCCCAGCTACTTGGGGGGCTAAGGTAGGAGGATTACCTGAGCCCAGGTAAGTGAAGGCTGCAATGAGCCATGATTGCACCACTGTTGTCCAGCCTGGGCAGCAGAGTGAGACCCAGTGTCCAAAAAGAAAAAAAAAATCATTATTATTAGGAGACAAACTTCTTTTGACAGAGGCACATGTATTTGTGTAAATTTAGAGGTCTTGTACTTTGTCACGGAAATAACAAGTTCTTGGTTCAGCTTCATGTATATTGGACATTCTCCTTAACACCTTTGAAGGCCTGCTGCAGTGGCTCATTCCTGTAATCCCAGCACTTCGGGAGGCCAAGGCGGGCAGATAGCTTGAGTGCAGGAGTTGGACACCAGCCTGGGCAATATGTTGAGTCCTTGTCTCTACAAAAAATGCCAGGTGTGGTGGTGTGCACCTGTAGTCTCAGCTACTCGAGAGGCTGAGGTGGGAAGATCATCTGAGCTCAGGAGTTTGAGGCTGCAGTGAGCTATAACTGCATCACTGCACTCCAGCCTGGGCAACAGAGTAAGACCCTCTCTCAGAAAACAAACAAAAGAAACATTGGTATCACAGCTTACACATAAAATGGATATAACATCTACCTTATGGTGTTTTCTGATAGTCAAATAAGAGGATGTATCCAAAAGACATTTTCTATAGGATAGTCAAATGCTAGGTTAGTCTTCTTACCTTTCTATCTAGAAAGGTTAGAAGTTTTCTAAGTCTCAGAAATTTTTCATCTTGTGGTTTTTTGAAAAGACAAATGGAAATGAAAATATTTAGAACATTCTTTCAATGAATTTTAATATTAAATATTAGAAAATATCAGTTTCTAAAATATTTATACAAACATACTACTTTGGAGAGTTTTATAAACTTTATATTTTATTCTGGAATTTTATTTAGTTAGTTTATTTGAGAGATGGGGCATTGTTCTGTTGCCCAGGCTGGAGTACGGTAGCACAGTCATAACTCACCACAGTCTCCACCTCCTGGGCTCAACTGGTCCTCCTGCTTTAGCCTCCTGAGCAGCTGGGACTATGGCATGCACCACCACACCAAGCTAATTTTTATTTTATTTTTTATAGAGATGCGATCTTGCTATATTGCCCAGGCTAGTCTTAAACTCCTGTCCTCTACTTCCCAAAGTAGTGGGGTTACAGGTGTGAGTTACTGCACCCATCCTCTATTTTTAGATTTTTAAATGTTTGGATTCACTCTAGAATTATTTTTAACCTTTAATTTCACGTCGTTTTCCAGATTGGTTATATCTATTAAGGATTACTGTTTTCCCTTATGAAGTGTTGAATTTATTTGTGTTTTTTATTATTTAGAGAAGTATAATAGACAAATATATTATTTTTGAGTTGTATCCTTTTTTTTTTTTTTTTTTTGAGATGGAGTTTTGCTCTGTTACCCAGGCTGGAGTGCAGTGGTACAATATTGGCTCACTGCAAGCGATTCTCCTGTCTTAGTCTCCTCAAGTAGCTGGGATTACTGGCATGTGCCATCACGTCCGGCTAATTTTTGTATTTTTAGTAGAGATGGGGTTTCACCATGTTGGCAGGGCTCATCTCGAACTCCCGACCTCGGGTGACCCACCCGCCTCGGCCTCCCAAAGTGCTGGGATTGCAGGCATGAGCCACTGCACCCAGCCTGAGTTGTATATTTTTGCCCTGAGCAAGTATTCTGTATTTAAATGTCATCATAAACAGTTAACTTAAATGTATTTTTATTATTAAACTTCTTGATTATTTCTTAAATTATGTGAGTTGAAATGTATAACTATTTTTTTTTTTTTTTTTTTTTTTGAGACGGAGTCTCGCTCTGTCGCCCAGGCCGGACTGCGGACTGCAGTGGCGCAATCTCGGCTCACTGCAAGCTCCGCTTCCCGGGTTCACGCCATTCTCCTGCCTCAGCCTCCCGAGTAGCTGGGACTACAGGCGCCCGCCACTGCGCCCGGCTAATTTTTTGTATTTTTAGTAGAGACGGGGTTTCACCTTGTTAGCCAGGATGGTCTCGATCTCCTGACCTCATGATCCACCCGCCTCGGCCTCCCAAAGTGCTGGGATTACAGGCGTGAGCCACCGCGCCCGGCCTATTTTTTCAAAGCCCTGAAAAAAATTGTTTTAGGGTGTATTAGATGGACTTTAGTTTTAGTATCGTGATAGTTAATAAACACCAGTAGAGGGAGCTCCAACTCATCTTTCTTGGTGAAGTTCGCACTTGAGAATGTAGGTTTGTAGAAAGGACACATTTAAACTTAAAACTTAAACAAAACATGGTTATATAAGTTTTCAAAGGTACTAAAGAATGACAATTGTAATTTTCTTTAACTTTTTGGAATAAAACAATCTCAGTTTGATTTCCATACTTTGAAGTAAACGGCCCTCAAATATAACTGCTTAAACGAAAAACTTCTACAAAGTGTAACCTCTTGCAAGTGATCCATCAAGCAAACTGAAGGCTTTTAAAATCAAGAATCTATCTGCCACTTAAGGAAGAGGATAAGGAAGAGGAGAGAAAGGAGAAGAAGTGGTTGTGGTAGTATTATTGTTTGAAATTAGATTAAGTAAAGTAAAATTGTAAATTATTGGTAGATAGTCACAATAGCAGTGTCATACGAAGGTGGATTGCTGAGTCAATGAGCAGTAATTTTATATTACTGAGAACTTTTATGCATTCAGCAGGTTTTTAAACCAAAATCTATAAAGGCTTCATTCAGAACCTTTGCTCAGATCTAGAGACCTGGTCCTAATTATTTCCTATTGGTTTCTTTATAGACCCCAGAAGAAAATATCATGTGAGACTCCTGGCTTACAACAACATAGACGATGGCTATCAGGCAGATCAGACTGTCAGCACTCCAGGATGCGTGTGTAAGTGAAAGCCATGGCAGTTTGTTTTACTATGGCTCACACCGTTCTTTCTCCTCCTCCTCCTTTAAGTTACAGTCTCACTACTACTTGGAAGCTTTGGTGGCTTAATTTCTATCCTCTGTGCTGTATAGCGTAGTTTTTTTGTTTTGTTTGTTTGTTTGTTGCCTCCCGGGTTCAAGCGATTCTCCTGCCTCAGCCTCTCGAGTAGCTGGGACTACAGGCACCACCACCACACCTGGCTAATTTTTTTTTTTTTGTATTTTTAGTAGAGACGGGGTTTTCACCATGTTGGCCAGGCTGTTCTCGAACTCCTGACCTCAAGTGATCTACCCGCCTTGGCCTCCCAAAGTGCTGGGATTACAGACGTGAGCCACCGCACCTGGCTAAAGTATCTTAAACAAATAGGTGCTCAGTAAATATTTAAGTAAGATATATTGAATTATAAGTCCTATTTTCATTTTGCATACAAAAGACCATTAGACATTTAACTGAGGAAAATAACCACTGAATATCTACATACCAAATTTTTTAAAGTCTGCTTTTCCCTCGAGGCTGTTTCTCTCCAATTGCTGTTCACTTGTACTGCTCCTAAGAAGGATGTTCTAGTCTTAAGTCCCCCACTGGTTTTCTCAGTGTCTTTGGCTAGTAGCCTGACTTCTCTGTGCTTCTGCCTTCCAATCTGTTATCAGTAATATAGTCACGCACAGCAGAATGACATTTCTGTCAACAATGGACCACATATGTGACAGTGGTCCCATAAAATTATAATGGAGGTGAAAAATTCCTATCACCTATGACATTGCTGTTACAATCTCATAGAGCAACCTGTTACCATTTCTCTGTTTGGATATGTTTGGATACACAAATACCATTGTGTTACAGTTGCCCACAGTATTTAGTACAATATCATGCTATACAGTTTTATAGCCTATGGGTGATAGGCTGTACCATAAAGCCCAGGTGTGCAGTAGGCTATACCATCTAGGTTTGTGTAACTGCACTCTGACAGCCACAGAATGATGAAATCCCCTGATGAAAAACCTAACACATTTCTTAGAATGTATGCCTGTTCTTTAGTGATGCATGACTGTTTTTGACTTCTTATATAACTCACGGAAGAGCTGTTTAGGTTTGGATGATACATCTCTAGATCACTATGAATCTCTGGTGGAAGAAAGACCTAAAATCAACTTATAGGGTGGGATATTATTATTTTACCATTTTACCACTTTCTATGTTAAAATGTTATGTCGTATCGTAAATTAACATTGTTTTTCTCAATAGCTGTTCGTGATCGCATGGTCCCTCCTCCACCACCACCCCACCATCTCTATGCGAAGGCTAACACCTCATCTTCCATCTTCCTGCACTGGAGGAGGCCTGCATTCACCGCTGCACAAATCATTAACTACACCATCCGCTGTAATCCTGTTGGCCTGCAGAATGCTTCTTTGGTTCTGTACCTTCAAACGTATGTAGCTCCTGTTAATGGTTATTTTCTTTGCTTACCTCACCACACCCCCACTCCAACTTCTACCTCTTACCATCTTGGGCCCAGCTCGGGCTTCACCTGTAAGCATTTGTTTCAGGACTTAAGTTATTTATGAAGTGGCTAGGAGTTTTGCATCCTTACCATATTCTGAAAACCATACTTTTTGACATTTAATTTATGTAAGTGATTTTTAAATTTTCCTTGCCTCATGCAACAAGATTAGGCAAGAAGCTATTATTACTCTCAAGTGATTAAACTGAGCATGTTTAAAGAAAGAAAGGAGACTATTTTCATGCTGGCAGTCAAAAAGTAGGGCCAGTTGTCTTTCTGTTTCTAGGTTAGAGTTAAGAAAGATGCCCATCACGGTGCTCTAAAAGAATGATTTTGGGGGGGCTGAGGTGGTAGGATTGCTTAAGTCAGAAGTTTAAGATCAGCCTGGGCAACATAGCCAGATCCCATCTCTCCAAAAATATTTTTTTATATCAGCCAGGTATAGTGGTGCATGCCTGTAGTCCTGGCTACTTGGGAAGCTAACACAGGAGAATTGCTTGTGCTTAGGAGATGAAGGCTGCAGTGAGCTATGATCCCACTACTGCACTCTAGCCTGAATAACACAGCAAGACCTCATCATGAATGAATGAATGAATGAATGAATGAATGAATGATTTGACTTCCAGTATTTCAGAGGAAATCCCTTTGTATTGGGACATTTCGAGTTTACTGTCAAAGAGAGGCAACTAGTAGGCTTATTTCTACAGGACAATACCAAATGTAGTATTTTTTAAAGTCCAATTAAATTGTTCTTTAGTCTAAACATTTTTTCATATAAAATAAGGAGGTAATGAAAAATAACATTATGCCCTTACCTATTTGGAAATGCTGACATTCTTTTACAAACAATATTATACTACCAGCATTAACAACTTCATCACTCGTTATTATAGATCAGAAACTCACATGTTGGTTCAAGGTCTAGAACCAAACACCAAATACGAATTTGCCGTTCGATTACATGTGGATCAGCTTTCCAGTCCTTGGAGCCCTGTAGTCTACCATTCTACTCTTCCAGAAGGTAAAGAAAACAGCTCCCTATAGATTTTATCTTTAAAAAAAATTAAGGAAATGTTTTAAAAATATGTATGTCATTCTGTGTAGGATACTACCCTAGTTGCCACCTACCACTTGATATATGTATTTGTTTTGTTTCATTTTTTGGCTTTTGAAATTTCTTTTTCCTTATTTTATTTAAATTTTTTCTTCTCAGTGTGTGTATTGTGCAAGCACGTAGGCTTAAATTTAGTGTCCTTTTAGAAACCTTAAAAAAAGATCAGGTGTGCTGTTCAAATTTGCAGCCAAAAAATTTTAAATGGCGGTAAGTGAATAATATGTTTGTTAATGATCTTAGGAGCCAACGTTATAATGAAGTTATTTCTGTATGAATAGCAGCTTGATAGTGTGCACAGTGCAATTTGTATATCGGATTGAGCACCAATTCTGTAGCTTATCTGTGGCTCTAGCTAAGATATTTTATGTCTCTAGACCAACATTTTCTTATCTCTAGAATGAGGACGAAGGACTAGATAATCTATTATATAAGCATCATTTCTGCTCTATTTTAATTATACAGAGAGAAAGTAAGGGACATTTATGACAGTGAACATAGGACTTTGTTGCTATGGTTTTGGCAATATTCCATATAAGATGTGTTAAAAACCAGCTCTTCACACTTTTAGCTTATATTAAACATGGAGTCAACTTAAATTCCAAGATTTTACTGTTTTTCACAGATATATTATTAGATGTAAGTCTGCCCTGTAAATTCACTGATTCACAATTTTTCCAGGAATAACTAAATGTTTTAATGTCAGGAGCATTTTCTTCACTGGCCTCCTAGATCAGGTTAAGTTGATGTTCTATACATGTTAGTAAGAACTATCAGTACTAATGGGGTGAAACCCAATATCTGATGGACAGGTGCTGTTTGTGGAAGTAAACATTTCTAGTTAGCAATTTAGCAAAACGTTTCAGGAACCTTAAAAATGCTATCCCGTTAACTTAGATTCTCCATCTAGGAATCTAATGTGTTTTAATGTTTGAGTATTATGAAAATACAAGAAGAAAAATGGTACTTTAGTATTATCACTAATGATCTTTGAAAGCTGTGATTTCTTATGGAGGTTTCTAATTTTTTGAACTTTTTTCTAAGCCTATAAGCCAGGTATTTGAGTATTTATGAACCATTTTACTATATTAATACAATGTTTTGTTGTGTCTGCACAGCACCAGCAGGCCCACCAGTTGGAGTAAAAGTGACATTAATAGAGGATGACACTGCCCTGGTTTCTTGGAAACCCCCTGATGGCCCAGAAACAGTTGTGACCCGCTATACTATCTTATATGCATCTAGGAAGGCCTGGATTGCAGGAGAGTGGCAGGTCTTACACCGTGAAGGTAAATATCATAAATTGCCATGAAGGGTGAAAAGTACGATTATTAATATTAAAGAAACAAAAGGAAAGGGGAATCTAGAGTTTATTTTGAATTTACATTTTTATGTATGAAGTAATAAAAGATTTTGGCTTTGTTCAAAGGGCATCGGGAAGCCATCCACCAATTTTAAGAATAGTTTGTATTTCAAAAAGGTTACTGTTACTTTTGTTAATAGAAGAGATATAGCCGGGCGCAGTGGCTCACGCCTGTAATCTCAGCACTTTGTGAGGCCGAGGCGGATAGATTACCTGAGGTCCGGAGTTCAACACCAGCCTAACCAACATGGTGAAACCCCATCTCTACTAAAAATACAAAAATTAGCTGGGTGTGATGGCAGGCGCCTGTAATCCAAGCTACTTAGGAGGCTGAGGCAGGAAATTGGCTTGAACCCAGGAGGCGGAGTTGCATTGAGCTGAGATTGCACCATTGCACTCCAGCCTGGGCAACAAGAACAAGACTCTGTCTCGGGGGGGTAAAAAAAAGAGGTTTGGTTGAGGCCAACTGGAGATTAGAGTAATGCAAATGGACTAGTTAGGAAATTACCGTAGTCGTCCAGGAAAGAGGTGATAGTCCTGGACTAGGATAGTGAGGATTAAGATGGAAAGGATAGGATGGTTGGCCGGTATTTGGGAGTTAAAATTGATAGAACTTGATAGCTTGGATGATAGAAGGGAGAGAAGATTGAGGAAGGGAGATTTGTTATGGATGAGTCTTAGGTTTCTGATAGTGTGTCTTGCAAGGAGAAGGAAACACTGGAAGGAGATATGATTGAAGGGAGAAGACCTTAGTAGTGCTAAAGGGACTAAAATGGTCCACATATGAAAAAAAAAATTGACCCGTATGAATATTAGAGTCCTCTTAAATACAGGGAAAAGCTGATTAGGGCTTAAGAACACGGAATTTAATTTTTTAAAGAGTAATTTTTTTTTAGTTGAGAAAAACTGAATTACAAAGTTTTTAGGTTTCTTACTGCATACTTTTATCATATCCTTTTCTAAATCTTGCATTTTTTTTTTTTTAAGACAGAATCTCAGCCTCCTGAGTAGCTGGGATTACAGGCATGCACACCACCACGCCCAGCCTAAATCTTGAATCTTTAAGTTGGACAAGTCACATTTGCCAGATTTTAGATGGGCCATCACATAAATAGTAAAACTTCATTATTTTGGCACTTCCTTAATTTAGACATATATTCTGAGAAGAGAGTAGTTTGCCAACCAATAAAAAGCTGAAGAAGAATTTCAGGCAGGAAATGTAGTGGCCACCTATACACTATATTCTATACACTGTACAGTACTAGGCACTCCCACATACATTGTACTTTTCAAGAGGAATATTTACCCAATTAAGAAGATAAATTTAAAAGATATTTATGTTCATGTAATATAAAACTCTTATGAGTTTTAAAATAAGCAGATGATGACTTTACCTGGAGTTTTGATCGTTGCATGTTCGTATTTTTCATTAAGCGGAAGCCCCACTAAGTAATGATTTCCTGGTCACTGAAGGGACTTGAAAGTACTAAGTATTTGGCAGCAATATGATTTTATGTTTATATCGGTTATCTATTGCTGCCTAACAAACTAATTTACAACTTAAAATAACCATTTTGTTTTCTCACAATTCTTTGAGTCAACAATTTGGACTGAAATCAGCTTGGCAGTTCTGTTGGTCTCTCACGAGGCTGCAGCCATATTACAGTTTTGATAGGCTCTGAGTAGTCTAAAAACGGCAAGACAGAGGCTGGGCGCAGTGGCTCATGCCTGTAATCCCAGCACTTTGGGAGGCTGAGGCAGACGGATCACGAGGTCAGAAGTTCAAGACCAGCCTGACCAATATGGTGAAACCCTGTCTCTACTAAAAATACAAAAATTAGGCAGGCATGGTGGCACATGCTTGTAGGCCCAACTACTCGGGAGGCTGAGACAGGAGAATTGCTTGAACCAGGGAGGCAGAGGTTGCAGTGAGCTGAGACTGTGCCACAGCACTTCAGCCTGGGTGATAGAGTGAGACTCTGTCTCAAAAAACACACACACACACACACACACACACACACCCAGAACCAACAACAGAGGGCTCCCCAGTCAGGAAGAGAAGAGAGGAAGCCCCACATACAAAGCTTTCACAAGCCTCTGCTTGCTTCACATTCGCTAATGTCTGATTGGGCAGAGTAAGCTACATGGCCAAGTCTGAAACCAGTGTTGGGAGGGCTACAGGGGTGTGAATCGATGCGGGTGTAATTCACTGGGGCCCTCAGTATTACAGTCTACCACAGTATTCTTTTTTTTTTTTGGAGACGGAGTCTCGCTCTGTTGCCCAGGCTGGAGTACAGTGGATCTTGGCTCACTGTAACCTCTTCCTCCTGGGTTCAAGTCATTCTCCTGCCTCAGCCTCCCGAGTAGCTGGGACTACAGGCACACGCCATCATGCCTGGCTAATTTTTTGTATTTTAGTAGAGACGGGTGTTTCACTGTGTTGCCCAGGCTGGTCTCGAACTCCTGAGCTCAGGCAATCTGCCCACCTCAGCCTCCCAAAGTGCTAGGATTACAGGCATGAGCCACCATGCCTGGCCTCACAGTTTTCTTAAAATGTATAATTTAGTTTCAGTCATTCAAGTCCAAAATGATTTATTGACACAGCACTTAACCAAATAACTAACCTGATTTAATGAGGTGTTGTAAGTATTAATAAAGAATTTTGATAGCATGAACACATACTTCTTTTAGTTCTTCATTTGCACCTGCCTAAAAAGAAGCAGTATAGAGCCAGGTGCAGTGGCTCACGCCTGTAATCCCAGCAGTTTGGAGGCTGAGGCAGGTGGATCCCCTGAGGTCAGGAGTTGGAGACCAGCCTGGCCAACATAGTGAAACCTCATCTCTACTAAAAATATAAAAAATTAGCCAGGCGTGGTGGCAGGCGCCTGTAATCCCAGCTACTAGGTAGGCTGAGGCAGGAGAATCACTTGAACCCAGGAGACAGAGGTTGTGGTGAACCGAGATAATGCCATTGCACTCCAGCCTGGTCAACAAGAGTGAAACACCATCTCAAAAAAAAAAAAAAAAAAAAAGCAATGTATATTTTGTTCTGGCTCCTTTTAAATGTATTCATTTGTAATTTTGGAACAGAGCTCAGAAAATAGTATTTTGTCTCATTGATGGCTCAGTAGTGAAAGGGATTACAGTTACAGATTTTTACATCTGTATAAGCCTTTCTAGCTATATAATAGTGCACAGGAAAAATATTCTCTTAGTTGTTGTGGTTTTAAGAAACATTTGTGAAAAGCTTTTGTCATTTGTTAAATGCAGAGAACTTTTTTCGTAGCTAAGGCCAATGATTCATAGAGAACAAATAAATCAGTAAAAAGCAACTGAGTTTACTTTTCTGAGAGAGAAAAACAGTTTGACTCACATTTAAACAAAAAGCAAGGAATATAACATGGCATTTAAAGAAAAATTAAAATGTCTTTTATGTATAATTATGGCAGCTTTTGGAAAAGGTACGGTATAGAAAAAGATGAAGGAAAAAAGAATAGGGAGAGTGTCAGTTTCTCATTAGGTTTATACATATTTACATATATATTTAATCCACATATTTTAATACAAATGGAACAAGGTAGTTTTTGTGAATCAAAACATTTAAAAATGTTTCTGGTGAGCATATAATACTTGTGGCTAAAATGGTACATGGTAGTACAATAGTTGAGCAGAAACATCATATGAAATTATACTTGTATGTAATTTAAAGTAAATAAAAAATTATAGGGCGTGGTGGCATGCACCTGTAGTCCCAGCTACTCGGGAGGCTGAGGCAGGAGAATCGCTTGAACTCAGGAGACAGCAGTTGCAGTGAGCCGAGATCGTGCCACTGCACTCAGTATTAAAAAAAAAAGATTACAGGCCTTTACCCTCCTCATATGCAGTAAATCAGCACAAACTGCTCAATTCTTTTTAAATCTAAAAAGCACTGGAGGAAATTATGTTCTGTCTCAGCAATTCATGAATTCTGTCCTTTATGAGTTTACTGATATCATAAAGATGCCCCTCTTTCAAAAAATTTTCATCATGGTTAAATAAGTTGGAGGAATACCATATACCTTTCCTCTTGTTAGAGATTCACACTGGAAATTAGCAATCTTGTAATAAAGGAATCCATTTAACTCAACATTTGCCAAATGAATTGGACCACCAATAGTAGGAACATTTTCTTTTACTAAACTAATTCTTACTGAGTGATGACTATGTGCCAGGCTCTATTCTAGGCACTGGCAGTACCGCAGTGACCAAAACAAAGTCCCTACCTCCACTGGAGCTTGTATCACAGGTAACAAACCAACAAATATATACATTTTCAAGTAGTGTCATAAATGCTATAAAGACAGTTACAATAGGGAAAAGAGACAAAGTGATAGAGATAGTAAAAGAGTTCCTGCGGAAGAAATGACATTCAAACATAACCCTGTGGATATCTGGGGGAGGTGCAAAGGCCCTGAGGCAGAAGTGTGCATTGGCATGTTAGAGGAACAGCAAGAAGGCCAAGGAGATTGGAGTGAGGGGAAGAGCAGGCAGTAAGAAATGAAGTAGGGAGGTAACTAAGGGCAGATGTAGACCAGATTTCATGAGCCATAGATTTTATTCTAAGAGAGAGGAAGGTATTGGAGACCTTTGATTAGGTTTACGTTGAGAAAGGATTGCTTTGGCAGCCACCTGAGAAGTAGATTGTAAGGAGGTAAGAGTGGAAGCTAGGAGACCATTTCATAGGCAGGTGTCCATGTGAGAGTTGATGAGGGCTTGGACAGGAGTGGTAATGGTGAAAGTAATAAGCTGTTGGAACATAAGTAGAAAAAAAAGCCAGTCAGATATGCTTGTAGATTGATGTGGGGCATCAGAAAAAACAGAAGCCAGATCACTGGGAGAAATCAAGGGTTTGGTTTTGAAAGTGTGAAATTTGAGATGTGTCTTAGCTGTCCATGCAGAGAGGCTGATTAAGCAGAGGCTGATTAAGTTTATGGGAGAGTTTTGGACTATAGATATATCTAGTTATCAATGTATAGGTGATGTTTAAGGCTGTGGATCTGGAAAAAAAATCACATAAGCATGTGGACAGAAGAGAGAAAAATCTGAGATTGTATCCTGGGGCACTTCTCCAACCCCAAAATCTTTTGCTTTTATAATTTGAATGGACACTATGGTCCAAATATGAAAAAAAGTTTTCTGTCTTCCAAAAGAGGAAGAAGAGGAGTCGGAGGTAAAGGAAGAAAACTCACTTTTATTTACACTTGTGTCAGATACTTGCCAATAATAGTTTATTTAATCCTTATAATAATTATATAAGGTGGGAACTATTGTCTCCGTGAGGAAAGTACAGTTCAGTAACGTGCCCCAAGTTAGAAATTGCTCGCTTGGTTACATGACGAGATTTGACCAGCACTGATGTGAATTAGCCTGTTATACTGTCTTGCTTGTAAGATTCCTAGTCTGACTGAAGATTCAGACACATATAAAAGGCAGGAGACGGAAATAATCACACTAATTAAGATTGAGAAGTCTGTTGAGAGAATATAGACAGATCACTGAGATCACTTCAGTATTTGTGAAATGCTTTGAGTGTCCTCATAGGGGAACCAGAATGTTATAGTTTCCCTTTTTTCTAAATGAAGATACTTTTTGGGGGAAAAGGGGAATGCGTGCACACATGTACTGCTGGTCCTTGTATAAAACAAATTAAGTGAAAAGACTTAGTTTCTGGTAGTGATTAGTTTTTGCCAAGTACTTTTTAAAATTAAATGCATTTTACCATAAAATGGAAACTCAATTTATTTATATCTGTTTGTGAAGACATGGAAATGTTCTTCCTTTCAGCTAAGTGTAACATGTCACAATACATCTTTGTTTTTTTAATTCCTCTGCCTAAAAACATAGCAACAGTGGAAAGACTCTTCCTGATTCTAAATAGGGGTCACTTTGTTTATTGAACAGTTGTGTACTCAAGTAGCTCACACTCTCTTCAGGCCAAGCTGAAACCAGAGAACATGAAAACAAGTTGTGTTCTGGCTCCTGGCATCGCTGCTGGAGGTTTGGCTGCCTCACACCGTGTGACCTGCAGAGATGGCCTCCGTCTCATGACCTCAGCTTTATGATCACCCCATGTTTCATTTGCCTAATGAAATATATTCCAGCAAGTGCACTGGAGTAGGTACCTTTGGCCAGGAGGCAACTGTCACAAACTATTGTAAACTCTTTGAAGCTATTGTAAGGTTGCCCTGAGTCAGGAAAAAATGAGATGAAATCAGCACAGGAAAGCTAGATTTCCCTGTGCATATCCACCCACAAACATAGTGCTGAAACAACTTTCTGGTTGAATTTCTATTACACTTTTAGCACTAGAATTAATTCCTAGGGTAGGAATTTTTTTGTAAGGGAAATACTTTGGTGCAGTGGCAGAACAAGGACAGAAAGACACCTAAGAAATGGCAGTGTCCAAATAGGAATCTTTCTTATCAGTCATGCAACAGAGAAAATACCTTTAGATATCAAATGTCATGTATAAATTCAAATGATAATTGCTTATGAAGAGAAGTAGATCTTACACAGATTGCTGGTGGTGATTTTGATAGTTTAATCTGAGACCTGTCTTCAGTACTCTGAGGTTCCTGCGTAACTGTGCATTTTCTTCCCTGTTTATCTTGAATCTGTGACAATAATTAGGCCAGGCTGGGTGCGGTGACTCACACCTGTAATCCTCGTACTTTGGGAGGCCGAGGTGGGCAGATTACTTGAGGTCAGGAGTTCAAAACCAGCCTGGCCAACATGGTGAAATCCCATCTCTATTAAAAATACAAAAGAATTGGCCGGGCGTGGTGGCTCATGCCTGTAATCCCATCACTTTGGGAGGCCGAGGCGGGCAGATCACGAGGGCAGGAGATCGAGACCATCCTGGCTAACACGGTGAAACCCTGTCTCTACTAAAAATATAAAAAATTAGCCAGGCATGGTGGCGGGCGCCTATAGTCCCAGCTACTCAGGAGGCTGAGGCGGGAGAATGGCGTGAACCTGGGCGGCGGAGCTGACAGTGAGCCAAGATCGTGCCGCTGCACTCTAGCCTGGGCGACAGAGTGAGACTCCGTCTCAAAAAAAAAAAAAAAAAAAATTAACCTGGTGTGGTGGTGGGTGCCTGTAGTCCCAGCTACTCAGGTGGGTGAGGCAGGAGAATTGCTTGAACCCAGGAGGTGGAGGTTATAGTGAGCCATGATCATGCCACTGCACTCCAGCCTGGCGACAGAGCAAGACTCCATCTCAAAAAAAAAAAAAAAAATTAGACCAGTAAAAATATATTCATGCTTTCAAAAATAATCATGTTGTTCTAATTTAGGTAGGAAGAACAGGATTACCTGTCACAGCTATTACCATAAACACTCCCAATTAAAAAAAGATTCTTGCATTGGATTTTTAAAAATCCAATTATAATCATTGAAAGCTTGGCACAGTGGAGTGGGCCCGTAGTCCCAACTACTGGGGAGCCCAGGAGTTCCAGTCCAGTCTGGGCCATGTAGCAAGACCCTGTCTCTAAAAAATAAGAGTATAATTATTGAATCTGGGTTCATTATACCATTATTTTCGTGTGCATGTTTCAAATGTTCCATAATAAAATGTCCTAAATTCTGTTTGTATTCATATCTATGTAAAGAGTAAAACATTACACACACACACACACACACACACACACACACACACACACACACACACACACACACACACATATATATATATATATACAAAGCCAAACAAAAATGTGTACTGTTTTTAAGAACTCCTAAAATAGAATTACAGAAAAGGATTATATTGGGGAAATGTACATACTACAATGTTAAGTGAAAACTCTAATATATAAAAATTCATGCAGTAAATATATATTCACAAATATTCACGTATGCACACACAAAATACACTACAATGTTAACAATGAAAGATTGTAATTTTATTTATATTTTTATTTTCTAAATGTTCTACAATATGTGTCATCTTTATAATCAGAAAAATATTTTTAAAAATAAAGGAACGTGTTTGTATAATATGAGTGAAAGAATAAAAGATAAATGTTCACTTAATTTGTAATTGATGTATTTCTAGGGGCAATAACCATGGCTTTGCTAGAAAACTTGGTAGCAGGAAATGTGTACATTGTCAAGATATCTGCATCCAATGAGGTGGGAGAAGGACCCTTTTCAAATTCTGTGGAGCTGGCAGTACTTCCAAAGGAAACCTCTGAATCAAATCAGAGGCCCAAGCGTTTAGATTCTGCTGATGCCAAAGGTCTGTATACTGCCGTAGTCACTGTGATTTTTCTTAAGAAAAAAAGTGTTCTTCCTTACACATTATTTCTGCTCCTACAATTGCTGTATCCCTAAACCGGCTCTCAGTTCCGTAAGTTGTTGCTGATGAGCTTCTGATGTTATAGAGTTGCATGGCTTTTCCTCATACTCCTAGAAGGAGGCAAAATTATCTCAGAATCAACTGCAGTTTTGAAATCACTGTTTCCAGTTACTTCTTCTCCCAGCTGTGCATCCACCAAGACAGAGGAGCCACATCAGCCATGAACTGGTAGGAGTGGGCTTCCTGAGAGGTTTCACAGAAATAAACAGCAGTGGTGGTTGTGGTGTTCAAGTTAAGAAGAGAGCATGGTTTTCATTAAGAGTTTTCACCACAGAGAAACAGCTTTTCTGGAGAGAAAGTTTTTTTTTTTTTTTTCCCTCTCTGTCTCCAGAAAAGCAATTGGAAAAAATATCTTTAAAGAGCTACCCTTACACTACTCATCACAGCTGTCCATGTGTTCTCAAGAAAGCTGGTGCCCCCTGTAGCACAGGACTGGACACTGCCTTTGCCTCCTCTCTGGGGGAGTAGGCTTGTGGAGAAGAGGGGCTGCTCTAAATGGAGGAAATGCCAGCTGAACTCAGGGCAGGATTAAGGGCTCGTAGCTTCACAGAGAATGGTCATTCGGTGCCAGGGATGTGTGTGTGTTAGAAAGAGAATGAGAGAGGAAAAGAGCAGGACAGGGCAGTCAGTTTTAAGAACAGGAAGGAGGTAGCCATCGTAGCCACCGTGTTATCAGGGGAAATGGAAAGCAAGGCTCATATTGGCTTCTCAAATACCTTGCCACTCAAAGTAGTCTAGAGCCCAGCAGCATGGCATCACCTGAGAGCTCCGTAGACTCGCAGAATCACATGCCCCACCCCAGACTTAGTGAGTCAGAGTCGGCATTTCCACATAATCCCTAGTGACTCACAGGCACATGAAAGTTTGAGAAGCCCTGCTTTAGTGTATGTAAATGGAAAACTAATCTTCAACATGCAGATCTGCTTTTAAGGCATGACATAAAATCTGTTCTTGGGTCTATCAAGGAACATCTATGTTTTGTACCTGTTTTATAAATTATGAATTGATGTTCATGATTGCTATAATAATATATCTAAAACTCATTTAAAATCTTTAATATTGGGCCGGGCGTGGTGGCTCACGCCTGTAATCCCAGCACTTTGGGAGGCCGAGGCAAGCGGATCACGAGGTCAGGAGATCGAGACCATCCTGGCTAACACGGTGAAACCCCGACTCTACTAAAAATACAAAAAAAAAAAAAAAAAAAAACTTAGCTGGGCGTTGGTGGTGGGTGCCTGTAGTCCCAGCTACTCGGGAGGCTGAGGCAGGAGAATGGCAGGAACCCGGGAGTTGGAGCTTGCAGTGAGCTGAGATTGCGCCACTGCACTAGCCTGGGCAACAGAGCGAGACTCCGTCTCAAAAAAAAAAAAAAAAACTTTAATATTGGAAGAGAAATCTGTCTCTGAAATCACTGATTAAAGATTACTGTGTGTCCTTTCTGCTTTGATGTTGACAATGTCAAAACTTTTCCTATGAGATAAAGAAAAATTTTGGAAAAGCAAGTACCTGAGAATTATAAATTAAATAATTTATTTTTCTGATTGATTCTGAGTAAATGTGTTTTCCCTTCTAGTTTATTCAGGATATTACCATCTGGACCAAAAATCAATGACTGGCATTGCTGTAGGTGTTGGCATAGCCTTGACCTGCATCCTCATCTGTGTTCTCATCTTGATATACCGAAGTAAAGCCAGGTGTGTTTCCATTGCTAGAGATGTTGAGGTGAAAAACATTTAAATTACGGTAGCCACAGGAAACAAATGAAAGTCAAGTGCCTTTTAGAGTAACTGGGATTTCCTACTTTAAAATAAATGTGCAGTATTGTTCCCTGAGTTCTTACAGCTATAGAAATGTGCTCATTTTAGAGGGAGATTATTTTCTTGCTGTTTGAAAACATTATGCCAATATTCTTTTTTTTTCTTTTTTCTTTTCTTTTATTTTTTTGAGACGGAGTCTCACACTGTCGCCCAGGCTGGAGTGCAGTGGTGCAATCTCGGCTCACTGCAAGCATCACCTCTTAGGTTCATGCCATTCTCCTGCCTCAGTCTCTCGAGTAGCTGGGACTCCAGGCGCCCGCCACCACGCCCAGCTAATTTTTTTTTTTTTTGTATTTTTAGTAGAGATGGGGTTTCACCGTGTTAGCCAGGATGGTCTTGATCTCCTGACCTCGTGATCTGTGATCTGCCCGCCTCATCCTCCCAAAGTGCTGAGATTACAGGTATCAGCCACTGCTCCCAGCCAATGCTAATGCCAATATTCTTAAATGAGGACTAGTGTCCTTTTTTTTTTTTTTGAGACAAAGTCTCATTCTGTCGCCCAGGCTGGAGTGCAGTAGCACAGTCTCAGCTCACTGCAACCTTCACCTTTTGGGTTCAAGCCATTCTCCTGCTGCAGCCTCCCAAGTAGCTGGCATTACAAGCGCCTGCCACCACGCCTGGCTAATTTTTATATTCTTAGTAGATTTCACCATGTTGGCCAGGCTGGTCTTGAACTCCTGACCTTAAATGGTCTGCCCACCTTGGCCTCCCAAAGTACTGCAATTACAGGCGTGAGCCACCGCGCCCGGCCTAGTATCCTCATTTTCTTAGTATTTTGAGAAACAGAAAGAATATCCTTTGGTTTAAAAATAATAATAATGGCACACTTGTGCAGGCATGGTGGTATCACACCTTGGTAATCCCAGACCTTTGGGAAGTCAAGGTGGGAGGATCCCTTGAGGCCAGGAGTTTCAGACCAGCCTAAGCAACATAGTGAGATCTTATCTCTACAAAAAATGTTAGGCCGGGTGCAATGGTTCACGCCTGTAATCCCAGCACTTGGGGAGGCCGAGGTGAGCGGATCACCTGAGGTCGGGAGTTCAAGACCAGCCTGACCAACATGGAGAAATCCTGTCTCTACTAAAAATACAAAATTAGCTGGGTGTGGTGGTAGGCGCCTATAATCCCAGCTACTCGGGAGGCTGAGGCAGGAGAATGGCATGAACCCGGGAGGGGGAGCTTGCAGTGAGCCGAGATCGTGCCACTGCACTCCAGCCTGGGCGACAGAGCAATACTCCATCTCAAAAAAAAAAAAAAAGTTAAAATTAGCTGAGCATAGTGGGCATGTGACTGTAGTCGTAGCTGCTTAGGAGGTTCAGGTGGGAAGATCATTTGAGCTCAGGAGTTTGAGGTTACAGTGAGCTATGATCGTAGCACTGCACTCCACCCTGGGCAGCAGAGTGAGAGATCCTGTCTAAAAAAAAAAAAAGAAAACACAATTAATCATGTTTACAAGAAGATTGCTTTTTCTTACTATCTGGAATATTTTCTGTTTCAGTAACAGTGCCTGAAATGCCTGAGTCGCTGAGAACACCACGGGACATATGGTGGGATTCTCTAGACAAGGGTTAAAACAAATGTAATAAACATGGATTGAGTGTCTATAAACTCTGTCATGCAATCTCATCTATGGATTGACTTTGGCTAAATTTTTAGCAGTAACTTGCATTCAGTGAACTTGTCTATTTTTAGCCTTTTATATTTTGGGTTTTGTTTTCATTTATTAAGGCTATTTTTTTGAATTAAAAAAAAATCAACGTCAAATACACGTTGTTTTAGGTAATCCCCGTCATTAGACTCCCTCCATTAGCATAGATTTTTCAGTTTATATGTTTTGTAGCTCTACATGGAAACATACTACTCAAAACATTATGTTAATGAAATAGTTCTAACATTTTTGTGTGTATTGAATTGCCTTAGTTTTATTGTCCAAGTTTCTCACTTTAAGAATTTTTTAATAAAATATTTATGCACATTTATGCACATTTATTACTGCCTAAATCTTGAAGTACTACTCTAAATTTACCATCATTAATTGGAAAGTGAATTGTTATGCTAGTGTAATAATCCTCAGACCTTAAGGGGAAAATAGAAGTTAAAAATTGTAATTTCTGCACAAATTATGAATAAGCAACAATACTTGTAGAGAGTAATTTTAGATGAAGTAGACAGCGAGGCAAAAAGAAATAAAGATGCCTCTTCAAATAATAAAAGTTTGCAGCAGTAAGTTAAAATCTAACACTCGATTCTAAAAATATTTGAGAAATGGGTATTAAAGAACTGCATTGCTTACAAAGTTTTGTTGATAGGCCAGGTGGTTCATTTGCCTGCATCTTCTATGAAATTAGAAGACTTCCTCTTCTTGCCAATGTTTTAGGAAATCATCTGCTTCCAAGACGGCACAGAATGGAACTCAACAGTTACCTCGTACCAGTGCCTCCTTAGCTAGTGGAAATGAGGTAGGAAAGAACCTGGAAGGAGCTGTAGGAAATGAAGAATCTTTAATGCCAATGATCATGCCAAACAGCTTCATTGATGCAAAGGTACTGAGCTGCGGGATTTGCTGCATAAGCCGTTCTTCCATTCCTCCTCCCTGTGTGTGTAAAATGTACTTCCCCCAAAATTGTATGTTGAATGTATTATACCAATACTCTTATTAATGAAATATTGAAATTTTACCGAGATCATTCCTTACATAAAATATTTAGGGGGAAAAAGGTGAGGATAGATAAAAGGTGAGAAAGATGCCATAATATATAGCATATAATATAATCTCATTTATATTATATTCCAACATATAATCTCAGTTAGATGAGATTATATGGAGTGAAGTTGTTTTAACCAAGGACACCATGGTCATTAGTCTATATTTACTATAATTTGGACTGACCTGTATTTACTGGGTGGTCACCTTTTTGTTAATCCATTTGACTTAGTTTGGCTGATTGTTGAACTTAATTGCTTATCAGAACATCCCAAGTATGAATGCCATTTTTAAAAATATGGAGCATCTAAATAGGTGCCTCAAGATCCTTCGTTTTATGGCTGAAGAAAGTTGTACAGAAACACCATTGGAAGAAGTTACTTCATGTCCTTTCCAGTATATATAATAATAGTGCTGTTGTAAGCATTGTGAACAATAACTTTTAAAATTATTTTTAGTCACATTACAACTTTAGATACTGTACGTTATTGGAATAGCTCCCACAACCAATGTGCTATAAATCAGTTGTCAGCAAACAGTCCCACCCAGGCTAGCCTGGGGCCTGTTTTTGTTTGGCTACCTTCTGAGCTAAGACTGTTTTTTACTTTTTTTTTAAGATGGAGTTTCAGTCTTGTTGCCCAGGCTGGAGTGCAGTGGTACGATCTCGGCTCACTGTGACCTCCACCTCCCGGTTCGAGCGATTCTCCTGCCTCAGCCTCCCGAGTAGCCGGGATTACAGGCGTGCGCCACCATGCCTGACTAATTTTGTATTTTTAGTAGAGATGGGGTTTCACCGTGTTGGTCAGGCTGGTCTCGAACTACTGACCTCAGATGATCTGCCCGCCTTGGCCTCCCAAAGTGCTGGGATTACAGGTGTGAGCCACCGTGCCCAGCTGTTTTTTACATTTTTAAAGGTTGTTTACAAAAAAAAATCCAAGATGATGATGATAGGACACAGGCCATATGTGGCCTGCAAAGCCTAAAATAGTTACGATCTGGCCCTCTACAGAAAAAGTTTGCCAAACCCTGTTATAAATTATTTTTCCTTTATCCTTTCCTAAAATTTAGAATAACAGAAGTATAACAAAATTTCAGGCAGTTTTGATACTAAATTTTATGAATTATATTCAACAGATGTAATTTACTTGTATCTAGTACAGCATTGTATACAATACATATTATAGGTAAATATGAATAAATGAATATTTGCTATTTCTCTTTTTTTTGTTTGCAGCCTAATTTAGGTTTTACTTTTCAATACAAATTAAGCCATTCAACTTATTTCAAATTGATCTAAAACATTAGAACCTAAAACTTTTAAATGAGCTTAAAAAGTACTGATACAGGCCAAGTGCGGTGGTTCACGCCTGTAATTCCAGCACTTTGGGAGGCCAAGGTGGGTGTATCACCTGAGGTCGGGAGTTCGAGACCAGCCTGACCAACATGGAGAAACCCCAGCTCTACTAAAAATACAAAAATTAGCCAGGTGTGGCCGGGCGCGGTGGCTCACGCCTGTAATCCCAGCGCTTTGGGAGACCAAGGCGGGCGGATCACGAGGTCAGGAGATCGAGACCATCCTAGCTAACATGGTGAAACCCCGTCTCTACTAAAAATTTAAAAAAAAAAAAAATTAGCCGGTCATGGTAGTAGGCGCCTGTAGTCCCAGCTACTTGGGAGACTGAGGCAGAAGAATGGTGTGAACCCGGGAGGCAGAGCTTGCAGTGAGCTGAGATTGCACCACTACAATCCAACCTGGGTGACAGAGCGAGACTGTCTCAAAAAAAAAAAAAAAAAAATTAGCTGGGTGTGATGATGCATGCCTGTAATCCCAGCTACTCGGGAGGCTGAGGCAGGAGAGTTGCTTGAACCCAGGTGGCAGAGGTTGCAATGAGCCGAGATCGCGCCATATTCTCCAGCCTGGGCAACAAGAACGAGACTCTGTCTCAAAAAAAAAAAAAAAAAAACAAGTACTAATATGTAACTGTGATTGTATTATTACTAGTTTGGAAGTAGATATGAGAGAGGTTAGGAGAGAAGCAGAGTGGGGAGGATGATGTAGGGAAAAAAAGAAACTAAAGTGAAAGGAGCAGAGAGGTAGAGGCCTGAAGTGAAGGAGAGAGACACATTTGGAGAGTATCTCTCTTAATTCCCTTGGGTTAGCCCTAGAGTTGATACTCCATCTAATGTCATTTTGTTGATCATATGTGGGTTCATTATGGTTTGTTTATCCTCATCTGCTTTTTAAAATTTTCAAACATACAGAAAAGTTGAGAGAATAATGTACTGAATATACAAATTAATAATTGTTAATATCATAGTTTTGTATCTTTATATACTTTTTGCTTGCTATACCATTTGAAAATAAGTTTTGGAATATATAGCACATATATATGTATCTTAATGTGTTTTGGAATATATATTTTATGTATAAGCTTAAAAATAAACCTATTATATTGTTTTGACCACTAACAAATACCTTGACTATGTTGTACTACCTGTTTTGTGTTTGTTTGTTTTGTTTTGTCTTGTTTTGTTTTTTTGAGACAGAGTCTTGCTATGTTACCCAGGCTGGAGTGCAGTGGCGCGATCTCGGCCCCGGGTTCACACCATTCTCCTGCCTCAGCCTCCCCAGCAGCTGGAACTAGAAGCGCACGCTACCATGCCCAGCTAATTTTTTTTGTATTTTTAGTAGAGACGGGATTTCACTGTGTTAGCCAGGATGGTCTAGATCTCCTGACCTCATGATCCGCCCGCCTCAGCCTCTCAAAGTACTGGGATTACAGGCGTGAGCCACCGTACCTGGCCTATTTTGTTTTGTTTTGTTTTTTTTGAGACGGAGCCTTGCTCTGTTGCCCAGGCTGGAGTGCAGTGGCTTGATCTCAGCTCACTGCAACCTCTCCCTCCTGGGTTCAAGCAGTTCTCTGCCTCAGCCTCCTGAGGAGCTGGGATTACAGGCGCCTGCCACCACGCCTGGCTAATTTTTGTATTTTTAGTAGAGACGGGGTTTCACCATCTTGGCCAGGCTGGCCTTGAATTCCTGACCTCATGATCCACCCACCTTGCCCTCCCAAAGTGCTGGGGTTACAGGTGTGAGTCACTGTGCCCAGCCGTACTGCCTGTTTTAAAGAAGAAATGATCACATCTATGATCATTTTTGTTAACATTTAAGCATTTTGTGTACTAATGCTTACTATTTGGGTAATGAGTACATTAGAAGCCCAGTCCCCACTACCACACAATATGTACCCCACTCATGTAACAAACATGCACATGTACTCCCTGAATCTAAAATAAAATAAAAATGAAAAGGGAAATGTGAAGCATATAGTAAAAGTTAAAGTATGCACTACTTGTGATAAAGTGAAATCTGTGATACCAGGATATTTTACATTTCCCCTCTTTTATTTCCTCAGGGAGGAACTGACCTGATAATTAATAGCTATGGTCCTATAATTAAAAACAACTCTAAGAAAAAGTGGTTTTTTTTCCAAGACTCAAAGAAGATACAAGTTGAGCAGGTAACCTATCTAAATGAGAAAAATTTTTGGCAATGCGTGATATATGAAATGATGATTTAAAAAGAGGAAAATGTGAATTCATGCTTTATTTTAATTTTCTGTGTTCTTCATGGCTGTGATTTTATTAATTTGGGGCATGGCTCTGTGGAGAGCGAGGTGAATGATAACAGAAGTTGGAATAGTCATCAGAGCTGTGGTTTTCAGTGGGGAGTAGGGTCAGTGAGGTAAGGGATAGGAGCAGGAGCGTGCATCAGAAGCACTGAAGAAGCTTTTGACACTTCGCTTGCCACGGGTAATTCTGATGTGCTCCCACCTGTCTGTGGGGACCTGATGAGCTTTTGCTCGTGGATTCGATCAGTCTGGTATCTCATTGCCATCTTATCTTTTTTTGCCTAGCCTCAAAGAAGATTTACTCCAGCGGTCTGCTTTTACCAGCCAGGCACCACTGTATTAATCAGTGATGAAGACTCCCCTAGCTCCCCAGGTCAGACAACCAGCTTCTCAAGACCCTTTGGTGTTGCAGCTGATACAGAACATTCAGCAAATAGTGAAGGCAGCCATGAGACTGGGGATTCTGGGCGGTTTTCTCATGAGTCCAACGATGAGATACATCTGTCCTCAGTTATAAGTACCACACCCCCCAACCTCTGATTCTTTCACTGGCAGTGATTCAGGTGGAGATTCCGCATTGAGGAAGTGTGAAGACCCTGCTGTGTCATCTGTTAGTGAGCAGACTTCCTCCTTAGTTCTGCAGCCGCCATCTGCCATGCTATGCTTTGATAAAAATGATTTTCCAATCTAGACGGCCATGCTCAGGTATTCTCACCATTAAATCTGTTCGAAGGACAATGAACAGGGAACCAAAGCCTTTTGTGAAAATCTTAATATCTTTATGGGGTATTTTAGCTTTTTTTGAATGTGTTTTGTTTTTTATTTTTAAACTTGTGTAATTTGAATGTTTCATTGTCAGCAATGTGAAAGAACGGTCGAGATGTTTGACTGGATTATAAAATATATCACTGGAGCAAAGGGAAGACTTTTGAAAGCCCCTTTGCTGACTATCTACCTCAGTTTGCCTCCCGGCAAACTCTGAAGACAACTTTGTTACCTCATTTGTTGTTATAGTTTATCTCAGCTACATAACCAATGATACTTCCTAGTAGTATTGTGTTTTCATTGCTGTACGTGTAATGTGTGTGATCAAAGGAGTCATATAGGTAGATGAGTAAGAATGTTTATCTGAAGCTCTGATTTTTTTAAAAAAAGAAACTATGACATCTGCATGGTTTGGATAAGTTCATACCTCTGGCTGTGAGGACCGTTAAACCACTGAGAAGAGGAAAAGTGGGGCTATTTCTTCTAACGATGACCAAAACAAGAAAGTATATTTCTTTTGAGAACAGAACTATTCAATACCAGGTAGGGATCATTTTGCTTAAAAGGCCTTTATGTTTTGGGCATTAGAGTCTGAGTGCTTTATCTCCTATATCCCAAACCTCAAGCTGCCCAGAACTGTGCCTTTTCTACCTTCCCCTTTGCCTGACGGTTGGCCAAAGGCTGCACTGTCTAGTTTGCAAAGCATCCTCAACTTTGCCAGTATTAGTTGCAAAACCCCATGCAGAATATGGATTTTTAAAGAAAATGGGTTAAGGTGGTTTTTTTTCTTTTTTTAAATCCCAGTTTGGCTTAAAGGAGTGAAGACATTTCATGAACTATTAAGAATGAAGGTAAATGCAACAGTAGACAGTAAAATGAACTCGAAGTTATTATGGTAACAGTGCCTTTCAGTATAATGAAATTCTTTGCCTTATACCTTTTTAATATTCATGAAATTGTTTAGGAACAGGAGTACAAAAAGTTGCCTTAAGAGTTTCTTGGATTTTATCAGTAACTATTTTGATGTATAGTATCTTACCAAGGCATTTTTTTTAAGTGCAGGTTTTGTTTAGGGATAAATATTCAGAGTTCTACCACCCTACTTGTGTTTTCTTGAATTCTTTAGAGAATATGGTATCTACTTAATCTTCCTTCAGTGTCAGTGCTGTGAATGAGGAATGCTAACTCCAGGAGTGAGTTAATCCTCTTGCAGGTTTGAAATCAGCAAATTGTTTACTCAGCTACATAACATAGGCCTTTTCTCCGTCATGAGACAGTTACCTAGGTGCCGAGCAGTGGGAGAGGATAAAGAACTAAACGCGTGTAGAGAAGGGGTCCCATATCCTTTTAAAAGTATTTTTTCAAATTTTCTGGAAGTGACTTTTGATTCTCATTTTAAAAGGAATCATAATGGGTTTACACTTGAAATGCTTTGTTCCTAGAGGAGGCAGGGTCATGTTCACTGATGTTCTAAAATCAAAGGAATATTAGCAGATAATAGTCCCAGCATCATCTGCTAGTCTAATGACTGTAGATATAACATTTTTAATTTTTTTAAATCTGTAATTTTGTGCCAAACTGGATGTGATTAAGACTAAAGTTCAATGCCAGCAACCACTTCTGAACTAAACTCAGAGTCCCCCAGTTAGTTATCTAAGTACGGAATTCATCGCAAAACAAACAAAAAAGCAGAGCTTTAGGTGAACAGTCTGCAGCAAGGAAAAATGCTGCTCCTGCCTTTATAGCTCCTGTTTTATACTACCTCCTTTTAAAGTTATTCTAGTGTTATTTTTTTTCCTGTACTCAGGGAACGTTTTGTTACTTTTGAGCTGCCTCATGGAAGCATAGGCAGATTGACAGGGTATAGCGCTTTGTGGTTGGTAAGTAGAAGTATATAGGGCCAACTTTTATCAGTATCTAAAATTAAGTACAGTGAGATCATTTTATTTTTAAGCTTTCATTAAAAGGCAAACAAAATCTAAAGCTGAAACATCATCCATCATGGTTATGGAAGATGTGTCTAGGACTACATGAATTCGAGTGGTTTTAAATGGCTAAAAAGACGAGCTAAAGTCCTTGAGGAAAGTATTTTGTTTGTTTGGTTTTTGATGAATAGGCTTATAGTTACAATAGAACTTTAGGCTATAACTATTTGATAATTATTTAACAGTACATTTTTTACCTTTTCATTTTGTTCTTATACGGACTTTTTCATAATAATTCTGTTACCAAAGAATTTTCAGTAGAAAATAAAATTTTGATTATAATTCCCCCCAAATTGAATTAACTAGAAGCATTTATAGATATGAAACTTACACAAGTAGTTACTAACCCAAAACAATAGGGTTTATATTGATTGTTGTAGTTAAATAGATTAGTAATGTTAACTACCTTATTGTTACCAGAGCATTTAAAATAAGTTGTAATACTTTCTTTACCAGCAGATCGTTCCAAAGAATTTCAGGTATAGTTTTTTCTTCAGCAAGTAAATCTTCAACTATACAGTATTAAAGTATTTTTATATTGTTGAAACTACTTGTTGGAGAGAAAATTTTTTTTTTTTACCAAAAATAAATACTTTGGTCTCATTGAATAAGATATTTAGTAATACAGCAAAGACTTCTTTTTACTTGACCAAATCAAGCTTCTTTGAAGTCTTAAGTATGAAATTGTAATTAAAATGTGAAGATTTTCACTCATTTTTCATAGTGGTATTACTTCATGGTATTGTACTTCAAAGGGGCTAATATGCAAATGGTAACTATTTTCTTTTCCAAAGATGTATTTGCTGTAAGTACTGATACCTGCATGTCATTTTTATGCCAAATATTACAAGATACTGCTCATCAGTATTTTCATACCAAAGACCATTAAGATGTATAGGTTAGCCTGTAAGTAAGTAAAGATGAGCAGATTTGAAATAAATTTATTTAGAGGCCGATAGAGAATCTAGCTTTAGTAGCAAAAAATATCAAAGGGCTAAGTTTACATAATTAAAAGCAATACAATTATATTGGTATTTATCAGTGTTTTTATTCAAGTACTTTTTATCAGCAAATTAAAAAGAAAAAAACCAAAGATATTTAAGGTTACCTCCGCATATAGGCAAATATAGTTGTACATTAAACTGTTGTTTCTTGTTTTTATGTTAAACCAAACATGTCTCTTCGGAACACAGTCTGTATACAAATAACATGCATGAGGACTTTCCATTTAATCTGTGATTCAGCCACATGATGTTTTTGCCAAATGATGTGATACTTTCCAAAGCACCTTGAGTGTGAAATGTCAACAGAAATATCAGCAAGCTTTTATGTTGCAGAGTATTATGGTACCTCTGAATTAGCCTGTATAGTTCTCTTCCTGCTTTAAGCATTACCTGGTTAGCTCAGACGGCTTGAGGCAGTCCCTTAATAATAGGGATGCTTTTCATCTCTAAGGATGTAAGAGGCAAACAAATCATGTCATTCTTTAAGTGGGCTATGCTTTGATAGATGTGCTCTTTAAAGGTGTGAGATTGGAATTTAGAGTTGTTAAATTGAAATGTTTGCATTGCACCAAAGGAGCTCAGTTTTCAAACTTTAATGGAACCTTGGGTAAAGGGAAAAAATTTTTAATGAAATCTGGGGTTTTATATTTTGATTAGCCTAAAAGTAAAAATACAGCTTTATCCATTAAGTGACTTTTAAAAATCAGTTTTGCCATACCAAAGAAATTAGATTCTTAGTGTCACATGCTATACTTTTGTCTGTGCTTGAAACGAGCAATGCCAACATTGGGAACAATGACAGAGGTTTGCATCAGTTTGTCTTGGCTTTGTTAAGGACTTCTGCCAGAAATGTGCTCGTGGTTGACAACCCAGGATCATTGTTCAAGTTCTTATGCAGACACCTTTGAAAACAATTCAGATCGTGTCACAAGAATTTGGAATTGAAAATATCATTTATTTTTTAATGCAAGAATACCCAGATGTGGTTTCACTTCAGCAGTAGCTATAGTGGTTCACTTATATACATTTCTGTTTCACTGAATGTAAATTTTGAATACTGAATGTAAAAAAAAAACTCCAGTTATATTGAAACAGTCACTAAGACTGCACATGTGTTTTGCAGACTTTCTTCCTGACCATTTGCCACATGGGTCTCTGATAAGATTCTGTTGGTTTAATAGTCAAAATAATCTTTGCAGTTTGTGAGCACTGAGTAGCAGGTTCTGGAGACTACCATATACAACCAGTTGTCTAATTGTGATTTTTTTATTGATGTTTAGAAGAATGTAACCGTAGAGTTCTGTGTTAAGTTGATTTATGCTCAGGACATAAGATCACAGGCTAATGCAATGTGTATGTTTCAGGCTTTAATCTTCTCAATTTCCCTTTTTAAGCCGTTGATGGTGTTTAAGATTAACATGACAGTCTTGTATTTTTACCAGATACTGTATTATTTTTCCTATTGCTGCTGTAACACATTACCATGAAGGTGGTGGCTTAAAATAACACAAATTTTTCTTAAGTTCTGCAGATCAGAAGTCTAACACAGGTCTCCCTGGGACAAAATCAAGGCGCTTGCAGGGCTGTTTCTTTTTGAGGCTTTAGGGAAAAATCTATTTCCTTTTCTAGTTTTTTAAGGCTGGGAACCCCTCCTTCCATCTTCAAAGCCAGCCATGTAGCATCTCTCTGAAGCTCCTTCCGTTATCATTTCTCTTTGTCCAACCCCAGCTGATACAGGTTATCTAGGTTTAAGGATTCCAGTGATCACATTGAGCCCACCTAAATAATCCAGGATAATCTCCCCAACTGAAGTTCCTCAACTTAATCACATCTACAGAGTTCCTTTTGCTATGTTTGGTAACATATTCACTGGTTCCAGGGATTTGGGCATGGACTTCTGTAGGTGGCCAGTATTTTGCCCACAACAGGTACATTCTTTCTGTGGAATTCTGATCCCTGTAAAATGTCTGTAGCATTAAAGAGATTGGAAATCTGAGGTCATGTGCCCCTTGGGGATCTTTAAAGATTAAAAGCATGAAAACTTTGACTTGTAGCCTACCAAAATTATACACTAAACTTTCTCTCCAAAATACTTGTGAAACAATTTATCTTTAAAGTTTCTGAATATGTGCTTCATAAAATAACATCTCATGTTTATCAGCAAGTGTCCTAAATATTTGCGTCTAACTTTATGGAATTTATTCAGAAAAAGAATTGAAAACTCTTCTTATAGTTACCCTTTCTCCTTTTCTCTTCAGTGGTTATGTTGCTGGGGAAGAGTTGGGGGAAGACCTCAAAACACAGGAACTCAGAGTGATGAACAGGACCATGCTCAAGTTTATTCTTTGTTTTCTTTTAATGACATATTCACAACATTCACAACTTTCTGCCTTTAAATCTGGTTCCTCTCTTCAGCTTCACCAAGCCACTGAATGCTTTTCAGTTTTATTAACCCTCACATTCCCCATCCTTCTCAGCAAGAGCCTCTCCTTATGCCATCAGCATGTATATACATTTCCTAGGAAATTTGATCTTTCTTGTCATTCTTTTTTGGTTCCAATCGGCCTTTTCCTGGTTCTCAAAGCTCTAGTTTCTTCTAATTTCTGGATCATCGCAAGTCTGGCCCTCTTTGAACTTTAAAACATAATGTCTAATTCCACCCCAATTTTCAGCATTTCTTCAACTAAATCGATAAAGCTGTCTCCATTATGAGAAAGGCCAGAATAATACTCCGAGTAAGCATAAGAAAGCTGGTCATTTTACAACTTCTCCCGACTCTAGGAAGTAATATGATGCCATTTGTTGAGCATCTACAGTGTGCCAAGCACATGGTTCATCTCTGCAAACTGCTGCTACATTCTGTAAAGCAAGTATTATCCGCATTTTAGGGATTAGGAACAGCTTCCTGATCTCTTGCCAAAAGTCACAGCTAGTGAGTGGTTTAGGCAAGATACAAACCCTAGTTAGTTAATCCTTACTCAGAAGTGTATAGGACTATGATACATTGTCTCAGCTTAAAAAAAAAAAAAAAAAAAAAAGGTATTTAATCACCCAGGGTCATAGTGCCTTCCATAGTGTGACCAGATACAACTGTTTTTTCCTTGTATCCACAAAAGCCAGGTTGTGTCAGAACAACCTTTCTACAGAGTAATAACCAATCGAAAAAGAGAAGACTACCTTATTTAAATCCACTTATTCACAGGAGGGATTAAGGCGGCTGTAACTCATCCCTTATCATCTCCTAATTTCTCTCCTCCAAAACCTTCCATTTATCTCAGCTAAAATTGTGTCTGAAGGCTGTTTGTACTTAGAGTTACATTACAAATAAGGTAGGCATGGTTTCTAGAGTCCTTTTCTAGTCAAGCATTTCCTTATTCGACAATGTCTTCAGAATTGCATTTTATCTTTTGTAATTTTCTGTAGCTCCCATATTCCAAACAGGAATTCATTGACTTGAAAAAGTCAGGTGTGTAAACAGTAATCCTTTCTTGTTAGGTCTGAAGAGTTCATGATTTTTTATGAATATAAACTAATTTATTATTTGCATTAATGTAGGAGACAGCAAAGTTAACGGAGAGTCATAAAACAGAACAAGTATAAGTTAGGCTTTGGAGCACCTAAGTTCTAATCTTGACAATTTTGAGAATCGTTTGGTACAAAAATTCTTAAACTGTTTCTGTGCCTTCTCCATCCATGAAATGAGGATAATTTTTTTGTGCAAAATGAAACAATAGTACTTTGAAAACTTAAGAGAAAATTCAAGTGTAAATAATCATAATCTGAAACTCATTTGTATGAGGCTGTGAAAGATTTTACAGACTCTTTCTTTTCAAGTCAGCCTTTGCAATTATATTTTGCCTTTGTTGAAATGAAAAATGTTTGCATCTCCCGTACGCATACACAAAACCAATAGAAGAAAGTGGTTGGTAAAAGATATAGCTGAAATGGAAACACTCATATGTTAGGTGGATAAAATCATAAGAGAAAATGGGAATTGACTGTACTTTCAAAGTACTAAATTTGAAGTCATCTTACTCCAATTTAAGTCATATATATATATATATATATATATATATATATATATATATATATATATATATTGGCTTTTAAAGAGTTAAAGAGAGAATCAGATCTGTCCAGCAGGATAGATGGGTGAGGAGAAAAGTACATATTTAGGATTTTTCTCTAAAAGATCTTTTTCAAGATTATGGAGTATTTTAATATTTCTGCAAACTATTCCAAATGAATGCATTTTATATAGGGCAACACATACTGGCACCTGATTCTGGTTTATTCGAGTTCATATGTAGGGTTTGTTGGGAAGAATTATATGATTGGCTTCTTTTTTTAGAGGAAATATTTTCCCTTTTTTCTTATCCATATACTATTCTGAACAGCTTTGCAGATTTCCTTAAGTTCATAGCTTGTAAGTAGTTCATGGTATATAGACATAGTCTTGACTTACAACTGAAAAAAAATTTATGTTACAGAAGTTTATTTTTTCTATGGAACTGTCTTTAAAAACAAAAATATTACAAATCTTGACCTTGAAATATTCTGTTTCCTGTTATCACATTCTGGATATCTATTTTGTTTGCAAATGAAAATTATTACTGATGATTAGCAACTTGAGCCTGTTAATAGGAAATTGCAAAGCCTGAATACACACACATTGCCTTAGCCTATCAGTAGAGTAGAGGACATATGTTAAGAAAATGTGTCTGCTTGTTGCTGTTGTTGGACAAAATTTTATGTCTGTGTGTATGATTTTTTTTTTTCTATTTTCTTCAAAGATGTGAATTAAATGAAAGTGTGGGAGCCAGTTAAATTATTTTGTATTATGGGTGTTCTGGATCCTTTCACTCCGTATACCATTTTCTTGTAAGGGCAGCATTTGTAGACTTGCTAATGGACTGTAGAGCTGAGCTATATTAATTTTATACTTGACTCAGGGGATCAGTTCTGTGAATGCCATTGCACGAAGAAAGCAAATGTTTGCCTTGATTTTGAATGTATCTTTTTAATGTCTTCTTAAAACATATTTGTTTAATAATGTAGATTTGTTTTTTTTTTTCTAGTATCATAGTAAATATTGCTTAGTACTTGCCCCCACCCCACTGGGTAGTTTATATACTACCCTATAGGTCATGCCAAAAATGAATAAAAGTTTAAATGCCAAAATGTTTATGAAACTGCTGTCTAAATACTGATTGATTGCACAATTTAAATAAAAGCTTTCCTTAGTTAAAAAAGACAAACCCATGTTTTCTTTTATTCTTCAGTTTTCTTTTGGGGGAATAGAGAATGAAAATTTTCCATTTATAGGAGGTTGGCTTTCACATCATGGGTTGGGATGACTATAGAATCCACTCCAAGAAGTAGGAATAGAACCTATTTAAGGTATCTAAGAATTGCTTTCATCTGACATTCACTATTTAATAACAACAAGGAAATAACAATGTTCCCATCCCAGTAGATGGTTGCTCACTTCAGGGGTTAAACAGTAGGTAGCCCAAAAGGTATGGACTTGCTCTGATAGGCACAATTCTAAATCAGGATAAATTTTTTTTTAGTATTAAAATTTTAAAATGGTAAGAAAATCCTGAAAATCTTCCCACTGAAACCATCTAGAAATAACAGATAAAATATAACCCAAAAAAGTTTCTTTTTAACCTAGTTGAATTCTTATTTTTTTAAAAAAAAATCTCTAGGATTGAGAATGAAATGGGGACTGAAAAACAGAGCAGTAACATTTTGAAATGATTTTCTGATGACTGCGGAGAGCATCAAAGAAGGAATTGAAACATGAGAAGGGAAAAACTACATAAAAAGTAAGTTAGAAAAATAAATGAATGGAATTTCCAGAAATAAAAAAATACAATTTTTGAATTTTTGAAACTCTTAATTTATCAAACAGCCAAAGAATATTCTAAAACTGGAAGATAGCTATGAGGAAATTAGCTAGAATGCAGCACACAGAGAGAAACATGGAGAATATAAAACAGATAAAAAGATCTAAGACAGCTGTTTTAAAATGAAAGACTAAAGAGAATGAAGAACAAGTCATATTCATAGGGAAAATTACTACATGATGAAAGCCATACCTCCTCAGATTTAGGAAGCACAAACCTCAGTGTAGAAATACAAAAGTAAGTCTATACCAAGCCACATTATAGTGAAACTGTAGAACAAGAAAGACAAGGTAAGAACTTAAAGGTAGCTAGACAAAAAAAAAAATTTATATAGATCGCACTAAGAAAATTTCTTATTGGCAATAAAAGAAGCAAGAAAGTGGGCCAGGCGCGGTGGCTCACACCTCTAATCCCAGCACTTTGGGAGGCTGAGGTGGGCAGATCATGAGGTCAGGAGTTCAAGACCAACCTGGCCAACATGGTGAAACCCCGTCTCTACTGAAGACACAAAAATTAGCTGGGCATGGTGGTGCGCTCCTGTAGTCCCAGCTACTTGGGAGGCTGAGGCAGGAGAATTGCTTGAATTTGGGAGGCAGAGCTTGCAATGAGCCAAGATCAAGCCACTGCACTCCAGCCTGGGCAACAGAGCAAGACTCTGTCTCAAAAAAAAAAAAAAAAAAAAAAAAAACCAAGAAAATGGTGTGATAATATCTTCAAAACATCACAAGGGAAAAAAGCTGCTATATGGAATTCTGTATCAACATAAATTATTATTTAAGTGTTAGTGTTAAATAATTCTGGATGAAGATCAAGAGAATTTACCACTAATACATCCTTGTACGTGAACGATTAAAGATGTACATTAGGAAGAGGGAAATAGAATCCACAAAGAAGATATGAGAAGGAAGAAGCAATGAAGAGCCAAAAATACAAAAAAAATGAGATAACTACTCCACACCCAGTAGGATGGCTATATCAAAAAGATAGGCCAGGTGCAGTGGCTCATGCCTGTAATCCCAGCATTTTGGGAGGCTTAGGTGGGTGGATCACTTGAGGACAGGAGTTTAAGACGAGCCTGGCAAACATGGCAAAACTCTGTGTCTACTGAAAATACAAAAAATTAGCTGGGCGTGGTGGTATATACCTGTAATCCCAGCTACTTGAGAGGCTGAGGCACAAGAATTGCTTAAATTCGGGAGGCAGAGGCTGCAGTGAGCTGAGATTGTGCCACTGCACTCCAGGCTGGGCAACAGAGCAAGACCTTTGCCTCAAAAAAAAAAAAAAAAGCAAAGATAGTAACTGCTGGTGAGAATGTGGAGAAATTAAAACCCTCATACGTTGCTGGTAGGATGTAAAAATTGGGAAGCCACTGTGGAAAATAACAGTTTCTCAAAAACAAAGTTAACATTTGACCCAGCAATCCTACTCCTAGATATATACTCAAGCAAAATGAAAACATATTCACACAAAAACTTGTCCATAAGTTCATAGAAGCAATATGCATAGTACTGAAATAATGAGAACAATCCAAATACCTACTGACTGATAAATGGACAAATGATGTGTGGTATATCCACTCAATGAAATATTATTCAGCCATAAAAATGAATAAGGTACCGATATATGCTATGACGTGGATAAATCTTGAAAACATTATGCTAAGTGAAAGAACTCAGTCAATAAAGACCACACATTGTATTATTTCATTTAAAAGAAATGTCCAGGTTGGGCGAGGTGGCTCACACCTGTAATCCCAGCACTTTGGGAGGCTGAGGTGGGCTTATCACCTGAGGTCAGGAGTTCAAGACCAGCCTGGCCAACATGGCAAAACCGCATCTCTGCTAAAAATACAGAAATTAGCAGGGTGTGGTGATGTGCACCTGTAGTCCCAGCTACTCGGGAGGCTGAGGCAGGAGAATCACTTGAACTCAGGAGGCTGAGGTTGCAGTGAGCCGAGATTGCGCCACTGCTCGCCAGCCTGGGTGACAGAGTGGGACTGTGTATCAAAAAAAAAAAAAAAAAAAAAGGAGGCAGGGACAGGCATGGAGGCTTATGCCTGTAATCCCAGCACTTTGAGAGGCTGAGGCGGGCACATCACTTGAGCTCAGGAGTTCGAGATCAGCCTGGCCAACATGGTGAAACCCCATCTCTACTAAAAATACAAAAATTAGCCAGGCATAATGGCGAGCACCTGTAATTCCAGCTACTCGGGAGGCTGAGGCAGGAGAATTGCTTAAACCTGAGAGGTGGAGGTTGCAGTGAGCCGAGATTGCACTATTGCACTCCAACCTAGGTGATTACAGAGTGAGACTCTGCCTCAAAAGTGAAAAAAAAAAAAAAAATAGAAGACAGGAAAGAAGTTAAAGAAGCAAAAATAATCCCGAGAAAAAAGGAAAAAGTAATATGGTAGGAAAAGTATAATTAATATCTGTAGTTACGAAAAAAAGTAAAATACTGCCACTTTAAAGATTGGATTAAAAAAAATCTTGCTATAGGTTGTTTACAATACATGCACTTAAAACATAATGACCAGGAATTGAACAAAGTTGCAGGGAACAAGATCAACACACAAAACTCAGTCCCATTTCTATAAACTTGGAATGAACAATCTGAAAAGGAAATTAAGAAAGCAATCTCATTTACAACAGCATCTAAGAGAATTAAATACCTAAGCATAAATTTTACCAGTGAAGTGACGTGATTAAGTTGCACGCTATAGACCACAAAACATTCCTGTAGAAATTAAAGACTTAAATAAATGGAAAGATATACTATGTTCATGTATAGGAAAACATTAGAGTATTGACATTTCATTGCTGGGCACGGTGGCTCATGCCTGTAATCCCAGCACTTTGGGAGGCTGAGGCAGGCGGATCACGAGGCCAGGAGATCGAGACCATCCTGGCTAACATGGTGAAACCCTGACCCTACTAAAAATACAAAAATCTAGCCAGGCGTGGTGGTGGGCGCCCATAGTCCCAGCACTTGGGAGGCTGAGGCAGGAGGATGACATGAACCCAGAAGGCGGAGCTTGCAGTGAGCCGAGATCGCACCACTGCACTCCAGCCTGGGTGACAGAGTGAGACTCCATCTCAAAAAAAAAAGATTTCATTGCAATCCCTATCAAAATTCCAACAGCTTTTTTTTTTATGGAAATAGAAGAGCCAATCCTCAAATTGATATGGAATTGGAAGGGACCCCAAATAGCCTAAACAATCTTGAAAAAGAACAAAGTCAGAGAACTCACGCTTCCCAACTTGAAAACTTACTACAGAGATAAAGTGATCAAAACAGTGTGGTAATGGCATCAGGATAGACCTATAGACCAATGGAATAGAATTGAGAGACCAGAAATGAACCCACATATCTATGGCCAATTGATTTTTGACAAGAATGTAAAGTCTATTCAATGGGGAAATAACAGTTTCTTCAACAAATGGTGCCAGACAACTGGATTTTCACATGCAAAAGAATAAAATTAATTGAGGTGGGAGGATCACTTGAGGCCAGGAGTTCAAGAGTAGCCTGGGCAACATAGAAAGACCCGTTTCTCTACAAAAACATTTTACAAAAATGACCAGATGTGCTGGCACATACCTGTAGTCCTAGCTACTTGGAAGGCTGAGGTGGGAGGATTGTTTGAGCCCAGGAGTTTGAGGTTACAGTGTGCTATGATTGCACAACTGCACTCCAGCCTGGGCAACAGAGTGAGACCCTGTCTCTATCAAAAAAATAAAAAAGAATGAAGTTAGACCCACTACCTCACACCATGTACTAAAATTAACTCAAATGGATCAACACCTAAATGTAAAAGCTAAAACCATAAAACTCTTAGAAGAAAATATAGGGATAAATCTTCATGATCTTAGATGTGGCAATGGGTTCTAAGATCTGACACCAAAAGGACAAGCAACCAAAGTAAGAAAGATAAATTGGACTTAATCAAAATTAAAAACTTACATGCATGAAATGATACCATCAAGAAAAGAAGACAATCTACAAAATGGGAGAAATAGCAAATCATATAGGATAATGGTTTAATATCTTAAGTATATAAAGAACTTCTAAAACTCAACAACAAAAACACCAACAACCCAAATGAAAAAAGGGCAAAGAAGTTGAATTAAAATTTTTTCAAAGAAGATATACAAATGGCCAATAAACAAATGAAAAGATGCTCAACATGCTTAATTATTAGGGAAATACAAAACTATAATGAAATACCATTTCACATTCACCAGGAGGGCTATAATTTTTAAAAAAGAAAAGAAAAGTGTGTTGGTAAGAATGTGCCAACATACATTGCTTATGGAAATGTAAGATGGTGTACCACAGCGGAAAACAGTTTGGTTTCCTCAAAAATGTAAATAAATACTTACCATATGACCCAGCAATTCAACTCTTAGGTATATACACAAATAACCAAAAGGTAGAAGCAACTCAGGTATTTATAAATAGATTAATGGATAAACAAAATGTGGTATATCCATACAATGGAATATTATTCAGCCATAAAAAGAAATGAAGTTCTGATACATGCTGCAACATGTATGACCTCAAAAATATTATCCTAATTGAGGCCGGGCACGGTGGCTTATGCCTGTAATCCTAGCACTTTGGGAGGCTGACGCAAGTGGATCACAAGGTCAGGAGATCGAGACCAGCCTGGCCAAGATGGTGAAACTATCTACTAAAAATACAAAACTATCTATTGAAAATACAAAAACTATCTACTAAAAATACAAAACATTAGCCGGATGTGGTGGTGGGCGCCTGTAGTCCCAGCTACTCGGGAGGCTGAGGCAGGAGAATGGCATGAACCCGGGAGGCGGAGCTTGCAGTGAGCCGAGATCATGCCACTGCACTCCAGCCTGGGCGACAGAGTTGTCTCAAAAAAAAAAAAGTCAATAGGTATTGCAATCGGTATTGGCTGTGGGTTTGTCATAAATAGCTCTTCTTATTTTGAGATACGTTCCATCAATACCTAGTTTTATTGAGAGTTTTTAACATGAAGTGATGTTGAATTTTATCGAAGGCCTTTTCTGCATCTATTGAGATAATCATGTGTTTTTTGTCTTTGGTTCTGTTTATGTGATGGATTACGTTTTTTGATTTGCGTATGTTCAACCAGACTTGCATCCCAGGAATGAAGCCGACTTGATTATGGTGGATAAGCTTTTTGATGTGCTGCTGGATTTGGTTTGCCAGTATTTTATTGAGGATTTTCAGCGATGTTCATGAGTTATATTGGCCTGAAGTTTTCTTTTTTTGTTGTGTCTCTGCCAGGTTTTGGCTTCAGGATGAAACTGGCTTCATAAAATGAGTTAGGGAGGAGTCCCTCCTTTTCAATAGTTTGGAATAGTTTAAGAAGGAATGGTACCAGCTCCTCTTTGTACCTCTGGTAGAATTCGGCTGTGAAGCCACCTGGTCTTGGGCTTTTTTTGGTTGGTAGGCTATTTATTACTGTCTCAATTTCAAAACTTGTTATTGTTAAGATCTTATTCTTTTAAGAAGAGACTAGCTCAGGCTAGTCTTGAGCTCCTGGCCTCAAGCGATCCTCCCACCTCAGCCTCCCTAAGTGCTGGGATTATAAGCATGAGCCACAGCACCTGGCCATTTAACAGCAATTTCTAACAAATCACAAATCTTTAAAATACAAATATTCTCTATTTTATATAAACTGTTACAAAAAATAGAAAAAGAAAGAAAATCTCAACAAATTATTTTAAGATGGTACAGTTAATACCAACAATGGACAAAAAACGGTAAAGATAAATTATAGACTAATTTCACTTATGATCATAAATACAATATTAGTCCTAAATATAATATTAGCATGTGGAAATAAAGTATTACTTATCCCAAGGAAAGTATTATTTATCCCAGGAAATAAAAGGGTGTTTTGACATCAGAAATTTAATTAATGTAATCCAATAAATAAAAACAATATGAATGTTTAAAAAGAAGTAGGGACTGGGCACGGTGACTCATGCCTATAATCCCAGCACTTTGGGAGGCTGGATCACTTGAGGTCAGGAGTTCGAGACCAGCCTGACCAACATGGCGAAATGCCATCTCTACTAAAAATACAAAAAATTAGCTGGGCGTGGTGATGGAACCCTGTAATCCCAGCTACTTGGGAGGCTGAGGCAGGAGAATGGCTTGAACCTGGGAGACAGAGGTTGCAGTGAGCCGAAATTGTGCCATTGCACTCCAGCCTGGGTAACACAAGACTCTGTCTCAAATAAATAAATAGAAATAGGAAATAATTTGATAAAATTGTACTAGTATCTATTATTATTATTATTAGACAAGGTCTTGCTTTGTTGCCCAGACTGGAGTGCAACAAGACCTCGCTTTGTTGCCCAGACTGGAGTACAATGGCGCAATGATGGCTCACTGCAACCTCTGCCTCCCAGGCTCAAGTGATCCTCTCACCTCAGCCTCCCAGATAGTTGGGACTACAGGCCCGCACCACCATGTCCAGCTAATTTTTAAATTTTTTTGTAGGGACGGGGTCTCACTTTGTTGCCCAGTCTGGTCTCTTGGCTCAAGCCATCATCCCACCTTGGCCTCCCAAAATACTGGGATTATCAGTCTTGAATCACTGCACCTGGCCAGTATTCATTATTTTAAAAAAGAAAAATCTTGGCAAACTAAGCACATATTTTAACCTGATAAAATATCCACCAAATACCTATAGCAAACATACTTAAGTTAGGGTAAAGTCTAAGATGCTTGCTGTTGCATTCCTATTCAACAATATACTGGATAAGCTAGACGGCATCATATGGGTCTGTAGGTAGAATTACAAGGGAAGAAACAGAATTGTCATTACATGCATATAGTGTGATTGTCTACATCAGAAATCCAAGGAATAGATAAACTATCATTCCAAACAGAGGTGTTAAGAAAGATAGTTGGGTATAAGATCAAAATACAAAGTGTAACAGAGTTACTATATATCAGCAACAAACAATCAAAAAGATATTATTTACCATACCATACCAACAACAATTTACCATACCAACAATTAAGAATATATTATACAAAATATGCGAGACTTTTATGGAGAAAAGTATAAAATTTTATCAAAGGGTATATTTGAAGAACTGTTTAAAGAGGGAGATAGCCCGTGTTGACATATCTATTCGTACAGGTTAAGTATCTGCTATCCAAAATGCTTGGGACCAGAAGCGTTTCAAATTTGGGATTTTTTTTTTATTTTTAGAATGTTTGCATATACGTAATGAGAGATCTTAGAGATGGGACCTACAATAATTGTATAGAGTTTTTTGTTTTGTTTTGTTTTGAGATGGAGTCTTGCTCTGTCCCCAAGGCTGGAGTGCAGTGGCACAATCTCTGCTCACTGCAACCTCCGCCTCCTGGGTTCAAGTTATTCTCCTGATTCAGTCTCCCGAGTAGCTGGGATTACAGGTGCGCACCACCACGCCCAGCTAATTTTCGTATTTTAGTAGAGACGAGGTTTCACCATGTTGGCCAGGCTGGTCTGGCCAACATGGTGAAAGTGATCTGCCTGCTTTGCCCTCCCAAAGTGCTGGGATTACAGGTGTGAGCTACTGCACCCAGCCCTTGTAAACAATATTTTAAACACATTATCTACAGAAATAAACTGTGTTATGTACCTGAATTTTGACTACAACGCATCACATGAGTTGAGGTGTGAAATTTTCCACTTGTGGTGGCAGCACCCAACAAGTATCAGATTTTTGAGCATTTTGGATTTCAGATTTTTGGATTAGGGATGTTCAACCTGTATTATGATCAATTTATGCATAAAAGAAAATTTATAACTATGAAAAGTTAACATTTGTACTAGTCAACCCTCCCTAACGACCTTCAATCCTCACCTCTCTCTGTGTCAACCTTCTTCACCTTCAGTACCCTCCAGCTCAGTCTCACAAAGCTGTCTACTAATTCCTTTCAATATTAACTGATTATTAAGCTGTTAGAGCTAGGTAATTAACATTTTAATAGATAACTGTTAAACTCCAAAGCAATTTTACAATCCAAAAGAATGAAGCCACAGTTGTGGAATGACATGGGATGAGGATGATACTTTTGTGTAAGGGGCCTAACTAGTATATTCACAGAGTTGTGTGAGCATATTGATATTCTGATATTCTAAAAATATCAGAATTCATTTAAATGAATAACCATATACTCTCAAATTGTCTGTGCATGTATACACAAGCTTATAATTTACATATAATGTTAATATAATTTTGAAATTAGAAATGAAACACGTCCTTTCACATTTTGTTTATAACAAAAGCCATAATAAGAATGGGAACTCTGGGAACCAGAGTTCTCCCTGTGGGAGAAGAAAGATAAAAATGTGGAAGGGTGAAAGGTAAGGAAGAACCATGTGCAACTGATTTGGAATTAGAGGCATTCATATGTATTGAATAATATGAATTCATTATATATGCATGTAAATACATGTAAATAAATAAATAAATATATAGTTGAACCATATGAAATTGTCATTTTTCCCAGAAAAAGCCTATAATTAGTGACGCTGCAGTGGTAATGAGCACACTAAGCACCCAGAATTTGTGTTCTAAATACTAGTCCTCAGGACTCCTTAGGGGAAATTGCTAATTCCAGGGCTGGAACAGAGAAAAGTATTGGAACCTGGAACATTTTATTGTGTCAGAAAGTAAGGAAGAGCTCAAGAAACTATGGTACATGTTCAAAAGATCACCAACGTCAGCTGAAGGGGCTTCTTCTAGCCAATTCTGGAACAAGCTGATTATCAGAATGAATAACAAGTAATAAATTATAACCCACTGAATAAAATAATGAATGCATACGTCCATTCTGATAGAGAGAGAAAAAGAGAAAGTAGAATGCCAAATAAGAAACGTAAAAGGAATGCTAGAGTTAGAAATGACCATTTTGCAGCTATAATATTGATAACTAATTCAGGTAGGAATCATCAAAGGATGCAAAAAAATAGTGGATGAAAGTTTAATGCAGAATGGGATATATCATAGTTTCAAAGTCTTTTCCCAGAGAGCACTTATTAATTTTATAGTGATGATAACTTTACAGTAGAGAAACATAGAGGACATCACATTACCCAAGTGATCAAAGTTAACATCACCAATAATAAAACACATGGATATCATGTGCCTCCTGATGTGGTGCGCTGAGTAGGACAAAGCTTCATTATTATGCATTATTCCTGCCTAGAACGCATCAACCTTAATCTAATGGTGAGAAAACATCAGAAAAATCCAAGCTGAGTGTCACCCTATAATAACGATAGGCCTGTATTCTAAAAATATCAGTGTCATGAATGACAAGAGAAGATGGAGGGACTATTCCAGATGAAAGAAAGAACATGACAGTTAAATACAATGTGGATCTTTGATCGGGGAGAAAAAAACTGACATCCAAGGACATTACTCAAACTATTGATGAATTTAGATATGGTCGGCATGTTAGATAAAAATATTTTAACTTGTGTTAAATTTCCTTAATTTGATTATTGTTCTATGACTGTGTAAGAGACTATTTTGTTCTTAGGAAATATACACTGAATTATTAGAAGTAGGCATGAAGGTTCAGAAAATTGTTCAGAAAATAATAACAATGGCAATAATAACAATAAAGTGTGAGTGTGTAGACAGGGAGGAAAACAAAGAAGGCAAAAAAATAAGTAATTGAAGCAAAATGTTTATTTATTTATCCAAGTGAAGGATACACTTAAGTTCTTTTTATTTTTCTTGTACCTCTTCTGTCAGTTTGAAAATAAAATTTAAAAATTTAAGAAGTTAATGTACTGGTATATCTATCCAACGGAATATTATTGACCCGTAAAAGAAATGAAGTACTAATACATATAGAACGTGGAGGCCGGGCGCGGTAGCTCACGCCTGTAATCCCAGCACTTTGGGAGGCCGAGGCGGGCGGATCACGAGGTCAGGAGATCGAGACCATGCTGGCTAGCACGGTGAAACCCCGTCTGCACTAAAAAGACAAAAAATTAGCCGGGCGTGGTGGCAGGCACCTGTAGTCCCAGCTACTTGGGAGGCTGAGGCAGGAGAATGGCGTGAACCCGGGAGGCGGAGCTTGCAGTGAGCCGAGATCGCGCCACTGCACTCCAACCTGGGTGACACAGCGAGACTCCGTCTCAAAAAAAAAAAAAAAAAAAAAAAAAAAGAACATGGAGGAATCTTGAAAACATTATTCTAAGTCAGAGTAGCCAGTCGCAAAAGGCTACATGTGATTTCATTTATTATTAAATGAAATGTCCAGAATAGGCAAATTCATAGAGACAGAGAGTAGTAGTTGCCAGAGCCTAGGAAATAAAAAGAGAGGGAGTGACTGCTAACTAGTATAGGGTTTCTTTCTGGGGTGATTAAGATGGTTTGGAATTAGCTAGTGGTAATGTTTACACAACTCTGTGAATATACAAAAATATACTAAAAAGTGAGAATACTAGACACAAAATGATACACATTAAAATGGTGAATTTTGTGGTATGAAAATATCTTTATAAAATTCACAAGTGTACAAAAAATGAAAGACTTAAAGGAATATTACAGTACAAAGTTGTCATCGTTTTGCCTTCCTGTTCCCACTCTTTCCCTCCAAACACACATACAAACCAAAAAGGCTTAAAATTGGCACATTTTCTGTCTTTTAAAAGAGATTTTATAGGCCGGGCACGGTAGCTCACGCTTGTAATCCCAGCACTTTGGGAGGCTGAGGCGGACGCATCACCTGAGGTCAGAAGTTCGAGCCCAGCCTGACCAACATGGCGAAACCCCTCTCTACTAAAAGTACAAAAATTAGCCAGGCGTGCTGGCGGGCACTTGTAATCCCAGCTACTCAGGAGGCTGAAGCAGGAGAATCGCTTGAACCCGGGAGGCAGAGGTTGCAGTGAGCCGAGATTGCGCCACTGCACTCCAGCCTAGGCGACAAGAGCGAGTCTCTCTCAAAAAAAAAAAAAAAGAAAAAAAAAGATTTTATAAAATGCCAATGTTCTATATTTACAGTTTGTTGTTTTAACACCAAGACTTGTCATGTTTCTTAGGTAGTCCTGCCTTGCTGTGTTTCATTCACAAATATGCACACATCTTGCTCATTCCCACGTTCTTAAAAAATTTCTCAGGCAACCCACAGTGTTGCAGTCTGCCTATGTTGGCAGTATTCATATCCCGAAAAAAATCTGCCTTTTTTTTCGCATTGCTGTAAAAAACAGAGCAAAACAAGGCAAAAATCCCACATGATTTTGCCATATTGGCTTCTTCAGCTATCACATAAGAAGTACATGACTCACTAAGCCTTTAGGATCAAAGATTACAGACAGATGCATCACTACAGGTATGTCCCTTATAATATGATGTGGCAACCATGAATATTTTAAACCATGCTGCCCAGGAAAAAATACCAGGGACCTTCTTATGATGGTAATATTAAACTCAAGTCTTTGGTTATTGGTTGCAGAGGGTTATGTCAAGTCCATATGACAAACAGTGATCAAGATGGAGAGCTACGTTTGTCCCTTTCTTGACTTGTAAACTTTCTCAATTTTCATTTCATTTTTATTTATTTTTATTTTATTTTATTGAGACAAGGTCTCTCACTCTGTTACCCAGGCTGGAGTGCAGAGGCACAATCATAGCTCACTGCAGACTCGACTTCCTGGGTTCAAGCAGTCCTCCCACCCCAGTCTCCCAAGCAGCTGGGACTAAAGGTGCACACCACCAAGCGCGGCTAATTTTTAAAAAATTTTTTTAGGCCGGGCTCAGCGGCTCATGCCTGTAATCCCGGCACTTTGGGAGGCCAAGTTGGGCAGATTGCCTGAGCTCAGGAATTCGAGACCAGCCTGGGGAACATGGCGAAACCCCGTATCTACTAAAACTACAAAAAATTAGCCGGGCGTGGTGGCGGGCACCTGTAGTCCCAGCTGCTGGGGGTGCTGAGGCAGGAGAATCGCTTGAACCTGGGAGGCGGAGGTTGCAGTGCGGTGAGATGGCACCACTTCTCTCCAGCCTGAGTGACACAGTGAGGCTCTGTCTCCAAAAATAAATAAATAAAATAAATTTTTTTTTTGTAGTGACAGAGTCTCACCATGTTGCCCAGGCGAAACTTCCTTAATATTTTAAAAGAATTACAAATATCCTATTAATTTATTTTTCAATATTTATGCAGTAGAACTATCTGGAAAGTCTTTGTCTGAAATAACATGTATTTCAGGATGCATTAATATACATTTTGTGTGAATCTGAAATTTGTCTATAGTAACCTATTGCTTAGCAAACTACCAGGAACATGATTACTGGTTAATATATATTAAATGAATAATGGATAAATAAAATTATAGAATGTGAATGCTTTGGCACTGAAATATTTTCCAGTGTACAATTCATTCATTCATTCACTCAAAAAATATTTTTGAGCACCTGCTACATGCCAGGCATTAACGAGCAAAAATTAACACAATTCTTGCTTACATGAATTTTAATCTGGAGATGAAGACAGGGTTTAATCAGATATTCACAGAAATTACTATATAATTTCAAACTGAGAGATGTGATGAAAGAAAGATGAAAAAAGGAACCTGACTTAGACTAGAGAGGTTTCCCTGAGGAAATAATGCTTGAGTTAAGAATGAAAGGTAGAGTTTGAGTTAATTAGACTAAGAGCAGGGAGAAGAGCATCCCAGGAAAACGAAACAGCATTAGCAAAGCCACCGTGGCAGGAGACTAATGATGAATTGAGGACAAGTTTAAAAGGCCAGAGAGCATAAAGAGCAAGGGAAGTGGTACAGAATGAGGTTGGAGAAATCAGTGGAAATTATATTAAAGTCTTGCAGTATATATTTTTAAAAATCAAGCCTTGGCCGGGCGCGGTGGCTCGCGCATGTAATCCCAACACTTTGGGAGGCCGAGGCGGGTAGATCACCTGAGGTCAGGAGTTCGAGACCAGCCTGACCAACATGGAGAAGCCCTGTCTCTAATAAAAATACAAAAAAAAAAAAAAAAATTAGCTGGGGATGGGGCACATGCCTGTAATCCCAGCTACTCGGGAGGCAGGAGAATCACTTGAACCCGGGAGGCAGAGGTGGCAGTGAGCCGAGATCGTGCCATTACACTCCAGCCTGAGCAACGAGAGCGAAACTCTGCCTCAAAAAATGAAATAAAATAAAATAATAAAAATCAAGCCTTAATTATACCACAGTGGAAAGGCATTGAAGAGTTTTATGTAAAATAACGACATGATGAGATTTGTGTATTTTAAAAAAGCACTCTCCACTCCAGAAAATAGTTTGGAAGTTCCTTTCAAAACTAAAAATGGACTTATCATATGACCCGGCAATTGTATTATTGATCATTTATCCTAGAAAAATGAAGACTTGGGCTGGGCGCAGTGGCTCACACCTGTAATCCCAACACTTCGGGAGGCCAAGGCAGGAAGATTGGTTGAGCCCAGGAGTTTGAGACGCCCCCCTGGGAAACACGGCGAGACTCTGTCTCTACGGATTTTTTTTTTTTAAATCAGCAGGGCATGGTGGTGCACACCTGTAGTCCCAGCTACTCAGGAAGCTAGGGTGAGAGGAGCCCTTGAGCCAAGGAGGTCAGGGCTGCAGTGAACTGTGTTCACACCACTGCAGTCCAGCCTGGGTGCCACTGCACTCTGGCCTAAGCAAAAAGGAGGCCCTGTCTCAAAAAAAAAAAGAAAGAAAGACAAAGAAAGAAAGAAAGAAAGGGAAAGAAAGAAAGAAACGGAGAGAAAGAAAGAAAAATAAAAATGCAGACTTATTTTCACACAAGAACTTCTATGTAAATGTTTATAACAACTCTGTTTATAATAGCCAGAAAGTACAAACTACCCAAATGTCCTTCAACGAGACAAGTGTTAAACTGTGATACCTCCATACATGGAATATTATGAAGTAGTAAAAAGGAATAAAATTTTGACACATACAACCATGATGAAACTCAAGGAAATTGCATTGTGTGTAAAAAAAGCCAATCTCAAAAATACATATTCCTGATTTCATTTGTGTAACATTCATGAGATAAAATAATTATAAAAATGCAGAATTGATTAGGGGTTGCTAGGAATTAAGGATGGGGGAGTGGATGAGTGTGGCTATAAAGGGCTAACAAGGTAGTCTTGTCATTAGAGTCTTGTGGTGCTGATACAGTTAAGTATCTTGATTGTGTGCTACATAGACACACACAAGTGCGTGTAAAACTAGTGAAATTTGAATAGGCTCTATGAATTGCACCAATGTGCATTTCTTGGTTTTGATACTGTGCTATAGTTTCGTATGATGTTAAAATCAGGTCGCTGGGGGCAGTGGCTCACGCCTATAATCCTAGCACTTTGGGAGGCCAAGGTGGGTGGATTCCCTGAGCTCAGGAGTTTGAGAGCAGCTGGGGCAACACGGTGAAACCCCATCTTTACTAAAATATGAAAAATTACCCAGGCGTGGCAGTGTGTGCCTGTAGTCTCAGCTACTCAGGAGGCTGAGGCAGGAGAATTGCTGGAACTCAGGAGATGAAGGTTGCAGTGAGCCAAGATCATGCCAGTGCACTCCAGTCTGGGTGACAGAGCAAGATTCTGTCTCCAGAAAAAAAAAATTGGGGTAAACTGGGGGAAGGATGCACAGGGCTTCCCTGTGCATTTCTTTATAACCTCCTTTGAAGCCATAATTATTTCAAAATAAAAAGTTAAAAAAAAACCCAGCAGTCTGGCTACTAAGTGGAAAATGAATTGAACAGAGGACAAAAAATGTGGAGAAAACTTGGGTGATTATTGCATAAGTCCAGAAAAGAAATAAATGATTTTGGCTAGATTTGGATGGTGGTAGTGGGGATAGAGAAGAATGGACACATCTGAGAATATATAGGTGGTAAAATTTGTGGAATCTGATGATGGATGGGATATAAAAGGCTAAAGAGGGCCAGGCTCCGTGGCTCACGCTTGTAATCCCAGCAGGCCAAGCTGGTTGGATCACATGAGGTCAGGAGTTCAAGACCAGCCTGGCCATTATGGCGAAATCCCATCTCTACTAAAAATACAAAAATTAGCTGGGTGTGGTGGTGGGCACCTGTAATCCCAGCTACTCGGGATGCTGAGGCAGGAGAACCAATTGAACCTGGGAGGCAGAGGTTGCAGTGAGCCAAGATCATGCCATTGCATTCCAACCTGGGCAACAAGAGTGAAACTCTGTCTCAAAAAAAGAAAGGCTAAAGAGAATAAGATCAAAAGTATTCTGAAGTAAAACTTTGTCCCATATTTCATAATATAGAAAATAAACATGTATTTAGGGCATGACAGCAAATATTTGGGAGGCACCATTTTATGACATAGTATATTCCAGAACCAAAGGTGCTTATTGATATGAGGTCCCTTACAGAGCTTTGCTAGGCTAAAGTACACACCATCATTGTGTCAATAATAAATTTATTGCCTCTCAACTCCAAATTTATCCTTCCTTGCCTGCTCTGCAAAAATGGAGCTGGACTCTAAATATTAATATTTTGCCTTTGCCAGCTGGCATGATGTTAAACTTTGTCAGTAGAAGGTGCTGGAGAGACATTATAAGAGTAAGGGGCTTTTGCTTTCCTTCCTGTTTCGGTTGTTCCTCTGAACGGGTTTCTGCAGCATTCATAGCCTCCTTCCAGGTCCTGCAGTGCTGGCAACATCAGTGCCAGGCTCTGCAATGCCGGCAGCACCCAGGGCATCTTCCTTTGGCACTCCCCTCAGAAGGTAGCACCACAGCAGCTTCTCTGGCATCCAGTGAGCCGCAGCTGTGCACTCACCGGTAAGGTCAGGATCTTAGCCTGGAGAGGAGGGGGACCTCTTCTTTAGGTGCTTTATCTTAGTTTTAAGGATAGTGCCTGCTCCTTATATCTGTTTTTCTCAAATACTTTAGCATTCTCTTTACTTCATACTGTCCCTCACTTCACTTCATACTAATCCCTTACTACTTCAATCCCTTGGTATAGTTAATAATCCTTTATATTAAACTTTCTCCATTCAAACTGTGTGCCCCTTGTGTCCTGATGGAATCCTGATTAATACAAACCATCTTCCAAAGTTTGCTGTTGTTATTGCCCTCAACTTTGAGCTTTTGATAGCACTATATTTGTCAACGAAAGGCTCCTGGATATGATTGGCCGATGGCTAGAGTTTGCTAAACTGGCTGCAGCTTCAATTACAACATGAAAGGATTCAAACCAATTTGCAAAACTTCCAAACATCTAGATTGGATTTGATTTTTATTTCCATTCAATGTAATACAAATCTGTGATTGCAAATGTTTTAAAATAGAACTTACAGAAATATTTTCCTTTTTTTTTTTAAAGTGTACATGTTAATCGAAACCAACTTAGATTAGAGGCTGAGTGCTTAAACATTGCATCACGCAACCATCCACAATAAAAACATGCAAAATTTGAGATGAAAAATATTAAAAGCAGACTATAAAATCAATACTTTAAAATATAAGAAAACCAAAAAGTTCAGTAGATGCCAGGCCAAGGATGACTGATGATAGAAATGAGTACTTCTTTCCGCAGCATGTGATACTGTTTCTTCCTTTTCTTTATTGCCCTAACAGTCCTGTTTTCTTTGTCATTCTTTCATGATTTCCTTTACAGCCTCCTCTATCTTTGTTAACCTTTTAAACTGTCATCATTTCCTTGCATTCTGTTCTTGGCTCTTATTTTTCTTTGGTCCTTGATGAGTTTATCCATTCTTAGGTAATGTCTCCTTCATGTGTATCTGCAGCCTAGGCCTGTCATCTGAGCTCCAGAGTCCTTTATATAGCCCATGTTCTAGCCCAGGGGTCAGCAAACTACCATGTGTGGGCCAAATCCAGTTCATTGCCTGTTTTTTTTTTTTTTTTTTTTGAGTCTTGCTCTGTCGCCTAGGCTGGAGTGCAGTGGCGCGTTCTTGGCTCACTGCAAGCTCCGCCTACAGGATTCACGCTGTCCTCCTGCCTCAGCCTCCTGAGTAGCTGGGACTACAGGTGCCCGCCACCACGCCCGGCTAATTTTTTGTATTTTTAAGAGAGACATCGCAGACTCAGGTGTCCGAAACTAAGCTCATCATCATCCCACTTCACCAACTATTACCACCATCAAATGTCTCCCTGTATTCTGTGTCACCTAAAACAAGTCTGGGAGCAAATTCCTGATTTGTCCTTCACCTTCCCCATCTAAACAATTACCACGTTGTCAGTTGTTACCACCATTCCTTATGCTTCCTCTCCACTACCCCACTTCAATGTAGAAGGCCCTCATCCATCTCTTACCTCATTTTCTCTATAATTTCCTTTTTTAATTTTTTTAACTTTTAAGTTCAGGGGTACATGTGCAGTTTTGTTATTTAGGTAAACCTGTGTCATGGGGGTTTGTTGTACAGATTATTTCATCAGCCAGGTATTAAGCCTAGTACCCAACAGTTATTATTTCTGATCCTCTCCCTCCTCCCACCCTCCACCACCTGGTAGGCCCCAGTGTCTCTTATTCCCCTCTATGTATCTATGTGTTCTCATCATTTAGCTCCCACTCATAAATGAGAACATGTGGTGTCTGGTTTTCTGTTCCTGTGTTAGTTTGCTAAGGATAATGGCCTACACTCCATCTATGTTCCTGCAAAGGACATGGTCTTGTTCTTTTTATGGCTGCGTAGTATTCCATGGTGTATATGTACCACATTTTCTTTATCTGGTCTATCATTGATGGGCATTTAGGTTGATTCCATGTCTTTGCTATTGTGAACAGTGCTGCAATGAACATATGTGTGCATGTGTCTGTATGACAGAATGATTTATTTTCCTTTGGGTATATACCCAGTAAAGAGATTGCTGGGTCAAATGGTAGTTCTGGGGTTGCAGAGAAAAAGGAATGCTTATACACCGCTGGTGGGAGTATAAATTTGACTTTTTAATAATAGCTGTTCTGACTGGTGTGAGACGGTATCTCATTGTGGTTTTGATTTTCATTTCTCTAGTGATCAGTGATGTTGAGCTTTTTTTCATATGCTTGTTGGCTACATTATAATTTCTAATTGGTATGATTTGAATGTATCTGCTCCAAAATTCAGGTGTTGACAATATGATAGTGTTAGGAGGTGTTGGTTTTTTTTTTCTTTTTGAGACAGAGTCTTGCTCTGTCGCCCAGGCTGGAGTGCAGTTGCGCAATCTCGGCTCACTGCAAGCTCTGCCTCCCGGGTTCACGCCATTCTCCTGCCTCAGCCTCCTGAGTAGCTGGGACTAGAGGCACCTGCCACCACGCCTGGCTAATTTTTTGTATTTTTAGTAGAGACGGGGTTTCACCATGGTAGCCAGGATGGTCTCGATCTCCTGACCTCGTGATTTGCCTGCCTCGGCCTCCCAAAGTGCTGGGATTACATGCGTGAGCCACCGCGCCTGGCCAGGATGTGTTGCTTTTAAGAGGTGGTTAGACCATGCGGATTCCTCCCTCATGAATGGGATTAGGTGCCCTTCTAAAGGGGCTTCATAAAGGGAATGTGCTCTTTTTTGCCCTTCTAGCTTCTGCCTTGTAAGGACACAGTGTTCCTTCCTTCCGGAGGACATAGTGTTCAAAGCACCATCTTGGAAGCAGAGAGCAGCTCTCACCAGATGCCAGCACCTTAATCTTAAGAGTTCTTACCCTCCAGAACTGTGAGGAATACATTTCTGTTCTTTAAAAATTACCCAGTCTGTGGTGCTCTGTTATAGCAGCACAAATAGACTAAGATACTAATGTTCTGTGCCTCTCTAATCCATCTTTCACCTAGTAGCCAGAATGATCTTTCTAAAATTCAGACCTAAACATGTCACTCACCTGCTTAAACTCATCAATGTTTCTCCATTGCTTTCAGGATAAAATCAAACATTCTTGGTGTGGCATGCAATGCCCTTCAGAGGTCTGGCCTCTTGTCTACTTCCTCAAAATCAGCTCCTGCCACTTCTCAAAAGGTACCTTATGCTCCAGCCAGTCCTAACTACTTACAGTCTCCAAAAGATTCATACGTTTTCACCCTTCTTGTCCTTTGGAAACTCTGTTCCCTCTGATTACAAGACTCCATTTGCCCTTGCAATCCATTTTATTTTCTACATGTTCTCACCTCAACCATTTTATGGTAAAATACATATAACATAAAATTTACCATTTTAGCCATCAAATACAATTTAGTGGCATTAATTACATTCACATTGTTGTGTAACTATTACCACTATCCATCTCCAGAAAATTTTCAATATCCCAAACTGAAATACTGTACTCATTAAACAGTAACTCCTCATTACCTAACCTTTATCCTCAACCCCTGGTAACAACTCCTACATGTTCTTTTTTTTTTTTTTTTTTTTTTGAGACAGAGTCTCTCTCTGTCGTCCAGGCTGGAATGCAGTGGCACAATCTTGGCTCACTGCAACCTCTGCCTCCTGGGTTCAAGCAATTCTCTGCCTCAGCCTCCCGAGTAGCTAGGATTACAGGCACCCACCACCATGCCTGGCTTTTTGGTGTGTTTTTAGTAGAGACGGGGTTTCACCGTCTTGGCCAGGCTGGTCTTGAACTCCTGACCTCGTGATTCACTCACCTCGGCCTCCCAAAGTGCTGGGATTACAGGCATGAGGTACTGTGCCCGGCCTCCTATATGTTCTTTTTAAGGCTCTCCTAAAAACATCATCAGCTACCTGCCTCCCAAGCTGAGTGGAGGGTTTCTGTCCTCTGCTGACACGGAAGTCTATTGCAGTGCTTGGCATTTTGCATTGTTCATGTTACCTTAAACCTCTACTTCCTGCCCTAAACTGTGAACTTCTTAAGGACAGGAACCATTGTCTCAATCTCTGTATACAATCTTTGGGTGACAATGTTTTATACCAAATGGCTGATAAATGCAAGTCATCAAATCTGCTCATTGCTTTTGAATCACCTAGAGAGCCTTTAAAAACAGACGTCTAGGGATTCTGACTCTAGTAAATCTGGGGAGGGACTTAGGAATCTGAAATTTTGGAATGCTCTCCAGGTAATTCTGATTATGTGCAAGGAAGCCATCAAGATTTGGAAGTAAAATCGATTTAAAAGACTATGCCCAAGTAAGATGGTCTTTTTATTCTTGATGAATCATTAAAAAGAAGCCAATTCATTTCTCTTGATTTTCATGCTATTTCTGAGTCTCTAGCTTTAGGGAATTACAATAAAGAACTCAAAATCTCTTAGCAATGATTTTTCTGAACCATTCTCCTTCCACTAAGAGTTATAAAATGAAAATATGTCATTTCCATATTTTTCTGGAGGGGGGACAGGGTCTTGCTTGCTCTGTTAACCAGGATGAAGTGTAGTGGTGTAATCATCGCTCACTGCAACCTTGAACTCCTGGGCTTAAGGGATCTTCTTGCCTCAGTTTCCTGAGTAGTTGGGACTATAGGCCGGTGCCACCACGCCTGGCTAATTTTTAAAAATTATTTTGTAGAGAAGGGTCTAGCTTTGTTACCCAGGCTGGTCTCAAATTCCTGGGCTAAAGTGATCCTCCCGCCTCAACCTCCCAAAGTGTTGGGATTTACAGGCGTGAGCCACCACAGCTGGCCTTCATTTCTTTGTTGACTTACCAAAGTGCTTTCAAATTTTCCTCCAACCACCCTATAACATAGATTATTAGATTCAATCTGCTTTATTTTTAATTTTTTTTTTTTTTTTTTTTTGAGACAGAGTCTCACTCTGTCACCCAGACTGGAGTGCAGTGGCGCGATCTCGGCTCACTGCAAGCTCCGCCTCTCGGGTTCACGCCATTCTCCTGCCTCAGCCTCCCGAGTAGCTGGGACTGCAGGCGCCCGCCACCACACCCGGCTAATTTTTTTTTTGTATTTTTAGTAGAGACGGGGTTTCACCGTGTTAGCCAGGATGGTCTTGATCTCCTGACTTCATGATCCGCCTGCCTCGGCCTCCCAAAGTGCCGGGATTACAGGCGTGAGCCACCGCGCCCGGCCCCCAATCTGCTTTATTATATTACCATTTGCTTCGGCTTTATTACACTTACCAAAGCCCTGCCACCCCAGTCGTCCCAGGGCCACTTCAAATCTCTTTATTCATACATCAATGAATATTTTCCCGAACACTTACTATGTGTTACTCAGTATTAGGTACCAGAGGATACAGCAGTGAGCCAGTCAAAATTCCTGCCTGCATGGCGCTTACATTCTAGTTAGGAGGAACCTTCTCCTCAGAGTGCTTCCTGTAAGAATATTTTCCTTAGCCTGTCCTAGTCTGACTCTTCTAATCAGGAATTCCATAATTCCAGACCACCCTTATTAGATAAAGGGTAACATTTGCCTCCGGCCACGCTATGTCTTAACGACGATCAGCCGCTGTGGCGATTGTCTGGTATGCAGCTGTTGAGGCTGTACATTGGCTTCATGTTAACATCTGTTCTCTGTGACACTGTGCAGCTGAATGAGTTGGGTGTCTGTCTCCGGAAGGACGAGACTCCTGTCTGTAGCTAGTTCTGTGTCCTCCCACGCTTCATGAGTGCTTTTCGGTGATTCTTACATCAAAATAAGCCCAGTGGATAACCAGAAAACCTAGCAAAACAAAAACAAAAACAAAAAACAAAAAACAAAAACCAGGGAAAACAATTTCGTAGAAGTGCGTTAAACAATGTCGGAGCTAGAAGAGACCTTCGAGATGTAGCCCCACTGCCTTTTATAGACAAGAAAACTGAGACCCAGAGAGGTTACCTAAGTCGCCTCCGGTCACACAGCCCAACTGAAGAATGTGGACCGGTGATCACATCTAATTTACAATCACACTGGGGGTGTTCCTCCTAAAATTTAACGTCTAAATGAGATCCAGCCGCGTCACCGCTTCTACCCACGCTCCCCCCTCCCCCGCCCACCGTCCTTTCTGGTATTTATTCTACGTCGCTCTTTCTTGAAGAGTCAAGTCGTTAAAATACCAAGTGGAGGCATTCTACAGACAGGTGTCCACACCACGGCCACGCGGACACGGAGTCGGGGAATCTGGATCCCCACATGCCCGCCGAGAACTCTCCAGCTCCCGCTTACAAAGTTTCCTCGCATGGTACGTTCATCTTTCCGATCCCTAGCTGCGAGGCCGAGACGCCTGCTGCTGTGGCCTCCGACGAAGTTCGGAGATGCCCTTTCCTTGCGAAAGCTGGGCCCGGTAGCGTCGGCCGCGGGGTCGGGCGTTCTCGGGCCTGGCGGTCGGCGAGGGAGCGCCGGGCGCGGGGCGGGGCGGCCCCTAGGCGCGCGCTGCCCACCCGGGCTGCAAGAGCCGCGGGCCCGCGAGCCCCGGCTTGGAGCAAGAGGCGCGCGCGGGCCGTGGGGGCTGGGCCGAGGCGGAGCGCGAGGCGGCGGCGGTGGCGGGAGGCGCCGCGGGACGAGGCAGCGGCCCCCGCCCCCCGAAGCCCGTCCCCGCGCGGGGCTGGGGAGCTCAGGGCGGGGAAGCCGCGGGGCCGCGCCACGTCCCTCGCCCGCCCCAGAGCGGGTTTTACAGGCGGCTCCAGTCTGGGGGCTTTTGTGTCTGCGACTCGGGAGCGGCGAGAGAGCAGACCTCCTCCTCAGAGGGCGCTGTGAGTGTGCCGCCAGGGCCGGGCCGCGAGCCTCCTGCTTCCCCTGTCAGCGGCTCCTGAGGCGGCGGCGAAGAAGAAGGAGTGGGAGGAGGCGGCGGCGGCGGCGGCGCACTCGCCCTCAGCACATGCCGGCCCCGGGTGGGGGGCCGCCCCCAGGCCGCGCTCCCGGCCACCGCCGCTGAGCCCCGCCGGTGCCCGCACGCCGCCCCGCCGCCCCGCCGCCCCGAGGCCTCGTCCTCCTCCCAAACTTTGCAAAGTCGGCCCGCGTCCCCACCGCCCTCGGCCGTGCCTCGGCTCCGAGGCTTGCCTCGCAGCCGCAGCGGCCCCGCGAGGAGGAGGAGCCGCCGCCGCAGCATCAAAGAGACCGAATTCCCGCGGCCTGGGGGGGAGTCATGCTTTGCGGTCTGTAATGTCAGCAGAACAGGAGAAGGATCCCATTTCGCTGAAGAGAGTTCGAGGTAACCGAGAAGGGTGCCGGATTGGGGGAACCGGGGTGAGTGAGGTGCGCGGGGCCCCGTGCCCGGCCGCCGGGAGGCCATGGGGCTCTGTCCGGGCCTAAGTCCGCGCAGCCCGCGTCCCGCCGGCACCCCGGGGCCGAGGCTGCGATCCGAGCGCGCGGCCCGGGCGCCCGCTGGCCCCCGAGACATCCGCGCGGATCCCTCGCCTCCCGACTTTGTGTTCGGAGGCAGTTGGAGCCGCAAGCAGCATCCTTTCTTACCCCCTCCTCACCCACCTCTCCTCGTTCTCAAGACAGCACAATAGGCACCTCAAAGGGTGAAAAACAGACACCCCCTGGCAGAGACCTCGAACGGTGCCCACCCCCTCAAAAAAAGTAAGTTGGAGTACACAAGAGTTGATGCTGTTGAAGAAGGGCTCCTGGGCTTTCACGTCTCTCCTGGCCCCCTTCTCGCCCCCCCACCCCGGCAAAGGCAACAAATATTCAGTTTATTTTCCGTAGGTTTAAGAGGAGAAGCTACAAATTCAGAAGGCATTTTCTCTGTTGGTTTATGGATAAGATATTATCTAAAATCAGTGTTATGCATGGTTGATTTTCTTCTTTCTTGCGCACTGGTTAGGAATTTTCCTTTCGTGTTACTATCATCTAAGAAAAATCAGAGGGAACCATGTGTCAAACAAAAGATACTGCATATAAGTTCACAAAAGTCAAATGCCACCCGGAAATTGGGGGATGCCTTTTAGCTCTTAATAAGGTTAAGACTGAAAGTTCTAGAGTTGGAGTAGTACTCACTGTTCATTAAGCAAATATTTATTGAACATCTACTATGTGCTAGACACTGTTCTTGTTACTGGGATACAGCAGTGAACAAAGCAGATAGACAATCTTCATCCAGTAGGAGTTCACCCTCTTGTGGGATAAACAAATGATAAACAGTAGATACAGAATGTCAAATCGTAGGTGGTATGGTGGACAACAAAACAGGAATAGAGGAGAGGAAATATGTGTGGGGATGGGAAGTATGGATTGTATGTAAGGTGATCATGAAAGGGCTCACCTGGTAGATAATGTTTGAGCAAAGACCTAAAGGAAATGATAGAGCCAGGGCCATATGAATTCACGTGGGAAGAGCAGTCTCTGAAAAGCAACAGCAAATGCAAAGCCCCTGTGTCTGGAATATGCCCAGTGTGTGCAATCAACAGCAAAGAAGCTATTGTAACTGCAGCAAAGTGAGCAAGGAAAGAGTCCTGTGACAGGGGCTAAGGAGTAGGATCAAGAATTATTTGATTCTTGAAAAGTGAGCAAAGGTGATAGATATCATTAAGAGTACATTTTTAAATTATAGCATTTTAATAGTAAAATTACAGTCGTTCAGTAGTCTTAATGCTGCCGGCTATAGGATGATTGTGTATTAGAGGGCCTGGTGTGCCATTTAAAAGACTTTGGCTTTTACTCTGAGAAAAGGTCTGCAGAGTTTTGAGCATAAGAGTGAGTGATCTGACATTTTAAACAGGGCATCTTAAGCTGCTGTGCGGAGAATAGACTGTAGAGAAAAGGCTGAAGCAGGGGAGACTAGTAGGGAGGTGATTGCAATAGTCATCCAAACAGGGTAAACAGGGTAAAATGCTTTATAAATCAGTAAGTAGGAAGGTAAATTTCCGGCTGACTTAAGTGATGTAGAGATGAAGGACCACAGTCATTCATTTTTGTTTTTGTTCAATGTGACTAGAAATTAAACATGTATAGAACTAGCTTGTGACACACAATCCAAAAGACATCCACTCAAGAGTATTTTGGTAGAAAATGATTTTCTTAGCCATTTAAGAGAAAACATAATTTAGAGAATATTGTTTTTAAAGGCTTAATATCAGCACAACCTTTAATTTGGTGAAATATTTTAATTGTCTTTTTCTGTTTGTGGTTGTGAGTTGCCAAAGCCTTTAAGGAATAGACCTTCCTGAGATACAATTATTCCCCTGATATTTGTGCTGTATAATTTTGCCTACTATTATAAATTGTTTTGGGGTTAAAGGAAAAGAAAGAGCTATCAAGTTTATACCTTTGAACTGAATTATCAGTCCTAATCAAATTTAATTCTAAATAAAATGGATGAGTGTTTTATTGTGGGTCAAGAACACAGATATATCTTCATTTTGTTCCAACTGCTGTTAAGTTCTATGGCGTAGCTATTGGGGTTGGCTCCGGTGTCAGCTCAAGAATATTCTGAGAGTTAAGTACCAGAATAAAAGACAAAACACTTTTTAAAATAAAAAGTCAGTATTTTTATGTTATGGGGAGAATTTTCTTAATGTCATTTTGTAATAATTAGAACATTCATTAAAAAATTTTTTGGAATATTTTATGATTAGCTCTTCTGAAGCACCATTCTGCTGAACTTCATTGCCCTGGAGCTTTTTGTTATTTAATGTAATTTATATCATCAGACTGCATGCAGGATGTGGTGTTTGCAGGGCATAAACTCTGGAGCAGTGCTTTTCAAACTGTTTCCCATCTGCTGATGTGATAGAGACAGACCTTTTTAATGGTTGTGTATTTATTTTATATGTATTAAAAGAGTCACCAAATACCTTGCTTAGGATAAGGCTAAGATACATATGTGTATAAATACACACATATAGCAATTTAAATGAATTATTAACACACATATAGCAATTACATGAATTATTAAGAAAGTAATATTATAGGTAGAACTCAGATATGGCAAAACTAAAACATGAATGACTGAGGACTTTACAGTAGCATGCTCTGCAGACCAAAAGCATCATAATCACTTGTGATGCTTATTAAAATATAGATTCGTGGATCTACGGAATCAGGACTTCTGGGATCCACAGAGTTGGGACTTCTGCATCTTTAACAAGATCCCCAGGTGCTCCTTATGCATACTGAAGTTTGAGAAATGCCACTAATAGACCTAGATTATAAAGGTGTGAGTAGACCAGAAGCAGCTGGCTGTGGTCTTCCAAACTGTCCTTATATTTTAACAATAGATTTAGAATTACTCTTTAGTGACACAGTATCTTACTCCTATTTTCTACCAGTTCTTAACACTCCACCCCCAAACCTTCACCTTTTGATTATAAGACAGATCTATGAGGACAGGTACTATGTCTTGATTATCTTATTTGCCTTGCCCATAGTAAATGTCAAATGAATGAATGAGTGAATACATGAATTATGCTGCTTTCTGATAGTCCATTTCCCCTCATACTACTTTTACTTGCCCTTTTCCCTTAGAATGTCAACTGCCATCGTTATTTTAACCAATACTCCCATTCTCCAGTATTCCTAGAACTCTTTTAGGCATTGATCTGATGGCAATATTCATTCATTTATTCAACAAATATTTATAGAGCAATCACAGTGCCATATAGTGGGAATGCACTAATTAAGATATGACACCTGGCTGGGCGCAGTGGCTCACGCTTGTAATCCCAGCACCTTGGAAGGCTGAGGCAGGTGGATTACTTGACTCCAGGAGTTTAAGAACAGCCTGGACGACAACCTGTCTCTACTAAAAGTACGAAAAATTAGCTGGGCGTGGTGGCATGTGCCTGTGGTCTTAGCTACGTGGGAGGCTGAGGTGGGAGAATCACCTGAGCCCAGGGAGGTTGAGGCTGCAGTGAGCTGAGATCGCACCATTCCACTCCCGCCTGGGCAATTGGAGTGAGACCCTATCTGCCCCCACCAAAAAAAAAAAAAAAAAAAGGTATGACACCTGTCTTCAAGAAATTGTTAAGTCTAGTACAGGACAGTGACAAATAAATAGCTACAAATAGCATGATAAGGGCTGTGATTATTTATAGGAAATAAAGGAACACATCTTTTGGGGAATCAAGGAAGGAGAAGAATTCTAAGAAGTAGTGAGTGTTCTTTTGTCTTAAGTGATGTACAGAAAGCATCAGAGGAGATAAAAATGTGAGAAAGGGTCTAGGAGGTCTCTTGTGATTTTGAGAAGGCAGTTTTTAGGAGGAAACCACATTTCAAAGTGTTGAACATTAACGTGGGACCAGGTGTGGTGGCTTATGCCTGTAATCCCAGCACTTTGGGAGGCTCAGGCAAGAGCATCACTTCAGCGCAGGAGTTTGACACCAGCCTGGGCAACATATGGAGAACCCATCTCTACAAAGTTTAAAAATTAGTGGTGGTGTGCACCCGTAGTCCCAGCTACTCAGGAGGCTGAGGTAGGAGGATCCCTTGAGCCCAGGAGGTCGAGGCTGCAATGGGCCATGTTCACACCAAGACACTCCAGCCTAGGTGACAGAGCAAGACCCTGTCTCAAAACAAAAGAAAACAAAAACAAACAAAAAAATGTGGTAAAAGATTAAATGATGAAGATGTGGCTTAAAACTTAAAAGAAGCTTGATGGTAGACAGAAAGACATAGCAAATATCTTAAAAAGATAGTCAAGAGAAAATATGAGTCTTTTTTTTTTTTCATTGGAAAAAGACTTAAACGTATTTGTAGATTTACAGAAGAACCCATTGTAGAAGGACAGGGGAAAAACTGGAAAGGCACCAGAAAGAGGATAATTCATTAATTAATACAGCATTCAATACATGTTTAAAAAATATAGACCATGTGCTATACAATCATTCCAGTAGCTGGAGATGAGACAGACAAGGTTTCTATTGTCATAAATCAGGTCTTTGCAGCTAAGGGAACAAGGTTAGCATCAGGTATACACATGGAAGTTTAGTCTTGGAGAAAAAGAGAATGGAGAAAGAAAGAAATTTAGAGATGAAGAAGGAAGTCAAGGGCATTTATTTCAGTGCTTTTAACCAGAGTTAGAAATAACATAGAAGGGATAAGGATGTATTTTAGAATGGAGTAGTACAGAAATGTCATAAAAGTTACTAAAAATGGACTTTACAAGAAAATATAGACTGTCTCGATGGGATGAATATAGAGGATTTGGATTAAGATTGGAGAAGGAGCATAATTTATGCAGTCACAAATTGGGGGTTGGGGAAGAGCCTGTGAGAGAAAGTCTGAAGGAAAGGATTTTTTGTTTTTGTTTTTAAAATTGGTCCATGTAAGAGCTAGGCAGATTATCAGGAAAGTGAGTTTGGTTTTAGACACATTGAATGAGTATCCTCCTGGGATATTCCAGTGTATACAGTGGATGTATATGGTTTGGAACTGGGTTGAGTTCACCCAGAAGTAGAGCTCTGGAAGTCATCAGTAAACAGATAAATACTAATTAATGCCTTGGGAGTGTATGAGCTCATGCAAGAGAGAGTGAGAAGTAAAAAGAGAAAAGCATTGAAAACACCAACTTTGGAAACACTAACATTTGGGAGACAAGGGGGGAAAAAGACGCTGAAAAGCAGAATGTGAAGGAGTAGTCAGAGAGGTAGGAGAAAAACCGTGAGAGAGTGGTGTTACAGCTAATGAAGGAAGAATGGACTAATGAGGGGTAGATAAATGAATTTTGTTTTTAATGTGTGGAATAAAATGTTTCTATCCATGAGATGTCCATGATTCTTTTTCTACCATATTCCCTCTCTTGGGGAACATGGCCATCTTTATCCATCCCCTACTCCCACGCAACACTGTCCCAAAGTCCTAGAATTTCTGTCTCCTTAATTTTTTTTTTTTTTTTTTTGAGATGGAGCCTTGCTCTGTCTCCCAGGCTGGAGTGCAGTGGCATGATCTTGGTTCACTGCAACCTCTGCCTCCCAGGTTCAAGCGATTCTCCTGCCTCAGCCTCCAGAGTAGCTGGGATTATAGGCACGTGCCACCACGCCCGGCTAATTTTTGTATGTTTAGTAGAGGGCTGATTTCATCATGTTGGCCAGGCTGGTCTCAAACTCCTGACCTCAGGTGATCCGCCCACCTCAGCCTCCCAAAGTGCTGGGATTGTAGGCATGAGCCACTGCGCCCGGCCTCTCCTTAATGTTTTGAACCCATTGACTTCTTGACCTTTCCATAGCTGCTGCTTTATTTTAGGTTTTGCTTATCCCTTTGATTATTTCAGTAACCCTCTATTGGTTTCATGGCCTCCCCCTTAGTCCCTCTTAATCCATTTCCACATTGCTACTGATAGTGATGAATAGCTTACCAAGTACTTTGCTGAGTGTTTTAAATGGATCTTCCTGCTTAATCCTCTCAGTAAATATGTGAATTAGATATTATTGTTGGTTTACAGTCGAGGAATTGATGTTCAGAGAGGTTAAGTAGTATGTGCTTAAGTAACATATATAAGTTTACCCAGTGAGGAAGCAGCAAAGCCGGAACTCAAAATCTAGGGCCCAAGATCTTAGCTACTATGCTGCATTGCCATAGTGGTCCCCAAACACAACTGAGTCACGTTTCTCTCTTTTGTAAAATTATTCAGTGGTTTCCTATTACCTTTAGAGTAAAAATCAAACTTTCTTATGTTGGCTCTTTTTTATTTGGCCCAGGTCTACCACTTAGTCCTCTATTCTTCACACTCCATGAAGTGCTTTCCCTATTTCTTATGCTCCAGTTCTGCAGTATTCACACTTCCTCTCTAAATGTTGTCCTGGTCTCTCCTGCCTTTAAAACTTCCTTTGCATATTCTATCCCTTCTGCTAAACATGCCCTCTTTTTCTCCCACCTTTGGGTGATACTCATCCTCAAAGTTTCAGTTCAGTTGAAATCTCCCAGGATGTTTTCCTGAGCTCCCCACTCAGCCAAGATTAGGTGGGAGTTCCTTATGTTCTCTCAGTATCCTGTGCTTATCTCTATCATAGTGTTTATCACATTAAACTTAAGAGTTTCAAAAGAAAAATATTGTTTCCTATAGGTTATAAGATCCTTACAGGGAGGAATTATTACTTTTATTTATTTTATACTTCCACAAGCTCAACAAATGTTTCTGAAATCCAATTTGATGAACATTAATGAAGAGGTTTCAGTAACTTCAAGTCATTAGTCTTCCTGGTTTGCTTTTCCCAGGTGTGTAGAGAAGTTACCTCCTGGGAAGATGATACAGTTCTGTCTTCTGACATTCTTGTTTTAGGCAACCCGATAGGTCTAAGTCATCTTTAACATCAAAATTAGCCTTAAAGTATGGTCAAGAATGATTTCAGATCTGCTTTTTTATCCCTAATCTCTGTAGATGTGCTAACTGCAATAATGAGAAACAGTACAGCATTGTAACTGTGAGCCTGACTGCCAAGGTTTTTATCCCAGCTCTGCCATTTATTAGCTGTATGGTCCTTGGCAAGTTACTTAACATCTCTGCATCAGTTTCCTCAGCTGCAAAGTGAGAATAATAATGGTACTTATCTCATGGAGTTGTTGGAAGGATTAAATTGGTTAATATGTATGAACCACTTAGAACATTGTCTTCTGCCTTCTAAGTTATCTGTTTGCTATTAACATCAGAAACAGGTCTAAAATACACATTCTGTGTAAGTAATGTGATCAACATTCTCTTTTAGGTATATTTAATCAATCAATAAATGTACATAACCTACAGCAGATTCTTATTTTGTTTAGGAGTGGGTGTGAAGAGAACAGAAATGGTTTTCTTCTTACAGAAAGAAAACAATGAACAAAAAAAAATTTTTTAAGCAGAAAACTCTGAGGTTTCACCGTTTTGTTGGAAAAGACAAATAGAAGCTGTTTATTGAATAATATTTATGAATATCTGCAACTTTGTTCCCCATGATTTCTGAGTTTTTTTGGCTAAAAGTTTGCCTGACTTCGTTCATGAAAGAAGTTCATTATCAGAGGTATTATTGTATAGTTATCTTCACATGTGAATACCATCCACCTACTCTCCTAAGCTTTACCTTTCTAAGCAACCTTAAACCCCATGGACCTCAGTAACACAAAGAGGTAAGTGGGAGACCAGTGGGAATGTGAAGATTTGTTTTACAGAGGGAAATGTTAGATTCTTAAATATAAAATTAATACCATAAAACTCAATGTTCAAAAAAGAATTTTAGGTGGTTTTGCTCACAGATTGCTTGAAAATGAAAAAGTTATTTCAATGATTTCAAGCGTCAGAATTTTGCTGTATAGTAAGTATAAGCAATTATTTGATTCTTGAAAAGTAAGCAAGATGATAGATACCATTAAGAGTATATTTTGTCCATTTATAAATTACAGCATTTTAATTGTAATATTATGTCTGTTCAGTAGTCTTAAGAATGCTGTGGGCTGGATGTGGTGGTTTATGCCTGTAATCTCAGCACTTTGAGAGGCTGAAGTAGTAAGATTGCTTGAACCCAGGAATTCAAGGTTGCAGTGAGTTGTGATGGTGCCACTGCACTCCAGCCTGGGTGACAGAGCAAGACCCAGTCGCTTATAAAATAAAAAAGAATTTTATGAGTAATAATTTAGATGTCCTAGATTAGAGATTGGAGATTAATTTATTAATAATTGTTTTATTTTTAAGAATTACCTTTTTCTATTTATACTTTTGTTAAAATGAAATACTCATGACATGTTAGGGAAGATAGGACTTTGAGGTTTGGCGCCTTCGTTTGTTTATATAACCACTTTATTATTTGACTTCTAAGACCATTGCTAATTCTTTTTCCATATCAGACTCATCACCATCTCAAGGTATTCAGATTCAAGGATATCACATTTCTCTGTTCAATATGTGGGTATATGGTGTTATAGAAAAACTGCATGCAAATTATTAATCTGCAATCATCATTTTATACGGACTACTGAATAATTATAAATTGGTAATAGGTTTATTTAAACCATCAAATTTGAAAAAAAATGACCTTGAGGAGAGCACTGGCTCTTACTGTCAATTCTTTATTTACCATCTTCCCAAGTGGGATTATAACATCAAATTAAAATTAAAATATAGAAGTTCTTTTAATTTGAACCAGAAGTTTCTAATTTTGCCTTCTGTGAGTCACTGAGGAAGACTTAGTGTATGGATCAGATTTTAGGGAGGCAACTAGTATCTTAGAGGTAGATAAGCTTAGTTTTACTCAATTAACCAAAGAAGAAATAGATAAATTGGACTTCATCAAAATTTTAAAATTGTGAGTGTCAAGGGATACTGTCAGTAAAAATAGACAACCCGCACGATGGAAGAAAATGTTTGCAAATCTTGTAGCTAAGAGTTTAGTACCCAGAATATATAAAGAATTTTTGTAATTCACAACAAAATACAACCTAAGAAATGAATGGCCAAAGGATTGAATAGACATTTCTCCAAAGAAAAGATATATATGGTCCATAAGTACATAAAAAGATGCTTGGCATCATTAGTCATTATGGAAATGCAAATCAAAACCACAGTGAGATATCACTTTATATTCATTCACTAGGAGGCTATATTAAAACAAAAACAGAAAAATGTTGGTGAGGATGTGGATTGTAACCCTCATACCTTGCAGATGAAAATATAAAATGATGTAGCCACTGTGGAAAACAGTTTGGCAGTTTCTCAGAGTTAAACATAAAATTGCTATGTGACCCAGTGATTCCACCTCTAGATAGATACTCAAGAGGATTGAAAACATGCTTATACAAAAACTTGTACAAAAAAAAAACTTGTACAAGAATATTTATAGAAGTATTATTCATAATAGCCCCAAAAGTGGAAATAACCGAAATGTCCATCAGCTAGTGAATGAATAAACAAAATGTGGTATATTTATATATTGGAATGTTAATCAGCCATAAAATGGAGTGAAATACTGATACATACTACAACATGGATGAACCTTGAAAATGTTATGCTAAACGAAAGAAGCTATGTACAAAAAGCTACATATTGTATGATTCCATTTATGTGAAATGTCTGGAATAGGCATATTATAAATAGAAGGTAGATTAAGGTTGAAGCAGGTAGATCACTTGAGGTCAGGTGTTCGAGACCAGCCTGGCCAACATGGTGAAACCAGGTCTCTACTACAAATAAAAAAATTCACCAAGCATGGTGGCAGCCACCTGTAATCCCAGCTGCTCGGGAGGCTGAGGCAGGGAAATTGCTTGAACCTCAACCTGGGAGGCAGAGGAGGTTGCAGTGAGCCAAGATTGTGCCACTGCACTCCTGCCTGGGTGATAGAGCGAGACTCTGTCTCAAAAAAAAAAAAAAAAAAGTAGATTAGTAATTGTCAGGGGGTGGGGGAATGAGGAGTGACTGTTGATGGGATAGGGTTTCTTTTGGGGATGATGATAATGTTCAGGAATTAGATGGTAATGATGGTTATATAACCAGGTGAATAAAAATCACCGACTATACACTTAAAACAAAAACCTAGTTTTAAAAACAAAAACCTAGTTTTAGATTTCATTGCTTCTTTTGACCAATGGTGTGACTGCTTTACATTTATTTTTCTTAACTTTTTAAAAATTGGGAATGACTTGCTTTGTGAACTCAAAAGTATCTGAGACAGATTTCAATCAATTTAGAAAGTTTATTTTGCCAAGGTTAAGCATGTACCCATGACATAGCCTCAGGGGTTCCTGAGCCCAAGGTGGTGGGGATACAGCTTGCTTTTATACATTTTAGGTAGACGTGAGACATCAACTAATATTGATACATTGGCTAGCGGCGGGGTGAGGGGTAGGCAGGCGTCCAGGTCATAGGCAGATAAGAGACAAAAGTTTGCATTCTTTTGAATCCTTGATCAGCCTTTCACTGAATACATAATTTAGTCTGGCTCAGTGAATCTCCATTTTTACATAAACAACAGGGCAGAGAAACCGATCAGATATGCATTTGTCTCAGATGAGCAGAGATGACTTTCTGTCCCACATCTTTGAAGATAAGCTATCAGTTTACATTGGCAGGGTGAAATTCAACAGAACTCTTCCTTGTGAGCAAATCGTGAGGGAGGTATGTAGTTTTTTTTTTTATCTTTGTTGCTATCTTATTTAGGAATAGAATGGGAGGCAGGTTTGCCTAGCTACGTAGTTCTCAGCTTGACCTTTCCCTTGGCTTAGTGATTTTGGGGTTCTAAGGTTTATTTTACTTTCACACCTACCTCATAGGTTTATGAAGATGAAGGAAAAGAACATGGATGTTGTATCCAACAGACTTCTAAGTTAAGATGATGGAACAAGACTGCTTTACAGAATCTTTTCCCCCACTTCTTTTTTTTGATCTGTCGCCCAGGCTGGAGTGCAGTGGCACAATCTCGGCGGCTCACTGCAACCTCCACCTCCCGGGTTCAAGCGATTCTTCTGTCTCAGCCTCCCGAGTAGCTGGGATTACAGGCACCCACCACCACGCCCGGCTAATTTTTGTACTTTTAGTAGAGACAGGGTTTCACCATGTTGGCCAGGCTGGTCTGAAACTCCTGACCTCAGGTGATCTGCCTGCCTTGGCCTCCCAAAGTGCTGGGATTACAGGCATGAGCCACCATGCCCGGCCTCTCTCTTTTTTTTTTTTTTTTTTTTTTTTTTTGAGACGGAGTCTCGCTCTGTCGCCCAGGCTGGAGTGCAGTGGCGGGATCTCGGCTCACTGCAAGCTCCGCCTCCCGGGTTCACGCCATTCTCCTGCCTCAGCCTCCCAAGTAGCTGGGACTACAGGCGCCCGCCACTACGCCCGGCTAATTTTTTGTATTTTTAGTAGAGACGGGGTTTCACCGTTTTAGCCGGGATGGTCTCGATCTCCTGACCTCGTGATCCGCCCGCCTCGGCCTCCCAAAGTGCTGGGATTACAGACGTGAGCCACCGCGCCCGGCCTCTCTTTTTTAAATTAACAAGCTTTAACAGCTTTATTGATGTTAATAGTAATGATAGTTTCTGGCTGATGGGACTTGAAATGTAAATCAACTAGGATTTGGTCAGGAAACAGAAACCACACCAGTTATTTTTAACAAATAATATAAAGTATTGCTAACAGAGATTTAAGTAGCAAAAATAAGATGCTAAAGTTTTCACAGAGATAGCAACTGTGAGAACTAGCTGCCATTCCTAAGGCTGTGGAACAAAGGATTGTGGCTGAAATTATTAAATTGTACAAACTCAGAGGAGGGGCCCTGTGGAGTATAAACTCAGATCTCTGAGAAAGGAATACTGTTTAAGCTGGTATTAATACCTCTGGGCTTGGAAGAGCAGCCCTGTAGGCCTGGGACCCAGACACCTGGTGCAGGTGTCTCTGAGGAGTGCAGAAGTCTGTTTCTGCAAGTGTTGGAAATACTACAAACTAGATTTACCGCAACTGCTATGACTGAAACAAACTGCCAATGCAGGATAGTAGACATCAGGCCAGGGTTGCCATGGAGAAGAACAGAAGCATCATATTCATTTTTGTCCTCCAGCCTTCCAGTCTCCCTCTAGCACACCTTGTTGGCATAGCCTAATAGAGATCAAGCAGAGAGTATAGAATGATGTGAACAGGGTGATTGATTTTTTTCTTTGTATTTGTATGCATTGCTTATACTTCTTTATAATGAGCATGTCTATTTCCTACAAAAACACAGTGATTTTTTTAAAAGTACTGACTACAGTATTTGTCATAAAGCTTAAAAAGCAAAGTAGTGTAGCCTAGGGGAGAGAATTGTACATTGCTACTCAGTGTGTGGTTGATGGACCACCAGTATCTGTATTACCTGAGGGGGATTGTTAGAAATCCAAGTTCATGGGCTTTATCCCAGAACTACTCAATCAGAATCTTTGGGAGTAGGACTCAGGAATCTACATTTTAACACACTTTTGTGGTAATCTTTATGCATACTGAAGTTTGAGAACCACTGATACATAGTTTAAAACTTCATATATAGGCTTTCGAGTCAGAAAGACACAACTCTGTGACCTTGGGCAAGTTAGTTAAATCTGAGCCTCTGTTTTCTCATCTATAAAATGGGTATAGCCATAGAATTCTTTGAGGATCAGATGAAATAATGTATATAAAGTGCTTATCCCAGTATCTGACACAGTAAACATTCACTGAATTAATGTTATTAAATGGTAATCCTCTTCCCTTCAGTTTTGTAACAATCTGGTATTGTGGAAATTTTCTTAGTTTTTGTCTTTTAATTGTTAATTAACTGTTGAAATATACTATAGCAAATGAAGGAACGAACAAAAACAAAGATACTTGGACTCAATTTAATTCAACAAACATTTATTGCCTGTGGATAAGGCCATATATTGTAGGTAGATAAAAAATAAATGACATTAGCTGTCCTTATAAAGATATCTTTATATATCATATATCTTTGAAGATATGTTTACGTATCATACACACACACACACACACACACACATATACAGTATACCTTTGAACAACATGGGTTTGAACCTGAAATTTTTTGAAGAATTGCAACAAATTGAAAAAACTCAACAGATGAACCCTATAGCCTAGAAATACCAACAAATTAAGAAAAAGTTAAGTCTGTCATGACTGCATAAAATATATGTAGACACTAGTCTACTTTATTATTTACTACCGTAAAACTTACACAAATCTATTACAAAAAGTTAAAATTTATCAAAACTTACACAAGCATTTGCAGACCCTACGTGGCACCATTTGCAGTAGAGAGGAAGGTAAACAATGATGCAGTATTAAATCATAACTGCATAAAATTAACTGTGCTTACTGTACTACTGTAATTTCATAGCCACCTCCTATTGCTATTGTGGTGAGGTCAAATGTTGCAAGTATCTGCTTAAAATACCACATGGTGCTAATCATCTCTATGAAAGCAGTTCATTTCTCCAATAAATTGCACATCACAGTAAAAAATAGTATCTTTTGGTTCTCACATATTTTTCATCATCTTTAGTGCTGTACCATAAACCTTAAATAACACCATGGGACCCATATAAAGTGCCACTAGTGATGCTGGAAGTGCTCCCAAGAAACAGAAAAGCCATGACGTTACCAGAAAAAGCTGAATTGCTTGATATATACCGTAGATTGAGGTCTTCAACCTTGGTTGCCCGCCATTTCAGACAGATGATTCATCTTGTAAATAGACAATGAAAACATATAGTATGATAAATATAGTACTATAAATGTATTTTCTCTTTCTTATGATTTCTCAATTATATCTTTTCTCTAGCCTACTTTATTGTAAGAACACAGTATGTAATACAACATATAACATATATTTGTTAATCAGTTCTTCATGTTATCTGTTAAGGCTTCCAGTCAACAGTAGCCTATTTTAGTAGTTAAGTTTTAGGGTAATCAAAAGTTATACATGGACTTTTGACTGCACAGAGTATCAGAGCTTCTAACATCCGCATTGTTCAAGAATCAACTATATCACAATGTATATAGTTCAAGGATCAACTATATGCACCCATTGTTGACAGATGCTTATGTTGTTTCCATGTCTTGGCTCTTGTGAATAATGTAACAAACATGGGAGTGCACATAACTCTCTGAGATACTGATTTCATTTCCTTTGGGTGTATATCCAGAAGTTGGATTACTGGATCATAAAGTAGTTCTATTTTTAATTTCTTGAGGAACTTCCAGGCTTCTCTTTAATGGCTGTACCAACTTACATTCCCACCAGCAGTGGATGAGGCTTCCCTTTCCTCCACATCCTCACCAACACTTGCTATCTCTTGTCTCTCTTTTTTTTTTTCCTTTTTTGAGATGGAGTCTTGCTCTGTTGCCCAGGCTAGAGTGCAGTGGCACAGTCTTGGCTCACTGCAACCTCTGCCTCCCAGGCTTAAGCGATTCTCCTGCCCCAGCCTCCTAAGTAGCTGGGATTGCAGGTGCCTGCTACCACGCCCGGCTAATTTTTTGTATTTTTAGTAGAGACAGGGTTTCACCATGTTGGCCAGGCTGGTCTCGAACTCCTGACCTCGTGATCCGCCCACCTCAGCCTCCCAAAGTGCTGGGATTACAGACATGAGCCACTGTGCCCAGCTTTTTTTTTTTTTTTTTAAAGACAGAGTCTCACTGTGTTGACCTTGGCTGATCTTGAACTCCTGACCTCAAGTGATCCTCCTACCTTGGCCTCCCAATGTGCTGGGATTACAGACATTAGCTACCACACCTGGCTTTATTTATTTATTTTTTTTGTCTTTTTGATAATACATCCTAAGAAATGTAAGGTTATTTCTCATTGTGGTTTTGATTTGATTTCCCTGTTGACTAGTGATGTTGAGCACCTTTTCAGGTACCTGTTGGCCATTTTTATGTATTCTTTGGAAAAATGTGTACCTAGGTCCTTTCTCCATTGATTAAGCATTGTTTTTGCTTTTGGATGAGCACCTATATATTTTGGGTATTAACTCCTTAAGAGATATATGATTTGCAAATATTTTCTCCCATTTTTGTAGGCTGCCTTTTCATTTTGTTTCCTTTTCTGTGCAGAAGACTTTTAGTTTGAGGTATTCCCACTTGCTTATTTCTGCTTTTGTTGCTTGTGCTTTTGGTCATATCCCAAAAATCATTGGCAAGACCAATGTCAAGGAAGTTTTTTCCTCTCTTTTCTTCCAGGAGTTTTACAATTTCAGGTCTTACATTTAAATCTTTAGTCCATTTCCAGTTAATCTTTGTGAGTAGTTATAAGATAGGTGTCCAGTTTCATTCATCTGCATGTGGTTATTCAGTTTTTCCAGCACCATTTGTTGGAGGGACTAGACTATCCTTTCTCCATTTTGTACTCTTGGTACCTTTGCCAAATATTAATCATGTATTTGTTGGTTTATTTCTGGGCTCTTGATTGTGTTCCATGGTGAATGTGTGTGTTTTTATGCCCGTATTACTGTAGCTTTGTCATATAGTATGAAATCAGGAAGTGATTTTTTGTTCACTTGTTTGTCAAGATTGCTTAGGCTATTCAGAATCTTTAGTGGTTCCATATGAATTTTAGGATTTTTTTTCTTTTTCTGTGGAAGATGCCCTTGGAATTTTGATGGAGATTATATTGAATCTGTAGATAAAAACTCCCTAAAAACCCTATTGAGGGACACAGAGGAAGACTTCTAATAAATGGAATAGTATTCCCTGTTGTGGCTAGCCATCTGGAACAAAATAACATTGTTTTTTACCTCACATTATCCCAAAATAAATTCCAAATGGAGTAAAGATATGACATAAAAATATGGCCATATTACGAAAAAATAGCTTGATGGTTCCTCAAAAAATTGAAAATAGGATGTATTAGTCTAGTCACAGAAAGACGAATACTGGATGATTTTCACGCTGCTGATAAAGACATACCCAAGACTGGATGATTTATAGATAAAAAGAGGTTTAATGGACTTACAGTTCCATGTGGCTGGAGAGGCCCCACAATCACGGTGGAAAGCAAGGTGGAGCAAGTCACATCTCACGTGGATGGTGGCAGGCAAAGAGAGAGCGTGTGCAGGGAAACCCCTGTTTGTAAAACCGTCAGATCTCGTGAGACTTATTCACTATCATAAAACCAGCATAGGAAAGACCTGCCCCCATGATTCAGTTACCTCCTACCAGATCCCTCCCACAACACATGGGAATTCAAGATGAGATTTGGGTAGGGACACAGCCATACCATATCATAGGATAAACTCTCCAACAATTTCACTTCTGTGTATATATCCGAAATAGTTGAGAATAGAGTCTCAAAGAGGTATTATAACATGTATGTTCTTAGCAGCATTAGTCACAGTAGCTAAAAGGTAGAAACAACCGAGGTATGCATCTACAGATAAATGGATAAACAGAATGTAGTATGTGTATACTATACATGGAATATTATTCAGCCACAAAAAGGAAGGAAATTCTGACACATGCTATAGAACCTTGAGGACATTATGCTTAATGAAATAAGTCAGTCACAGAAAGACAAGTACTGGATGATTCTACTTGTGTAAAATATCTAGAGTAGTCAAATTCATAAAAGCTAAAAGTAGATGAGGATCATAGGGGATGGAGAAGGGGAAAATGGGGAGTTGTTGCTTGATGGATATAGTTTCAGTTTTACAAGATGAAAACATTCTGGAGGTTGGTTATGCAGTAATGTGAATATACTTAATACCACTGAACTGTATACTTTAAGATGGTAAATTATATATGTGTTTTACTACAATTAAAAGTTAAAATTAAAAAATTAAGCCATAAAAATATTAGGAAAAAAACCTGAGAGAATTATGTTTTATTCTCTAAAAATGGGGATTGCTCTTTTAAGCATAAGACAAAGCCCAGAATTAAAAAATAAAATATTGATGCATTTTATTACATAAAATTATTTTTTAAAATTCTGGATAGCATTATAGAGGAAACTGGGTACAGGGTATGTGCAAATTCTCTTTACTATCTTCACATTTTTATAAATGTAAAAATCTAAAATTTAAAATGTATTTAAAATTTTATAACAAGAAATCAAAACATAATAACCTGATGAAAGTATTTACAGTTTAAATATGTTCAGTTTTTTTTTTTAGTATATGAAAAGCTTCCATAAATCACTAAGAAAAGGATGAAACACTCAGTAGAAAAATGGCAAGGAATATTAGCTCCCAAGTGATTCCAACATGCAGCCAAGATTGAAAATGACTAGTTTAGATATTTTTGATAAATCAGAGTAAAATTTGAAAAAATTTTTCTTAAAAACAAAAGCAGGCTTCTTTTTCCCCAAGATGGCAGATTAGAGGCTTTTGGCATGCCTCAGCCACCTGGAAATAGCAAGATAGTACATAAAGATCAACTCTGTGAGCTTTAATTCAAAAAGGAAAATGAGTATCCAATGGAATTGTGAAGGACACCCTCAATCCCAGAGAGGAGAACACTGGCAAACAGCCCCCATGATGGCATCCAGTTGATAAAAGTGAGTGAGGCCTAAGTATGTGAAAGAGGTAGAGAGCCCCTCTCTCTGACTGACCTTTCCACTGGGGATCTGAGCAACTCAGGTAGAGGGAAAGCCCTTTGTTTCTCCCAAGCCCTGGAGCTAACATGGGGAAAATCTTGGAGACACTGTGAGGGAAAGACACTGGGAAAAGCTGCAGGTATTTTCCAAGACCCTGAGAGCAGGATGCCATTTTAAATCTGGTTGTGTACAAAATCAGGAATTCCTTGGTGACCTGGCAGTGCAGCTATATAGGCATTTTAGTCTCAGGCTAGAGATTGGAGTGCCTGCTGTGGAGTGGTAGATATGTCTATAGGACCCCAATGGCAGGCACAGCCACCATCCATCAACCACAGAATATACATTCTTCTCATCTGCACATGAACATACTCTAAGATTGACCACATGCTTGGCTGTAAAGCAAGTCTCAATAAATTCAAAAAAATTGAAATCCTACCAACAGTACTTTTGGACCACGGTGGAATAAACATAGAAGTACCAAGAAGATCTCTCAAAATCACACAATTGCATGGAAGTTAAACAACTTGCTCTTGAATGACTTTTGGGTAATGAAATGACATCTGGGTAATGAAATCAAGGCAGAAATTTAAAAAATTCTTTGAAATAAATGAAAACAGAGGCACAACATACCAAAATATCTGGGATGCAGTGGCAACAGTATTAAAAGGAGCATATGTAGCACTGAACATCACCTCAAAAAGTTAGAAAGATCTCAAATTAATGATCTAACATCACACCTAGAAGAACTAGAAAAACAAGAACAAACTAATCTCAAGGCTAGCAGAAGAAATGAAATAACTAAATCAGAGCTGAATATAACAAATTGAGACACCAAAATCCATACAAAGTATCAATGAAACAAACAAACACCCTAGGATCAAATGAATTTATAGCTGAATTCTACTAGAAATTCAAAAAGAGAAGAGCTGGTACCAATTCTACTATTCTAAAAAATTGAGGAGGAACTCCTTCCTTACTCATTCTATAAAGTAGAATGAGTCCCATCATCCCAATACCAAAACCTGGCAAGGACACAATGAAAAAAAAAAGAAAGCTATAGGCCAGTATCCCTGATGAACATAGATGTAAACATACTTAACAAAATACTAGCAAACCAAATTCAATAGCACATCAAAAAGTTAATTCACCATGATTAAGTAGGTTTCAGTCCTGGGGTGCAAGGTTGGTTCAACATAAGCAAATCAATAAGTGTGATTCACCACATAAACAGAATTAAACATAAAAATCATATAATCATCTTAATAGACATGAAAAAAGCTTTTGATAAAATCTAACATCCTATCACGATAAAAACCCTCAGCAAACTAGGCATCGAACGAACATACTTCCAAATAATAAGAGCCCTCTATGACAAACCCAGAGCCAGCATCATACTGTATAGGCAGAAACTGGATGCAGTACCCTGAGAACTGGAACAAGACAAGCATACCCACTCTCATGACTCCTATTCAGTACAGTACTGGAAGTGTTAGAGCACTCAGGCAAGAGAAAGAAAAGGCATCCAAATAGGAAAAGAAGACAAACTATTTCTCTTTGCTGACAATATGATTCTATACTTACAACACCCTAAGGACTCCACCAAAAGGCTATTAGAATTTATAAACAATTTTAGCAAGGTTTCAAGATACAAAATCAACGTTCAAAAACTGGTACCATTTCAATATACCAGTAATATACAAGCTGAGAGCCACATCAAGAAAGCAATCCCATTTACAGACACACACACACACACACACACACACACACACACACACACACAGTACCTAGGAAATACGTCTTAACCATTGAGGTGAAACATCTCTACAAGGAGAACTAAAAAACACTGATAAAATAAATCATAGATGACACAAACAAATGGAAAAACATTCTATGCTCATGAATTGAAGGAATCAATCTCATTAAAATAGCCACACTGCTCAAAGCAGTCTACACATTGAACACTATTTCTATCAAACTACAATGGAATTTTTCACAGAATTGGAAAAAACTGTGTTAAAATTCATACGGAACCAAAAAAGAGCCCAAATAGCCAAATCAATCCTAAGCAAAAAGAACAAAGTTGGAGGCATCACATTACTTTACTTCAAATATAAGGCAGCAGTATCAAAAACAGCATGGTACTGGTACGAAAACAATTTAGACCAATAGAATGGAGAACCTAGAAATAAAGCCACATACTTGTAGCCATCTGATATTTGACAAAATTGAGAAAAACAAGCAATGGTGAAAGGCCCAGTAAATGGCGCTGGGATAGCTGGCTATCCATATGTAGAAGAATGAAAATGGACCCATACCTATCACCATGTACAAAAATTAAGATGGATTATAGATTTAAATCTAAGGCCTCAAACTATAAGAATCCAAGAATACCCAGGAAACACCATTCTGGACAACAGTCTTGCAAAAGAATATATGACTAAGTCTTGAAAGCAATTGCAACAAAAACAAAAATTGACAAGTAGGATCTAATTAAACTAGAGAGTTTCTGCATAGCAAAAGAAACAACAGAGTAAACAGACAACCTACAGAAGGGAGAATATATTCACAAACTGTGCATCTGACAAAGGTCTAATATCCAGAATTTATAAGGAATTTAAACCATTGAACAAGCCAAAAACAAACAACCCCATTAAAAATGGGCAAAAGGAGTTTGAGACCAGCTTGGGCAACAAAGGGAGACCCTGTCTCTACAAAAAATAAAGAAATTAGCCAGGTATGGTGGCACATGCTTGTGGTCCCAGACACGTGGGCAGCTGAGGTAGGAGAATCTCTTGAGCCCAGGAGTTTGAGGCTGCAGTTAGCTGTCTTCACACCACTGCACCCAGCCTGAGTGATAGAGCCAGACCCTGTCTCAAAAAAAAAAAAAAAAAAAAAAAAAAAAAGGTGGGCAAAAGACAGGAACAGATATTTCTCAAAAGAAGCCGTGCAAGTGGCCAAGAAACATGAAGCAATGTTTATCATCACTAATCAGAGAAATGCAAATCAAAACCACAATAAGATACCATCTCACATCAGTCAGAATGGCTATTTTTAAAAAGTCAAAAAATGGCTGGGCATGGGTGGCTCATGCCTGTAAGCCCAGCACTTTGGGAGGCTGAGGTAGGTGGATTGCTTGAGCCCAGGAGTTCGAGATCAGTCTGGACAGCATGGCAAAACCCCTTCTCTACTCAAAATACAAAATATTAGCTGGACATGGCAGCCCACACCTGTAGTCTCAGCTACCTGGTAGGCTGAAGTGGGAGGATCACCTTACCCCAGGAGGGCAAGGCTGTAGTCAGCTGTGATCACGCCACTGCACTCCAGCCTGGGCAATAGAGTGAGACCTTGTCTCAAAACCATCAAAACCAGGTGTTGATAAGGCCTGTGGAGAAAAGGGAATGCACATAGACTGTTGGTGAGAATATAAATTAGTCACTGTGGAAAGCAGTTTGGAGATTTCTCAAATAAATTAAAACAGAACTACTGTTCAACCCAGCTATCCCCTTACTGGATATATACCCCAAAGAAAACAAATTGTTCTACTAAAAAGACACATAATCACATGTACATGGCACCACTATTCACAATCACAACAACATGGAATCAACCTAGGTGCCCATCAGTGGTGGATTGGATAAAGACTATGTGGTACATACACACCATGGAATATAAACAACCATAAAAAAAAAAGAATGAAATCTTTTTTTTTTTTGTAGCAATATGAATGCAACTGGAGGCCGTTATCCTAAGCAAATTAACATAGGAAGAGAAAATCAAATACTGCATGTTCTCACTTGTAAGTGGGAGCTAAACATTGGTTACTCATGGACATAAAGATGGCAGCAATAGACCCTGGGGACTACTGAGGGGCAGTGCAATTAGGGGCAGGGTTTGAAAACCTATGCTCAGCACCTGGGTGACAGGATCATTTCACACCTCAAACCTCAGCATCATACAATATACCCAGGTAACATACCTGCCCATGTACTCCCCAAATCTAAAATAAAAGTTGAAAATAAAAGCCAGACACGGTGGCTCACGCCTGTAATCCCAGCACTTTGGGAGGCCGAGGCAGGCTGATGACAAGGTCAGGAGTTCGAGACCAACTTGGCCAACATGGTAGAACCGCTGTCTCTACTAAAAATACAAAAATTAGCTGAGTGTGGTGGCGTGTGCCTATAATCTCAGCTACTTGGTAGACTGAGGCAGGAGAATCTCTTGAACCAAGGAGTTGGAGGTTGCAGTGAACCAACATGTGCCACTGCACTCCAGCCTGGTGGCAGAGTGAGACTGTCTCAAGAAAAGAAAAGAAAAAATGGCAAAGGACATACATGGAAAAGGAAATAAATATGTTTCTTTTTGTTTTTGTTTTTGTTTTTTTTTGGGGGAGACGGAGTCTCACTCTGTCACCAGGCTGGGGCGCAGTGGTGCGATCTTGGCTCACTGCAAGCACCGCCTCCCGGGTTCAAGCGATTCTCATGCCTCACCCTCCTGAGTAGCTGGGACTACAGGTGCCCGCTACCAGCCTGGCTAATTTTTTTTTTTTAATTTTTATTTTTAGTAGAGATGGGGTTTCACCATGTTGGTCAGGCTGGTCTCGAACTCCTGACCTCAGGTAGTCTGCCCGCCTCTGCCTTCCAAAGTGCTAGGATTACAGGCATGAGCCACCGCGCTTGGCCAAAATACATATGATTTTTAAATATACATTATAGAGAAATGAAAGTTTATACATGGTGAGATAAATGAAAACAGATGAAAATATGACCATTTTGCATCCTCTGGTGAATCAGTGGGCCTAGGCTTTGATTATCAGTGGTGGTTTATGTAGGGGCAGAATTCTAAGATGACCACCAAGATGTCCCATCCTGCTAGTGTACCTCCCTGTGTAATGCTCAGTACTGTGAATTTCATGAATGTTAATCCCTCGATTGGGCTGTATCATATGGCACAGTTCACCTGGAGATAGGGAGATTAACTGGGCGGACCTGAACTAATTACATGAACCTTCTAAGAGCAAAGGCTTCTTTATGGCTAGTTCAAGAAGAAGAAATCAGAGACTTGAAGCACAAGGAGTTGATACACATTGAAAGCAGAAAGAGTCATGAATCAAGGAATGTGGGTGGTCTCTAGGAGATAAGAGCTGACAGCCAGCAAGGAAAGTAGGATGTTAATCCTACAACCACAGGGAATTGAATTTGGCTACAGACAAGAATGATGAGATTGGAGGCAGATTTCCCTCAGAGCCTCAAGACAAGAACTCACCCTACTGATACCTTGATATCCTGAGCAGAGAACGCAGCCCAATTTCTGATTTTTGAACTACAGACTGAGAGATTATCAATGGTTTTAAAATTTATTTTTAATTCAGATAAAATTCACATGATGTAAAATTCACCATTTAAACTATCTTAGAGTATACATTTCAGTGGTTTTTAGTACTGTGCTAAAAAGTCACTACTTTCTTTGTTTCTCTCTTTTGTGACACCTGTGCCTTGCATGGCCCTGGGACAGGCATGGCCACCAGAACCCCTGGGCTGCAGATCTGCTCCACCTCTCTGTTCTGGCCACTAGGAGCAGAGGAGCTCTGAGCAGGCAAAGCTTTAGAGGACTTTACCCTCTACTTTCTAATTCTATATTACTTTCCATTGCCTCAAAAAGATACCATGTAACTCCCAATTTCCTCCCTTTCCTAGTGGTCTGTCAACTACTAATCTGTTTTTTGTCTCTAAAGATTTTCCCATTCTGGACACTTCCTATAAATGGAATCATGCAACATGTGGCTTTTTGTGTCTGGCTTCTTTTACTTACAACATTTTCAAGGTTCATCCATGTTGTAGCATGTATCAGTACTTCATTCCTTTTTATGGCTGAGTAATGTTTCATTGTATAGATATACCATTTTGTATATCCATTCACTCGTTGATGGACATTTGGGTTGTTTCTACTTTTTTGGCTATTACAAATAATACTGCTAAAAACGTTGTACAAGTTTTTGTGCAAAGAAATTTTCAGTTGTCTTGTCTTGGATAAATACCTAGGAGAGGAATTGCTGGATCATATGATAACTTTATGTTTTACTTTTTGAGGAACTGCCAAACTGTTTTCCACGTGTTTTCCACGGTGGCTGTACCATTTTACATTCCCACCTGCAAAGTATGAGGGTTCCAGTTTCTCCATATCTTTGCCAATGCTTGTTATTATTTGTCTTTTTGATTACAGCCATCCCAGTGTTATCTCATTGCGGTTTTAATTTGCATTTTTTATAACGACTACTGGTGCTGAGCATCTTTTCATGTGTTTCTTGGCCATTTGTGTATTTTATTTGGAGAAATGTCTGTTCAAAACCTTTGGCTGGGTGAGGGATAAAAGACTACACGTCGGGTACAGTGTACACTGCTCGGGTGATAGATGCACCAAAATCTCAGAAATCTCCACTAAAGAATTTATTTGTGGCTGGACGTGGTGGCTCACGCCTGTAATCCCAACACTTTGGGAGGCCGAGGCAGGCGGATCACGAGGTCAGGAGCTCGAGACCAGCCTGACCCATGTGGTAAAACCCCATCTCTACTAAAAATATAAAAATTAGCTGGGCATGGTGGCGCACTATTCACGAGGCTAAGGCAGGAGAATCACGTGAACCCAGGATGCAGAGGTTGAAGTGAGCCAAGATTGTGCCACTGCACTCCAGCCTGGGCGACAGAGCAAGACTTCGTCTCAAAAAAAAAAAAAAAAAAGAATTTATTCATGTAACCAACCACCACCTCCTCCCTAAAAACATATTGAAATAAAAGATACATTTGGAGGGGGGAAAAAGACAAACCTTTGGCCGTTTTTCAGTTAGGTTGTTTTCTTTGAGTTGTAAGAATTATTCATATATTCTGGATACTAGACTCTCATCAGAGTCTTATTATTTGCAAATATTTTCCCCCATTGTGTGGGTTGTCTTTTCACTTTAGTGATAGTGTTCTTTGATGAAAAACTTTCATCAAAAGTTTTTAATTTTGATGAAGTGCAATTTATGTTTTTTTTCTTTTGTTTCTTGTGCTTTGGCATTATAATTAAGAAACTTGGCTAATCAAGGTCACGATGCTCTCCCTCCCGCTCCCCCCGACAGGCCCCAGTGTGTGTTGTTCCCCGCAATGTGTCCATGTGTTCTCATTGTTCAGCTCCCACTTGTAAGTGAGAACATGTGGTGTTTTGTTTTTGGTTTTCTTTTCTTGCATTAGTTTGCTGAGGGTAACAGCTTCTAGCTCCATCCATGTCTCTGCCAAGGACTTGTTCTCATTCCTTTTTTTGGCTGTATAGTATTCCATGGTGTATATGTACCACATTTTCTTTATCATTGATGAGCATTTGGATTGATTCCATGTCTTTGTTGTTGTGAATAGTGCTGCACTGAACATATGTGTGGATTTTTCTTTTTTTTTTTTGAGTTGGAGTCTTGCTCTGTCACCCAGGCTGGAGTGTAATGGCGTGATCTCAGCTTACTGTAACCTCTGCCTCCCAGGTTCAAGTGATTCTTCCGCCTCAGCCTCCCGAGTAGCTGGGATTACAGGCACCCGCCAAAATGCCCAGTTAATTTTTGTATTTTTGTAAAGACAGGGTTTCACCATGTTGGCCAGGTTGGTCTTGAACTCCTGACATCAGGTGATCTGCCCACCTCAGCCTCCCAAAGTGCTGGGATTACAGGCATGAGCCACCACGCTCAGCCAGTGTGCATGTATTTTTATAGCAGAATGATTTATATACCTTTGGGTCTATATCCAGGAAAGGGATTGCTGGGTCCAATGGTATTTCTGCCTCTAGATCTTTGAGGAATCACCACACTTTCTTCCACAGTGGTTGAACTAATTTATTCTCCCACCAACAGTGTAAAAGTGTTCCTTTTTCTCCGCAACCTTGCCAGCATCTGTTGTTTCTTGACTTTTATCATCGCCATTCTGACTGATGTGAGATGGTATCTCGTTGTGGTTTTGATTTGCATTTCTCTAATGATCAGTGATGTTGAGCTTTTTTTCATGTTTGTTGGCTGCATAAATGTCTTTTTTTGAGAAGTGTCTGTTCATGTCCTTTGCCCACTTTTTAATGGGGTTGGTTGGTTGTTTCTTGTAAATTTAAGTTCCTTGTAGACTCTGGATATTAGACCTTTGTCAGAAGGCAAACATTTTCTCTTATTCTGTAGGTTGTCTGTTCACTCTGATGATAGTTTCTTTTGCTGTGCAGAAGCTCTTTAGTTTAGATCCCATTTGTCAATTTTTGCATTTGTTGCAATTGCTTTTGGAGTTTTCACCGTGAAATCTTTCCCCATGCCTAAATCCTGAATGGTATTGCCTAGATATTCTTTTAGTGTTTTTATCATTTTAGGTTTTACATTTAAGTCTTAATCCATCCTGAGTTAATTTTTGTGCAAGGTGTAAGGAAGGTGATATGGTTTAGCTTTGTGTCCCTGTGCAAATCTCATCTTGAATTGTAAACCCCAGGTATTAAGGGAGGAATCTGGTGGGAAGCGATTGGCTTATGGGGGTGGTTTCCCCCATGCTATTCTTGTGATACGAGTGAGTTCTCAGGAGATTTGATGGTTTTATAAGTGTTTGGCAAGTTCCTCCTTTGCTCACTCTTCTTTCTCCTGCCACTTTGTGAAGAAGGTGCCTGCTTCCCCTTCTGCCATAATTGTAAGTTTCCTGAGGCCTCCCGGGCCATGTGGAAATGTGAGTCAATTAAACCTGTTTCCTTTATAAATTACCATCTCAGGGAAATTCTTTATAGCAATGTGAGAAGGGACTAATACAGAAGGGGTCCAGTTTCAGTTTTCTGCATATGGCTAGCCAGTTCTACCATCACCATTTATTAAATAGAGAATCTATTCCCCATTGCAGATTTTTGTCAGATTTATCAAAGATCAGATGGTTGTAGGTGTGTGGTCTTATTTCTGAGTTCTCTCTTCTGTTTCGTTGTTCTGTATGTCTGTTTTTGTATAAGTACCATGCTGTTTTGGTTACTGTAGCCTTGTAGTATAGTTTGAAGCTAGGTAGTGTGATGCCTCCACCTTTGTTCTTTTTGCTTGGGATTGTCTTGGCTATTTGGGCTCTTTTCTGGTTCCATATGAACTTTAAAGTAGTGGGGTTTGTTTGTTTGTTTGTTTGTTTTTGAGATAGAGTCTTGCTCTGTCGCCCAGGCTGGAGTGCAGTGGCATGATCTCGGCTCACTGCAACACAGGTTCAAGCAATTCTGCTGCCTCAGCCTCCCGAGTAGCTGAGACTGCAGGTGTGTACCACCATGCCTGGCTAATTTTTGTATTTTTTAGTAGAGACAGGGTTTCACCATGTTGGCCAGGCTGATCTCAAACTCCTGACCTTGTGATCTGCCCACCTCAGCCTCCCAAAGTGCTGGGATTATAGGTGTGGGCCACTGTGCCCAGCTAGTAGTGTTTTCTAATTCTGTGAAGAATGTCAATGGTAGTTTGATGAGAATAGCATCAAGTCTATAAATTACTTTGGGCAGTATGGCCATTTTCACAATACTGATTCTTCCTATCCATGAGGATGGAATGTTTTTCCATTTGTTTGTGTCCTCTCTTATTTCCTTGAGCAGTAGTTTGTAGTTCTCCTTGAAGAGGTCCTTTACGTCTCTTGTTAGCTGTATTCCTAGGTAGTATATTCTCTCTAGCAATTGTGAATGGGAGTTCATTCATGATTTTGTTCTCTGCTTGGTTGTTGTTGGTGTATAGTAATGCTTGCAATTTTTTTACACTGATTTTATATCCTGAGATTTTGCTGAAGTTGCTTATCAGCTTAAGAAGCTTTTGAGCTGAGACGATGGGGTTTTCTAGATATATCATGTCATCTACAAACAAAGATAATTTGACTTATTATCATCCTATTTGAATACACTTTATTTCTTTCTCTTGCCTGATTGCCCTGACCAGAACTTTGAGTACTATATTTAATAGGAGTGGTGAGAGAGAGCATCCTTGTCTTTTGCCAGTTTTCAAGGGGAATGCTTCCAGCTTTTGCCCATTCAGTATGATAATCAGCTGTGGGTTTGTCATATATATGGTTATTATTATTTTTAAGTATGTTTGTTCAATACCTAGTTTATTGAGTTTTCAACGCGAAGGGTGTTAAATTTTATTGAAGGCCTGTTCTGCATCTACTGAGATAATCATGTGTTTTTTGTCTTAGTTCTGTTTATGAATTATATTTATTGATTTTCATCTGTTGAATCAAGCTTGCATTCTCAGAGATTAAGCCAAATTGATCATGGTGCGTAAACTTTTTGATGTGCTGCTGGATTTGGTTTGCCAGTATTTTATTGAGGGTTTTTACATCAATGTTCATCAGGAATATTAGCCTGAAGTTTTCTCTTTTTGTTTTATCTCTGCCAGGTTTTGTTATCAGGATGATGCTAGCCTCATAAAATGAGTTAGGGAGGAGTCCCTCCTTTTCATTTCTGGCTGCATAGTATTCCATTGTGTATATGTGCCACATTTTCTTAATCCAGTCTATCATTGATGGACATTTGGGTTGGTTCCAAGTCTTTGCTATTGTGAATAGTGCTGCAGTAAACATACGTGTGCATGTGTCTTTATAGCAGCATGATTTATAATCCTTTGGGTATATACCCAGTAATGGGATGGCTGGGTCAAATGGTATTTCTAGGTCTAGATCCTTGAGGAATCGCCGCACTGTCTTCCACAATGGTTGAACTAGTTTACAGTCCCACCAACAGTGTAAAAGTATTCCTATTTCTCCACATCCTCTCCAGCACCTGTTGTTTCCTGACTTTTTAATGATCGCCATTCTAACTGGTGTGAGATGGTATCTCATTGTGGTTTTGATTTGCATTTCTCTGATGGCCAGTGATGATGAGCATTTTTTCATGTATCTGTTGGCTGCATAGTGTCTTCTTTTGAGAAGTGTCTGTTCATATCCTTCACCCGCGTTTCGATGGGGTTGTTTTTTTCTTGTAAGTTTGTTTGAGTTCTTTGTAGATTCTGGATATTAGCCCTTTGTCAGATGAGTAGATTGCAAAAATTTTCTCCCATTCTGTAGGTTGCCTGTTCACTCTGATGGGAGTTTCTTTTGCTGTGCAGAAGCTCTTCAGTTTAATTAGATCCCATTTGTCAATTTTGGCTTTTGTTGCCATTGCTTTTGGTGTTTTAGACATGAAGTCCTTGCCCATGCCTATGTCCTGAATGGTATTGCCTAGGTTTTCTTCTAGGGATTTTATGGTTTTAGGTCTAATATTTAAGTCTTTAATCCATCTTGAGTTAATTTTTGTATAAGGTGTAAGGAAGGGATCCAGTTTCAGCTTTCTACATATGGCTGGCCAGTTTTCCCAGCACCATTTATTAAATAGGGAATCCTTTCCCCATTTCTTGTTTTTGTCAGGTTTGTCAAAGATCAGATGGTTGTACATGCGTTGGCTCTGTTCTGTTCCATTGGTCTATATCTCTGTTTTGGTACCAGTACCATGCTGTTTTGCTTACTGTAGCCTTGTAGTGTAGTTTGAAGCCAGGTAGCATGATTCCTCCAGCTTTGTTCTTTTGGCTTAAGATTGTCTTGGCAATGTGGGCTCTTTTTTGGTTCCATATGAACTTTAAAGTATTTTTTTTCCAATTCTGTGAAGAAAGTCATTGGTAGCTTGATGGGGATAGCATTGAATCTATAAATTACCTTGGGCAGTATGGCCATTTTCACGATATTGATTCTTCCTATCCATGAGCATGGAATGTTCTTCCATTTGTTTGTATCCTCTTTTATTTTGTTGAGCAGTGGTTTGTAGTTCTTGAAGAGGTCCTTCACATCCCTTGTAAGTTGGATTCCTAGGTATTTTATTCTCTTTGAAGCAATTTTGAGTGAGAGTTCACTCATGATTTGGCTCTCTGTTTGTCTGTTATTGGTGTATAAGAATGCTTGTGATTTTTGCACATTGATTTTGTATCCTGAGACTTTGCTGAAGTTGCTTATCTGTTTAAGGAGATTTTGGGCTGAGGCTAATGGGGTGTTCTAACTATACAATCATGTCATCTGCAAACAGGGACAATTTGACTTCCTCTTTTCCTAATTGAATACCCTTTATTTCTTTCTACTGCCTGATTGCCCTGGCCAGAACTTCCAACACTATGCTGTGTTGAATAGGAGTGGTAAGAGAGGGCATCCCTGTCTTGTGCCAGTTTTCAAAGGGAATGCTTCCAGTATTTGCCCATTCAGTATGATATTGGCTGTGGGTATGTCATAAATAGCTCCTATTATTTTGAGAGACGTCCCATCAATACCTAATTTATTGAGAGTTTTTAGCATGAAGGGCTGTTGAATTTTGTGAAGGTCTTTGCGGCATCTATTGAGATAATCATGTGGTTTTTGTCTTTGGTTCTGTTTATATGCTGGATTACATTTATTGATTTGCATATGTTGAACCAGCTTTGCATCCCAAGGATGAAGCCCACTTGATCATGGTGGATAAGCTTTTTGATGTGCTGCTGGATTCGGTTTGCCAGTATTTTATTGAGGATTTCTGCATCAGTGTTCATCAGGGAGATTGGTCTAAAATTCTCTTTTTTTGTTGTGTCTCTGCCAGGCTTTGGTATCAAGATGATGCTGGCCCGGTAAAATGAGTTGGGGAGGATTCCCTCTTTTTCTATTGATTGGAATAGTTTCAGAAGGAATAGTACCAGCTCCTCCTTGTACCTCTGGTAGAATTCAGCTGTGAATCCGTCTGGTCCTGGACTTTTTTTGGTTGGTAGGCTATTAATTATTGCCTCAATTTCAGAGCCTGTTATTGGTCTATTCAGGGATTCAACTTCTTCCTGGTTTAGTCTTGGGAGGGTGTATGTGTCGAGGAATTTATGCATTTCTTCTAGATTTTCTAGTTTATTTGCGTAGACGTGTTTATAGTATTCTCTCATGGTAGTTTGTATTTCTGTGGGATCGGTGGTGATATCCCCTTTATCATTTTTTATTGCGCCTATTTGATTTTTCTCTCTTTTCTTCTTTATTAGTCGTCCTCCTTTTCATTTCTTTGGAACAGTTTCAGTTGTACCTCTGGTAGAATTTGGCTGTAAATCTGTCTGGTCCTGGGCTTCTTTGGGTTGGTAGGCTATTTATTACTGCCTCAATTTCAGAACTTGTTACTATTCTTTAATTCAGTTTCTTCCTGGTTCAGTCTTGGGAGGATGTATGTGCCTAGGAATTTATTTGTTCCAGTTTTTTTTTTAGTATATGTGCATAGAGGTGCTTATAATATTCTCTGGTGATTGTATTTCTGTATTGTATTTCTGTGGGGTCAGTGGTGATATCCCCCTTTCATTTCTGATTGTGTCTATTTGATTCTTTTTTCTTTATTAGTCTAGCTAGCAGTCTCTTTTATTAATTTTTTCGAAATACCAACCTGGCTTTATTGATTTTTTTTTTTGAAGGGTTTTTTGTGTCTCTGTCTCCTTCAGTTCTGCTCTGATTTTGCTTATTTCTTTTCTTCTGCTACCTTTGGAGTTTGTTTGCCCTTGGTTCTCCAGTTCTTTTAGTTGTGATGTTAGCTTGGTAATTTGAGATCTTTCGAGCTTTTTGATGTGGGCATTTAGTGCTATAAATGTCCCTCTTAACACTGCATTAGCTGCATCCCAGAGATTCTGGTACATTGTCTCTTTGTTCTCATTAGTTTCGAAGAACTTGATTTCTGTGTTAATTTCAGTATTTACCCGGGAGTCATTCAGGAGCAGGTTGTTCAGTTTTCATGTAGTTGTATGGTTTTCAGTGAATTTCTTAGTTTTGAGTTCTCATTTGATTGCGCTGTGGTGTGAGAGACTGTTATGATTTCTGTTCTTTTGCATTTGCTAAGGAGTGTTTTACTTCCGATTGTGATCAATTTTAGAGTAAGTGCCATGTGTCGATGAAAAGAATGTAAATTCTGTTGTTTTTGGGTGGAAAATTCTGTATATATCTATCAGGTCCTCTTGACCCAGAGCTGAGTGCAGGTCCTGAATATCTTTGTTAATTTTGTGTCTCGATAATCTGTCTGATATTGTCAGTGGGGTGTTAAAGTCTCCCAGTATTATTTTGTGGGAGTCTGAGTCTCTTTGTAGGTCTCTAAAAACTTGCTGTATGAATCTGGGTGCTCCTGTGTTGGGTGCAAATATATTTAGGATAGTTAGCTATTCTTGTTGAATTGAACTTTTTACCGTTACGTAATGCCCTTTTTTGATCTCTGTTTTGTCACAAACTAGTATTGCAACCCCTGCTTTTTTCTGTTTTTCATTTTCTTGATAAATTTTCCTCCCTCCTTTTATTTTGAGCCTATGTGTGTCTTTGCCTGTGAGGTGTGTCTTTCGGAGACAGCATAACGATGAGACTTAACTCTTTATCCAGCTTGCCATTCTGTGCCTTTTAATTGGGCCATTTACTCCATTTACATTTTTTAAAAAATTTTATTATTATACTTTAAGTTTTAGGGTACATGTGCACAACGTGCAGGTTTGTTACATATGTATACATGTGCCATGTTGGTATGCTGCACCCATTAACTCGTCATTTAGCATTAGGTATATCTCCTAATGCTATCCCTCCCCCCTCCCCCCACCCCACTCCATTTACATTTAAGGTTAATATTGTTATATGTGAATTTGATCCTGTCATCATGATGTTAGCTGGTTAATTTGCAGGCTTGTTTATGTGGTTGCTTCATTGGTCATGTACCTCAGTGCTTTTGTACTGGCTGGCAACAGTTTTTCCTTTCCATATTTAGTGCTTCCTTCAGGAGCTCTTGCAAGGCAGGCTCAGTGGTGACGAATTCCCTCAGGGTTTGCTTATCTGAAAACGATCTTATTCCTCCTTTGCTTATAAAGCTTAGTTTGGTCGGATATGAAATTCTTGGTTGGAAATTTTTTCTTTAAGAATGTTGAACATTGGTCCTCAATCCCTTGTGGCATGTAGGGTTTCTGCTGAGAGGTCTACTGTTAGTCTGATTGGTTTCCCTTTGTAGGCGACCTGGCCTTTCTCTCTGGCAGCCCATAACATTTTTTTTTTCATCTTGACCTCAGAGAATCTGATGATTATGTATCTTGGGGTTGATCTCTTGTGCATTATTTTACTGGGGTTCTCTGGATTTCCTGAATTTTGAATGTTGGCCTGTCTTGCTAGGTTGGGGATGTTCTCCTGGATGATATCCTGAAGTATGTTTTCCGACTTGGTTCCATTCTCCCCCTTTTTCAGGGAAACCAATGAGTTGTAGATTTATTCTCTACATAATTCCATATTCCTTGGAGGTTTAGTTCTTTCCTTTTTCTCTATTCTTGTCTGCCTTTCTTATTTCAGAATGATTATCTTCAAGCTCTGAGATTCTTTCCTTTGCTTGGTCTGTTCTGCTGTTGACACTTGTAATTACATCATGAGGTTCTCATGTTGTGTTTTTCAGCTCCATCATGTCACCTATATTCCTCTTTAAACTGGCTCTTCTGGTTATCAGCACCTGTATTGTTTTATCATGATTCTTAGCTTCTTTGCATTGGGTTACAGCATGCTCCTTTAACTCAGTGAAATTGATTATTACTGACCTTCTGGCGCCTACCTCTGTCAGTTCAGCCAATCTCAGCCTCAGCCCAGTTCTTTCTTTCTTTTTTTTTTTTTTTTTTTTTTTTTGAGACAGAGTCTTGCTCTGTCACCCAGACTGGAGTGCAGTGGTTCAATATCAGCTCACTGCAAGCTCCACCTCCCATGTTCACGCCATTCTCCCACCTCAGCCTCCCAAGTAGCTGGGACTGCAGGTGCCCACCACCACACCCTGATAATTTTTTTAAATATATTTTTAGTAGAGATGGGGTTTCACCATGTTAGCCAGGATGGTCTCGATCTCCTGACCTCATGATCCACCCACCTTGGCCTCCCAAAGTGCTGGGATTACAGGCATGAGCCACTGTGCCCATCTGCCTCAGCCCAGTTCAGTGCCCTTGCTGGAGAAGTGCTGTGATCATTAGGAGGAGAAGAGGCACTCTGTTTTTTTGAGTTTTAAGCGTTTTTGTGTTGATTCTTTCTCATCTTTTTGGGCTTATCTACCTTTGCTCTTTGAGGTTGCTGACCTTTGGATGGGGTTTTTGTGGGGTCTTTTTTGTTGATATTGTTGTTGACATTGCTTCTGTTTGTTTGTTTTTCTTTTAACATTCAGGCCATACTTCTGTAGGGCTGCTGCAGTTTGCTGGGGGTCTGCTCCTGACCCTAGTTGCCTCAGTTTTTCCTGTACCTGGAGATACTACCAGTGAAGGCTGCGTAACAGCAAAGGTGGCAGCCTGCTCCTTCCTCTGGGAGCTCCTTCCCAGGGCAGTCCTGACCTATTGCTGGCTTGAGTGCTTCTATAGGAGGTATCTGGAGACCCCGGTTCAGAGGTTTCACCACTGTCTAGAGGCTGGGCGCGTTGGCTCACACCTGTAATCCCAGCACTTTGGGAGGCTGAGGTGGGTAGATCACTTGAGGTCAGGAGTTTGAGACCAGCCTGGCCAACATGGCGAAACCCCATCTGTACTAAAAATACAAAAAAAGTTAGTGGTGGTGGCAAGTGGTGGTGGTGGCAAGTGCCTGTAATTCCAGCCAATCAAGAGGCTGAGGCAGGAGGATCGCTTGAGCCCAGGAGGCAGAGGTTGCAGTGAGCCAAGGCTACGCCACTGCACTCCAGCCTGGCAACAGAGCGAAACTCCTTCTTAAAAAAAAAAAAAAAGGAAGCAGTCTGGCTGCTTTTTGATAGAGCAGTTGTACTGCACTGGGGGGAATCCTTCTTTGTCCAGACTGCCTAGATTCTTCAGAGCCAGCAGGCAGGAAAGACTGTCTACTGAACTGCAGAGACAGCAGCTGCCCCTTTCCCCAGGGGCTCCATCATGGGGAGAGTTCAGAGTTCTGCTTGTATAACCCTGCTTGGAAATTCCCACAGGGAGGCCTTGCTCTGTGAGAAGTGATGGATCAGGGTCCCACTTAAGGAAGTAGTCTGGCCATGATCTGGCACAGCAGCTGTGCTGCATTGTAGAGCACTCCCCTTCGTCCAGACTGCCTGGACTCCCCAGTGCCAGCAGGCTAGAACAGCTGAGTCAACTGCAGAGATGGCGGCCACCCCTCCCCCAGGAACTTGCTCTGTCTCAGCCAGTCTCCAGTCTGTTGATGCTGGTGGCTGGAATTCCAAGTCAGTGGATCTTAACTTGGGAGGTGCCATGGAAGTGGGGCCCGCAGAACAATGCTGCTTGGCTCCCTGAATTCAGCACCCTTCCTAGGGAATGTATGGGTGGATCTTTTGCCTTGCAGGATTCTTTTTCATCTTTGCAGGGACTTCTGGGGCCGGAGTATGTAAAACTCCTGGGTCTCTGTGTGTGCCTGAGTGGCTGCTCTACTGAGACTCTGCATACACAGCTCTGTATATCGGACCCAAGGCCCTGGTGGCATGGGCTCACGAGGAGATCCCCTGATCTGTGGGTTGCAAAGATCTGTGGGAGAAGTGTGGTTTCCTGGATGGGGTCACACAATCACTCACTGCTTCCCTTGGCTGGAGGTGGGGCTTTTTTTTTGGCTCCATGCTGCTCCTGGGCGGGCGATTGCCCTACCCCATTTTTCTTCATTCTCTGTGGGTCAAGTTGTTCACTTGGTCAGTCCCATTGTGAGAACCTGGATATTTCAGTTGAAGGTGCTTAATTCACACACCATTTTCATTCTTCTCCCTGAGAGCCATGGACCACAGCTCCCCCTACCTTTTTTTTTTTTTTTTTTTTTTGGAGACAGAGTCTCGCTCTTTTGCCCAGGCTGGAGTGCAGTGCAGTGGTGCGATCTCAACTCAGTGGAACCTCTGCGTCCCAGACTCAAGCAATTCTCCCTGCCTTAGCCTCCCAAGTAGCTGGGATTACAGGTGCCTGCCATTATACCTGGCTAATTTTTGTATTTTTAGTAGAGACGGGGTTTCGCCATGTTTGCCAGGCTGGTCTCGAACTCCTGACCTCAAGTGATCTGCCTGCCTCGGCCTCCCAAAGTGTTGGGATTACCGGTGTGAGCCACTGTGCCTGGCCCACAGCTGCTTCTAATCAGCCACCTTGACCCCTCCTTGGTATTAGATTTTTGTCAAATGCTTTTATGCATCTATTGAAATGATCATGTATATTTCTCTTTATTCTATTAATATGGCATATTAAATTGATTTATTTTAATATGCTGAATCAACCTTCTATTGCTGGGAAAAATCCCGCTTTGTCATGATGTATTATCCTTTGAATATTCTGCTGCATTTGTTTTGCTAGTATTTTGTTGAGAATTTTTGCATCTGTGTTCTTTTTTTTAGTTGGGGTCTTGCTCTGTTGCCCAGGCTAGAGTGCAGTGGCATCTTCACAGCTCACTGCAGCCTCCAACCCCTGAGATCAAGAGATCCTCCCACCTCAGCCTCCTGAGTAGCTGGGACCACAGGCATGTGCCACCATACCTGGCTAATTTTTTTTTTAATTTTAATTTTAATGTAGAGGTGGGATCTCACTGTGTTTTCCAGGCTGGTCTCAGACTCTTGGGCTGGAGCAATCCCCCGCCTCAGCCTCTTAAAGTGTTGAGATTATCGACATGAGCCACCACACTCGGCCACATCTGTATTCTTAGGAGGTGTTAGTCTGTGGTTTTTTGGTTTTTTCCCCTTGTGATATCATTGTCTGGCTTTGGTATCAAGGTAATATTGGCCCAATAGAATGAGTTAGGAAGTGTTCCCTCTGCTTCTATTTAAGTGGACATTGTTTTAAGTGGCAAAGCAAGTATGTGGTAATTTGTTATACAGCAATAGAAAATTAATACAACTGTTAAAGAAAATCAACCAGAAATTAGGTTCCTTCTAGTGGAAGAACAGACCATCACTTATGGAGCAGCCTTGCAAAAAAACAGAAATCTGAATCTGATCAAGCCTATAGTCTTGACCAGGGATCCCCAACCCCTGGGCCACGGACTGGTACTAGTCCATGCCCTGTTAGGAACCAGGCCACACAGCAGGAGGTGACTGGCGGGTGAGCGAGCATTACTGCCTGAGCTCCGCCTCCTGACAGATCAGCAGCAGCAGCATTAGATTCTCATAGGAGGGTGAACCCTATTGTGAACTGTGCATGCGAGGGATCTAGGTTGTGCATTTCTTATGGGAATCTAATGCTTGATGATCTGAGGTGGAACAGTTTCATTCCACAACCATCGCCACCTCCCATCCCCCACCACTGGTCCCTGGTGTCAAAAAGGTTGGGGATCACTGGTCTAGACCCAATATCAATTTATAGGAAATAAGGAACATGTTAAACATGTCAATCAGCAAATATAATCAGCAAAATCAAGATATATCAAACATTCCAGACTAGAAAATATAAATCACACCTGCAATTTAATGTAATATAATTTGTAATATAATTTTATGTAAGGAATTAAACAGGTGTTGAAAAACCAAAAAAGCAAAAAGTGAGGTAGCATGGACAGTGACTGCAGGAAGGAACTTCCACATCTGGGACTTAGTGAACAAAGAAAAGAAGTTGGGGTTATGAGAACCTAGAGGATTGGAAGAGAGATGCCATAGAGCTTGGACTCAGACTTGGAGATTGAGGTGCTGCCCAGCTGGTATTAATAACCTCTGAGAAAACATGTTGAAGCTGGTTTGGGGAGTGTGATGGACTACCAGTGCCAGAGAGAAGGCCTGTTGGGATGATAGAGATAAGAAGAGTAAGCAGACAGGAGGGGCAGAAATTTCCTATCACTTCCCCTGGCCTTCAAGTATCCCTCTAGAGCTCCCGTTGGAAGACCCTAGCAAAAGAAAAATGTAGTTTGCAAAGTCCCAGTTCCAGTGTCACTAAGAGGGGTTGGAGCTAAAAGATGGTAGCTTAATAATTGGAACAATAATCAGCCTGGTTCAGTTAATACTTTGCAAGGAAAAAACAGGATGGAGGGAAGTATATCAATTAAAAGACATGTCAAACCAGTTGTAATCTATGGAACATATTTGGATCCCAATCTAAACAAACCATACAGATATTATGAGATAATTGGATTGGGTATGAAATTATATGAAGGATTATTGTTAATTTCTGTAGTGGCTAGAATGGCATTGTATTTTTTTTAAGTTCCTAGTTTTTAGAAATACATTCTGAAATATTTACCAATAAAATGATGTCTGAAATTTTCTTCAAAGTAGTACTGGATGGAGAGAGGTGAAGATGGTGTTGAAAACACAAGATGAGATGTGATGGTTATTAGGGCTGGGTGATAGGCATATGGGGTTAATTTCATTCTTCTCTGTATGTTGTATATGTTCAGAATTCTCCATAATAAAATGTTTCTTAAAGCTGGAAAAATTCCTTTCATAAACTCTTTTTAACCTCTTAGATTGATAGTCAAGCTTTTGCTTTCCTTGATCATGTACTGTTGAGAAAGCAATATTTGGAAACATTGTTGCATTTTTAACATTATCTTTAAGAATTAAAAGGCACATACCTTTGATGCCATAATTCTGGTTCTAGGAGCTACTTGTAAATCTCTCTAAAGGCATTTATACATGGATTTTTATTGCAGCAACAGCAGAGGCTTGGAAACAACTTAAACATTGATCAATATGGAGGGGACTAGTTTAATGAATCATGGTGTAGTCACACTGTAGAATACTACTCAGCTATTACAAAATAAAGAAGTTCTAAATAGAGTGATATGGAATGATCTCCAAGTAAGAAAGCAAGGTACACTGTGTGTACTGTGTGTACTTTGTCTCATTTGTGTCCTCCCCGCCAAAAAAATAATAATAATATACTTTAATATATCTAGATTATCTTTGGAAAGGTAGGCCAGAAACTAGTAATAGTGGTGGCCTCTGAGACAGGGAACCAGTTACTAAAGATTTTAGAGTGAGAGAGAGAGACTTGCTTTTTCACTGAAAGAATAATAAATATGGGAGCAGGGATGAATGGCTATTTCTGGCTCAAACTATGGGAAAGACTTTTTTGAAACAGATAATGATAATAAAAGTATTGCTCTTGTCTAACGAAAATAGAAAACATTAACAGGTAAATATAATAGATATTACTATGAGATATAAAGTAACTTCACTTACAAGTGGGAAATATTACCTGAATTTTTTTTTTTTTAGGTGGTGATAGTGGACTGGATGGGTTAGGAGGACCAGGTGTACAACTAGGAAGCCCAGATAAGAAAAAGCGCAAGGCAAATACACAGGTAAACTGACATTTTCTTTAATAAAAGTTTTTCTTTGCTAGTATGGTCAGGCTGATGAGGTAAATTTGAACTTGGTCATAAGTTTTGTTTTCTATTCAAGTGATTGTACTTTTAATCATTCATTGTACTTTCAATCAATCATTCCAGTGATGGTACTTTCTTTTTTTTTTTTTTTTTTTTTTTTTTTTTTTTTTTTTTTTTTAGGTGGATTCTTGCTCTGTTGCCAGACTGGAGTGAGTGCAGTGGGGTGATCTCAGCTCACTGCAACCTCCACCTCCCAGGTTGAAGCGATTCTCCTGCCTCAGCCTCCCAAGTAGCTGGAATTACAGGCACGCGCCACCATGCCCAGCTAATTTTTGTATTTTTAGTAGAGACGGGCTTTCACCATGTTGATCAGGATGGTCTCAATCTCTTGACCTCGTGATCCACCCGCCTCGGCCTCCCAAAGTGCTAGGATTACAGGTGTGAGCCACCACGCCTCGCTGTATTTTTTTTTGTTTAAGTCTGTAACTAGTGGCTATTGTCAGACTATAGGCATAGACTAGATACTGCAAAAAGGAAGTGTGGGCAAATTAAAATGCTTGTTCTTAGGCTGGGCATGGTGGCTCATGCCTATAATCCCAGCCCTTTGGGAGGCCAAGGTGGGTGGATTACTTGAGGCCAGGAGTTCGAGACCAGACTGGCCAACATGGGGAAAGCCCTTCTCTACTAAAAATATAAAAATTAGCCGGGTGTGGTGGCACACTCCTGTAATCCCAGCTATTGCGGAGGCTGAGGCATGAGAATTGCTTGAACCTGGAAGGTAGAGGTTGCAATGAGCTGAGATCACGCCACTGCACTCCAGCCTTGGTGACAGCGTGAGACTCTGTCTCAAAAAAAAATTAAAATTAAAATGCTTGTTCTTAAATCTAATTTAAAGGTTTTTAAAGGGCATGAATGCCTGCAGTTCTATTAAAAGATTTCAAAATATATAGTAACAATTTTAACCTGAAATAATTGTTCAACTATAATAGTGATTTAGTATTATGTGCATATCACGAAGCAATCATGATGGAGGCCTTTTTTTGTTATAACTTGTGGTTGTAACAAGCAATTATATATACAGGCTCTCACTGTTTTATTCTTTATAAATTTGAAGCACTCTTTCTATGATAAAGGCTACTAGTAAGTATGTGTGTACAGATTACTGATCTTTTTATCATTTTGACCACCATCTGTTAAACTTGCAGTGTGACTAAAACTGGCAGTTTATTTTTTCAGTCTGAGGCCCAGAACTTAATGTTTTGGAAATATTTTAATTGTATCTCCCTGAAGTTAAGCTAGGGGAAAAACTTAGATTCTGATTGTTGTTATTTAACTTTATGACTGTTTGGTGTATGAGAGGTATTTTAGGTTAGACTGCTTTAGTATTTAAGTGAAAGTTTCTAGAGTTATAGGTAAGCATATTAAATGAAAATTAGGATAATGAAGCTTCTTTTGAAAGTTAACTACTTTTGGTTTTTGAAGTTACAATGGATTTGAGCTCAGAAAATCATACTTTATTTTCTTTTGGAAATGAAATAAAACTAAATATTTTTATCAGCAAGTATAATTAAATATAAACATTAGTCAAAATTGAAAGGTCAAGTGAAGATAATAAATGTTTGTTAACACTGCAAGAGAAATTTGACTAATACTAGGTTCACAGGTATTAAGGTAACAGGACAATTTTAATAATGTATTTGATCGAAAACATGTATTTTACTTTACATTCTCATTTCAGGGACCTTCTTTCCCTCCATTGTCTGAGTATGCTCCACCACCGAATCCAAACTCTGACCATCTAGTGGCTGCTAATCCATTTGATGACAACTATAATACTATTTCCTATAAACCACTACCTTCGTCAAATCCATATCTTGGCCCTGGTTATCCTGGCTTTGGAGGCTATAGTACATTCAGAATGCCACCTCACGTTCCCCCAAGAATGTCTTCCCCATACTGTGGTCCTTACTCACTCAGGAACCAGCCACACCCATTTCCTCAGAATCCTCTGGGCATGGGTTTTAATCGACCTCATGCTTTTAACTTTGGGCCACATGATAATTCAAGTTTCGGTAATCCATCTTATAATAATGCACTAAGTCAGAATGTCAACATGCCTAATCAACATTTTAGACAAAATCCTGCTGAAAATTTCAGTCAAATTCCTCCACAGAATGCTAGCCAAGTTTCTAACCCCGATTTGGCATCTAATTTTGTTCCTGGAAATAATTCAAATTTTACTTCTCCGTTAGAATCTAATCATTCTTTTATTCCTCCCCCAAACACTTTTGGTCAAGCAAAAGCACCACCCCCAAAACAAGACTTTACTCAAGGAGCAACCAAAAACACTAATCAAAATTCCTCTGCTCATCCACCTCACTTGAATATGGATGACACAGTGAATCAGAGTAATATTGAATTAAAAAATGTTAATCGAAACAATGCAGTAAATCAGGAGAACAGCCGTTCAAGTAGCACTGAAGCCACAAACAATAACCCTGCAAATGGGACGCAGAATAAGCCACGACAACCAAGAGGTGCAGCAGATGCCTGCACCACAGAAAAAAGCAATAAATCCTCTCTTCACCCAAACCGTCATGGCCATTCGTCTTCTGACCCAGTGTATCCTTGTGGAATTTGTACAAACGAGGTGAACGATGATCAGGATGCCATCTTATGTGAGGCCTCTTGTCAGAAATGGTTTCATCGGATCTGTACTGGAATGACTGAAACAGCTTATGGCCTCTTAACTGCAGAAGCATCTGCAGTATGGGGCTGTGATACCTGTATGGCTGACAAAGATGTCCAGTTAATGCGTACTAGAGAAACTTTTGGTCCATCTGCAGTGGGCAGTGATGCTTAATCAAAGGCATTAACTAAAGTGGGTTTATTTTCCTGTGCATTGCAGAAGTTCATTGACACAGGATTTTAATGTTTTACATTATTTTTTTAAATGCATACACAAAAACATTATTTACTTAGTTTTTATTAATCACTTCATCACTAGAGCAAATTTTTTATTGTCTTTGCTTGCTGTCTTAAATGAGAATAATGTATATGGGGGTGCTTTAGAAACATAAATAAATGTTAGTTGTTGTTATTTATCACAAACATAAAAGCCTCTTGAAACTTCAAAATAATATATAACAAATGTAGGCAAGTTTTAACTTTTAAAAGTTAGAATCATTGAAAAACGTGTATTTCAGTGCTGAACTTTGGTTGTACCATATTAAAGATTTAGTTCAAAAAGTTTATCAAGGATCCACTTAACACGTCTTCACAACATAATATATGTAACTGTAACATGGGGGAAAGCATACATTTTTATGGATTAAAAAAATAATAGTATGACACCAGATTCCTCCTCCACTAGGGTCTTTGGAATCAATGAATTTCATATTTCAAGTGAGTTTTCAGGATATCTGTTTGTACAGATACGAGACAGATCTTAGCATATAGTAAATTCTCAGTAAGTATTGTTGATTAACTTGTGGATGGTACCACATGAAATTGCTAATATTAGATCAGTTGAAAATTGACTGCAATTAGTAAAGTTGGTATAACGTACGTTCCCAGTTGTGCTATTTAGAATTATGATAGTATTATGCTCCTACTTTTCTTTGATATTGAGTTGTCTTGTTATTGTTTATTGTTTTCCAGAGAAATACTATAGTATCCACAGAAGAATTGTGAATACTTTTTTATAATTTTGAACTGGGACATATTGCAGATGAGGAAGGTAGAAACATCCATTTGGCCTTAGAGGGCTCTGCTAGTAAAAGAACTACTCAGTGGTGGTTTGAAAAATCTTGTTCTGGGGATCTGAATTTCAAAAATGAACCCTAGGGGAGATCAAAATCCATTTTAAACAAAGATCAATTAAGAGCCAAAGTGAAATCTAACTTGCAAACAACAATTTGAAGCCTTGCAGCAGACTTAAGGAATTCCCGCTCTGACTGGGGAAAAGTATAAAAATGGACCTGAGAGTACCCTCTTGAGGGATGATCAAGAATGGAGACAGTTGGAGTTGTGCTCATTAAGATTCAAAACAGCAGAAATCCATTTTTGGAGCAGATTATAACCTGTGGCCAAAAAAAAAAAATGTGTGCTGTTTGACAGCTAATGGCAATTTATACAATCATTGGAGGCTGGTAAAGCTCCCTAATATGTTGCCACCATTATCATTGCAACCAAAAAAATTCTGAAGATTGTGTGGTGATCTACGAAAGAGATAAATAATTACTGTTATTTAAACCCAAGTGAAACAATGACGGCAGCAGCATATTATCAAGAAATTTAAATTATGCATGAAAATGTGATTTAAAAACAATGTCCTTTGGGTAACACACAAGAACCTACACTTTCACAGACAAGGACTCGACCTCACATGTCACAAGCTACTAAAGCAAAGTTAAGTGACTTGGGCTATGAAATTTTGTCATGTCCATTTTAGTCACTGGACCTTTATTCCATGGACTACTGTCTATCATTTGGAGCTTTTTCTAAGAAACAATGCATTCCCCAATCGAGATGAAGTAACTGGAAGATGTTAACAATTTATACAGCCTAACAAATGATGAATTTTATAAAAGTTAGACCTTTAATATTCTGTTGGAAGAAAACTATTCATGCTCCTGATGCATATTTTGATTGAATAAAACTTATTTTTTTAAATACATTGTTTTAATTTTGACCTACAAAAACAGCAATTTCATATGGTACAAGGTAATACAAGGTTTTCTCCATTTACCCTTGACTAGTTAGAGGTGAGTACAAAATATTTTCAGTAGTTGTAAAATATTTATCTTTACAATTTTAGGAAACAAAATGATATAAACTATACTTCTAGGTACTCCTTTGTGTGAAAACTTTACCAGTTGAAGCAGGTTAAAATGCAGTATTTTGGGCTGACAGGCATTTGATGGTGTTCAGTAGTGTACTTGAAGATCTCATTTTACTTGGATTTTTTATTATACATATTTCTCTAAATGTTTAAGGACCTAGTTATGTTGCTCCTGAAAGTTTAATGAGTGCTGATTTTTAATAAATGATGCACTGTATGCTGTATGCCTAGTTGTAGCATCAGATCATGATTTATTATTACCCTGAATAGAGCTAGATGATAGATATTTTGAGTAGAACTTTCCAGTGTTCTCAGGAGTTAACACTTTACATGGTAGTACTTGAGTTGTGATCATTACTAAAATCAATTATGCAGTTTCTTAAACCCTTTATCTCTTTAAGTTTCAGTAGTTAGCTGTTTTTGTGAAAATGAAATAACTTCTCCCAAGCTAGTCTAAAGGTATGTGTTATGCAATATAATTCATTTTCTATTTCCACATAGTTGTTTTTAAAAACCTACAAACAGGTGAATTTTTATTCAGGTGTTTAGGTCTTCAAAGCACCTTACTTAAATAAGAATCTGTAAATATTCAAAAGAAAAACTCACGGTTCATTCTGATAGTGAATCATAGCCAAACTGTAATCATAGCTGATGAATAGCGTTCATGTGTTTGAATTAATTTTCCTGCTAGTTCTACATTTGTCTCTACATAATGCTAAGTCAAAAGTTATATAGATGCTTTTGGATGGAATAAGTGATGAACTGTAAGAATAGCCAGATGATAATTTGTCTGAAGAAGGCTATTATACAAACTGAAATGGCTTCTTAGGATAAATGATAAGCTGCCTTCAACTTTAAAAATATGCAGTGATGGAAAAAAACACAGGTGGAATTGTACCTTTTTTGGTATAATCCCTTTCCTTCACTGAAAGTCCTCATCTTACACACACACACACACACACACACCCCCCACAGTTTCTCCAACATCCTTGAGTTTTGCTTAAATTCAACCTGGCTAACTATGAGCATCTAGGTTTACTCACCAAAGCTAGGTTATTGACAGAAAGGTGGGTTTTTTTTTGTTTTTTTTGTTTTGTTTTGTTTTGTTTTTGTTTTTTGCCAGTCTTGCTCTGTTGCCCAGGCTGGAGTGCAGTGATGAGATCTCGGCTCACTGCAACGTCTGCCTTCCTGGTTCAAGTGATTCTCCTGCCTCAGCCTCCTGAGTAGCTGGGATTACAGTCGCCCACCATCACACCTGGCTAATTTTTGTATTTTTAGTAGAGACGGGTTCACCATGTTGGCCAGGCTGGTGTCAAACTCCTGACCTCAAGTGATCTGCCCGCCTCAGCCTCCCAAAGTGCTGGGATTACAGGTGTAAGCCACCACGCCTGGCCAGACAGAAAATTTTAAAAAGCATCAGTTCCTTTCTCAGAACTTGACTTGCTCATGCACTAGAGAATTTGTGGTCCACATGCTTCTAGGTGTTACTCGATTCACTAATACTGAAACAGCTCAGCTTGTGAAAGATAAATTGTTCTTCAGACAGAGTGCTTAGAATTAGATTTGTGATCAGTGTTTTCCTTTTGTGTGAAATACTTTAGAGTACTGCTATAATTGTTATTCAAATTAGAAGGTTATATACATAAAACTAAAGATTTTCTTGTACTAGTGCTTATTCTTCATAAACACAGTGTAAAGAAATCTACTTTTTTGGTGGTTTGTTTTAGACTCCCAACTCTGCCTAGTGGCAGAAAAACCTCTTAATAGTGTGGGTCATCATAAAATCTGCCAACTTTAATCCAAATAAGTATCAAGAGTCTTCATTCAATATTCTTTCAAACTTGTTTGTCTCGAACAAATTAGAGTTTTAGCACTTATTGTTCAATGTACTATAGTAATTGTATTTAATAGTAAGAAAATATATAAGCAATGATTTTTTAAAAGGGAGTTCTCAAGAGTTTTGGATTTCTTTCTGCCGTGTATAGAGGTTTCTTATGCATGGACATTTGTGCTGTTTTATATCTTTTTCAATTAAAAAAAAATTTAAAGGCATCAGGCTCCCTAAGTTCATTTGTAAATAGTGGCTTGGAACTCTACACAATAGGGAAGCTCCTAAAGGCTCATTTAGACCATAATCTAGTTAATAGTATCATGCTGAACTCTCAGTTTTCTTTAGGAAACCAATCAATCAGTGTAGGAGGGAGAAAGAAGCAGAGGTCTTGTCTTTTTCCTGATGTGATTAGGAGGTTAAGTTCTTTGGTGTGGGTTTCTTTGCATTTGCCCCCTTACCATGCTAAACTCTGGTGAAATGTATAAGCAGCCTTGGCTTTTCCTCTCCTGGGTGCTCTGTGCTTCAACATTTTATATCTTTCCTCCCATCAGAAATCCTGTGTCTTTGTGTGGCAGTAGTAGTTGGCTAGACTTTAAGAGAAAAGCATTTTCTACTAAGGTATGAATGAAGATAGTGGGAAAAGTGTCATTAAATTTCTTTTTTAAAAAAGTATGTTTATTAAGAATGAATCTTTAATATCTAACATTTCAGACAATATGACCGCATTTCAGATACCATGGGAAGCAGTACATTTAGTGAATTAGCTGGTACTGTCTGAGGGTACTTCCAGTTTCCTTTAGGCTGTTGTGACTTTTCACAGCTTCCTCTCCTCTAATTCTGAACTTAGAGATTTTCTTCTCATTTCTAATTTTTAGTAGCTTATTGTTCCATCCAGTAGAGCATTATAAAAGTCACATCTGCATCTTCCAACTTATGGTACAGTGATGGGAATTTGGAAGCACCCCTGGAGCAAAGAGGCTAGGGATAGCATTAACATCTCCCAAGACAAGTGGTATAGGGGAAATGAAGGAAAGACTGTGGCCATGTATATGCCAGGCGTTAATACATCAGAGCTGCCTGTATTTAATTTAAAACTTTTGATGAAACTCAGTGGATAAGCATCTTTGTCATATTTTGTCAATAATACATTACTTGCAATTATATTAAAACTTATTCTAAATACCTGTACCTTTCTTGTTCTGTAGATGTGTAGATGATGTTGCTTGTTTGTCAAAATATTATCTTTTATAAAAGAAAGTCCTGCTTCTTATCATGATGTATGTGACTTAAATGATTGTTTCATATTAAAACTATTTCTTCCTTATGTACTGTTTACATATACCTCTTTTTGGGATATTAGTTCAGTACTTTTATACAAATCTGAGTGTGTTCCACATTGGTGACATGTATTTTTGCAGTAACTTTTTGTTTTGTTCTTAGAACATGTCTAAAGTAACACATGCACTAGTGCTGTGGTCTGTGGCAAAATTACTGTAATTCAAATTGGAAAAAAAAATGTTTCCAGACTTTGTCCAACATTTATTCCTATGGCAAAGGAAATTACTATGTAATACTAATTATTTCTTATGCTGGTATGTTTTAAGCTACTCTATGAAGTATGTGAAACATCAATATTTATGGATTAATAGATGGCCTGATGTCTTTCAAATGGGAGAGGAGTAAATTTTAGTGTTACCAACTCATGACACTTGTAATACAATAAATCTTAAAATTTTTATTTTCCACTTACAGGTATACTTTACTAAATAATTACCTTAAATGGCAGTGCATATTAGGATTTTTTAGCACATACTACTAAAATTATATAGTAACTTTTAACTTGTGCTGATATTTCCCAACCAAAAAAGACATCATTCACTTCATCATAACCAAAATAAGTAGTACTGTAATATTTATCTTCATTTATTTAGACATGATTAAGATACCGTAAGACTCCTCTAATTTACCTGGAATTTTTAGCCATTGATTCAAGGACTTGAATGCTGTTTACTTGGTACTACCTAATGAAAGGATTTGGTAATAAAGGTTATAATCACGATTTTAAAGAAAAATGTTTCATCTTGAAGGCAAATTTTTAAGCTTTTTATTTAGAGGTGTTTACTTAAGAATAGTAATTTAAAAGCATTCTTATTTTGTCATTAAGACAAGTACCCAAAAGAATTGTAATAAGTAATACTTGGCCAATGCAAATTTGTACATTTGAAATCATACACTTGAAAGAAAAAAATGAAGGCTTGTGAGTGCTTAAACTGCATATCTTTTTAAAAATTCAAATTTTAGACATATCAGTTTAAATTATCCTTAATAAGGTTTTACTATGTCAGTGATGTATATTACAAAATGTCTACCTATGTTATGTTAATGATATCTCTATACTGCATCATATTCGGCATGGTTATGGTATATTTTGTACTTTTGATTGTGGACTATTGATAGGATTGATATAGCAATAAATCTGATTCAGACTTAATATTTTTTAAAACGCTAGATACCATACTGTATCATAATCCTATTATATTTGACTTGAATGCCCAAAATTTTCATAGTTCTATATTTTATGTTAAAAATTTAGTATTACATGTTAGGGATTTATTTTTGTCTGCTATTTTCACATACATTCTTTTAGAACTGAGTCTGTTTCTATTTAGATCATAGACGTCTAAAGAAGTATTATTAATTCATGAACTGCTTTGTGGAAAAATTTAAATAAAGTATGAAATGACTAGATTACCCCAAATTGTTTATTTTTTTTTTTGGTTAATGACCAGGTTACAATTCTCAGACAAATGAAATTGGCTTGATAACTGATTGAATATAGTAGATAATGGAAAGTTTGACTCTTTAAGGGCTTCCAAGTGTTAAATACATTCTCAATTCTGAATTACTTCATAGTAACTACTTAAATAATGGTAAGCCAATTCTCCTTTTTCTTTTTGAGATATTTAACACAATTTGCGTCTTCTGATCCCATTCCCTTCTTCCCCAAAAACCATGCTAGAATTTAAAATTGGAAGAGTTTAATTTGTCATCTACATTTTAGTTTTTTTATTCTATAGATAAGTAAGAAGACAAGTAGACGTTCTGCTGTCAAGACAGTCCATGTTATTGTTGGCCATTCTTTTCAGGGATAATGCTTAATGTTATTTGTGCGTTGTATAAGGAATGTTGTTTATCAGTATATAGACCTACCATTAGTAGAAATGATGTATGGCAGGCTTTCTTGAATAATATGTATTGTAAGTTTGTTTCCTATAGTGTTATTATGGTTCAGATTCTTTTAAATAAAGCTAGTTTTTAAAGAGAAAAATAACTTTTTAAAGCGTTTGACTTTCATCAGGACAAGTAGGTGTGAGAATCTTGGCTTTGGGTGGGAGATGTCCAGTATAACATCAAGCAGGGAATAGCCTACAATTTATCAGTGTAATTTTATACTAAGGAGAGAACCAGTATTTTTAGTCAGGCCTTGCTGTATACATATTTTTTCTGTGAAGTCTATTCAGAAAACTGAGTCCTGGATTTCCTTAAGAAATTGTGAGCATGACATATTTACTTTGATTTTAACAGTTTGTGACTTCAGTTCTGTTAGTAAAAATTATTTGGAGAAGAGTTTTACAACTTCAGCAGCTTAATGACCCCTGGGGCAGAGACACCACTGTAGCAAATATTAAGAACAAACTTGTGGCTGGGTGCAGTGACTCACGCCTGTAATTCCAGCTACTCGGGAGGCTGCGGCACGGGAATCACTTGAATCCAGGAAGCAGAGGTTGCAGTGACAGTGAGCTGAGATTGTGCCGCTGCACTCCAGCCTGGGCGACGGAGCGAGACTCACGAGACTCTGTCTCAAAAAAAAAAAAAAAAAAGAAAAGAAAAAAAGAACAAACTTTCTTGAATGATAAGACCTCTAGTTTCCTTGAAACAATCATCAGTTGCCTTGAGTCTGTTACATAAAAAGAGGCTGAATAAAATAATGTGTCAACTGATGAAAGCTTGACATTATAGGTAAGAAGTGATAAGATGAAATCTCAAGATAAAATTTGAATGCGTGACATTTCAAATTTAATAGGAAAAAATAAAAATATGTGTATCTCGCTGAAGGAGAGAGAAGATATATATAGAGAGAATTCTTATCAAATAACATTGATGCTCTAAGTTACTCCCTCTGTTTTAAACATATAGCAGTGATAAATATGAAAAGATAAAATTGAACTCAAAACCATGCTAAATCCAAGGACAAGTAATATTGTACAGAAAGAAAGCATGAGCCATGGTGAAGCAGTAGCCTGCCTGACTCTGAGTTCTCAAGCAGAAACTTGCAGTAGGAAATTCTAATCTGACAAGGTAATGAGGTCTAAACATCTTAAAACATGAGATGCAATAACAGTGCTAAAAGGGAAATATATAGCTTTAGATTATTTTTAAGTCCAAAGTATGATGAGCTAAGTTGATCTCAAGAGACTAAGAAAACAACAACAACAAAAAACTTGAAAGTAGAAGGAAGGAAATAATAAGAAATAAAATAGGAAAACACTAGAAGGAATAAGAAGACCATAAATAGGTTATTTAAACAATAAAGATGAGGCCCAGAGCGGTGGCTCATGCCTGTAATTCCACACTTTGGGAGGCCAAGGTGGGAGGATCACTTAAGCCCAGGAGTTCAAGATCAACCTGGGCAACATAAGGAGACTCTGTCTACAAAAAATTTTTTTAATTAGCTAAGTGTGGTGGTGCACACCTGTGGTCTCAGCTGCTCAGGAGGCTGAGGTGGGAGTATTGCTTGAGCCCAGGAGTTGAGGCTATAGTGGGCCTTGATATGCCGCTGCACTTCAGTCTGAGCAAGAGAACAAGACCTTGTCTAAAAAAAAAAAAAAAACTGAGCCTCTGACAAGACTGATTTTTTTTTTTTTTTTTTTTTTTTTTTTTTTTGAGATGGAAACTTGTTCTATCACCCAGGCTAGAGTGCAGTGGCACGATCTTGGCTCGCTGCAATCTCCACCTCCCAGGGTCAAGCAATTCTCGTGCCTCAGCCTCCTGAGTAGCCGGGATTACAGGCGCATGCCACCATACCTAGCTAATTTTTGTATTTTTAGTAAAGACGGGGTTTCACCATGTTGGCTAGGCTGGTCTTGAACTCCTGACCTCAAGTGATCCGCCTGCCTCAGCCTCCCAAAGTGCTGAGATTACAGGCATGAGCCACTGTGCCCGGCCAAAACTGATTTTTTTTTTTTTTTTAATGGTAGGCAGAAATATCAGGAATGAAAATGGAGGCAAGCATAGCACTGCTTTAAGCCGGTGCTGAGCTGGGATTTCTCTCCGCTGCTGTACCACTTGTGAAAGGAAGCTAAAAACTGAAACCTACCTTCAACTGATACCTGGGGCTCTAATTTATAGGAAGATGCAGGGCTAAGGGGGTAGAAATACGCAGTTTTTAAAATGTACAGAGTTGGTAACTGGTTTACAATATGAAGAAAGAATTGAAGCAGTGAATTAGCATGTAACACCTCGCTGAATTGGGGTCCCTAAGACACAAGTTGGAGGCAACCCAAAATTGCTAGAAAGAAAAGGATGAACCCAGAGGAAAGAAAGATAAATGAAGGGAACAAAAAAGACACTGCGAATCAAAATTTCTGAACACATGAGATCTGAAGACAGGAAAACCAGCAAATCAATACCTTTTGAAATTTCAGTCCACTCAAGATGAAAATAATGGAATAAACTGAAACTTTAAATAAGTTTGCTTAGGACTTTGAAAAGTAAGCTAAACAATAAAATAGAAATGATGAAACCCAAATAAGTAGACATTAATCCATTCAATATTTTACTGTCTTAATATGTTCAGGCGCTCTTCTGGATGCTAGAACTATAGCAGTAAATCAAACAGACAAAAATCACTATTCATGAGGTTTTTATTCTAATGATACAGACAGTAAAAGGGTAAGTGCAATTAAGAAATGAAGGGGCTAGGTGCAGTGGCTCACACCTGTAATAGGAAAATAATAGGAAAATAATAGGAAAAAGAAAAATACTAATCAAAGAAATATAGCAGGCCGGGTGCGGTGGCTCACGCCTGTAATCCCAGCACTTTGGGAGGCCAAGGTGGACGGATCACCTGAGGTCAAGGGTTTGAGAGCAGCCTGACCAACATAGTGAAACCCCGTCTCTACTAAAAATACAAAAATTAGCCGGGGGTGGTGGCATGCACCTGTAATCCTAACTACTCGGGAGGCTGAGGCAGGAGAATCGCTTGAACCTGGGATGCGGAGGTTGCAGTGAGCCGAGATCTTGCTACTGCACTCCAGCCTGGGCAACAGAGCAAGACTCCATCTCAAAAAAAAAAAAAAAAAAGATAGAAAAAAGTATACCAGAAAAATACTAATCAAAGAAATATAGCAGGCTGGGCACCTTGTTCACATGAGCCAGCAGCAGCAGCAGTAGTGGCATAGTGGCAGCATGGTGGGGGCACACCCATCCGCTGCAGCAGGATGTAGCAGGTGCTGGGGTGCCTGCCTTTGTGCAGGCATTCACCACAGTGGCGAAGGAGTACAGCTTCCAGGGGCCCCTGCTGGTGACTATGTGTGCGGTTGGCTGGTGGTAGTGTTAGAATGGGGTGCAGGCAGGCGCAATCTGTATGTGTTCTCTGTGCACCACAGGCAGGGGTGGTCACTCAAGTCGGGGGAGGTTCCGCTGGTCTCTGTGCCTAGTTTCATTCCCATGGCAGTGTTGGTGCAAGGGCATGCCAGCAAAGCAATGTGGGGGGTTGCTGTGGGCCAGGCAAAACAGCGTGTAGGGAGGGAGTGGGTGGCCTGGTGTGTGGCTGTGGGGGCTGTCCTGCTGTAGTTCTCTTGATGGTCAGGCATGGTCCACCAGCACAGAAACTATGATGTGAGCCCCCAGGACACCCAAGGCTGTTTGACAGGCAGGCTCAATCAGGCCTGGGCCCCAGGAGGGGCCAGCAGACCAACGGATGCTCATGTCAGACCGGCCTGTCTGATGGGCAAGACCACGTAACAGAGTTCAGGTCCAACACTTCCTCTAGGGCTAAAGTCTCCTATGGGAGCATGTTGAGCCTAGAGAGATGGGTTATCCTGGCCATGCTTCGCTACAGATGCTCCCACACCAAACCCTCTGGGCTCCTCTTCAGCAGACGTGCTGCCCCTACCAGTTCTCTGAGCAGCTATCCCTGCCAACTCAAGGGTCCTTGGTGGTCAGGGGGTCTCCTGCCAGGATTCCAGAGGCACGCAGTGAGAGTGGGTTGCTCCTTACCAGTTCAACTTACCTGTTCCCTCAGAGTTTCTGAGGGCCAGGAATGAGTCCTGGTGCATAGTAGCCCCATGCAGGGCTCCCAGCTTCCTCCTGCTTCAGCCTAGCTTCTGTGTCTTCCCTTTGTTCATTCTGGTGCCTTCCCTCTGAAGATCTGTTAGGAGTATAACAGTCATCTCAGTCCCTCAGTGGCAGCTGTTCCATCTGGTTGCATCTAGTTGGCCACCTTGCCCCCATTTTCACCCAAGAAAACATTTTATAAATATTTTTAAAACCCCACCAAAATGATAAAATAATCATGGACATGTATGATTGCAAAAGAGCCTCAACATATATAAAGCAGAAGATACAATCACAGAGAATTATAGGGAGAAATAAGCAGCAATTGCTTAAGATTTTAAAACAAATTTCTTTCAGAAAATGATAGTCCAAGCATCAAATTTTTTAAAATTATTTTTAATATATATTTTTGTCCACTTAGGCTGCTATAACAGAATACTATTGACTAGGTAGTATGCAGACTATGTTGTCTGACCAAAAGATAATGAAAAAAAACTATGTATGTTTAGAAAATGAAAGTAAACTCTTGACCTCATGTTCCGCCTGCCTCGGATTGAGACCATCCTGGCAAACATGGTGAAACCCCGTCTCTACTAAAAATATAAAAGTTAGCCAGGTGTGGTGGCAGGCACCTGTAGTCCCAGCTACTCGGGAGGCTGAGGCAGGAGAATCACTTGAATCTAGGAGGCAGACGTTGCAGTGAGCCAAGATCATGCCACTGTACTCCAGCCTGGTGACAGAGCGAGATTCCATCAAAAAAAAAAAAAAAAAAAAAAAAGGTAAACTCTTTAGTACTTAATTCATCAGAAGGAAAGTTATGTAACATTTATACCTTAAAGACAACTTAAATACTACACATCAAAACCACAGGGGTAGGTTTAGGATATAGAAAACTGCAAAGAACCTCATTTCCACTCTAACCATGAGAAAAAGCTGGATAATCCACAAAACCATGACTTTTTCTAAAACCATCATAGAGCTAATTTTAAAGGCAATCAAGTAATCTGAATAGCAAAGAGAAACAAGATTCTCCAAGGAGAGAAAGCACATTAACGATTTCACATTTAGCAAAGTGGAAGAGAAAGGTGGCCATCATATCAATGGGAAAGAAGAAATCAACTAAATTGTTTTAAAGGCCATATATGGGTTAGTGTGTCAGTTTGTCATAGGTGGGGGCCTCAGACACCAAGTGAGTTTGCACTCCCTTGTAGGCCTTCACTGGATGCTCAAGAAAATGACTGGGGGCAGGAGAGAAGACTGAAGAAATCCCCCTCACCCACCACCCACAGCAGTGGTTCAAATGTTCATGTGATTAGTAGATTCTTGGCGACAGGCATAAAGTGCAATTTTCTAACCCCTTCTCTCCTACAAATCAAAAGTCTTAAAACATTGGGGAGGATCATCAAACTCTTTTGTCCCTGGACACAGGCAAAGAATTATTGTTTTTAGGGGAGGGCCAGAAGAAAAGCTTGTTTGCTTCTTGGTAACAGATAGGAAACTATCCCAATACCAGAACAAAGGCAAAGATCCATTGCTGCTGGAATGGTAAGGGAGGAAGGGTAAAGGAAAAAACTCTTTGCCACTGTAGGAAGGACAGGGAATTTCTTGGGCAAAGGAGGCTTCATTGATATCAAGCAGATTATGAGAGGAAGTCCTGGAAGGGGGTAGGAAACTGTGTCCCTAGACCAATCACAAAGATAAGGCAGAGCTGGTGGCCATGAGAGGAAGGAAAAGAATAATGAGGAAGTCCCACTACTGAGACACAGGTCCTGTGCCTCTCCCCTAAGCACAAGACCTTAGTAGCACACCTGTAGAGGAATCTGAAGTTTGTGTTGCACTAAAGACAGCTCTACCAACAACAAAACCCAAACCCAGCTCAGCCAAGGCAAACAAAAGCTGAGAATTTGTTGCAAGCAGACCTGTGCTACCAGAAAGATTAAAGGATGTTCTTCACGTCGTATGTTCTCATAAGTGGGAGCTAAGCTATGAGGATGTGAAGCCATAATAATGACACATGGACTTTGGGGACTCGGGGAAAGGGTGGTAAGGGGGTCAAGGATAAAAGACTACAAATTGGGTTCAGTGTATGCTGCTCGGGTGATGGGCGCACCAAAATCTCGCAAATCACCACTGAAGAACTTACTCATGTAACCAAATACCACCTGTTCCCCAAAAACCTATGGAAATAAAACACACACACACACACGAAAAGAAATAAATAATTCTTCTTTTGAGAAGTCTGAAAAAAAGGATGTTCTTCAGGCAGAAGGATTATATTGCAGAGAAACTTGTATCCACACCAAAAAATGAATAGTGTTGGAAGTAGTAAAAATGAAGGTAAATATAAAAGATATTTCTTCTTGTTTGTAATTGCTTTGACCCACATATTATATATATATGTCTATATATAGAGAGAGAGACTGTCTATATATATATAGTCTATTGATTTCTGAAAACATTGCCAAGATAATTCAATGGAGAAAGGGTACACTTTTTAAACACATGATACGAGACAATTGGACAACCATATGTGAAAAAATGAGCCTGGACCTATACTTGGTATCATATAAAAATTTAACTCAAAATGAAACACAGATCTACATTTAAGACCTAAAACCATAACATTTCTAGAAGAAAATCAAAAAGCTTTGTGTGTTAGGTTAGAAAACTATTTCTTAGTTAAGACTCAAACAAATATTTTAAATGTTGTTAAACTGAGCTTTATCACAAAACTTCTATTATTTAAAAGACATTGTGAAGGATGAAAAGACAAACATACAATAAAATAAAATAATTGAAAAGCACATATCTCATAAAGGATTCTTGTATCCAGAATACATAACACACATGTAGCAGACATATCACCGAAGAGTGAAACAAATAAGCACATGAAAAGATGCTTAACATCACTGGTCACCAGACAAATGCAAATTAAAACTGTAGTGAGGTACAAATAGACAACTACTAGATTTAATAAAATGTTTTAAAAGCCCACAAAACTACTGATACCCAGTCCTGGTGAATATGCAGAGTAATGGAAACTTTTATACATTGCTGGTAGAAATGTAAAATTTGTACTTTTGAAGTAGTTTAGTAGTTTCTTATAACATTAGTAAACTTAAACCTATCATATGGCCCAGCAATTATATTTTTAAGTATTTACTCCTGAATGTTTATAGCAGTTTTATTCATAATTACCAAAAACTGGAAACAACCAAAATGTCTACCAACTATAGAATGGACAAACGACTCTTTGTACATGTATATCATATAATACTTAGTAAAAAAAAAGAATGCATGAAACACAACAGCACAGACGGATCTCCAAAGCATTGAGCTAAATAAGAAGAAAACGAAAGGGTTCATACTACATGATTTCCTTATATAACATTCTGAAAAAGACAAAACAATAAGAAAAGAATTCAGTTCAGTGGTTGCCAGGGATCGGGGCTGGGAGGATGTAACTGAGTAGCTTAGGTTCAAAATGCATTTTGAGACTTTTTTTTCTTCCTTTTCTTCCTTTTAGCCTTGAAACATACCTTAATACTCTTTGTTTCCCTGCCTTCCCACCAGACACTCTTGTGCACTGGTAGTTTATCTAATTATGTGCCCAGAAGTTGCAGGGGCTAATCTTGAGATAAACCAGGCATGGAAACCCAGGTGTGAAATTCTAGAGATTACCTCAGAGCAGTTAGTCAACAGCCTCACCATTGTTGAGATGATGCCAGCCTGCACTCCAAGTGGACCATGACTCAGGATAACCAGTGGAACAAGACACACAGACCTCGTACCCAGCACCATTCCTGCATGCCTTCCATTCCAAGTTCCCCTCTTTAAACCCCTGTCCACGGCCTAAAGTTTGAAATAGTCTGTTAAGAGCACGAGTCTGGACATTCCCCATCTGCTAGCGTTTGAATAAAAGCTGTTTCCCTTTGGTCACACCTCATTTCTCATACTTTGACTTCTAACAGTGAGCAGTTGAACTTGAGTCAGTTACAGGAGGAGGAAATTGACTGCAAAGAAATACGAGAAAACTTTGGTGAGATGGAAATATTTTATATCTTGGTTGTGGTTGAGGTTACATAGCTGTTTATATTGATCAAAACTCTAGAACAATATATCTCAAACGAGTGGATTTTACTGCATGTAAATTATACCTCAGTAAACCTAACTTTAAAATTCTAAGATACAGCTCTCGCAATATTTGGAAGGCCAATTTGCAGTCTTAAATGAACCTATAAAAACCAAGGAGCTTTTAAAAAAATGAATTATGATTTAACTCAAGAGTTTGAAGAATAACAAGTAGAAGAATGGAAACAAATGTAAGAGCAAAAGTTAATGAAATGAAAAATGGGAGAAGATCAACAAAAATAAAGGTTATTTTTACTAGTCTTTCAAAAAACTAATAAACATGTAATAAGAGAGATGGGACAGAAAGAGATTATACAAACAAGCAATATTAGGAATAAAAACATGATTATCTTAGATAAAGTAGAAAATGCTATAAGTAGCTTTATGTCAATGGAGGCTAAGACTAGTTGCAGGAAGAATAAGAAATAGGATATTGGTGTGATTGCAGATTATCTGTCTCCCACAAAACACTAATCAATTACAAAGAAGAAAATTATGACTTTACAGTGAAGAAACTTGGCAGACACCAATATGACAGGTGATGACCAATGTTACCAGTGGTGGGAACAGTCAACCGCATATGTCCGTACTATGGCTGATACTCTTACAAGGGCATAGTTTCATTTCCATGATATTCCTGCCATGAATGCATGACCTGAGTGTGATCATAAGGAAACATCCAGCTCAAGGATCACTCTACAAAAGGTAAGGCCTGTACTCTTTCAAAGACTAAGGAGCTTTTTGAGATTGGAGAAAACTGAAGAGACTTGATAACTGTATTAGTCCATTTTCACGCTGCTGATAAAGACATACCCGAGACTGGGAAGAAAAAGAGTTTTAATTGGACTTACAGTTCCACAGGTTTAACTCTGTGCACAAACTAGTCAGTCCACTGAAAAGGATAACAGACAGGTGAGTTTGTGTCCTTTGATTGCTTAGGATCTGTTGCTAATTTGCTGAACTGAAGCTGCAAGAGCCTTGTGTTTTTGAGCATCTAGTGGGAAAAGTCTTTACCTCTGGTTGTGTGAGTTTGAGATATATTCCTACCTCAGCGGGGGTGGAGGGGGAGGGTATAAGTAAAATAAATTAGAAGACTCTTTAAAGAGTACCGTTATGATTGTTTTGGAGCAATGTCACCACTCTCTCCTCAGGGATTTTAGGCAATGTCTGGAGACATTTTGGGCTGTTACAATTTGGGGGTGCTTTTGGCATCTAATGGGTAGAGATTTGGTGTGCTGCCACACAGCTCACAATGCTCAGGACCGCCCTGCATGACAAAACAATTATCTGGCTTAAAATGACAATCGTTTTAGAGAAACTGAAAAGCACTTATATAAATCTAATATTCTCAACATTTCCTCAACATAAATTGAATGTCTAATGCTTTAAATGTGATAGCCTGCTTAAAAAAAAAAAGTCCTTCTCACAGAAGCTGCTAGCTCAAAAGCACTTTAAAAAAAAGCACTTAGAAAAAAAAAAAAAAACAAGAAATCAAGTTCATGCAATTAAACTAGACTGATAATTTGGGTTTAAAAAATAACTGTATCAGGCCGTGTGTAGTGGCTCATGCCTGTACTCTCAGCACTTTGGGGACTGAGTTGGGTGGGTCTCTTGAGGCCAGGAGTTCAAGACCAGCCTGGCCAGCATGGTGACACCCCGTCTCTACTAAAAAAAAAAAACAAAAAAACAAAAAAACATTAGCTGGGTGTGGTGGCACATGCCTTTAATTCCAGCTACTACTGGGGAGGCTGAAGCACGAGAAATGCTTGAACCTGGGAGACAGAGTTTGCAGTGAGCCAAGATTGCACCACTGCAGTCCAGCCTGAGAGACAGAGTGAGACTGTTTCCAGGAAAAAAAAAAAAAAAAAAAAAAACACCAAAAAAGTCGTATATTTTTCTGATTATATCAGTGTGAAGAAAAAATACAAGTATACAAGTTTTATTCTTTTTAAAAATATGGATTGTTTACATAAAGGTAATTTTGTTTTTGTTCCTTTTTTTTCAGGTTCAGGAATACATGTGCAGGTTTGCTGTATAGGTAAATTGCGTGTCATGGAGATTTGGTATACAGATTATTTTATCACTCAGGTAATAAGCATAGCGCCGGGTGGGTAGTTTGTTGATCCTCACCTTCCTTCCGCCCTTCACTCTTAAGCAGGCCCTAGTGTCTCTTGTTTCCTTCATTGTGTCTATATGCACTTAATGTTTAGCTCCCACTTGTAAGTGAGAACATGCAGTATTTGGTTTTCTGTTCCTGTGTTAGTTCACTTAGAATAATGGCCTTCAGCTCCATCCATGTTGCTGCAAAAAACATGATCTTGTTCTTTTTTATGGCTGCGTAGTAATCCATGGTGTATATGTACTACATTTTCTTTATCCAGTTCACCATTCGTGAGCATCTAGGTTGATTCCATGTCTTTGCTGTTGTGAATAGTGCTGTGATGGACATATGTGTGCATGTGTCATTATGGTAGAATTATTTATATTCCTTTGGGTATATACACAATAATGGTATTGCTGGGTTGAATGGTGATTCTGCTTTGTGTTCTTTGAGAAATCACCAAACTGCTTTCCACAGTGGCTGAAATAAGTTACATTCCCACCAACAGTGTATAAGTGTTCCCTTTTCTCTGCAACCTTGCCAGCATCTATTATTTTTTGACTTTTTAATAATAGCCATTCTTACTGGTGTGAGATGTTATCTCATTGTGGGTTTGATTTGCATTTCGAAGAGAATTGCTACTTTGAATTTCTGACATTTCTTATACAGATTTAATCTGATAAGCTAATATTATTCCTACGTAATATTTAGGATGAGGAACAGTGAATAATTTTGTTTAAGTGGATTGGTTTATAATTCTGACAAACTTTTTTTTGTTATTTGTTTGTTTTGGTTTGTTTTCTTCTTAGAGACAGGTCTCGCTCTGTTGCCCAGGCTGGAGCACAGTGGTGCTATCATAGCTCACCGTAACCTCAAACTCCTGGGTATAAGTGATCATCCTATCTCAGCCTCCTGAGCAGCTAGGACTACAGGTCCATGCCACCATGTCTGGCTAATTTATTTGTTTTGTAAAGATGGGGGTCTCACTTTGATGCCCATGCTGGTCTCAAACTCCTGGCCTCAAGCAATTATCTGGCCTTACCCTCCCAAAGTGCTGGAATTGCAGGCATGAGCCACTGCTCCTGGCCTCTGACAAAGTTTTTAATATCAACAGTACATTAGGGGCCTCCAGACCTGGGCCCCCAGCACAGCTTCCCAGGCCCTGCCTGATCACTTCAATCCGTTGCAGCTCTGCATTTCTCTGAGGAGGAAATCCCAGAGACCATCCACAGGCTGTCTGCCATTGCCACTGCAGTGGTACCCACCTTTGCTGCCCTCTGGCTGGGGAAGGAACAAAGAGCCTAATTGCTTTGCTGGCAGCTCCCATATGTGGAGGAGCCCAGTCTCTCTTTCCTATAATCCCTCAACCCACTGCTTTTCACCAGGTAGGGCCCCCAGCTTGGGCCTGTAGCACAGCCTGCAGTAGGTTTGTGTTTTTCTAGGGTGGAGCTTCTGCAGGCAACTGACAGCCCCTCTGTTACTGTAGCAGTATCTGCCCTTCCTGCCATCAGGCTGGGGAAGGAAAAAATAGCCTGAGTGCTTTACTCACACCTCCAGCACGCCATAGCCGCCCTGCAGAGAAGAAGTCAGACTCTTCCCCATGGGCCCTCCATCCCCCTGCTATTCACCAAGCAGGGATCCCAGACTTGAGCCCACAGTGCAGCCTCCTCACCTTGGGCTGATTGTTCTGATTGGCAGTGGCCCTGCGTTTCTCTGGGGCAGAGACCCAAGAGACGAGTGAAAGGCCCTCTACCATTGCCACTGCCAAGGTTCCTGCCCCTGCTGCCCCCAAGCTGGGGAGGGAACAAAAAGCCTGAGCTTGCCACAAAGCTGTGTTGTGCAGGCCTGGAGTGCCAAGCCGAGATCTGTGGCCAGCACTCAAGTGGAAGAGGAGCCCACATTCAGAGAGCACTGACAGGGAGCATGGCTGCGTATGTGAGGAAATGAAAGAGGAGCCACGTGGCTAAGAGCTACCGGCCCTATGGTTAGCGCCATCTACTGGATCACAGCTCAAACTTCAACATCAAAAATACTTCTGTTAGTAGACCCTGTGAAACCAAGGACAAAAATCCAGCCCCAAATAAACACCCTGCACAAAGCCTCAGCCCTCTGAAAACATCCAGAAACAAATCCAACTGGCTATATTGAAATTACACCACAGTTAAGGAACATCAGCACACAGATGAGAAAGAACCAGTACAAGAACTCAGGCAACTCTAAAAGCCATAGCGTTTGCTTACCTCCAAATGACTGCGCTAGCTCCCCAGCAATAGTTCTTAACCAGAATGAAATGGCTGAAATGACAGACATAGAATTCAGAATCTGGATGGCAATGAAGATCATTGAGATTCAGTAGAGAGCTGAAATCCATTCCAAGGAATCTAAGAAATCCAGTAAAATGATTCAAGAGATGAAAGATGAAATAGCCATATAGGGAACCAAACTGAGCTGATAGAGCTGAAAAACTCACTACAAGAATCTTATAATACAATCAGAAGTATTAACAGTATAATAAACCAAGCTGAAGAAACAATCTCAGAGCTTGACAATCAGTTCTTCAAATTATTCAATCAGACAAAAATAAGGAATTTTTTTGAATAAGCAAAACCTCTGAGTAATATGGGATTATGTAAAGAGACCAAATCAATGACCCATTGACATCCCTGAAAGAGAAGAAGAGAGAGAAAGCAGCTTGGAAAACATATTTGGGAATATTAACCATGAAAATTTCCCCAACCTTACTAGAAAGGTTGACATTCAAATTCAGGAAATTTAGAGAAGCCCTGCAAGGTACTATTCAAGGCTATCACCCTGAAGACACATAGTCATTAGATTCTTCAAGGTCAACATGAAAGAAAAAATGTTAAAGGCAGCTAGAGAGAAGGGGCAAGTCACCAACAAAGGGAACCCCATCAGGCTAACAATGGACCTTTCAACAGAAATCCTACAAGCCAGAAAAACTTGGGGCTAATAGTCAGCATCCTTAAAGAAAAGAAATTCCAACCAAGAATTTCATATCCAGCCAAATGAAGCTTCATAAGTGAAGGAGAAATAAAATCCTTTTCAGACAAGCAAATGCTAAGGGAATTCATTACCACCAGACTTGCCTTACGAGAGGTTTTTAAGGGAGTGCTAAACAGGGAAATGAAAGACCATTACTGACCACCACAAAAAGACACTCAAGCATATTGACCATTGAAACTAAAGCAAATATGCAATCAAGTCTTCAAGTCTACATAACAACCACCTAACAATACAATGATGTGATCAAATCAGCACACATCAATACTAACTTTGAATGTAAAGGGGCTAAAAATCCCACTTAAAGGGCATGGAGTGGCAAGCTGGATAAAGAAGCAAGACCCAGTGGTATGCTATCATCAAGAGACCCATCTCACATGCAAGGACACCCACAGGCTCAAAGTAAAGGGATGAAGAAAGATCTCTCAAGTAAACAGAAAACAAAAGAGTAGGAGCTGCAATTCTTATTTCAGACAAAACAGACTTTAAATGAAGAATGATCAAAAAGGACAAAGAAGGCATTACACAGTGATAAAGAGCTCAGTTCAACAAGAAGATTTAACTAGACTAAATATATATTAACCGAACACTGGAGCACTAGATTCATAAGACAACTTCTTACAGACTTACAAAGAGACTTAGATAACCACACAATAATAGTGAAAGACTTCAATGCCCACTGACAGTATTGGACAGATCACTGAGGCAGAATAACTGACAAAGATATTTGGGATCTAAACTTGACACTTGACCAAATAGACCTAACAGACATCTACAGAACACTTCACCCAACAAAAGCAGAATATACATTCTTCTCATCTGCACATGGCATACACTCTGAAATTGACCACATGCTGAGCCATGAAGCAATTCTCAACTAAATAAAAAAAAATCATACCAACCACATTCTCAGACCACCATGCAATAAAAATAGAAATTTTTATTTCTATTATTTTATTTCTATTATTATTTATTTACCAAGAAGATCTCTCAAAACCACACAATTAAATGGAAATTAAATAATCTGCTCTGGAATGACTTTTGGGTAAACAATAAAATTAAGGCAGAAACTAAGAAATTATTTGAAATGAATGAAAATGAAGATACAAAATACCAGAATCTCTAGGACATAGCTAAAGCAATGTTAAGAGGAAAGTTTAGGCTGGGCGCAGTGGCTCACACCTGTGATCCCAGCAGCACTTTGGGAGGCCAAGGCAGGCGAATCACAATGTCAAGAGATTGAGACCATCCTGGCCAACAACGTGAAACTCCGTCTCTACTAAAAATACAAAAATTAGCTGGGCGTGGTGGCAAGTGCCTGTAGTCCCAACTACTAGGGAGGCTGAGGCAGGAGAATCACTTGAACCCGGGAGGCGGAGCTTGCAGTGAGCCGAGATCATGCCACTGCACTCCAGCCTGGTGACAATTAAATGGAACCTCACCTGCTCGGGAGGCTGAGGTTGGAGAATGGCATGAACCCAGGAGACAGAGGTTGCAGTGAGCCAAGATCGCGCCACTGCACTCCAGCCTGGGTGACAGAGCAAGACTCCGTCTCAAAAAAAAAAAAAAAAAAAAAAAATTAAATAAGTGAGAAAGATCTCAAATTAACAACCTAACTTTACACCTAGAGAAACTAGAAGAAAAACACAAAGCCAGCCCCAACGCTGGCAGAAGAAAAGAAATAATCAAAAGCAGAGCTGAACTGAACAAAATGGAGATGAGAAAAGCCATACAAAAGATCAACAAAACCAAAAGCTGCTTTTCCGAAAGAATAAGATTGATAGACTGTTAGCTAAACTAATAAAAAAAGAGAGAAGATCCAAATAAACGCAATCAGAAATGACAAAGAGGACATGAACACCAACCCCATAGAAATACAAAAACCATCAGAAACTATTATGAACATCTCTATGCACACAAGCTAGAAAACCTACAGCAAATGGGTAAATTCCAGGAAACATACAACCTCCAAAGATTAAACCAGAAAGAAATTGAAACCCCAAAAAGATCAATAATGAGTTCTGAAACTGAATCAGTAATGAAAATCCTACCCGACCCTGGACCACATGGATTCACAACTGCATTCTACGAAATGTATAAAGCAGAGCTGGTACCAATCCTACTGAAACTATTCCAAAAAATTGAGGAGGAGGGTATCCTTCCTAACTCATTCTATGAGGCCAGCATCATTGTGATACAAAAACCTGGCAGAGACACAACAAAAAGGAGAACTTTAGGTCAATATCTCTGGTAAAGATAGGTGCAAAAATCTTCTACAAAATACTAACAAACCAAGTCCAGTAGCATATCAAAAAGCGAATCCACCACAACCAAGTAGGCTTTTTCCCTGGGATGCAAGGTTGGTTCAACACAGGTAAATTAATAAATGTGATTTATCACATAAACAGAACTAAAAACAAAACTAAATGACCATCTCAATAAAGAAGAAAAGGCATTCAGTAAAACTCAACACACTTTCATGTTAAAAACCCTCAACAAACCAGGCGTTGAAGATACATTCCTCAAAATAATAAGAGCCATCTATGACAAACCCACAGTCAACATCATATTGAATGGGCAAAAGCTGTAAGTATTCCCCTTGAGAACTGGAACAAGACAAGGATGCCTGCTCTTATCACTCCTATTCAGTACAGTACTGGAGCTCCTAGATAGAGCAATCAGGCAAGAGAAAGAAATAAAAGACATCAAAATAAGAAGAGAGGAAGCTAAACTATCTCTCTTCACAGAAAATATGATTCTATACCTAGAAAACCCTACAGTCTCTGCCCAAAATCTCCTAATCTGATAAACAACCTCAAAGTCTCCCAGATCTGATAAACAACTTCAGCAAAGTTTCAGGATAAAAAAAATCGATGTACAAAATTCAGGAGCATTTCTACACACCAATAATGTCCCAGCTGAGAGCCAAATTAAAAAAAAAAATCTCATTCACAATAACCACAAAAAGAATAAAACACCTAGGAATACATGTATTAGTCCGTTTTCATGCTGCTGATAAAGACATACCTGAGACTGGGCAATTTGCAAAAGAAAGAGGTTTAATTGGACTTAGAGTTCCATGTGGCTGGGGAAAGCTCACAATCACGGTAGAAAGCAAGGAGGAGCAAGTCACATCTTACGTGGATGGTGGCAGGCAAAGAGAGGAGCACTTGTGCATGGAAACTCCTGTTTTTATAATCATCAGATCTCGTGAGACTTACTCTCTCTCATGAGAACAGCATGGAAAATACCTGCCCCCATGATTCAATTACCTCCCTCCAGGTCCCTCTCACAACACGTGGGAATTCAAGATGAGATTTGGGTGGGGACACAGCCAAACCATATCAATACATCTAACCAGGGAAGTGAAAGATTTCTATAATGAGAATTACAAAACAGTGCTGAAAGAAATCAGAGACAAAACAAACAAACGGAAAAACATCCCATGCTCATGGACAGGAAGAATCAATATTGTTAAAATGGTCATACTGCTCAAAGCAATTTACAGATTCGATGCTGTTCCTATCAAACTCCTCACATTTTCCACAGAATTAGAAAAAAACTATTTTAAGATTCATTTGGAACCAAAAAAGAGCCTGTATAGCCAAAGCAATCCTAAGCAAAAAGAACAAAGCCAGAGACATCACACTACCTGACTTCAAACTATACTACAAGGCTTCCGTAACAAAAACAGGATGGTGCTAGTACAGAAACAGACATATAAAGCAATGGAACAAGTTAGAGGACCCACAGATAAAGTCACGCATCTGCAACCATATGATCTTCAGCAAAGCTGATGCTAACAAGCAGTGGGAAAAGAACTCACTAGTCAAAAAATGGTGCTAGGATAACTGGCTAGCCATATACAGAATGTTGAAACTGGAACCCTATGTTTCACCATGTACAAAAATGAACTCAACATGGATTAAAGACTGAAGTGTAAAACCTAAAAGTATAAAAACCCTAGAAGAAAACCTAGGAAATACTCTTCTGGGCATCAGACCTGACAAAGACTTCATGATGAGAATTCCAAAAGCAATTGCAACAAAAGCAAAGACTGACAATAGGGACCTAATTAAACTAAAGAGCTTCTACACAGCAAAAGAAACTATCAACAGAGTTAACAGGCAACCTAGAGAATGGAAGAAAATCTTTGCAAACTATGCATCTGACAAAAGTCTAATATTCAGCATCTATAAAGAACTTAGATCAACAAGCAAAAATCAAATGACCCCATTAAAAAAATGGCAAAGGACATGAACAGATACTTCTCAAAAGAAGACATACACACCAATAAGCATATGAATAAATGCTCAATATCACTAATGATTAGAGAAATGCAAATCAAAACCACAATGAGATAACCATCTCACACTAGTCAGAATGGCTACTAATAAAAAGTCAAAAAATAACAGATGCTGGTGAGGTTGTGGAGAAAAGCAAATGCTTATACACTGTTGGTGGGAATGTAAATTAGTTCAGCCACTGTGGAAAGCAGTCTGGAGATTTCTTAAGGAACTTAAAATAGAGCTACCATTTGACCCAGCAATCCCATTACTGGGTATATACTCAGAGGAATATAAATCATTCTGCCAAGATCATAAAGACACATGCATAAAGACACATGCATGCATATGTTCATTGCAGTACTATTCACAATAGCAAAGACATGGAATCAACCTAAATGCCCATCAATGGTAGACTGGATAAAGAAAAAGTGGTCCATATATACCATGGAACATTATGCAGCCATAAAAAAGGACAAGATCGTGTCCTTTGTAGCAACATGGGTGGGGTTGGAAGTCATTATCCTAAGCGAGTTAACATAGGTACAGAAAACCAAATACCACATGTTCTCACTGATAAGTGGGAGCCAAACATTCACTTTAAGATTCTGAACTATATTCAATTAAGTCATAAATAATCTTTGAATGCTTTGATAATTTCTTTTTTTTTTTTTTTTTTGAGATGGAGTCTCGCTCTGTCGCCCAGGCTGGAGTGCAGTGGCACAATCTCGGCTCACTGCAAGCTCCGCCTCGCGGGTTCACACCATTCTCCTGCCTCAGCCTCCCGAGTAGCTGGGACTACAGGCACCCGCCACCACACCTGGCCAATTTTTTTGTATTTTTAGTAGAGATGGGATTTCACCGTGTTAGCCAGGATGGTCTCGGTCTCCTGACCTCGTGATCCGCCTGCCTCGGCCTCCCAAAGTGCTAGGATTACAGGTGTGAGCCATCGTGCCCGGCCTGCTTTGATAATTTCTAAGTAATATAGAATCCCCAGACCAATCTCAGTTGTTATTTCGTACACATGCTTTTGGATTTTATTTTTATAAGTTATAGAGTGGTTCTTTGAGTCTTACTAATGAGCGTGTTAATTTTTTCCACTTCAATGTGTGAAAGGGATGTGTGTGGACATATGAGGTTGCATTATGTGAACTTATGAGCTTTTCTGGGCTACTAAATGCTTCTTATATGTAACAAATAGTTCTCAATTGCCACTTCTTAGTAGTTTCCATGAAGTAAAAGTAGCTTCTTTGATTACAGTTCTAAATAATACAAGTGGTAGAGATTATTGCAGGTGCAGTGTGACAGAGAAGTATGAAGAGAACACTATTATTTAAAGCAAAGTGTTTGGTGTAGAATGTTAAAGAAGATAGTAAAGGATGAAACTTGGATGGTGAGGAAAATTAAAGTCATGCAAACAGTGAACTTTATTTGCCTTGGTTTATCATAACTACAGATAATGAGCCTGAAAAGAAGCAATAAAATTTATTACAACTGTTAGTAAGTTTTGCCCAATTTTTATGAGTTTTACGAGTAGAAATTTAAGATAAAGTAAAAATGTAAAGTTTTTAACTGCCTAAAGTTTAGGTTAATACAAAATTATAATTTATTTTTTCCCTTATGTTAAAATGATAAATTGGTTTCAGAGCCTTCAGTCTGTTGTTAACCACAGGCAGGTTATTTTTTTACCTTCAATTTAATCTACTCAGATAATGAAACTTTATTTTTTTGAGACAGGGTCTTGCTCTGTCACCCAGGCTGGAGTGCAGTGGTGCCAACATGGATCATTGCAGCCTTCCATTCCTGTACTCAAGCAATCCTCCCACCTAAGCTCCCTGAGTAGCTGGGACTACAGGTGTGAGCCACCACGCCTGAGTAATTTTTTTTTTTTTTTAGAGACATTATCTCACTATGTTGCTCAGGCTGGTTTCAAACTACTGAGCTCAAGCGTCAAGTGCTCTGCCCACCTCAGTTTCCCAAAGTGCTAGGGTTATAGGTGTGAGCCACTGTGCCCAGCCTGCAATTTTATATCTCACAAGAAAAGTTTTCTGATTTTGTCATGGCCTTGATTACAGTACTTAAAAACAAAAACAAAAAACAAAGTACTCATGCTGAAAAAGCTGAAGTTCCTTACAATTGTGTTATCTTTTAGGATTTTTTTCACCCTATATTTTTCTTTTCTCTAGTGTCAACTCCTGTGCCAACCTTGATTTATAGGTAGTCAAGTTAAAATAATTCATTGTTCTCAGATTTCTATGATTTTTTCTTAATCAAGTGACAAATTCTGCTATGATAACTTTTTGATTATGCTTTTCCAAGATCGAACCCTAAATTATATTTTCAAAAATTCAAGATGTCTTTTAGACCTAACTGTTTTTGAGTTTTCCCAAGAGGCCCCTAAAAATCATGAAGATTTATTCTTTTTTTTTTTTTTTTTGTGAGATAGAGCCTCACTCCATTGCCAGGCTAGAGTGCAATGGCGTGATCTTGCCACTAGATTTATTCTTTACTCAAAAAGGAATGGTAAAAATAATTGAAATTGCCTGATATATTTCATATTTCTGAAGTAGCAGAACATTATTGTAAGAACTGCATGGGAAAAGCTGTCAAATTTAAAGTTCAACCATTTCTAGTTCAATTTTTAGGTAAATAGTACCAATATAAACATGTTTCAGAGATTATGCACTTAGCATAATTTTTCAATGTCTTCACTATCCATAGTATGTTCTTTCCTTTGAGGAAAATATTGACCAAATCCTTTTTAAACAGTTATATATTGTATACCAGTAGAGAGTTTTTCTCTTCTCCATTTTCATTTAGCATCAGGCATTCAGTATTATCATCGGCAGGTTATTTCTGCTTTTCTCTCATGCTCACCTGAAGCCTTTGCTATAAGCTGTAGGTTAGAAAGGGTCTTGGCTGGGCGCAGTGGCTCACAGCACTTTGGGAGGCCAAGATGAGAGGATCGCTTGAGGCCAGGAGTTCAAGACCAGCCTGGTCAACAGAGCGAGATCCCATCTCTCAGAAAGAAAAAAAAAGAAAGAAAGAAGAAAAAAAGAAAGAAACAAAGGAAGGAAGGAAGGAAAAGAAAGAAGGAAGGAAGGAAAAGAAAGAAAGAAGGAAGGAAAGAAAGGAAGGAAGGAAAAGAAAGAAAGAAGGAAAGAAAGAGAGAGAGAGAGAGAGAATGAAAGAAAGAGAGAAAGAAAGAAAGAAAAGAAAGGAAAAGAAAAAAAGAAAGAAAGATTGCCTCAATCTAAGGAGGAAACACTTAGGGCATTGCAGAAGACTATAGAATTGATATCCTCAGCTATTGATACGTCAAGAAATTAAGACAGAGGCAGTGAAAAGTGGATGGATCTGAGAGATATTTAGGACTCTGAGGTTGATTGGATTTGTGGCACCTATCTGATATGATTTGGATGTTGTCCCCTCCAAATCTCATGTTGAAATGGAATCCTCAGTGTTGAAATTAGGGCCTGCTGGGAGGTGTTTGGATCATGGGGGAGGATCCCTTGTGAATAGCTTAGCACCGTCCCTTTGGTGATGAGCGAATTCTTGCTCTGAGTTCACCCAAGATCTGGTTGTTTAAAAGTCTGTGGCACCTCCTCCTGTCTCTCTTGCTCCCACTCTCACTATGGGACATGCTAGCTTTCTGTTGCCTTCCACCATGATTGTAAGCTTTCTGAGGCCTCACCAGAAGCAGATGGCAACACTACGCTTCTTGTAAAGCCTGCAGAACCATTAGCCAATTAAACATGTTTTCTTTATAAATTATCCATTTGTATTTATAGCATGCAAAAATGACCGAACACACTATCATAGGTATAATTATCAAATTCAAAAGCATTCAGTTCGTGAATATTAAAAGCTTCAGTTTTGTTCTCACTCAGATAGAAAAAACCATTTCATGTCTGTCAGGATGTGAATCAGAAAAATGACTGTGGCTGGGCATGGTGGCTCGTGCTTGTAATTCCAACACATTGGGAGGCTGAAGTGGGAAGATTGCTTAAAGCCAAGAGTTCAAAACCAGCCTGGGAAAAATATAAAGACCCTGTCTCTACAGAAAAGTTAAAAAAAAAAATGCTTCTGGTAAAGTCCAAGAAGAAAACGATAGATCTGCTCAAATGTCTGAATAAAGTATTGATAATATGAGGGCTTTACACAAAATCATAATTAATCCTTTCAATACCCTACATATAGATATTATTGCTTGCATTTTACAGATAAGGAAACTGAGGCTTGGGGGGAGAACCTTACTCAGGGTCATACAGCTAATAAAAGTAGAATTGGCTGAGTGTAGTGGTGCACGCCTGAAATTCCAGCACTTTGGGAGGCTGAGGTGGGAGGGAGGCTTCTGCCCAGGTTGCAGTGAGCTATGATGACAGTGCCACTGGATTCCTGCCTGGGTGACAGAGTGGGACCCTGTCACTAAAAAAAAAAATAACGATAATTAAAAAAAAAAAAAAGAAAAGTAGACTAGGCATACTAACCCAATTTGTCCAGTTACAAACACTTGATTAGAGGACCAAATTTTGATGCTAAGGAATTAAAAAAAAAAAAAAGGATTTTACCCTGGAAAGATGTTAACATTCCCAACATTCCTGACCTTAGATCCTGAGCCCCCTGGTTTAAAGGCCGCCTCTCTGAACCACTTCCAGTTGCACTTTCTCCAAGTGTAAGGAAGCTGTTCACCTGCAACCTGCTCACCCTTCTACATCATGGTTTGGCTACCTCGAATCCCTGCCCAACAGCCCCAGGCTACTTCCCGGAGTCTTTTCTCTGGCTAGTCCTTCTGAGGGTGGCCTGTGAGTCTTGAGTGTACATCTCTATGTCCAATGACAGGCTGTTAGCTCTGCTATGTTCCTGCATGAAACCCCAAGGAGACTGAGAATTCCAAATGTAAATTTGGCCTTCCAGGTCATTATGAATGCATATTCAGACTATGTAAGGAAATAGAGTTTATTTTATTAAATACTTTCTTAGCTTAATTTATAACTACCGTGTAACATTTGATTCACATGTATAAGGGAGGAGCCCACCCCTCATATTGTCTTATGCCCTAGGCTGCGTCTTGCTCCTGTACACGGATGACCTTCTGCTGGAACATGCCATGGCAGTTGGGTGTGCGAAGGGGACGGATGCCCTGCTTCAGCACCTGGAGAACTGTGTGTATAAGGTGTCCAAGAAGAAAGCTCAGATCTGCAGACAGCAGGTACACTACCTGGGATTCGCTATTCGGAAAGGGGAGCGCAGCCTGGGGTCAGAAAGAAAGCGGGTCATCTGCAGCCTACAGGAACCTAAAACCAGAAGGCAAGTAAGGGAATTCCTGGGAGCTGTGGGGTTTTGCAGATTATGGATTCCAAACTTTGCTGTACTGGTCAAGTCTTTGTATGGAGTTACAAAGGGGGGCGACCGGGAGTCTTTTGAATGGGGACCTCTACAACAGCAAGCCTTTCGTGAGTTAAAGGAAAACCTTATGTCGGCCCCAGTCCTAGGACTACCAGATTTGACAAAGCCCTTTACACTGTATGTGTCAGAAAGAGATAAAATGGCAGTTGGAGTTTTAACCCAGACTGTGGGGCCCTGGCCAAGGCCAGTAGCCTATCTCTCAAAACAACTAGATGGGGTTTCTAAAGGCTGGGCCCCATGTCTAAGGGCCCTGGCAGCAACAGCCCTGTTAGCACAAGAAGGAGATAAACTAACCCTTGGGCAAAACCTGAATATAAAGGCCCCCCGTGCTGTGGTAACTTTGATGAATACCAAAGGACAGCATCAGCTAACAAACGCTAGATTAACCAAGTACCAAAGCTGGCTGTGTGAAAATTCCCACATAACCACTGAAGTCTGTAACACCCTAAATCCCACCACCCTGCTCCCAGTATGAGAGCCCAGTCGAGCATAACTGTGTAGAAGTGTTGGACTCAGTTTGTTCTAGCAGACCTGACTTTCAGGACCAGCCATGGGCATCAGTAGACTGGGAGTTATACGTGGATGGGAGCAGCTTCATCAACCCACAAGGAGAAAGACATGCAGGATATGTGGTGGTAACTTTGGATGCTATCATTGAAGCCAAACTGTTGCCACAGGGACGTCAGCCCAGAAGGCTGAGCTCACTGCTTTAACTTGGGCTCTAGAACTCAGTGAAGGTAAGACTGTAAACATCGACACTGACTCTCGATATGCCTTTCTAACCCTCCAAGTGCGTGGAGCATTATATAAGGAAAAGGGCCGGTTAAACTCTGGGGGAAAGGACATAAAATATCAACAAGAAATTCTACAATTATTAGAGGCAGTGTGGAAACCTCAGAGAGTGGCAGTCATGCACTGCAGGGGACACCAGCGAACCTCCACTTCAGTGGCCTTAGGAAACTCCCGAGCTGACTCAGAAGCTCAAAAAGCAGCATCTACCCCTTACTGGGCATCGGTAGCAGCCTCCTTACTCCCTCAAACACCTGACCTGGTACCTACCTATTCTAAGGAAGAAAAAGAATGTTTCAACACAGAAGGGGGCAAGTAATAAAAGAAGGATGGATCAGACTGCCAGATGGGAGGGAAGCTGTGCCGCAGTTGCTGGGAGCCACAATCATACTGGCCATGCATGAAACCACTCATCTAGGTCAAGAGTCACTTGAAAAGTTGTTAGGCCGGTACTTCTACACTTGCCAGCCCTTGCCAAAGCAGTAGCACAACGGTGCGTTACTTGCAGACAGCAGAACGCAAGGCAAGGCCCCACTGTTCTGCCCGGCCTATAAGCTTACGGAGTAGCTCCTTTTGAGGATCTTCAGGTGGAATTCACAGAAATGCCAAAATGTAGAGGTAACAAGTATTTGCTGGTTCTTGTGTGTACTTACTCTGGGTGGGCGGAGTCTTCCCCAACACGAACCGAAAAGGCCTACGAAGTAACCCTTGTGCTTCTCCGAGACCTTATTCCTAGGTTTGGACTGCCCTTATGAATCAGCTCAGATAACGGGCCGGCGTTTGTGGCTGACTTGGTACGGAAGACAGCAAAGGCATTAGGAATCACTTGGAAGCTGCGTGCCGCCTACTGACCTCAGAGTTTCGGAAAGGTGGAGCGAATTAATCGGACTATCAAAAATGGTTTAGGGAAAGCACGTCAGGAAACAGGATTAAAATGGATACAGGCCCTTCCTATGGTATTGTTTAAAATTAGATGCACCCCTTCTAAGAAAACAGGATACTCCCCTTATGAAATACTGTATCATAGGCCTCCTACTATACTACGGGGACTTCCAGGCACTCCCCGAGAGTTAGGTGACATTGAGTTACAGCGACAGCTACAGGCTTTGGGAAAAATTACACAGACAATCTCGACTTGGGTAAATGAGAGGTGTCCTGTCAGCTTGTTCTCCCCAGTTCATCCTTTCTTTCCAGTTGATCGTGTGTGGATCAAGGACTGGAACGTAGCCCCTTTGCGGCCATGGTGGAAAGGACCTCAGACCGTCATCCTGACCACCCCCACGGCTGTAAAGGTAGAAGGAATCCCAGCCTGGATCCACCACAGCCATGTGAAACTGGCAGCCGCTGAAACCTGGGAGGCAAAACCGAGCCCGGACAACCCCTGCGAAGTGACTCTGAGGAGGCCGACAAACCCTGCTCCAGTCACACCCGGAAGCTGACTGGTCTACGCACGGCCGAAGCATGAGGAGAATCATCGTGGGACTCATTTTCCTTATAATTTGGACTTGTATAGTAAAAACTTCCACTGATTTTCCCCGCATGGAGGACTGCTCTCAGTGTATACATCAGGTTACTGAGGTAAGGCAACAAGTTAAAACAATCTTTCTGTTCTATAGTTACTGTGAATGCCTAGGAACTTTAAAAGGAACATGTTTATATACTGACACTCAGTACAAGGTATGTAGCCTAGGAAACGACCGGCCAGCTGTGTGTTATGACCCCTCTGAGCTTATCCAACACGAAACTGAAAAGGCCTACGAAGTAACCCGTGTGCTTCCCTGAGACCTTATTCCTAGGTTTGGACTGCCCTTACGAATTGGCTTAGATAATGGGCCGGCGTTTGTGGCTGACGGTTTTTGAAATAAGATTAAGGGCTGAAGACTAGTGGGGACGCGTAAATGATACAAGTAAAGTAATAGCCAGAACAGAAGAGAAAGGGGTGCCCAAACACATAATCTTGAAATTTGATGCCTGTGCTGTCATTAGTGGCAGTAAATTAGGAAAGGGATGTGGCTCTTTTGGGAAAAAGGCGATATGACTGAAAATAAGTACATTTGTCATGAATTAGGACTGTGTGGAAATGAATGTGAACACTGGTCTTGTGTCATTTAGGCCACTTGGATAAAAAAATGAAAAGGATCCAGTCCACTTCAGAAAGGAAAAAGTGGCCCTTCCTGTACTAAGGGACAATGTAACCCCTTAGAGCTAGCAACAACCAATCCCCTTGATCCTTGCTGGAAAAGAGGGGAGCATGTGACCTTAGGAATCGATGGGGCAGGACTGGATCCTTGAGTAAATATCTTAGTTCGAGGAGAAGTTTACAAACGCTCTGCTCAGCCAGTGTTTCAAACTTTCTAAGATGAACTAAATGTGCCAGTACCAGAAATTCCAGGAAAAACAAGAAATTTGTTTTTGCAATTAGCCAAGCATGTAGCCCAGTCTCTCAGTGTCACTTCATGTTATGTATGTGGAGGAACTGTGATGGGAGATCAATGGCCATGGGAAGCCCAAGAATTAGTACCTACAGACCCAGTTCCCAATGAATTCCCAGCTCAAAAGAGTCACCTTGATAATTTCTGGACCCTGAAGCCTCAATTATTGGACAATATTGCATAGCTAGAGAAGGAAAATAATTCACTCACCCCTTAGGACAACTTAGTTGTCTGGGACAGAAACTGTATAATGGTACCACAAAAACAGTCACTTGGTGGAGTTCAAATCACACAGAAAGGAATCCATTTAGTAAATTCCCAAGGTTGCAAACCATGTGGACCCACCTGGAGTCCCACTAGGACTGGACAGCCCCCACTGGATTATACTGGCTATGTGGGCATAGAGCTTACGCTAAATTACCTGGCCAGTGGGCAGGTAGTTGTATTACTGGCACTATTAAACCATCTTTCTTCCTACTGTCCATAAAGACAGGCGAACTCCTGGGCTTCCCTGTCTATGCTTCCCATGAAAAAAGAAGCATAGCTATAGGAAATTGGAAAGATAATGAATGGCCCCCAGAGAGAATCATACAATATTATGGACCTGCTACTTGGGGACGAGATGGTTCATGGGGATACTAGACCCCCATTTACATGCTCAACCAAATCATATGGTTACAAGCTGTCTTAGAAATAATCACTAATATGGGCTGGGCGCGGTGGCTCACACCTGTAATCCCAGCACTTTGGGAGGCCAACGCAGGTGGATCACGAGGTCAGGAGATTGAGACCATCCTGGCTAACATGGTGAAACCCCGTCTCTACTAACAATACAAAAAATTAGCCAGGGGTGGTGGCGGGTGCCTGTGGTTCCAGCTACTTGGGAGGCTGAGGCAGGAGAATGGCGTGAACCTGGGAGGCAGAGCTTGCAGCGAGCCGAGATTGTGCCACTGCACTCCAGCCTGGGCGACAGAGTGAGACTCCATCTCAAAAAAAAAAAAAAAAAGAAAAGAAAGAAAGAATCACTAATAAAACCGACAGAGCCTTGACTATTCTGGCCTGTCAAGAGACTCAGATGAGAAATGCTATCTATCAAAATAGATTGGCTCTTGACTACTTGCTAGCAGCTGAAGGAGGGGTCTGTGGGAAATTTAACCTTACTAATTGCTGTCTACACGTAGATGATCAAGGGCAAGTAGTTGAAGACATAGTCAGAGATATGATAAAACTGTCACATGTGCCCATGCAAGTGTGGCATGGATTTGATCCTGGGGCCATGTTTGGAAAATGGTTCCCAGTGTTAGGAGGATTTAAAACTCTTATAATAGGAGTTATATTAGTAATAGGAACCTGCTTACTGCTCCCTTGTTTGCTACCTGTACTTCTTCAAATGATAAAAAGCTTCATCGCTACCTTAGTTCACCAAAATGCTTCAGAACAACTGTACTATATGAATCACTATCGATCTGTCTTGCAAGAATACATGGGTAGTGAGGATGAAAGTGAGAACTCCCACTAATTGACTGAGGTTCTCAAAGTGGGGGAATAAGGGAGGAGACCACCCCTCATATTGTCTTATGCCCAATTTCTGCCTCCAAAGAAAGAAGTAAAAATTAAAAGGCAGAAATGGAATCCACAGGCAGATAGCCCAGCATCACGCCCTGGGCCTGGTAGTTAAGAATCAACCCCTGACCTAACTGCTCGTGTTATCTATAGATTTCAGACATTGTATGGAAAAACATTGTGAAAATCCCTGTCCTGTTTTATTCCGTTCTGATGACCGGTGCATGCAGCTCCCAGTCACGTACCCACTGCTTGCTTAATTGATCACGACCCTCTCACGCGGACCCCGTTAGAGTTGTAAGCCCTTAAAAGGGACAGGAATTGCTCACTCGGGGAGCTCGGTTTTTGGAAACGTGAGTCTGCTGATGCTTCCAGCTGAATAAAGCCCTTTCCTTCCACAACTCGGTGTCGTCTGAGGGGTTCTTGTCTGTGGTTCGTCCCGCTACACGTACAGGGTAATGGTTTAATATTTCATGAATAATATTAATTGTATTTCAAAATTAATGTGGTTAAATATACTGATATACTTTAATACATTTTTTCAACAGTTTAATGTTTTGGCATAGATAATAAATACAAATAGGAATTTGCATTTATCTAATGACAAAATGTTAACATTTTAAACTCTACTCAGTTATAAACTAAACTCAATTTTAAAATGTTTAAAAAATGTGTGGATGACACAAAAACAAACCTTCATGTTTGTTTATATTCTCCCCTTATTAATCCTCTTTAAGGATTAATTAAGCCTACAAAATTCTACTTTAATAATAGTTGTTCTCCTTAAGAGTCCCTTAAAACTTTTTTTTTTAATTAAATAACTAGGCCAGGTGTGGTGGCTCACACCTGTAATCCCAGCACTTTGGGAGGCTGAGGTGGGTAGATCCCCTGAGGTCAGGCATTCAAGACCAGCCTGGCCAACATGGTGAAACCCCGTCTCTACTAAAAATACAAAAAAATTAGCCAGGCATGGTGGCGCATGCCTGTACTCCCAGTTACTAGGGAAGCTGAGGCAGGAGAATCACTTGAACCCAGGAGGTGGAGGTTTCAGTGAGCCAGGATCACACCACTGCACTCCAGTCTGGGCAATGGAGCGAGACTCCGTTTTGAAAAAAAAAAAATGAAATAAGTGGTATTGTGCCAAAACAAGTCTAATAGGAAAAACAATCAAGCTCATACCCTATAAATATATATCTAAGATATTAGGACCCAAAAGAAAAGGAAAATTATGCAGGGTCACTTCACATTCTACATGACCTCTACCTAGATATTCTCATTTAATTTTAAATCACATTATCATTTCCGAAAGCCCAAATTTAAAATAGTAAAATAACTAATGCATTTAACACCTAGTGCCTAGAGTTTGGTCTGTAAAGCTATTCTCCACTAAATAGAACTAAAAGTTCTTGGAGAATTTCAATTCCTAGAGAAAAAAAAAGAAAAGAAAAACCTTTAAGGTGGACCTAAGTGATCTTGCTACTAGAATGAGGGATTTTTTTAAATGCCTTTTAAAGTTCCAAAGTGGTGTTAAGAAAACATAGAAAGCAACCTTTTCCAATGGCAAAATTTCGAATTTTGCACATCAAAAGTAAATAAAATTATAGGTAATTAATTTTAGGTTACGAATAGTAAATCATACTTAATTTTTGCTCCATAATGTATGCTTACACTCTCTAAGAACCTCAGGATATGAAATAAGGAAATAAGTATGCTTGTGTACTATAGAGATTGTTTTGAAATTTTTACTTTAAACTTGTAATATTTTTTACAAACAAAATAATTTATGGATTTACATACATAAACTATTAATAATAAAAGGAATAAGTATAAATCTATCACTGAAAATTACAGAGAGAGGAAAAAAATAACCTGGTGATATGGTTTGGCTGTGTCACCACCCAAATCTCATCTTGAATTGTAGTTCCCATAATCCCAACGTGGGGACCCAGTGGGTGATAACCGAATCATGGGGGCAGTTACCTCCATGCTGCTCTTGTGGTAGTGGGTGAGTTCTCATGAGATCTGATGATTTTATAAGGGGCTTCCCCCTACTTTGCTCTGCACTTCTCCTTGCTGCGGTCATGTGAAGAAGGACGTGTTTGCTTTCCCTTCCACCAAGATTGTAAGATTCCTGAGGCCTCCCCAGCCTTGCAGAATTGTGAGTCAATTAAACCTCTTTCCTTTATAACCCAGTCTTGGGTATGTCTTTATTAGCAGCGTGAGAACAGACTAATACACCTGTCAGTCTCCTTCATGCTTTCTGATTGCACGCTTTAATGCAATGACCAGAATCAAACAGAAACGACCTTGGGTGTTTTCTCTGGATTTTCCTGGGCAACCAGCCAGTGGGACCTGGACCTTCTGGCTCACAGTTGGAGGGGCTACACCTGAACTCAGCTTTTCATGGGATGGACAGTTTCTTCCAACACAAGTTCCAACAACTTTCTGTTTGACCCAAGGTCTCCAGATACTGGATAATGGGCTTTTTCAAAAAATACCTATCGGGCCGGGCGCAGTGGCTCACGTCTGTAATCCCAGCACTTTGGGAGGCCGAGGGGGGCGCATCACGAGGTCAGGAGATTAAGACCATCCTGGCTAACACAGTGAAACCCCGTCTCTACTAAAAATACAAAAAATTAGCCGGGCATGGTGGCGGGCGCCTGTAGTCCCAGCTACTGGGGAGGCTGAGGCAGAAGAATGGCGTGAACCCGGGAGGTGGAGCTTGCAGTGAGCTGAGATCGTGCCACTGCACTCCAGCCTGGGCGACAGAGTGAGAGTCTGTCTCAGACAAACAAACAAACAAATAAATGCCTGTAAACAGACTGCCTGGTGCTCTAGTAGTTTCCTTACTGACAAAATTCTTTTTGTGTGTGCCCTATAAATAGGAGAGCAACAAGAGGATGGGATTCCTCTCCTATTATGCAAACCCACACCATGGATCCAGCAGACTACTCTGGCCCCAGCATGCTGCTCCTTGGGATGATGGGAGAAGGGGGAAACCTGTGTTTTCTCTTGGTTTTGTAAGTTTCCCCTTTCCCCAGTAAAACTCATCCCTTAATCTAGTGGTTCTCAAACTTTGGTGTGTATCAAAATTATCTGGTAGGCTGGATAAAACACAGATTGCTGTGCCCCACTTCCAGAACTTCTGGTTCAATAGATCTAGAAGGAGACTGGGAATTTGCATTTCTAACAGGTCCCCAGATGATGGTAATATTGCTGGTGGTGGTGGGGAGGACCACATTCTGAGAACCTCTGTATTTAATTTTATTTGTATTTATTTATTTTATTTATTGTTTTAATTTAATTTTTGAGTCCCTGTTACTCAGGCTAGAGTGCAGTGGCATAATCATAGTCCACTGTAACCTGAACTCCTGGCCTCAAGTGACACTCCCAAAGTGCTGAGATTACAGGCGTGAGACACAATGTGCATCCCGGGCCTTCGTTTTAATTCATACAGTGTGACTATGTGGTAATCAGTTCTGTTGGTTACCAAAAAGGCTCCCACTTGTATGAACTTCACATAAGAGTTAACCACTCTCCTTTCTAGTGCCTATCTTTACAGACGACCCCTGACTTATGATGGTTTCTCTTTGATTTCCTAACTTTACAGTGATGCAAAAGCTATATGCATTCAGTAGAAACCATGCTGTGAGTACCCATACAACCATTCTGTTTTTCATTTTTAATACAGTATTCAATAAATTACAGGGTATATTAGACACTTTATTACACCTTATTATGTTAGATGACTTTGCCCAACTGTAGGCTAATGTAAGTGTTCTGAGCATGTTTAAGGTAGGGTAGCCTAAGCTATGGTGTTTGGTAGGTTAGGTGTTTTACATGTATTTTTGACATAGGATATTTTCAACTTATGATGGGTTTATCAGGAGGTAACCACATTGTAAGTAGAGAAGTGTTTGTATAGTTTTACCACATACCTAGGAATCCTTATCTAGTGGATTCAGTTTCCGTTGTTCAAAAGTTTTATAAAGGCCAGGCATGGTAGCTCATGCCTGTAATCCCAGCACTTTGGGAGATGGAAGTGAACGGATCACCTGAGGTCAGAAGTTCGAGACCAGCCTGGCCAACATGGTGAAACCCCACCTCTAATAAAAATACAAAAAATTAGCCAGGCTTGGTGGTGGGTGCCTGTAATCCCAGCTACTCAGGAGGCTGAGACAGGAGAATCGCTTGAACCTGGGAGGCAGAGATTGCAGTGAGCCAAGATGCCCCATTGCACTCCAGCCTGGGTGACAAGAGTGAAACTCCATCAAAAAAAGAAAAAAGAAAAATAAAAAAGTAAAAGTTGTATAAAATAGCATTATTTCTTGAGGATATTATTTGACTTGCTTTTTTCACTCATCCATCCAATGTATAGCTATCATTCACTCATTTTTATTGTTGTATAATATTCTGTTTTGTGTATATACCTGTTGAAAGACATTTGGCTTATTTTCAGGTTTTTTTCTATGAAGTTGCTATGAACACCTATAAATGTTTCCTAGTGTATAGGACCAAGACTTTTTCTAGGGCAGTAATTCTCAGATGGGGGAAATTTTGCTATTCCCACCCACCCCTGAAACCCAGAAGACATTTGGCAATGTCTGGAGACACTTTTATTATTAGAACTCAGGAGTGTTACTAGAATTAAGAGGGTGGATGCTGCTAAACATCTTAAAATGCACAGAGCAGCCTAAATTATACAAAATGATCCAGCCTATAATGTTAATAGTGTGGAGGCTGAAAAACCCTGTTGTAGGACAGTGGTTCACAAAGCATCAGCATCACCTAGGAACTTGCTAGAAATCTCTAAGATAGATACATAGGAGTGGAATTGCTGGTTATAAAATAAGCAGGTATTCACATTAATAAGATTATGCCAATTTGCCCATTTTATTGTGGGGTTGTGTTTCTTTTTCTCTATATATTTTGTTTATATGTTCTCTTTGTTTATTATTGAGAAAGAGGGCAAAAAGCAGCCCCTGATATTCAGAAGCTGACCTGGCACTCACAGCTTGGCCATAATATTATTCTGTTGAACATTAACAATTTAAATCTCATAGAATACCAAGCTGAGACAAAAGTACTCTGAGATCACAATAAAATGAGACAAGGCCACTTCATAGCATTATCTAAGCATAGGCAAAAACAAGGTCTTTGTGTCACCCATAAGATAACAGACACCCCCTTTCTGGATAAAATGTACAACAGCTACTTTTTTTATTATTATACTCTAAGTTCTAAGGTACATGTGCACAACGTGCAGGTTTGTTACATAGGTATACATGTGCCATGTTGGTTTGCTGCACCCATCAACTTGTCACTTACATTAGGTATTTCTCCTAACGCTATCCCTCCCCCAGCCCCCCCACCTCTCAACAGGCCCCAGTGTGTAATGTTCCCCTCCCTGTGTCCATGTGTTCTCATTTTTCAACTCCCACTTACGAGTGAGAACACGTGGTGTTTGGTTTTCTGCCCTTGTGCTATTTTGCTGAGAGTGATGGTTTCCAGATTCATCCATGTCCCTGCAAAGGACGTGAACTCCTCCTTTTTTATGGCTGCATAGTATTCCATGGTGTATATGTGCCACATTTTCTTTATCCAGTCTATTATTGATGGACATTTGGGTTGGTTCCAAGTCTTTGCTATTGTGAATAGTGCCTCAGTAAACATACGTGTGCATGTGTCTTTATAGTAGCATGATTTATAATCTTTTATATATACCCAGTAATGGGATTGCTGGGTCAAATGGTATTTCTAGTTCTAGATCCTTCAGGAATCTTCACACTGTCTTCCATAATGGTTGAACTAATTTACACTCCCACCAAAAGTGTAAAAGTGTTCCTATTTCTCCACATCCTCTCCAGCATCTATTGTTTCTTGACGTTTTAATGATCACCATTCTGACTGGTGTGAGATGGTATCTCACTGTGGTTTTGATTTGCATTTCTTTGATGACCAGTGATGACAAGCATTTTTTCATATGTCTGTTGGATGCATAAATGTCTTCTTTTGAGAAGTGTCTGTTCATATCCTTTGCTCACTTTTTGATGGGGTTGTTTTTTTCTTGTAAATTTGTTTAAGTTCTTTGTAGATTCTGGATATTAGCCCTTTGTCAGATGGATAGATTGCAAAAATTTTCTCCCATTCTGTAGGTTGCCTGTTCACTCTGATGATAGTTTCTTTTGCTGTGCAGAAGCTCTTTAGTTTAATTAGATCCCATTTGTCAATTTTGGCTTTTGTTGCCATTGCTTTTGGTGCTTTAGTCATGAAGTTTTTGCCCATGCCTATGTCCTAAATGGTATTGCCTAAGTTTTCTTCTAGGGTTTTTATGGTTTTAGGTCTTACATTTAAGTCTTTAATCCATCTTGAGTTAATTTTTGTATAAGGTGTAAGGAAGGGATCCAGTTTCAGCTTTCTACATATGGCTAGACAGTTTTCCCAGCACATTTATTAAATAGGGAATCATTTCCCCATTGCTTGTTTTTATCAGGTTTGTGAAAGATCAGATGGTTGTAGATGTATAGTGTTATTTCTGAGGCCTCTGTTCTGTTCCATTGGTCTATATATCTCTTTTGGTACCAGTGCCATGCTGTTTTGGTTACTGTAGCCTTGTAGTATAGTTTGAAGTCAGGTAGTGTAATGCCTCCAGCTTTGATCTTTTTGTTTAGGATTGTCTTGGCTATGCGGGTTCTTTTTTGGTTCCATATGAACCTTAAAGTAGTTTTTTCCAATTCTGTGAAGAAAGTCATTGGTAGCTTGTTGGGGATAGCATTGAATCTATAAATTACCTTGGGCAGTAGGACCATTTTCGCAATATTGATTTTTCCTATCCATGAGCATGGAATGGTCTTCCATTTGTTTGTGTCCTCTTTTATTTCACTGAGCAGTGTTTTGTAGTTCTCCTTGAAGAGGTCCTTCACATCCCTTGTAAGTTGGATTCCTAGGTATTTTATTCTCTTTGTAGCAATTGTGAATGGGAGTTCACTCATGATTTGGTTCTCTGTCTGTTAATGGTGTATAGGAACGCTTGTGATTTTTGCACATTGATTTTGTATCCTGAGACTTTGCTGAAGTTGCTTATCAGCTTAAGGAGATTTTGGGCTGAGGCTATGCGGTTTTCTAAATAGACAATCATGTCGTCTGCAAACAGAGACAATTTGACTTCCTCTCTTCCTACTTGAATACCCTATATTGCTTTCTCTTGCCTGATTGCCCTGGCCAGAACTTCCATTACTATATTGAATTGGAGTGGTGAGAGAGGGCATCCTTGTCTTGTGCCGGTTTTCAAAGGGAATGCTTCCAGTTTTTGCCCATTCAGTTTGATATTGGCTGTGGGTTCCTCATAAATAGCTCTTATTATTTTGAGATACGTTCCAACAATACCTAGTTTATTGAGAGTTTTTAGCATGAAAGGCTATCGAATTTTGTCAAAAGCCTTTTCTGCATCTATTCAGATGATCATGTGGTTTTTGTCTTTGGTTCTGTTTATGTGATGGATTATGTTTATTGATTTGCGTATATTGAACCAGCCTTACATCCCAGGGATGGAGCCGACTTGATCGTGGTGGATAAGCTTTCTGAGGTGCTGCTGGATTCGGTTTGCCAGTATTTTATTGAGGATTTTTGCATCGATGTTCCTTAGGGATATTGGCCTAAAATTATCTTTTTTTGTTGTGTTTCTGCCAGGCTTTGGTATCAGGATGATGCTGGCTCATAAAATGAGTTGGGGAGGATTCCCTCTTTTCCGATTGATTGGAATAGTTTCAGAAGGAATGGTACCAGCTCCTCCTTGTACCTCCAGTAGAATTCGGCTCTGAATCCGTCTGGTCCTGGACTTTTTTTGGTTGGTAGGTTATTAATTATTGCTTCAATTGCAGAGCCTGTTATTGGTCTGTTCAGAGATTCAAATTCTTCCTGGTTTAGTTTTGGGAGGGTGTATGTGTCGAGGAATTTATGCATTTCTTCTAGATTTTCTAGTTTATTTGCGTAGAGGTGTTTATAGTATTCTCTGATGGTAGTTTGTATTTCTGTGGTATCGGTGGTGATATCCCGTTTATCATTTTTTATTGCGTCTATTTGATTCTTTTCTCTTTTCTTCTTTATTAGTCTTGCTACAGGTCTATCAATTTTGTTGATCTTTTCAAAAAACCAGCTGCTGGATTCACTGATTTTTTTGAATGGTTTTTTGTGTCTCTATCTCCTTCAGTTCTTTTCTGATCTTAGTTATTTCTTGCCTTCTGCTAGCTTTTGAATGTGTTTGCTCTTGCTTCTCTAGTTCTTTTAATTGTGATGTTAGGGTGTCGATTTTAGATCTTTCCTGCTTTCTTTTGTGGGCATTTAGTGCTATAAATTTCCCTCTACACACTGCTTTAAATGTGCCCCAGAGATTCTGGTACGTTGTGTCTTTGTTCTTACTGGTTTCAAATAACATCTTTATTTCTGCCTTCATTTCGATATTTACCCAGTAATTCAAGAGCAACAGCTACTTTTTTTTACCAGTCATCACGTAGGGAAGAAAAAATATCTTCTCCTTCTACCCTTCTAAGTTCTTGACTGGGGCCTTTGTAAGAAAAGAGAGATTAACAATACAAAAAACATACAAATTTATTCAATATAAGTTTACATAACATGGGAACCTTCTTAAGGACATGAAGAATGGAAGAAATGATTAAACCTGAGCATTTTTATGCTAGGTTTGATAGAGAATGAAAAGTCATAGGAAAACCTAATAACACAAAGGATATGAGCTGCAATTCCTTCAGCTTAAAATAATTAATTTTTAAATATTTAAATTTTAAAAATTTAATTAAAGTGTCATAATTTGGGGTAGCATGTCCTGAACTCCATCAATAGAATTACCCTTGCTTTCTGAAAACACTCATACTATGGGGGAACCAAACCTCCTTCTCCTAAATTCTAAAACTGTCTTACTGAGACACCCCATGATGTGTGTTCTCTCTTGCTCAGTGAGCAATGAATTCATCTTGTTCAACCACAAATGTCCCTGTGTCTCTGGCTGAAGGGCATATTTCAGAGATCTTAATAGTCTTTATTATGCCTTTTGGTGAGCACCACTTCTTTTTTTTTTTTCTTTTGAGACAGAGTCTTGCTCTTGTTGCCTAGGCTGGAGTGCAGTGGCATGATCTCGGCTCAATGCAACTTCCGCCTCCCAGGTTCAAGCGATTCTCCTGCCTCAGCCTCCTGAGTAGCTGGGATTACAGGCACACACCACCACCTCTGGCTAATTTTTGTATTTTTAATAGAGATGGGGTTTCACCATGTTGGCCAGGCTGGTCTCAAACTCTTAACCTCAAGTGATCCACCTGCCTCGGCCTCCCAAAGTGCTGGGATTACAGGCGTGAGCCACCCCGCCCAGCCCAGTGAGCAACACTTCTTAATTTTAGTTCGTTTTTAATTTTTTGCCTCCCTAATGAGTGCTTTTTATGTTATATTTAAGAAATCCTGGCCCGGCGTGGTGGCTTACACCTGTAATCCCGGCACTTTGGGAGGCCGAGGTGGGTTGATCACGAGGTCAGGAGATCGAGACCATCCTGGCTAACACGGTGAAACCCCGTCTCTACTAAAAATGCAAAAAATCAGCCGGATGCGGTGGCGGGCACCTGTAGTCCCAGCTACTAGGGAGGCTGAGGCAGGAGAATGGCGTGAACCCAGGAGGCGGAGCTTGCAGTGAGCCGAGATAGCGCCACTGCACTCCAGCCTGGGCGAAAGAGCGAGACTCCGCCTCAAAAAAAAAAAAAAAAAGAAAGAAAGAAATCCTGCCAGGCACAGTGGCTCACGCCTGTAATCCCAGCACTTTGGGAGGCCGAGGTGGGCGGATCATGAGGTCAGGAGATCGAGACCATCTTGGCCAATACGGTGAAACCCCGTCCCTACTAAAAATACAAAAATTAGCTGGGCTTCGTGGTGCATGCCCATAGTGCCAGCTACTCAGGAGGCTGAGGCAGGAGAATCGCTTGAACCCCGGAGGTGGAGGTTGCAGTGAGCCGAGATCGCGCCACTGCACTCCAGCCTGGTGAGAGAGTGAGACTCCGTCTGAAAAAACAACAACAAAAAAATCCTTTCTTACTCCAATATCATACAGGTATTTTTTTTTTTAAGTTTCCATTTTTTTTTTTTTTTTTTTTTGAGACTCAGTTTCACTCTTGTTGCTCAGGCTGGAGTGCAATGGCACGCTCTCAGCTCATGGCAACCTCTGCCTCCTGGGTTCAAGCAATTCTCCTGCCTCAGCCTCCCGAGTAGCTGGGATTACAGACATGTGCCACCATGCCTGGCTAATTTTGTATTTTTAGTAGAAACGAGCTTTCTCTATGTTCGTCAGGCTGGTCTTGAACTCCCAACCTCAGGTGATCCGCCCACCTCGGCCTTCCAAAGTGGTGGGATTACAGGCATGAGCCACCACGCCCGGCCAACTTGACAAGTTTTTAAGGTATAATTCATTCAGAGTCTAAAAGTTTAGTAGGATCATGGTAGTCAGGAGAATAATTTCACTGCAGAGGTGTGTATGTGTTTAGCAAAGTGATTGCTAACAGATTTTCCTGAAATCCCCGACAGCACAAAGTATCCTTTACATTATTATCTTTCATGCATATAAAATCTCACATATTTCTGTATAGTGGGAGAACCTGGACTTTAACATTTTATATGAAAGAAATGCATAAACCCTGTCTTTAGAAGATAATGTAAGATTTGGAAACAATATGGTAAAAGTAGGAATAGAACAAAAGGGGGAAAATGACAAAAGAAATTTTTTTAAAAAAGTCCATGGGATTCGTGGGTTTCTCAGCTTAAAGGGACAAGGGAAAGCAAGTCTAGGATGACTCCCAGTATTCAAAGTTACCAGAAGCTTGAGATGATGAACTGCTAAGGTAGTGAGTGTGCCCTATTTTGGGGAAAAGATGGTTTTCTCTTCAAGTCTGTTGCTCCTTATCTTTCCTCAATGAATTTCTAAGGAGCATTGAAATTTGTGTGAAAGAAAGGCTTCCAAAAGTAAATAAGTTTAAAATCCAGGGTTTTGTATTATACTTTCAGATTTCCACAAAGGCCCAGTTTCTCTGTTTTTTTTTTAAAGTTAAAAAAAAGTTGAAAATCAAAAGCCCCAAGTGGGAAGTAATTTGTGTGTATCTAAATATTGTATACATTCACTGTTTTATCCCAGCAATTTATAAACTGGGTGTGCAGAAAGCAGCCTGGAGCAAAAACATTGTAATGGGAGTTAAGAGATCAGGATTTTAATGATGGTCTGCTACTAATCTATACGAAAATGGTTTGTGTATAGGTTTCAGATTCCTTAAATATGTAGAATAAGACTACATAATCTTCAAGCTTCTCTGCAGCACTTAAGTTCAGATTCTACTTAAGCACTTACGGAATGTGTCAGTGTAATTCCAATTTACCCTATTCCAGATTTGTAGCAAAGCATTTGTCAGATGAATCATAGGGTGGTTTCTCTTCAGTTTTCAAACTTTGGAGCAAAACCTATATAGGTGCTTTTGGCGGCCTTACAGTTAATAGGATTTGCAGGATACAATAGTTTTAGACAAGCTCCTGGTATGTGTTGTGAACAAACGTTTTCTGAAGAGGAATTTGGAGCAAAGCAACTATTTCAGGGAACAGTTTGCAAACTGGGGAGTTGAAGCCTTAGGTGTAAAACAAAGGTGCATTCCAGAGAACAAAGGGAGGGTTTGGGTTTTACAGCAAAAGTTTCTGCCCAGGTTCCCAGTCAGGTTCGTTTATACAAATGAACGATTGAACCGCACTTAGTTCTGATTGGTTGATACAGCTGAGCCCTGATTGGTTGAGGCAGGTGAGCCCTATAAGACCCAACACTCAACAGAGGTGTGGGTTTGGGGAGAACGCAGAGTCCATGTGTGACCTCTAGTAGGTAAATGACCACGTGTCTCTATTTTAAATTTAGACCCAGTTAGCCGCTCTGGATGTTGACGGATTGGCTCTTTCAGGTTCACATTTGTTCACAGTCTGTATGACCAAGAAATTTGCAAAACAGAACAACTAGCGCTAACTCTTAATAGCCTCAGTCAGAATAAACAGACAAGACACTGCACCAAGGGCGTATGGGCATTGCACCTGCTCCTCATGGGCTGCTTTCCCGAGCCTTATGCCCACAGCCCTCCTTAGCATTATCGCATTATGAGGCTGGAAGTGCTTTTTTTTTTCTTTCTTTCTTTTTCTTTTCTTTTTTTTTTTTTGAGACGGAGTTTCGCTCTTGTTTCCCAGGCTGGAGTGCAATGGCGCGATTTCGGCTCACTGCGACCCCTGCCTCCCGGGTTCAAGCGATTCTGCTGCCTCAGCCTCAGCCTCCAGAGTAGCTGAGATTACAGGCATGCACCACCACGCCCGGCTAATTTTGTATTTTTAGTAGAGGCGGGGTTTCTCCATGTTGGTCAGGCTGGTCTCGAACTCCCAACCTCAGGTGATCCGCCCGCCTCGGCCTCCCAAAGTTCTGGGATTACAGGCGTGAGCTAGCGCGCCCGACCCACAGAGTGCTTTTTTTTTTTTTTTTTTTTCTCAAGCAGAGGGTATGGGTCTACTTCTTTGAACATTCGCTCAGATCGTAAGGTAACCCCAAGAATCGGCATCACTCTCTGGTCTGGGCGCCTGGATAGTCACGCATGGAGTCCGCGAGGTGCTGGCGCCGGAGCACGCTGGGAACGCCGGGCTCCCGGCCGGCCTGACCCGGAAGGGCTGGCGCATGGTAACCCCAGCTTCCCTAGCAACCAAGCAGGCGCAAGAAGCAACCAGCCGCGCTATCCGCTCCCGTTGCTACCGGAATGCCTCTTCAGGTTAGCGATTACAGCTGGCAGCAGACGAAGACTGCGGTCTTTCTGTCTCTGCCCCTCAAAGGCGTGTGCGTCAGAGACACGGACGTGTTCTGCACGGAAAACTATCTGAAGGTAAGAATGCAAGTCTTGCCTGCCGGTCTCCGGGGGTGTGGTCCGAAGCTTCTGCAAGAGCGCAGCTGGGCACGAGCAACAGGCTCATCTTTGCCGATAAACGTCCTAAATTTTTAATCCTATTAAAAAAATGAATCCCATACAGGTAACACACCATCTGTAGACAGATAATCAGATCAGAGACTACTTTTATCCAGGGCTTCCTCATATGCCTTGCTAATCTTTCACTACCTGGCATAAATTTAGTGGGCCTTTTAGAAAGTTATTTTACCTTTTTCACGTGTTTCTTAATACGCGTGCTTAATTTGTGTAACTAACTTAGTTTCTGTTTTCACCCTTCTGCATAGGTCAACTTTCCTCCATTTTTATTTGAGGCATTTCTTTATGCTCCCATAGACGATGAGAGCAGCAAAGCAAAGATTGGGAATGACACCATTGTCTTCACCTTGTATAAAAAAGAAGCGGCCATGTGGGAGACCCTTTCTGTGACGGGTGGTAAGTTCTTTATTAAAAGATGTTCATCTGGTTGTACCTTTTCGGTTTCAGACCTTTTAAAAAATTTTATTTTGAAGCACCTATATTGTGTAGGGGAAGATAGATTTTTTTTTTTTAAGAGTCTTGCTCTGTCGCCCAGGCTGGAGTGCAGTGACATGATCTCGGCTTACTGCAACCTCTGCCCCCGGGGTTCAAGGGATTCTCCTACCTCAGCCTCTCAAGTAGCTGGGATTATAGGTGTCCGCCACCACGCCCGGCTAAATTTTTTTGTATTTTTGGTAGAGCGTTTTGCCATGTTGGCCAGGCTGGTCTCACACTCCTGACCGGTCATTAAGTGATCCACCCGCCTTGACCTCCCAAAGTGCTGGGATTACGGGTGCGAGCCACCACACCCGGCCAGATAGACTTTCCTTTTACTCTCCAAGGTTCAATAGCTGGGTCTATAAAATAAACTAACAACAGAAGGATTGACAGAAGAAAATGTATAGAAATTTATGAATTTTTAATATTAGTGCTTGAGGGCATCACAGGGAAAAAAGTGAATACCCCCCAAGCGGTGAGATTTGAGAGTTTAGGGACTGTCTTAATAGGGGAAGGGGGAGGGGATGTAGGCCGCTTAGAACAGGAAATGATTTTTAGGAAAGATGAATGGATCCTTAGAAGAATAGATAGGAAATGTGATAGCTTTTAACAAAATTTGTCAGAGTGTGGTGTTGACTTGTAGTTTCCTTTTCTGGGAGAATAGTCAATATTCCCTGGTTAATGAAACTCCAGGGGAAGAGATTTATGACACTTGGGTTCCTTTGGAAAATCTGTTTTTAGGCAGATAAGAGGAGTTCTGGCAAAACCTCTCCCTGCATTTGCTGCTTTCAAGTGCCTTTAACTCAAAATGATCGCTATATGAAAGCAGCATATTTTGGGGTGGCATATCCTGAACTCATTCAATTGCTGTTTTAGAAAAAAAAAAAGGCTTATGAGCCTAATTTAAGTGATACAGTGCTTCAGCAGCCATTTAAATAAACCTAAAGGCTGAATTAGTCAAAGTTAGAGCACATTAAGCAGAAGATGTGGGCTCATGTCTTAAGGGTAAGCCCTCCTGATATATAGCCTTTATTGAGTACTTAACTTTGCGTTAGGTGTTAACATGCCTGTAATTCCATGAAACAACCTGTCACTTAGGTATTATTACCCTTTTTTTACAGGGGAGGCTACTGACATATGGAAAGTTTGAGTAATTGGCAAAATCACACAGCTAGTGACTGGCAGCCTGGAACTGGAGCCTTAGCAGTTTCACTCTAGAGCAGATGTTCCCAACCCTGGCTACATATTTGAATCAGCTATGGAATTTTAAAATAATACTCTAATCCAGTGAAATCAGTTTCTGGGAATAGGACTCAGGTGTTGGAAGTTTTGAAAAGCTTTCCAGGAATTATAATGTGCAGCCAAAGTTGAAATCCCCAGTTGTTGTTTGTTTGTTTGGAAAGACAGAGTCTCGCTCAGTCACCCAGGCTGGAGTGCAGTGATGCGATCTCGGCTCACTGCAACCTCCGCCTCCCTAGGTTTAAGTGATTCTTCAGCCTCAGCCTCCCAAGTAGCTGGGACTACAGGCACGTGCCACCACGTCCAGCTAATTTTTGTATTTTTTAGTAGAGACAAGGTTTCACTATATGTTGGCCAGGCTGGTCTCAAACTCCTGACCTCAAGTGATCCACCCACCTCGGCCTCCCGAAGTGCCGGGATTACAGCCATGAGCCACCGCGACCGGCCTGACATCCCCAGTTTTAAAGCTAGTTCTCTGTAGTCTTATTAAGCTAGTTGTCAGTGCTTTGTACTAATACCAAGATCAGCTTCCATAGTCAGTAATTGTCCTCTACTGCTTTAGCCCTGTTTTCCTCCTTCCTTCTTTAGTTGTCATGTTTTCTAATACTTTATGTTTACTGCCTGGAATTTATTTTTTTTAATTTTGAGTTTTTTAAGAGATAGAATCTCACCCTATCACCAACGCTGGAGTGCGGTTGGTGTTACCATAGCTCATTGTAACCTCAAACTCCTAGGTTCCAGCAATTCTCCTGCCTCGACCTCCTGAGTAGCAGGGACTACAGGTGTGCACCAAAACACCTAGGTAATTGTTTTTATTTTTGTAGAGACAGGGTCTCACTATGTTGCCGATAGGTCTTGAACTCCTAGGCTCAAGTGATCCTCCCACTTTGGCCTCCCAAATGCTGGGATTTCAGGCGTGAGCCACTGCACCCAGACTACTGCCTGGAATTTCTTTTAAGCCTTTGGCATTAAGCCTTGAATATGGACTCTTGAGGGTAGAAAGAGTTGCAACCATTCTTTCTATCAAGGCTTTCTTGGTATCTTGTAGTGGAATTTAATTTTTAATTTCCAAGACCAAGGTAGAATTTATTTTTCTAAGATCGGGTATTCAGCTCAGAGAATACTGGTTAAGGTAGGTTAACATAGCCAGTTTACTTAATTTTTTTTTTTTTTTTTTTTTTTTTTTTAGTGAGCCCCAGACTACCTAAAGAGTTTTAAAGAATCAGGTTCCTGTTTTTTGACCTCTTACTTCCTCTGTGACTCAGTAAGTCTATGTTGGGGCCTGAGGATGTCATAACACACCCAGTCTGTTTTGACTTCTTACCTAAAATTGAATATACATTTATTTTGACTCTTGTAAATTAACTTTTTCTGTAAAGGACCAGATAGTATTTTAGACTTCACAGGCCATATGGTCTCTGTCATATCTATTCAGCTCTGCCATTGTAGCACAAAAGTAGCCACAGGTGATTCATATTTATGGACAATGAAATTTGAATTTCATCTAATTTTTAAATGCCACAAAATGTTATTTTGATTTTTTTCATCCATTTAAAAATGTGAAAATTATTCAAGGCTTGTGGGCTGAGGGGAAACAGGTGGCAGGTCGGATTTGGCCCATGGGTCATAGTTTGCCAACCTCTGATTTAGACAAATCAAAACAGTCTTAAAACTGACTTAAGCTCAGCGCAGTGGCTCATGCTTGTAATCCCATCACTTTGGGAGGCCGAGGCAGGTGAATCACCTGAGGTCAGGAGTTTGAGACCAGCCTGGCCAACATGGTGAAACCCTGTCTCTACTAAAAATACAAAACTTCGTCAGGCGTGGTAGTGGATGCCTGTAGTCCCAGCTACTTGGGAGGCTGATGCAGGAGAATCGCTTGAACCCGGGTGGTGGAGGTTGCAGCGAGCTGAGATCTCACCACTGCACTCCAGCCTGCGCAACAGAGCGAGACTCCATCTCAAAAAAAATAAAAAATAAAAAACCACTAATTTATATCACAATGAACATTGATTCTACTTCAGAAACCAGGTTTGAGATTCCTTTAGAAATCAAACTCAGTTTGCCGGGCGCGCTGGCTCACGCCTGTAATCCCAGCACTTTGGTAGGCCGAGGCGGGCTGATCATCTGAGGTTGGGAGTCCGAGACCAGCCTAACCAACATGGAGAAACCCCGTCTCTACTAAAAATACAAAATTAGCCGGGCATGGTGGCGCATACCTGCAATCCCAGCTACTCAGGAGGCTGAGGCAGGAGAATCACTTTAACCCGGGAGGCGGAGGTTGCGGTGAGCCGAGATTGTGCCATTGCACTTCAGCCTGGGCAACAAGAGCGAAACTCAGTCTCAAAAAAAAAAAAAAACAAGAAAGAAATCAAACTCAGTTTTGCCAGGTTACAGTGGCTCATGCCTAAAGTAATCTCAGCACTTTAGGAGGCCAAGGTGGGAGGATCATTTGAGCCCAGGAATTCAAGACCAGCCTGGGCAACATAGGGAGACTTCACCTCTATTAAAAAAAAAAAATTAGCCGGGCATAGTGGCATGTGCCTTATAGTCCCAGCTACTTGGGAGGCTGAGGTTGGAGGATCACTTGAGCCCAAGAGGTGGAGGCTGCAGTAAGCCATGCTCATAATGCTGCACTCCAACCTGGGTGACAGTATGTGATCCTCTCTCAAAAAAAAGAAATCAAACTCAATTTTACTTGCAATTCAGTGGGATTATTTATTTAACCATTTTTTTTTCACATAAAATATTGTGGAACTCCAGTTTATACACGTAGACTGTCTACCTCATTATTCAGACTCTAATTTTTCTCATTTTTTCTGGAAATTCCTTCTTGATACACTCTTTATTTCTATTAGACATGGAGTATTTCATTTGGGAAGTTAATGTTCTTCCAGTTATTTCTGCCGCTGAAGCTGACTTAGCTGTCTACCTTCCTGTTTTTAAACAGCAGGAGAGATGAGAAGAGGCTTCAGACCTAACTTCAGTACTAGTTCTTAGCCAAGATCTTAGATGAATAAAATTACACACTTTTACTTACCTCTAACTGATATTTAACATTCTCTTCAATTGTGAAGATAGGCAACAAATAATAGTAGTATCTTAGTCTGTTTGGGTACTATAACAAAATACCATCAACTGAGAAGCTTATAAACAACAGAACTTTATTTCTCACACTCCTGTAGGCTGGGAAGTCCAGATCAAGGTCCTGGCAGGTTTGGTATGCGGTGAGGGCTCACTTTCCTGTAGATGGCACCGTACTGTGTCCTCACATGGTGGAAGGGGCAAGTCTGCTTTCTGGGGCCTTCTGTATAAGGACACTACCTCCCAAAAGGCCTCACCTACAAATAATATCACATTAAGGGTTGGGATTTTAACATAAGAGTTTTAGGGAGACATAAACATTCAGACCATAGCAAGTAGTATCAACAAAAACAAAAGTATGTTTATATCAGAGATACCTCTTTTATACTCTACTTTGAAATTACAATATTAGACTTGTTGCTATATATTAATGCATTAATAAAGAAGCACATAATCGTGTATCACAATTTGGCCGGCCGCAGTGGCTCACGCCTGTAATCCCAGCACTTTCGGAGGCCAAGGCAGGCGGATCACAAGGTCAGGAGATCAAGACCATCCTGGCCAACATGGTGAAACCCCGTCTGTACTAAAAATATAAAAATTAGGTGGGCGTGGTGATGCCCACCCGTAGTCCCGGCTACTTGGGAGGCTGAGGCAGGAGAATTGCTTGAACCCAGGAGGCGGGGGTTGCAGTGAGCTGAGATCGGACCACAGCACTCCAGCCTGGCAACAGAGCAAGACTCCGGCTCAAAAAAAAAAAGTATATCACAATTTTATTTCTTAATGTTTTATAAGTGTTTTGATATAACTGAGTTTCTTTGTAGACCTGTATATTTTATTTCATACATTTTAAAACATTGTGAAAGGATTTATAAGGATTCACTACTCTGCCAAGGTGTCTGCTGCACAAAAAAGGTTAAGAACCCATGCCTGGGGTATGATTCATCCCTCTACCCACCCCTTATCTACTCTCCCCTACTTTGTCTTCCCCTCAAGTTTTCTCCTCTCCCCTTCTGTTTTTTTTTTTCTGCTTAAAGGCTAGATCTTTTCCCTTAGGCTCTGATCCTTCCCTTTGTAAGATAATTTACCCATTGATCGTAGTCTTCAGTTTGTGAAACTTTGGGCCACATCAAATATAAAGATAACTGTGAGATCTTGCGTGGTGGCTCATGCCTGTAATTCCAGCACTTTGGGAGGCCAAGGTAGGAGCATCGCTTGAGCCCAGGAGTTCAAGACCAGCCTGGGCAATATAGTGAGACCTCGTCTCTACATAAAATTTAAAAATTAGCCAGATGTGTTGGCACACACCTGTAGTCCCAGCTACTCAGGAAGCTGAGGTAGGAGGATTGCTTGAGCCCAGGAGGTTAAGGTTACATTAAGCTGTGATTGCTTAACTGCACTCCAGCAGCCTGGGTGACAGAGAGAGACCTAGTCTCAGGAAAACAAACAAACAAGCTGTGGATGGTAAGGTTTTATATATATTTATATATATTATATAAAATATTATATATAAATATATATAAAACCTTACCTATTATATTATTATATACTATTATAATATAATATTATATATTATATTATATACTATTATATAATAATAGTATATAATATTATTATATAATAATATAATATTATCTATAATATATAATATATATTTTATATTTTATATATTATATAAATGATGATTTATTGTGATCAGGTTTATAAGCAAATAGCCCTAGTTTCTTAACAGAGAAGGAAGAGGATAAATGTGTCCTTGCACCTTCATCCTCACCCTCTCCCTCTCATTACCTGCCTCTTGTGTCCCTCCCCCATCCCTTCTTCTTCCTCTCCACCCCCTTCATTCTCTAGTCATTCATTATTATTACAGTTAGTTGCTTACCTTTTAACATTAGCTTCTTGGCCAGTTTAATATTGAAAAATATTTTCCATGTTCCTTGTGAAGTTGGGTACAAAGAAATCTCATCCTGGGTCAGTTTATTTAAGTAGTTTTCTCATAAGTAAAGCAAATTTGTCATAATTCTAATTTAGCAATATTCTGTACATTTTAGTTGACAAAGAGATGATGCAAAGAATTAGAGAAAAATCTATTTTACAAGCACAAGAGAGAGCAAAAGAAGCTACAGAAGCAAAAGCTGCAGCAAAGCGGGAAGATCAAAAATACGCACTAAGTGTCATGATGAAGGTAAGTTGCAGAATGACAGGCAAGTCCTCTAAAGAGATAATAGTAGACTATGTGAGGATAGTGAGTTCCAGCTGCTGGACTTCCTCAGCATTTTCTTCATACTTTGTTTAGAGGACTTACTATGTTATATAGACTGTCTGCTATTTATATGTGTGTTTTTTTTTTTCTTGAGACCGAGTCTCACTCTGTCGCCCAGGCTGGAGTGCAGTGCGGTGATCTGGGCTCACTGCAAGCTCCACTTCCCGGGTTCATGCCATTCTCCTGCCTCAGCCTCCTGAGTAGCTGGGACTACAGGCACCTGCCACCATGCCAGGCTAATTTTTTTGTGTTTTTAGTAGAGACAGGGTTTCACCGTGTTAGCCGGGATGGTCTCGATCTCCTGACCTCGTGATCTGCCCGTCTCGGCCTCCCAAAGTGCTGGGATTAGAGGCGTGAGCCACCGTGCCCGGCCCATGTTTGTTCTTGAAATCTGAATGAAAGTCAAAGGTGTAAAAGTTGGACAGTTGTTTCAGGGAGAGGGTTCTATTTCTAGGGGAGTAAAAATAAAGTTTCAATGGTGCAAGTGTTTTACTTCTTTTTAAATCTTGGAATAACAGATATGATTTTAAAACAGAAGCATATTTAAAACATTATTGTCAAATTTTTTTAACTGTTAAGGGTTTTAAGTGAAAGTTTTAATCAGCAATATATTTTTTGAGAAACAATTCACATTCCATATAATTTACCCATTTAAAGTGTACAATTTAATAGTTTTTAGTACATTCAGAGTTGTGTAACCATTACTACAGTCAATTTTAGAACATTTTCATCACCCCCCAAAAAGCACCAATACCCCTAAGCAGCCACTCCCCATTTCCCCTAACACTTAGTCCTAGGCAACTGCTTATCTATTTTCTGTCTCAATAGATATACCTATTTTGAGTAATTTTTACAAAAAAATTCTTATCTCAGGCCAAGCGCAGTGGCTCATGCCTGTAATCCCAGCACTTTTGGGAGGCCGAGGCGGGCGGATCATGAGGTCAGTAGTTCAACACCAGCCTGGCCAACACAGTGAAACCCTGTCTCTACTAAAAATACAAAAATCAGCCGCGCGTGGTGGTGGGCACCTGTAATCCCAGCTACTCGGTAGGCTGAGGCAGGAAAATCGCTTGAACCCAGGAGGTGGAGGTTGCAGTGAGCGGAGATTGCGCCACTGCACTCCAGCCTGGGCGACAGAGTGAGACGCCGTCTCAAAAAAAAAAAAAAAACTTCTTATCTCGAATTCCCATTTTGACATGTTGCAGTGACTAAGGAATCTATAATACGCATTATTTAAGATTTTTGTGGACCCATGACTGTTTTTTGGATTTTCATAACTAGCATTGTTTTCTATTATCAACAGTTTATGATTCCAAAGATTTGTCCACTTTTTTTATCACTTCCACTTAACTTTTTTTTTTTTTTTTTTTGAAATGGTGTCTGGCTCTGTTGCCCAGGCTGGAGTGCAGTGGTGAGATCTCAGCTCACTGCAACCTCTGCCACTCGGGTTCAAGAGATTCTCATGCCTCAGTCTCCTGAGTAGCTGGGACTACAGATGTGCACCACCACGCCTGGCTAATTTTTTATATTTTTAGTAGAGACAGGGCTTCACCATATTGGCCAGGTTGGTGTCGAGCTCCTGACCTCAAGTGATTCACCCGCCTTGGCCTCCCAAAGTGTTGGGATTACAGGCATGAGTCACCGCACTGAGCCATATACTTTGTCTTTTACTTAATAATTGAACTGGTCAGCTGGTCAAAGATTCCTGCCTTTAGCATACTTAATTCCATCTTTTCTTTATTGTATGATCACAGCTGTTGGCCTTTTGATTTTATCATTTTCATGAATTTAAAAAAATTAATATAGAATTTGTGGCAATAGATATTCACTGAAATAATAAAACAGTTAAATAATGGCACACTTACTGCTGTATTGGTATGTCAAAACAGAACAGTTGACCAGCAGGAAGCACCACTATGTTGTACCTTGAAGGTTTGTTTTTTGTTTTTTTTTTTTGAGATGGAGTCTTGCTTAGTCGCCCAGGCTGGAGTGCAGCGGCGCAATCTCAGCTCACTGCAAGCTCTGCATCCTGGGTTCACACCATTCTTCTGCCTCAGCCTCCCGAATAGGTGGGACTACAGGTGCCTGCCACTACGCCTGGCTAATTTTTTTGTATTTTTAGTAGAGACAGGGTTTCACTGTGTTAGCCAGGATGGTCTCGCTCTCCTAACCTCGTGATCTGCCCGTCTTGGCTTCCCGAAGTGCTGGGATTACAGGTGTGAGCTGCCGCACCCAGCTGAAGTTTTCAATTTACTAATGTATGAAAGCTTGACTTTGGTATTGGGAAAGGTGATTTAGAGGAATTAATATATAAAATATGAAGATACGGGTTATATTAAGAGGACAGAACCTACAAAAGCCAGTATCCTGTTCCACAAATTGTCTGTTTTCTCTCTTCCCTCAGTAGTGTTGAGAGTTGGGAGTATGTTTTGTTTCATCCTTATTATAGCCATTATCAAGTAAATTGGTGCTCAAACATTTGAATAAATTAATATGAATGCATTACTCTAGTACTATGTACCCGTAGCAAACGTCTACTTTGGTGAATTAGCTGAAGCTATTTTCACTCTGTGCAATCCTAGACACTGTTAAGAAAAGAACTTTGACGATCCAGTAAGAGCAAATAGTAACAAAAGGCAACATATTGTTAGCTTAAGTTAGCATAAATTAATTTAAAACTTGAAGGACATCTACCAAAAATAAGTGGTTTTTAAGTAGTAACCTTTTAAAAAATAATTAGTGGGGCTGTGTCAATTCGCTATACTGTGTGTACAGGTATTATTCTGCTTGGGCTACCCTAACAAAATGTTGTTTAACAGAAATTTATTTTCTCATAGATCAAGGTCTGGTAGGGTCTCTTTCTGGTTAGACTCTCTGTTTTTGGGGCCTTCTTGCTGCGCTCTTACGCAGCAAAAAAAAAAAAAGAAAAAGAAAAAGATTGGTATTTCATCCTGAGAGTATGGTCAAGGAATCCAAAGCAGTATTGTTTGTGCTGAATCCTGGAAAATGAATCACAATTAGGTTCCTGGTAGAAAGAGAGGGAAAACCTCATTGCAGAAGTGCTTTTAAAGCCCCTGCTGTGTCATATTTGCTAATGTACCATTAGCCAAATCAAGTCACATAGCCAAGTCCAGATTTAAAGATTGGAAAAATAGACTATACTTCTTGGAAAGAGAGGTATAATGGGAAAATGACATTACAATTTGGATAGGTATATGAAAATAAGGCACACAAAGGAACATTTATTGGTCAGAAATAATATCCTAATGTGTCCAGAATTTATTCCCTCTGGTGGGTTCTTGGTCTCACTGACTTCAAGAATGAAGCCGCATACCTCATGGTGTGTTACAGCTCTTAATGGTGGCGCGTCCGGAGTTGTTTGTTCCTCTCGGTAGGTTCGTGGTCTTGCTGAGTTCAGGAATTAAGCTGCAGACCCTCACGGTGACTGTTACAGCTCTTAAAGGTGGCGCGGACCCGAAGAGTGAGCAGCAGCAAGATTTATTATGAAGAGTGAAAGAACAAAGCTTCCACAGCATGGAAGGGGACCCGAGCCAGTTGCCGCTGCTGGCTGGGGTGGCCAGCTTTTATTCCCTTATTTGTCCCCGTCTATGTCCTGCGGATTGGTCCATTTTACAGAGTGCTGATTGGTCCATTTTACAGAGTGCTGATTGGTGCGTTTACAATTGTTAAGCTAAACACAGAGCACTGATTGGTGCATTTTTCCAGAATGCTGATTGGCGCGTTTACAATCCTTTAGCTAGACACAGAGCACTGATTGGTGCATTTTTGCAGAGTGCTGATTGGTATGTTTACAATCCTTTAGCTAGACACAGAGCGCTGATTGGTGCATTTTTACAGAGTGCTGATTGGTGCGTTTACAATCCTTTAGCTAGACAGGAAAAGTTCTCCAAGTCCCCACTTGACCCAGGAAGTCCAGCTGGCTTCACCTCTCACTAAGATTTTGAAAAATTTCTCAAAGGTTATAGAGAACTCTCTTAAGGGATTTTCCACAAAAGTGTAAAATTAGTTGAGTTTGTCTTTTAGAAAGCTCGTTCTGGCTAATGAGTTTGAAGAGGTTGCAGGGAGGAGGCAGAGTTTTTGTTAAGATGGAGAAATTTTGAGCATACGTATGTTGAGGAAGGAAGCCAGTAAAGAGGGAAAGGTTAATAATACAATGAAGAGAGAAGATTGATGATGGAGCAGTTTTCTGGTGATATGGGGATATTTTATCATTTTTGCTAATTAAAAATAAACTTTTTTTTTTTTTTGAGACAGGGTCTGTTGCCCAGGCTGGAATGCAAAATGGCGCAATTACAGCTCACTACATTGACCTCGCAGGTTCGAGAGATCCTCCCACCTCAGCTTCCCAAGTAGCTAGGACTATAGGTGTATGCCACCATGCCCTGCTAATTTTTTTGTAGTTTTTGTAGAGATGGGGTCTAACTATGTTGCCCAGCAGGAACAAAGAATAGATATCTAAGGATCTGGAAAATTCTTAAGCACACAGATAATTAAAGGAATTTTTACTTTGCTTGGTAAAGAAGCAGGGTCATCTGGGCATGGTGGCTCATGCCTGTAATCCCAGCACTTTGGAAGGCCGAGGCAGGTGGATCACCTGAAGTCAGGAGTTCAAGATCAGCCTGGTCAATATGGTGAAAACCTGTCTCTACTAAAAATACAAAAATTAGCTGGGCGTGGTGGCAGGCACCTGTAATCTTAGCTACTCTGGAGGTTGAGGCAGGAGAATGGCTGGAACCCAGGAAGCGGAGGTTGCAGTGAGCTGAGATCATGCCATTGCACTCCCGCCTGGGTAACAAAGAGTGAAACTTCATCTCCAAAAAAAAAAAAAACCAACCAACCAACCAACCAAACAAACAGAAAAACGAGGCAGGGTCATCAACAGAAAGGGAGAGATTGAGGTGGAGGTATAGGGATATGAGGTGATTAGTGGAAGCTTGGAATACTGATGCCAGAGTCTTCCAAAATGTGCTTTTTTTTCCTCTTCGCTAATCTTGGCTGCTACTGCCTCCTTTTTTTTTTTTTTTTTTTTGAGATGGAGTCTCGCTCTGTTGTCCAGGCTGGAGTGCAGTGGCGCAGTCTTGGCTCACTGCAAGCTCTGCCTCCTGGGTTCATGCCATTCTCCTGCCTAAGTTTCCCGAGTAGCTGCGACTACAGGTGCCCGCCACCACGCCCATCTAATTTTTTGTATTTTTTGGTAGAGATGGGGTTTCACCGTGTTAGCCAGGATGGTCTCGATCTCCTGACCTCGTGATTTGCCTGCCTCAGCCTCCCAAAGTGCTGGGATTACAGGCGTGAGCCACTGCGCTTGGCCGCCTACTTTTCCTGTCTTCTTCACTATTTTGTTCTGTACATTACCCACTTCTATCTTGAATTTTTTTTTTATCATTTCTTGTTTTTGTTTTGTTTTCCGCTTCAATGGAACTCTTTTTTCCAACTGATCTTTTAAACTGGATAGGTCAAATTTGAAGTGCATTTTTCTGCTGTGGTTTCTTAAAGTTGAAACCCAGAAACCTTAATCTTTGAAAGAGGTTTGCCTGATCATGCAGATAAGGTATGAGTTGCTAGTTGTCTATTTAATGCCATAGGACCTCAAAATGATCCTTATCAGTGAATACACATGCCCTGTTTATCATGGGCATGTATAACTAATGTACAAAAAGACCACAATGAACTGCTTTGCCATTTTATTCTATTTTATGATAATAACTTTCATGATTCTGGCATTTAAAAAATCCTCCCATCTTTCTTTTTTCTTTCATCTCATTCCTCTTCAGTGTATGTCAGACTTTCTCAGCAGCCTGTCTTCCACTTTTACATGTTTTGTATTTTCTCCATAAACCCGTTCTTAGAGCTCTGTACTTTTGGTATCTCCTGTTCTGATGTCTTTGGCCAGTGTTTATTCATTTATGTGTTATTGGACACTTGGGTTGCTTCCACCCTTTGGCTAGTGTGAATAATGCTGCTGTGAACATGATGTGATGGTTAATACTGACTGTCAACTGATTGGATTGAAGGATGCAAAGTATTGATCCTGGGTGTGTCTGCGAGGGTGTTGCCAAAGGAAATTAACATTTGAGTCAGTGGGCTGGGAAAGGCAGACCCACCCTTAATCTGGGTGGTCACCATTGAATTGGCTGCCAGCATGGCTAGTATATAAAGCAGGCAGAAAAATATGAAAAGACGAGACTGGCCTAGCCTCCCAGCCCACATCTTTTGCTCGTGCTGGGTGTTTCCTGCCCTCGAACATGGGACTTCAAGTTCTTCAGTTTTGGAACTTGGACTGGTTCTCCTTGCTTCACAGCTTGCAGCAGGCCTATTGTGATACCTTGTGATTGTGTGAGTTAATACTTAATAAACTCCCCTTTATATATATCTATCTATACTATTAGTTATGTCTCTCTAAAGAACCCTGACTAATATACACGAGTATAAAAATATCCCTTTGAAATCTTGCTTTCAATTGTTTTGGGCTTGTATCTAGAAGTGGATATAGCAGATCATATGGTAATGGTAATTCTGTTTTTTTTTTTTTTTTTCCTGAGACGGAGTCTCACTCTGTTGCCCAGGCTGGAGTGCAGTGGTGCGATCTCGGCTCACTGCAAGCTCCGCCTCCCAGGTTCAAGCCATTCTCCTGCCTCAGCCTCCCCAGTAGCTGGGACTACAGGTGCTCACCACCACGCCTGGCTAATTTTTTTTGTATTTTTAGTAGAGACAGGGTTTCACCATGTTAGCCAGGATGATCTCGATCTCCTGACCTCGTGATTCACCTGTCTCAGCCTCCCAAAGTGCTGGGATTACAGGCATGAGCCACCGCGCCCGGCCTATTTTTAATTTTTTGAGGAATTGCCATACTGTATTCCATGGCATTTGGACCATTTTATGTTTTCATCACAGTGTGCAAGGATTCCGGTTTCTCCCATTCTCACTAACACTTGTTATTTTGGTTTTTTGAGAGTAGCCATCCTAATGGGTGTGAAGTGGTATCTCATTGTGGTTTTGATGTGCTCTTCAGTGCCATTTTAATTTGAACTATATCTCTGAAACCCACTCATTCCCTTTTTTCCTAAATCTTTGAGATATTGGTAAGTATAACATTTATTCTTGCTTGCTCTTTTCCTCTCTTCTCCCATTATTTGGCCTATGCTTTCTCTTAAAAAAAAAAAAAAAAAAAAAAAAAAAAAAAAAAAAAAGCTTTATTGGCTGGGTGTGATGGCTCATGCCTGTAATCCCAGCACTTTGGGAGGCTGAGCAGGTGGACTGCTTGAGGTCAGGAATCCGAGACCAGCCTGGCCCATCTCTACTAAAAATACAAAAAATTAGCCGTGTGTGGTGGTGTGCACTTGTAATCCCAGCTACTCCGGAGGCTGAGGCAGGAGAATCACTTGAACCCAGAAGACAGAGGTTGCAGTGGGCCAAGATTGTGCCACTGTATTCCAGCCTGGGCGACAGAGTGAGACTCCATTTCAAAAACAAAAACAAACCCCAGCTTTATTGAGATATAATTTATATACCATAAAGTTCATTCTTTTAAAGTGTAGAATTCATTGTTTCTTAGTATGTATACAAGTTATTCAGCCATCACCACTATGTAATTCTGGAACATTTCATAACCATAAAAAGAGACCTATTGGCCAGGCATGGTGGCTCACACCTGTAATCCCAGCACTTTGGGAGGCTGAGGGGGGCGGATCACAAGGTCAAGAGTTTGAGACCAGCCTGGCCAATATGGTGAATTCCCATCACTATTAAAAATACAAAAATTAGCCAGGTGTGGTGGTGTGCATCTGTAGTCCCAGCTACTCGGAAGGCTGAGGCAGGAGAATTGCTTGAACCTGGGAGGCAGAGGTTGCATTGAGCCGAGATTGAGCCACTGCACTACAGCCTAAGCGACAGAGCAAAACTCTGTCTCAAAATAAATAAATAAATAAATAAATAAAGAGCCCTATTTTCATTAGCAGTCACTCCCTACTTTTCCCTCCACCATAGCCCCTGGAGGAGACAGAATCTACTGTCTGTTTCTATAGATTTGTTTACTCTAGACATTTCACATACAGTGTGTGGTCTTTGGATGTGATGCCCATCAGTCTTTATGGGAGGCTTTCTTTCACTTAGCAAAATGTATATAGGGCTTATACATATTGTAGCATGTATAAGTTTTTCATTCCTTTTTATGGATGAATAATATGGCATAGTATGGATGGCACCACATTTTGTTTATCCATTCATCAGTTGGTGAAAATTTAGGTTCTCTTCACCTTTTGGCTATTACAAATAGTACTACTATGACCATTCATGTACTTCTAGTATTTAAGTATCTGTTTTTTGTTTTGTTTTGTTTTGTTTTTGAGATGGAATCTTGCTCTGTTGCCCAGGCTGGAGTGCAATGGCATGATCTCAGCTCACTGCAACCTCTCCTTCCTGGGTTCAAGTGATTCTCCTGCCTCAGCCTCCTGAGTAGCTGGGATTACAGGCAAGCACCACCATGCCCAGCTCGTTTTTTGTATTTTTTGGTAGAGAGGGGGTTTTGCCATGTTAGCCAGGCTGGTCTCTAACTCTTGACCTCAGGTGATCCACCCACCTCGGCCTCCCAAAGTGCTGAGATTGCATGCATGAGCCACCACGCCTGGCCTTGAGTGTCTGTTTTTAATTCTTTCATGTATATACTTAGGAATAGAATTGCTGGGTCATTTGTAATTCTGTTTAGCTTTTTGGGGAATCATCAAATAGTTTTCCACAATGGCTATACTATTTTTCATTCCCACCAACAATGTATGATGATTCTAATTTTTTTACATCTTTGCCAACACTTCTGTTGTTGCCAGATGGAAAGTCTTGACTATGAGTTGTCCCAGTTCTTGGCACATTAAACAAAGAATTGAACAAAATGCACAAACAAAGCAATAAAAGAACAAAACAACGAAAGTGCAGGTTTACTGAAGCAAAAGTACACTCCACAGAGTGTAAGCGGGCTCAAGCAAGCAGCTCAAGAGCCCCGATTGCAATGTTCTTTCAGGTTTGTACTAAACTAAAAGAATTTGGTAGCATTCCTGGGTACCGTTTAGAGGCTTCCCATTGGTTGCACCCTACACAAATGAAGGCTTGGCCCATTACTAATCAGAGGCTGAAGTGAAGTCTTGGCCCATAACTAATTAGCAATAGGGGAGAGAGGGGGTTTTGTAGAGGGAGGGGCCTCTGGCCCTTGGCATGGAGAGGTGGGGTTTTTCTTTTGGCCCAATTCCAATAAGCCAGCTGCTAGTTGGCCTCAGGCTCCCTGTTCCAGACCCTGTTCTGCCTCATTTCCCCCTGAGAGACTTGATCCCAATAAATCTTTATGGGAGGCAGAGGAACTGATGGTCTGTCTTCTGTAATTGCTTCGTGCGGATTAGGGCAGAGTCCCTACATATTGGGGACCACAGAACTCTTGCCCTGCTCTGTCTAGTGGAGAGAGGGTGACTTCTTGAAGGCTAGGGCTGGCATCGTCACCTGGAACTGGCTAGAAGCCCTGCTGCATGATCATTTGAAGCTTAATGTTCTCTAGGTGAGAAGAAATAAATCTGGTTACATGATTAAACAAAAATGGTCCAAAAATCAATGTAAGTACAAGTATTAATAATGTGCTGGCTAGGGGAAGGAGCCATGAAACCCAGCTTAGTATCCTTGACCAGGGGCCCCATGACTTGGACAACTGTTGTCATATTTTAGAGGCCTGGTCAGCTAATTTTGGGGCAGCATCCCTTACTAATCCTGATTGGTTGATATGAAAACAGTGCTTTCCCTCTAGGAAAAGATATAAGCCACTTTTTTCAGCAGTTAGGAGATCCAGTCCCTGTATTAGTCCATTCTCACACTGCTAATGAAGACATACCCAAGATCGGGTAATTTATAAAGGAAAGAGTTTTCATTGAGTCACAGTTCCACATGGCTAAGGAGGCCTCAGGAAACTACCAATCATGGCAGAAGACACCTCTTAACAGGGTGGCAGGAGAGAGAATGAGCACCAGCAGGAGAAATGCCATAAAACCTTATAAAACCATTAGATCTTGTGAGACTCACTCATTATCATGAGAACATCATGGGGGAAACTGCCCCCATGATTCATTTACCTCCACCTGGTCCCACCCTTGACACGTGGGGATTATTACAATCCAAGGTGAGATTTGGGTGGGGATACAGAGCCCAACCTTATCAGTCCTCTTCTGTTTTGTAAAGTGACTGCCAAAGAGTCTACCTGATTTTGTAAGGCATACTTTGGGCAGTGTCTTCCAAGCCGTCTGAAAGCTCCTTGGACAAGCGTTGGTAATAGGATAGAGAAGTTGGAAGCCCACTATTTCCTGTTTCTACGCCTGCAGTTATTCGTAACCCTACCTGAAAGGGTATGAGTTGGGTGGCTTGTTTGTGCCTGATGGTTGCAGTTAAAGGTATAATGAGAGACTGGTTATTGGGAGCTATATTGATCTCGGGGGCTAAGTAAACAAGTGTGCAGTGCAAACAATTGGTTCCAGTCCATTTGGCTAGTAAACGTAAGTAGGAACTAGTCCCACACAGGAAAAAGGCTGCTTGTTTTTCAAGACAAAAATTGTTCTCTATGATGAACATGTAGGTTAGCTTGTTGTTTTCCTTTTCCCAAGTGGTTAAGGTCCCTGCTACAGTGGCCCTGGTTAAAGGCTGGAGGGGGCCTTGGGTATCGGGGGATCCCACCCCCAGTATTTCAACGTAGGTTCTTTCTGTTTTCCATAAGTGTTGGCCAGCTGAGAAATAAAGAGAGACAGTATAAAGAGAGGAATTTTACAGCTGGGCCATCGGGGGTGACATCACATATCGGTAGGACTGTGATGCCTGCTTGAGCCTCAAACCAGCAAGTTTTTATTAAGGGTTTCAAAAAGGGGGTGTAAGAACAGGGAGTAGATACAAAGATCATATGCTTCAAAGGGCAACAAGCAGAACTACTAATAAGGGTGTAACAAAGATCACATACTTCTGAGGGAACAGGACAAAGGGCAAAAGCAGAACTACTGACAAGGGTCCAACAAAGATCACAAGGCAAAGGGCAAAAGCAGAACTACTGATAAGGGTCTATGTTCAGCAGTGCACATATTATCTTGATAAACATCTTAAACAACAGAACACAGGATTCAAGAGTAGAGAACTGGTCTGACCACAAATTTACGAGGGTGGAGTTTTTCCCCCACCCTAGTAAGCCTGAGGGTTCTGCAGGAGACCAGGGCGTATCTCAGTCCTTATCTCAACTGCACAAGACAGACATTCCCAGAGCCCAGAGCGGCCATTTATAGACCTCCGCCTAGGAACACATTCCTTTCCCAGGGTATTAATATTAATATTCCTTGCTAGGAAAAGAATTTAGCGATATGTCTCCTACTTGCATGTCCATTTATAGGCTCTCTGCAAGAAGAAAAATGTGACTCTTTTTGCCTGACCCCACAGACAGTCAGACCTTATGGTTGTCTTCCCTTGTTCCTTAAAAATTGCTATTATTCCGTTCTTTTTCAAGGTGCACTGATTTCATATTGTTGAAACACACATGTTTTACAATCAGTTTGTACAGTTAACACAATTATCACAGTGGTCCTGAGGTGACATACATCCTCAGCTTACGAAGATAACAGGATTAAGAGATTAAAGTAAAGACAGGCATAAATTATAAAAGTATTATTTGGGAACTGATAAATGTCCATATTAAAATGAAATCTCCCAATTTATGTTCCTCTGCTGCGGCTCCAGCCAGTCCCTCCATTCGGGGTCCCTGACTTCCCGCAACACTTGGGAAGTACTCTGAGTTGCCCAAGTGGTTTTGTTCTCTCAGTTTAGGTGGTTATGCTTAGTGTCTACCAGCCAACACCCAGAGCTATTTTTGTACTGGGGGACTAAAAGGCAACTAGATGTCTCAGGATTAGTATAGCCTTCCCAGGGGAAAATGTGCATACAGCTAGTGGGCCTACCCTGACAGTACTTAGACTGCATATCCTTTAAAGTAGCCTTAACTAAGGGTGGTTTTCATGAAAACCATACAAGTTTTCTAAATGATGCAGTCTGGGTAACTGCATAGCTTACATGATCAGATAAGAGGTTAATCTCTAGGGGGTGGTTGCATTGAAGATATTTCAAGGTACTCAGGGCTTGACCAAAATTTTGGCTTCTTTTAATACAAAGTGGTGCCTGGAATTTTAGTTCTGTGTGCATCGATATTGGGCCCCTAATGGGTTTTTGAGGGGATGCAACTCCAGAAAGGTTGATTTGATAGGACTGGAGAAGGTTTACTGCTTGTCTTGTCATTGTAACCTTTGTCATTTCCGTAATTTTGAAGTCAAATATGTCATGCAGGTTCATTAAATTGAAGGGAGTTCTTCTCTTATAGTTGGAGATTTGGGTGGGGATATTTTCTCAAGGGCCCAAGATTGGGCTGGGATTGGGATAGCAGTGTGTTTGACTTCAGCTTAATTGGATGTTGTTTTTGGTTGGGATAATGACTGGGTCCTTTAAGCTGTATGTTGACTGGCACTGCCATTCTAGCCCTTCCAGGCCTCCCAGTATACCATGCTAGCAGGTTGACCTGTTTGTTGACATGGTCCAGAACGTTGTCTGCATCACTGACCATTAGCACCCAGGCAGTGCTTAAATTGTAGCAGTGCCCCTATTTTAACCATAAAATCTCTTCTGAACAAGGGGACTGGGCAGCTTGGTACTATTAGAAACCCCTGCTGGAAAATTTGTTTTTCAAATTGGCAGGTTAAAGGAGGGGTGAAATGCCTGACTTTATTTTTTCCTTCATTTCCTATAACAGTCATTGTCCTAGTGGAGGGCTTTCCTGCATAAGCAGTAAGTACAGAGTAACTTGCCCCTGAATCAAAAAGAAACTGAATTTGTGTACCCGTTGTGTCCAGAGTTACTCAGGGATCCTCAGTAGTAATGATGATGTTCCTGGACAGGGGCAGTGAGGAAGGCCCTGGGCCCCTTCAGTCTTCATCTAGCTCCTGCTTTTGCACTGCTAGAGTCTTAACTGACTGAGCTCCTCCGTGGGAGCTGGGGCAGTCAGTCCTCCAGTGCTGGGGTTACAGGCACCTGCCATGATGCCCAGGTAATTTTTTAATTTTTTTTTTTTTTCAGTAGAGACAGGTTTTCACCATGTTGGCCAGATGGATCTCAAATTCCTGACCTTAAATGATCCACCTGCCTCAGCCTCCTGAAGTGCTGGGATTTATAGGTGTGAGCTGCCACACCCAGCTAGGAGTGACAGCTTCTAAGCTCTTTACATGTCAAAGCCTAAACTGATGTTCCTATGTTAATTTTTTACCTATATAGATAAAAAACATGCACATATATGTGTATATATGTATATATATATATACACACACACACGCATACATACATACATACTTACATATATTTTTAAATATTTTTAAAATTTATTTTTCAGTGGTTGTTCTGTGTTCCTTTAACTGATCACAATCTACTTCAGGTTAATACTGACTCAGTTCCAGTAAAATATAGCAACTTGTTCTAATATAACTCCATTTTCTACTCCTCCCTTTGGTCTATTAGTGCCATTCAGGTATGTGTATATGCATATATATTTGTTGTAATCCCAACAATATGTGTTATGATTTTACATTAAAAATCATTATTTCTTAAAAAATCTTAGGTTTTTAAATAAATAAAGAGTAGAAAGCAAAAATATATATATTGTCTTTTTAAAAAGTTTATTTTCTAATTGTGGTAAAATATAACTAACATACAACTTACCATCTTTAAGTATACAGTTCCATGGCATTAAGTATATTGACAACCATCACTACTAACCATCTCCAGAACTCTTTTCTTTTTTTATTTTTTTTTTGAGTTGGAGTTTCATTCTGTTGCCCAGGCTGGAGTACAGTGGCGTGATCTCAGCTCACTGCAACCTCTGCCTCCTGGGTTCAAGTGATTCTCCTGCCTCAGCCTCCTGAGTAGCTGGGATTACAGGCGTATGCCACCACGCCCGGCTAATTTTTTGTATTTTTAGTAGAGACGGGGTTTCACCATGTTGGCCAGGCTGGTCTTTAACTCCTGACCTCAGGTGATCCACCCGCCTTGGCCTCCCAAAGTTCGGGGATTACAGGCGTGAGCCACCATGCCTGGCCCTCCAGAACTCATTTCGTCTTGCACAATTAAAACTCTGTACCCATTAAACAATAACTCTCTATTCTCTATCCTCCCAGCCCTTGACAGCCACCATTCTACTTTTTCTATGAATTTGACTATTTTATGTAAAAAAAAATGACTTATTTTACTTCATGTAAGTGGAATTATACAATATTTGTCCTTTTGTGACTGTTTTATATTTTTTAGCATACTTTGTCTTCAAGGTTCATCCTTGTTTTAGCTTGTGTCAGAATTTCCTTTCTTTTTAAGGCTGAATCATGTTCTATTAAAACGTATAGAACACATTTAAAAAAATCTGTTTGTATTGTCTTTTACGCTTACCCACATATTTACCATTTCTCATACTCTTCATTCTTTCTTGTAGGTATGAATTAGTTAATATCTGGTATCATTTTCCTTTCCTTTCTCTTTTAAGAGATAAGGTCTCACTCTATTGTACAGGTTGGAGTGCAGTGGTACATTCATAGCTCACTGTAACTTCAAACTCCTGGTCTCAAGCAGTCTTCCTGCCCCAGCCTCCTGAGTAGCTGGGACTACACGCACATGCCACCATGCCTATCTAGTAAAGATGGGGATACTCTGTGTTACTCAGGATGGTCTTGAACTCCTGGCTTCAAGCGATCCTCCTGGCTTGGCATCCCAAATCACACCTGGGATTGCAGGTGCGAGCCACCTCCCCATGCCCTGCCCTTTTTTAAAAAAGTGTATCTTATAGAGCAGGTCTATTAGCAACATACTCCCTCAGTTTTCATTTGTCTTGGAAGGTATTTTGCTTTCACTTGTGAAGAATAGTTTTGCTAAATATAGAATTTGTGGTTTATAGTTCTGTTTTTTTCTGTCGGTACTTTGAACATGTCATTTCATTGTCTTCTATCCATTGTTTCATGAGAGCCTTAAAAGGTGATAGGGTCACCATGCATCCGTAGCTCTCTCATTTACATAATCTTTCCATTAAATTTCTGACTGCTTAAGCACTTATCCTAACCAGGATCTCAACCTCAGACCAACTGCAAAGTTTTCCTCTTTATTCCCAACCAAGCCTAGCACTTTTATCCACCAAAGCTACAGGTTTTCACTGCCCTACCCGGAAATGAGCCCACCCTTTTTAGCAACAAACTGCTAGGTTCTTTTTGGTAGTTTCATGTTGGTATGGGTTGAGCATTTATGATCAAAAAATACAAAATCTGAAATGCTCCAAAATCTGTAACTTTTGAGCACCAACACAATGCTCAAAGGAAGTGTTCACTGGAGCATTTTGGATTTCAGATTTTTGGAGTAAGGATGCTCAGCCAGTGTGTATTCTGCAAGTATTCCAAAATCTGAAAAAAATCCAAAATCTGAAACACTTCTAGTTCCAAGCATTTTGGACAAGGGATATTCAGCCAGTAAAATTGCCAGGCTCATCATCCTAGCTGGGAGGGGGTTTTAGGAGCAACCTCAGGCCAAAGGGCACAGCTTCTTACCTTTCATACTTAGAACTTTAGCAGCTTTTCTAGACTAAAGACTTTTCTCTTTGTAGTCTTCTTTTGGTTAATTTCCAGTCCCCTGAAATGGTTGTTTTTGATAATTTTATCCAGTTTTATCCTTAATATTTGTGGAGGGGAATTGCCAACCTCTTCATGTTGCCACAAAATCTGCATGTTGTCTTTGCAGATGAATTTTATATTTACTTATCAAGTTTCCTAAGAAGTCCTCTTGGTATTTTGATTGAATTTACATTGACTTTGTAAATTTGCAGCGCATCAACATACTTATAATATTGAGATTTCCCTCCAGGAACATGGCATTTATCTCCATTTATTTGGATATACTTTACATCTCTCAGCAAAATTATTTAACACACATATATGACTTGCTTATATATTTTTTGTTTGTTTGTTTTGTGTTTGAGACGAAGTCTGTCTCTGTATCCCAGGCTGGCGTGCAGTGGCGCGATCTTGGCTCACTGCAACCTCCACTTCCCAGGTTCAAGTGATTCTCCTTCCTCAGCCTCCAGAGTAGCTGGGATTACGGCGTGCGCCACTGCACCTGGCTAACTTTTTGTATTTTTAGTAGAGACGAGGTTTCACCATGTTGGCCAGGCTGGTCTTGAACTCCCAACCTCAGGTAATCCGCCCACCTCAACCTCCCAAAGTGCTAGGATTACAGGCATGAGCCACCGCCCCTGGCCTTATGACTTGCTTATATTTTGCTAAGCTTATTCATTTATGTTTTTCTGGTGATTGCTGATGAAATTAACGTTTCCATTGTAGTTTCTAATTATTTATTGCCAGTTTGTAGGAAAGTAAGTTTGTTTTTATAAGTTTGTATAAGTTGATCTTTTTTTTTCTTTTGAGATGGAGCCTCACGCTGTCGCCCAGGCTGGAGTGCAGTGGCATAATCTTGGCTCACTGCAACCTCCGTCTTCTGGGTTCACGCGATTCTTCTGCCTCAGCCTCCTGAGTAGCTGGGACTACAGGCATGCACCACCACGCCTGGCTAATTTTTATATTTTTAGTAGAGACAAGGTTTCAACATGTTGGCCAGGCTGATCTTGAACTCCTTACCTCATGATCTGCCCACCTCGGCCTCCCAAAGTGTTGAGATTATAGGCGTGAGCCATCGCGCCCAGCTAGTTGATTTTATATGTGACTGCCTTGCTGAACTTACTTTTGGTTTGTCAGTTTATTATTTTGGTTATTTTAAGTAGTGTACTATTATTTGCAAATGATGCAATTCTATCTCCTTGTAATCTATATTTGTATTTCTTATTTTTAAAAGTTTATCATTTAGGTTCTGACCTCTAGGAAAATAGTAAAACATTAGGTATACTTGCCTTAGTGATTTTGCTGGAAATATTTCTAATATTTCTTTTATTTTTTATTTTTATTTTTTTGAGACGGAGTCTTGCTCTGTGACCCAGGCTGGAGTGTAGTGGCGTGATCTAGGCTCACTGCAACCTCCACCTCCCAGGTTCAAGAGATTCTCCTGCCTCAGCTTCCCGAGTAGCTGGGACTACAGTTGTGTGCCACCACGCCCAGCTAATTTTTTTATTTTTTGTAGAGATAGGGGTTTTGCCATGTTGGCCAGGCTGGTCTCGAACTCCTGACCTCAGGTGATCCACCTCCCTCGGCCTCCCAAAGTGCTGGGATTACAGGTGTGAGCCACTGCGCCCGGCTATTTCTAATATTTCGTCATGAAGTATAACATAGTCTTGGTCCTTCTATCCAGCTTATAAATTTTTATTTCTTATTTTTATTCCCAATATCAACTGACATTTTGGCATACACTGACATCATAATGCTTTTCTCTATTGATTTCCTAATACCTTAAGTAAGAAAGACCCTATTTGATCAAGGTGTATTATAATTTTAATATTTTCCTAGGTTAAGTTACCCCTATTTGATTAAGGTGTATTATAATTTTAATATTTTCCTAGGTTAAGTTACCCCTATTTGATTAAGGTGTATTATAATTTTAATATTTTTCTAGGTTAAGTTTGCATATATATATATATACACACACACATATATATACACACATATATATACACACATATATATACACACATATATACACACATATATATACACATATATATACACATATATATACACATATATACACATATATATACACACACATATATATATATACACACACACATATATATATATATATATATATATTTTTTTTTTTTAGGTTTTTTTTTTGTTTGTTTTGAGGTGGCCTCTCACTCTGTTACCCAGGCTGGAATGCAGTGGCGCAGTCTCGGCTCACTGCAACCTCTGCCTCTTGGGTTTAAGCGATTCTCATGCCTCAGCCTCCCGAATAGCTGGGATTACAGGTGTGCGCTACCACACCTAGCTAATTTTTGTATTTTTAGTAGAGATGGGTTATCACCATTTTGGCCAGGCTGGTCTCTAACTCCTGACTTCAAGTAATTTGCCTGACTCGGCTTCCCAAAGTGTTGGGTTTACAGGCGTGAGCCTCCATGCCGGGCTGAGTTTGCTAATGTTTTATTTACAATTTTTGCATGTAATTCACAAGTGGGATTGGCTTATAAAGAACAATGCCTTGTTGACCAGACATTCATTCTAGATTAAAAGAATTATACATTTCCTCTTCTTCAAAAATTTAGTGTAGGAACTATTCATTATTCTCGTATTAGTTTTATTTGCTGTCTGCATTAAACTAATAACCTGTAGTAAATGGCATCCTTTTTTGAACAGTACAAACACCTAAAACCCAATTTGTTTATTTTATTTTTTTTGAGAAGTCTCACTGTGTCACCCAGGCTAGAGTGCAGTGGGGCGATCTTGGCTCACTGTAACCTCTGCCTCCGAGATTCAAGTGATTCTCCTGCCTCAGCCTCCCAAGTAGCTGGGATTACAGGTGTATGCTACCACACCCACCTAATTTTTGTATTATTAGTATAGATGGGGTTTCACCATGTTGGCCAGGTTGTTCTTGAACTCCTGACCTCAAGTGATCAACCTGCCTGGGCCTCCCAAAGTGCTGGGATTTCAGGCATGAGCCACTGCCCCCGGGCCTCCAGTCCTTTATGTACGATGATTATTATTTTAGCCTTCTGAGTTTTTCTGTTACTGCATATTCCTCCGTGTGTCTTCCCTGTATTAGATGATTTTTCTTTGAAAGACCTTCAAGGATTGTTTAATATTTGTCGGTGTCTGTGTTAAATTGTGTGTTTCCTATATTAGATGATTTTTATTTAAAATATCTTTAAGAGCTGGGCACGGTGGCTCACGCCTGTAATCCCTGCACTTTGGGAGGTTGAGGCGGGTGGATCATTTGAAGTCAGGAGTTTGACACCAGCCTGGCCAACATGATGAAACCCTGTCTCTACTAAAAATACAAAAATTAGACGGGCATGGTGGTACACACCTGTAATCCCAGCTACTCAGGAGGCTGAGGCAGGATAATTGCTTGAACCCGAGAGGCGGAGGTTGCAGTGAGCGAAGATCGTGCTACTGCACTCCAGCCTGGGTGACACAGCAAGACTCCATCTCAAAATAAGTAAGTAAATAAATAACAAAATATCTTTAAGAATTGTTGGCTGGGCGTGGTGGCTCACGCCTGTAATCCCAGCACTTTGGGAGGCCGAGGCGGGCAGATCACGAGGTCAGGAGATCGAGACCATCCTGGCTAACACAGTGAAACCCCATCTCTACTAAAAATACAAAAAATTAGCCGGGCGTGGTAGTGGGTGCCTGTAGTCCCAGCTACTCGGGAGGCTGAGGCAGGAGAATGGCATGAACCCGGGAGGTGGAGCTTGCAGTGACCCGAGATCGTGCCGCTGCACTCCAGCCTGGGCGACAGAGTGAGACTCCATCTGAGAAAAAAAAAAAAAAAGTTTAACATTTGTCCATCTCTTTATGACATCATAAAAAATATATATTTGGTCCCTGCCTCTTGTTATTAGCATAGAGCTCCTAAAACCCATGTAATTTTCTGAGTGATGGGGTGCTAGGTTCATCTTTTGTTAAATTATTTGGATTTTGACCCAGGTTCCTGACACAGAGCTCCTAATCCCTTGGAATTTCCTATGTAATAGGAAAATCTTTTGTTCTAATGAGGCAACTCTTGATGGGCTCTTGGGTGGTGGCTGGCCACCAGAAAGACCAAGCTATGACTAGTTGTCTGGAACTTGCAGCACCCCTCCCCATCATTTTGATAGGGGCTGGAGACTGACTTAATAATCAATCATGCTGGGTCCACTGGCTTACGCCTGTAATTCCAGCACTTTGGGAGGCCGAGGTGGGAGGATCGCTTGAGCCCAGGAGCTCAAGACCAGCCTGGGCAACATAGATAGTGAGACCCTGACTCTAAAAACAACAACAACAAAATTAGCCATTCGTGGTGCTGCGGGCCTGTGGTCCCAACTACTTGAGAGGCTGAGGTGAGAGGATCACATGAGCCTAGGAAGTGGAAGCTACAGTGAGCTAAGGTTGTGCCACTGCACTCTCCAGCCTGAGTGACAGAACAAGACCTTGTCTCAAAAAAAAAAAAAAAAAAAAAATCCGCCAGGCATAGTAGCTCATGTCTGTAAATCCCAGCACTTTGGGAGGCTGAGGTGGGTAGATCACTTGAGCCCAGGAGTTCAAGACCAGCCTGGGCAGCAAGGGAAAACCCCATCTTTACAAAAAAATAACATAAAAAATTAGTCAGGCTTGGTGGCATGTGCCTGTGTCCCAGCTACCTAGAAGGCTGAACTGGAGGATCGTTGGAGCCCAGGAGGTTGAGGCTGCAGTGAGCCATGATTGCGCCATTGCACTCCAGCCTGGGTGACAGAGCAAGACCCTGTCTAAAAAAAAAAAAAAAACCCAGTCATGCCTGCTAGATAAAACCTCCATAAAATTCCTGTAACTATGAGGTTTGGAGAACTTCTGGGTTGCTGAACACTTGGAGGGAGAAGGCATGGAAACTCTGTGCTCCTTCCCCGGTATCTTTCCCTAGACATCTCTTTCATTTGCCTCTTCCTGATTTGCATCTTTTTATTAAAAATGGGTAAATATGGCTGGGCGCGGTGGCTCACGCCTGTAATCCCAGCACTTTGGGAGGCCTAGGCGGGTGGATCACCTGAGGTCAGGAGTTCAAGATCAGCCTGGCCAACATGGTGAAACCCTGTCTCTACTAAAAATACAAAAATTAGCCAGGCGTGGTGGTATGTGCCTGTAGACCCAGCTACTCAGGAGGCTGAGGCAGGACAATCACTTGAACCTGGGAGGCGGAGGTTGCAGTGAGCCGAGATCGTGCCACTGCACTCCAGCCTGGGCAACGGAGTGAGACTCCGTCTCAGAAAAAAAAAAAAAGGGGTAAATATAAGCGAGGTATTTATCTGATTCCTGTGAGCCATTGAAGCAAATGGTCAAACCTGAGGAGGGGGTTGTAGAAACCCCCAACTTATAGCTGATTGGTTAGAAATATGGGAGTCCTGGACTTATGATTGGCATCTGTGTGGAGACTGTCTTATGGAATTGAGCCCTTAACCTGTGGGATCTAATGCTAACTCCGGGTAGATAATGACAGAACTGAATTAGAGGACACATAGCTGATGTTAGAGAATTGGTAAGCATAGGCCGGGCGCAGTGGCTCACGCCTGTAATCCCAGCACTTTGGGAGGTCAAGGTGGGCGGATCACGAGGTCAGGAGATCGAGACCATCCTGGCTAACACAGTGAAACCCCGTCTCTACTAAAAATATAAAAAAAAAATAAATTAGCCAGGTGTGGTGGCAGACACCTGTAGTTCCAGCTACTCGGGAGGCTGAGGCAGGAGAATGGCATGAACCCAGGAGGCGGAGCTTGCAGTGAGCCGAGATTGCGCCACTGCACTCCAGCCTGGGCGACAGAGTGAGACTCCGTCTCAAAAAAAAAAAAAAAAAAAAAAAAAAGAATTGGTAAGCATAGGAGAAACCCACAAGTTTCGTGATGGAAGTGACCTATGGAGTGTTGTGAGAGTATATAAGAGGCATAAACAGTTTGTTTTTTCTCTGTACACTCTGTTTTTCTTTTTCTTTCTTTCTTTCTTTTTTTTTTGAGAGGAGCCTCGCTCTTGTCCCCCAGGTTTGAGTGCAATGGCTTTATCTCGGCTCACTGCAACCTCCACCTCCCAGGTTCAAATGATTCTCCTCCCTCTGCCTCCCAAGTAGCTGGGATTAAGGGCCTGCCACCAAGCCCGGCTAAATTTTGTATTTTTTAGTAGAGACAGGGTTTCACCATGTTGGCCAGGCTGGTCTCGAACTCCTGACCTCAGATGATCCACCTGCCTCAGCCTCCCAAAGTGCTGGGATTTCAGGCGTGAGCCACCGCGCCCGGTCACTGTACACTCTGTTTTTCTTTGGTACATGTAGTCTCTTTTCTCTTTATCATAAGCTTTGTGTTATTTTCTTCTTCATGTTTTTCTCTTCATTGTAGTTCCTTCTGTTACCTACTCTGTGAAGCCTTTCTTGGTTTCTCCTCTTCATCACTACTCTCTGAAGAGCTGGACTATTTCTGTCTCTAATATAGCTTATTATAAATTATCATTATACCTATAGTTCCCTTAACTACATCTTGGCTATAATACCAGAACTTTCCTGTTATTTTTTGTTGTAAGAACAGTCTCATTTTTGGTAATTAAGACTTAGTCTTATGCATTTTAAAAACTTCATGTAAAATTCATTCTTCTTGCAGGGAGTATGATGGGTGAGGGTGTCTGACTCTCCACATATTCTCCCTTTTTCATGTGTTGGGGCAGAGAGTGAAAAAAGGCAGACATATAATTAGGCTGGGTGAAGTCGTCTTTTAGGTTGTGGCTTCCTCTCTAACATGGAGTGTTCATCATGCCTTATTGTGAGGCATTTAAATTTTGTTTCATTGCCATGTGTAGATTCTTCCTGGTTCAATCTGTTGGCAGCTTACTGGCAACTCTCTGAACTAAGAATATATAGTAATAATTAGCATATTTTGTGCTTAATTTAAGCCTGAGGTAAAATTGGGACTACAGGAAATTTTCATTCAGTGTCCCGTGAAATTTATTTTAAAGTCAGCATCTCACAGGAAAATAATCAGTCTTCTAGAAGAGAGTATTATGTCATGTAGATATTACAGAGCACCTTTCAGTGCACAGGTTTCATACTCGTAATGTTAAATCTCTATTTTAAAGTAATACAACATTTAGGGACCTTCATCCTAGCATATCCATAGTCTAGAACCACTTCAGATGTCCTATTTAAATGTAAATTAATTTAAATGTACATTAATGAAACTTAAATAACATTAAAAATTCAGTTCCTGAGTCTCAGTAGCCACATTTGAAGTACTTAATTAGCCACCTGTGGCTAGTGGCTACTATATTGGATAGCACAGACATTTTGATCATTGAAGTAAGTGCTTCTCTAGTGGATAGAGGTAAGAAATTTTTCTTACCATAGGAAAGTCAGATACATGGAGTCAATCATGTACACCAACTAGGTACTCTGTTTCACAAGGTTTTTTTTCTTGCCCATGTGAGGGAAGTTTGAAAGGCAGAAAAGTTGCCACACACCTGTACAAGATACTGCTTTCAAATTCATCTGATATTTAGCTCTTTGAAAGTGTCAGACAACTACTAGTGCAAACATAGGTTTTGCAGCAGGATTAAGACTTCAAATATTTCCACCCAGCAGAGACAGACCGTCTTGTTCATCCTTCCTATTTCCTTTTCTACTGTTCCCTCTTCCTTCAGTCCTTAGGACTGAAGGGTTGGCACAACTTCGGTTGACAGGGTAAGACTTGGGATAAGTTGAAAAGCAAATGTTTGAATATATGTGTTGGGATGTGTGTGTGTGTGTGTGTGTGTGTAGATTTTGAGAGAAGTGGCTTAACTCCTAGAATAATAAATTTCTATTATTTTTTCTACCAAGCCCTTAGGTATCATCTAATTGAATGCCTGCCCACATTTTACATATAAGTAAACTGAGGTTGGAGAAAGTGATTGCCTAAGACCATACAGCTAATGGTAGATCTGGGACTAAAATCTTTGTTCCATGACTCCAACACCAATGGTTTTTCTCCTGAATCATTTACCTTTCCCATTTTAATTCATAATTCACTACTACCTATTGTTACAAATACAATGGCAAGAGTTTAGAGGTATGAATAACTAATTATTGTAATGAATTTCTCATTTAAATAAATGTTGCTTTTATGTATTTTAAAGAATTTGGTAATTGCAATTGTTATAGATTGAAGAAGAAGAGAGGAAAAAAATAGAAGATATGAAAGAAAATGAACGGATAAAAGCCACTAAAGCATTGGAAGCCTGGAAAGAATATCAAAGAAAAGCTGAGGAGCAAAAAAAAATTCAGAGAGAAGAGAAATTATGTCAAAAAGAAAAGCAAATTAAAGAAGAAAGAAAAAAAATAAAATATAAGAGTCTTACTAGAAATTTGGCATCTAGAAATCTTGCTCCAAAAGGTAAAATGATTAAGAATTTCTTGAGTAGTGAGTCCTGTTGGTGAAGTATATATGACGCTTTTCTTTTTTTGTAAATCTATTCACAGCATTAGGTTACTGTTTTGGCACATTGAGAATAAGCAATTCAGTACAAAGACTAAAGTAAAGACATTTCTTCTTTCGGGGATAATGAAGTTTTCTAATAAAATGAGCAAGGATTCGTTCAAGGATTCGAAAAGAAGAGTGTCTTCTTTGCTTGTGTGCTTTCTTTTGAAATTTACAAAGATGTTGTTAAATAAGTGCTTAACTCAGGCCCAAAAAGACTTGGAGTGGACTAGCAATGTCAGAAGCATTCATTTATTCCATTAGAGATAAGAAACTAGGAATTTCATTAAAAGACCTTTTCCTCACATCACTTAGGAAAATGAGTACTATAAGCAGACTTACTCTACAGCAAATAAAGATTGCTTCTAGCTTTTAATCTTGGTGTATTCAAAAACAGATAAATTAATATAATTTTTTTTTTTGAGACAAGGTCTGGCCCTATCGCCCAGGCTGGAGTGCAATGGTGTGATCTGAGCTCACTGCAGCCTCTGCCTCCCCAGCTCAAGCCATCCTGCCTTAGCCTCCCAAGTAGCTGGGACTACAGGCATGTGCCTCAATGTCCAGCTAATGCTTTTTTGTATTTTTTGTAGAGACGAGGTTTTGCCATGTTGCCCAGGCTGGTCTTGAACTCGTGAGCTCAAGCAATCTGCCTGCCTTGGCCTCCCAAAGTGCTGAGATTGTGTGCATGAGCCACCATGTCCAGCTGATACAAATATAATTCAGTTTTTGTATGTGTGTGTTTTTAAAATTATTATTTCAGTAGTTTTGGGGAAACAGGTGGTGTTTGGTTACATGTATAAGTTCTTTAGTGGTGATTTCTGAGATTTTGGTGGACCCATCAACCAAGCAGTGTACACTGCACCCAATGTGTAGTCTTTTATCCCTCACCCCTGCACCCTTCCCCCCTAGTCCCCAGGCCCATATCATTCTTATGCCTTGGCATCCTCATAGCTCAGCTCCCATTTATGAGTGAGAACATGGGCCAGGAGCAGTGGCTCATGCCTGTAATCCTAACACTTTGGGAGGACAAGGCGGGCAGATCATCTGAGGTTGGGAGTTCGAGACCAGTCTGACCAATATGGAGAAACCCCATCTTTACTAAAATTACAAAATTAACCAGGTGTGGTGGCACATATCTGTAATCCCAGCTACTCAGGAGGCCGAGGCAGGAGAATCGCTTGAACCTGGGAGGCGGAGGTTATGGTGAACCGAGATCGTGCCATTGCATTCCAGCCTGGGCAACAAGAGCAAAACTCTGTCTCAAAAAAAAAAAAAAAAAAAGTGAGAACATATGGTATTTGGTTTTCCATTTCTGAGTTACTTCATGTAGCATAATCGTCTCCAACTCCATCCAGGTTGCCGAGAATGCCATTATTTTATTCCTTTTTATGGCTGAGTAGCATTCCATGATTGTATGTGTGTCTGTGTGTGTGTGTGTGTGTGTGTGTGTGTATATATACACCATATTTTCTTTATCTTCTCATTAGTTGATAGGCATTTAGGCTAGTTCTATATTTTTGCAATTGCAATTGTGCTGCTATAAACATGAGTGTGCAAGTGTCTAATGACTTCTTTTTCTCTAGATAGATACCCAGTAGGGGGATTGCTGGATCAAATGGCGGTTCTACTTTTCGTTCTTTAAGGCATCTATCTCCACACTGTCTTCCATAGTAGTTGTACTAGTTTACATTCCCACCAGCAGTGTAAAAGTGTCCCTTTTCACCACATCTACACCAACATCTGTTATTTTTTCATTTTTAAATTATGGTCATTCTTAACAGGAGTAAGGTGGTATCGCATTGTGGTTTTGATTTGCATTTCCCTAATAATTAGCGGTGTTGAGCATTTTTTCATGTTTGTTGGACATTTGTTTGTTTGTTTATTTATTTTGAGATGGAATTTCGCTCTTGTTGCCCAGGCTGGAGTGCAATGGCACGATCTCGGCTCACCACAACCTCTGCCTCCCAGGTTCAAGCGATTCTCCTGCTTCAGCCTCCCGAGTAGCTAGGATTACAGGCATGTACCACCATGCCTGGCTAATTTAGAGATGGGGTTTCTCCATGTTGGTCAGGCTGGTCTCGAACTCTTGACCTCAGGTGATCCGCCTGCCTCAGCCTCGAAAAGTGATGGGATTACAGGCATGAGCCACCACACCTGGCGGGACATTTGTATATCTTCTTTTGAGAATTGTCTATTCATGTCCTTAGCCCACTTTTTGATGGGATTGTTTGTTTTGTTCTTGCTGATTTGTTTGAGTTCCCTGTACATTGTGGATATTAGTCCTTCGTCAGATGCATAGTTTGTGAAGATTTTCTTCCATTCTGTGGGTTGTCTGTTTACTGTGCTGATTATTTCTTTTGCTGTGCAGAAGCTTTTTAGTTTAATTAAGTCCCATCTATTTATCTTTGTTTTTGTTTCATTTGCTTTTGGATTCTTGGCCATCAAGTCTTTGCCTAAGCCAGTGTTAGAAGGGGTTTTCCAGTGTTATCTTCTAGAATTTTTATGATTTCAGGTCTTAGACTTAAGTCTTTGATCCATCTTGAGTTAATTTTTGTGTTAGGGGAGAGATGAGGATCCAGTTTCATACCCCTACATGTGGTTTGCCAATTATCCCAGCACCATTTGTTGAATAGGTTGTCCTTTCCCCACTTTATGGTTTTGTTTGCTTTGTCAAAGATTGGTTGGCTGTATTTGACTTTATGTCTGGGTTCTCTATTCTGTTCCATTGGCCTATGTGCCTGTTTTTATACCAGTACTATACTGTTTTGGTAACTGTGGCCTTGTAGTATAGTTTGAAGTCAGGTAATATGATCCCCTCAGATTTGTTCTTTTTGCTTAGTCTTGCTTTGGCTATATGGGCTCTTTTTTTGTTCTATATGAATTTTAGGATTGTTTTTTCTAGTTCTGTGAAGAATGATGATGATATTTTGATGGGAATTGCACTGAATTTGTAGATTGCTTTTGGCAGTATGGTCATTTTCAAAATACTGATTCTACCCATCTGTGAGCATGGGATGTATTTCCATTTGTTTGTGTCATCTATGATTTCTTTCAGCAGTGTTTTGTAGTTTTCCTTGTGAGATCTTTCACCTCTTTAGTTAGGTATATTCCTAAGTATTTTGGTTTTTTGTTTTGTTTTTTGGGTTTTTTTGCAGCTGTTGTAAAAGAGGTTGAGTTCTTGATGTGATTCTCAGCCTGGTCCTTGTTGGTGTATAGTAGTGCTACTGATTTGTGTGCATTGATTTTGTATTCTGAAACTTTACTTGAATTCATATATCAGATCTAGGAGCTTTTTGGATGAATCTTTAGGATTTTCTAGGTATACGATCATATCATTGGCCAACAATGACAACTTGACTTCCTCCTTACTGATTTAGATGCTCTTTCTTTCTTTCTCTTGTCTGATCGCTCTGGCTAGGACTTCCAGTACTCTGTTAAATAGTGTTGGTGAAAGTGGACATCCTTGTCTTGTTCCAGTTCTCAGGGGAAACACTTTCAACTTTTCACTGTTTATTATAATATTGGCCATGGGTTTGTCAAAGATGGCTTTTATTACCTTAAGGTATGTCCCTTCTGTGCCCATTTTGCTGAGGGTTTTAGTCATAAAGGGATGCTGGATTTTGTCAAATGCTTTGTGTGTGTGTGTGTGTGTGTGTGTGTGTGTGTGTGTGTGAGACAGAGTCTCACTGTGTTCCTTAGGCTGGAGTGCAGTGGCATGATCTTGGCTCACTGCAACCTCTGCCTCCCAAATTCAAGCAGTTCTCCTGCCTCAACCTCCCCAGTATCTGGGATTACAGGTGTGCACCACCACACCTAGCTAACTTTTTGTATTTTTTAGTAGAGACAGGGTTTCGCCATGTTGGCCAGGCTGGCCTCAAAACTCCTGACCTCAAATGATCCGTCTGCCTCGGCTTCCCGAAGTGCTGGGATTACAGGCATGAGCCACCACACTCGGCCTCAAATGCTTTTTCTGCATTTATTGAGATGATTGTATGATTTTTGTTTTGACTTCTGTTTATGTGGTGTATTATATTTATTGATTTTTTGTGTGTGTATGTTAAACCAGCCCTGCATCCCTGGTATGAAACCCACTTAATTATGGTGTATTACCTTTTTGATATGCTGTTGCATTTGGTTAGCTAGTATTTGGTTGAGGAGTGTTACATCTGTGTTCATCAGGGATATTGTTCTGTAGTTTTCTTTTTTTTTTTTTTGTTATGTCCTTTCCTGGTTTTGGTATTAGGGTAGTACTGGCGTTGTAGAATGATTTAGGGAGGATTTCCTCCTTATCTTTTGAAATAGTTTTAATAGGATTGGTACCAGTTCTCTTAGAATGTCTGTTAGAATTCAGCTGTTGGGCTGGGCACATGGCTCATACCTGTAATCCCAGCCTTTGAGAGGCCAAGGCAGGCAATCTCCTGAGGTCAGGAGTTCAAGACCAGCCTGCCCAACGTGGTGAAACCTCATCTAACTAAAAATACAAAAATTAGCAGGGTGTGGTGGCATGTGCCTGTAATCCCATCTACTCGGGAAGCTGAGGCAGGAGAATCGCTTAAACCCGGAGATGGAGGTTGCAATGAGCCGAGATCTCACCACTGCATTCCAGCCTGGGGGCAAGAGAACAAGACCCTGTCTTAAAAAAAAAAAACCAGCTGTGAATCCATCTGGTCCTGGACTTTTTTTAGTTGGCCATTTTTAAATTACTGTTTCAATCTCCCTACCTGCTATTGGTCTTTTCAGAGTTTCTATTTCTTCCTGGCTTAATCTGGGAGGATTGTTTAATTCCTTCTAGGTTGAGGAATTTATCCATCTCCTGTAGGTTTTCTAGTTTGTGTGCACAAAGGTATTCATAGTAGCTTTGAATGATCTTTTGTATCCCTGTGGTATTTGTTGTAATTTCTCTCATTTCATTTCTAATCGAGCTTATTTGGATCTTATTCTTTTCTGGGTTAATCTTACTAATGGTCTATCAGTTTTGTTTGTCTTTTCAAAGAACCAGCATTTTGTTTAATTTTTCTTTTGTATTTTTTTCTTTCAGTTTCATTTAGTTCTGCTCTGATCTTTGTTATTTCTTTTCTTGTGCTGGGTTTGGGTTTGATGTGTTCTTTTTTCTCTAGTTTCTTGATGTGTGAGCCTAGATTGTCTGTTTATGCTCTTTCAGACTTTTTGATGTAGGCGTTTAGTGCTATGAACTTTCCTCTTAGCACTGCTTTTGCTGTATCCCAGAGGTTTTGACTGGTTGTGTCACTATTATCGTTCAGTTCAAAGAATTTTAAAATTTCCGTCTTGATTTCATTGTTGACCCAAAGATCATTCAGGGGCAGGTTACGTAATTTCCATATATTTGTATAGTTTTGAGTGTTCCTTTTGAAGTCAATATCCAGTTTTATTCCACTGTGGTCTTAGAGAGTATTTGATATAATTTTGATTTTCTTAAATTTACTGAGATGGGCTGGGCGTGGTGGCTCACACCTGTAATCTCAGTACTTTGGGAGGCCTAGGTGGGTGGATCACGAGGTCAGGAGATCGAGACCATTCTGGTCTCTAACCAGAGACCAGAATCTGGTGGCTAACACGGTGAAACCCCATCTCTACTAAAAGTACAAAAAATTAGCCAGGCGTGGTGGGGGGCACCTGTAGTCCCAGCTACTCGGGAGGCTGAGGCAGGAGAATGGCATGAACCCAGGAGGCGGAGTTTGCAGTGAGCCGAGACTGCACCACTGCACTCCAGCCTGGGCAACAGTGCAAGACTCTGTCTCAAAAAAAAAAAATTATTGAGATGGCTGGGCGCAGTGGCTCATGCCTGTAATCCTAGCACTTTGGGAGGCCAGGGAAGGTGGATCACCTGAGGTCAGGAGTTTGAGACCAGCCTGGCCAACATGGTGAAACCTTGTCTTTACTAAAAATACAAAAATTAGGCTGGTGTGGTGGCGGGGGCCTGTAATCCCAGCTGCTTGGGAGGCTGAGGCAGAAGAATCACTTGAGCCCAAGAGGTGGAGGTTGCGGTGAGTCGAGATCACGCCACTGCACTCCAGCCTGGGTGACAAAGCGAGGCTCTGTCTCAAAAAAAAAAAAAAATTATTGAGACTTGTTTTGTGTTCTATCATTTGGTTTATCTTGGAATGAATGTTCCATGTGCTGATGAAAAGAATGCATATTCTGCAGTTGTTGGGTAGAATATTCTGTAAATATCTATTAAGTCCATTTGTTCTAGGATATAGTTTAAATCCATTATTTCTTTGTTGACTTTCTGTCTTGATTACCTGTCTAGTGCTGTCAGTAGAGTACTGAAGTCCTCCACTATTATTGTGGTGCTATCTCATTTCTTAGGTCTAATAATAACTGTTTTATAAATTTGAGAATTCCGGCCGGGCGCGGTGGCTCATGCCTGTAATCTCAGCACTTTGGGAGGCCGAGGCGGGTGGATCACGGGTGGTCAGGAGTTTGAGACCAGCCTGACCAACATGGTGAAACCCCGTCTCTACTAAAAACACAAAAATTAGCCGGGCGTGCTGGCACGCACCTGTAATCCCAGCTACTCAGGAGGCTGAGGCAGGAGAATTGCATGAATCTGGAGGTGGAGGTTGCAGTGAGCCGAGACTGCACCACGGCACTCCAGCCTGGGCGACAGAGTGAGACTCTGTCTCAAAAAAAAAAATAAATAAATAAGTAAATAAATAAATAAATAAATTTGAGAGTTCTAGTGTTAGGTGCATAAATATTTAGGATTGTGATATTTTCCTGTTGGACTAATTCTTTTATCATTATATAATGTCCTTTTTTATCTTTTTTAACTGTTGTTGCTTTAAAGTCTGCTTTGTTTTGTATAAGAATAGCTATTCCTGGCTAGGCGCAGTGGCTCACGCCTGTAATCCCAGCACTTTGGGAGGCCGAGGCGGGCAGATTACGAGGTCAGGAGTTTGAGACCAGCCAGGCCAACATGGTGAAACTCTGTCTCTACTAAAAATACAAAAATTAGCCAGGCGTGGTGGCGCGTGCCTGTAGTCCCAGCTACTTGGAAAGCTAAGGCAGGAGAATCGCTTGACCCCAGGAGGCAGAGGTTGCAGTGAGCCAAGATTGCACCACTACACTCCAGCCTGGGCAACAGAAGGAGACTCTGTCTCAAAAAAAAAAAGAAAGAAAGAAAGAAAGAAAAAAGAATAGCTACTCCTGCTGACTTTGGTGTTCATTTGCATGGAATATCTTTTTCCACCCTGTTTATGAGTCCTTATATGTTAGGCAAGTCTGTTAAAAGACTTACTTGGTTGGTTGATTTTTATCCATTTGACATTCTGTATCTTTTAAGTGGAGCATTTAGGCCATTTACATTCAATATCAGTATTGAGATGTGAGGTACTGTTCTATTCATCATGCTAGTTGTTGCTGTACCTTATTTTTTTTCATTGTGTTATTGTTTTATAGATCCTATGAGATTTATGTTTTAAGGAGGTTCTATTTTGGTATATTTTGAGGTTTTGTTTCAATATTTAGAACTCCTTTTAGCATTTATTGTAGTGCTGGCATGGTAGTGACAAATTCAGCATTTGTTTGTTTGAAAAAGACTTTATCTCGCCTCTGGTTATGAAGCTTAGTTTCACTGGATACAAAACTCTTAGCGGATAATTATTTTGTTTAAGGAGGCTAAAGATAGGACCCCCATCCCTTCTGGCTTGCAGGGCTTCTGCTAAGAAATCTGCTGTTAATCTGATAGGTTCTCCTTTATAGATTACCTGGTGCTTTTGCCTCACAGCTCTTTTTTTTTTTTTTTTTGAGACAGAGTCTTGCTCTGTCACCCAGGCTAGAGTGCAGTAGCGTGATCTCGGCTCACTGCAACCTCCAACTCCCGGGTTCAAGCAATTCTCCTGCCTCAGCCTCCTGAGTAGCTGGGATTACAGGCACCTGCCACCACGCCTGGCTGATTTTTGTATTTTTAGTAGAGATGGTGTTTCACCATCTTGGTTGGCCAGGCTGGTCTCGAACTCCTGACCTCGTGATCCACCCGCCTTGGCCTCCCAAAGTGCTGAGATTACAGATGTGGGCCACTGTGCCTGACCTTGCCTCACAGCTCTTAAGATTCTTTCTTTCATCTTTACTTTAGACAATGTGATGACTATGTGCCTAGGCAATGATCTTTTTGCAATGAATTCCCCGGGTGTTCTTTGAGCTTCTTGTATTTGGATGTCTAGATCTCTAGCAAGACCATGGAAGTTTTTCTTGATTATTCCCTCAAGTATGTTTTCCAAACTTTTAGATTTCCCTTCTTCCTCAGGAGCACCAATTATTCTTATGTTTGCTTGTTTACATAATCTCAGATTTCTTGGAGGCTTTGTTCATTTTTTAAAATTCTTTTTTTCTTTGTCTTTGTTGGATTGGGTTCGTTTGAAAGCCTTGTCTTTGATCTCTGAAGTTATTTCTTCTACTTGTTCAAATCTATTGTTGAAACTTTCCAGTGTATTTTGCATTTCTTTAAGTGTGTCTTTCATTTCCAGAAGTTTTGATTATTTTTTCTTTATAATATCTATTTCTCTGGAGACTTTTCCATTCATATCCTCCTTTTTTTAAAAATTTCTTTAAGTTGATTTTCACCTTCCTCTAGTGCCTTCTTGAGGAGCTTAATAATCAACCTTCTGAATTATTTATCTGGCAATTCACAGATTTCTTCTTAGTTTGGATCCATTGCTGGAGAGCTAGTATGATCTTTTGGGGGTGTTACAGAACCTTGTATTGTCATATTACTAGAATTACTTTTCTGGTTCCTTCTCATTTGAGTAGACTGTTTCAGTGGTAAGATCTGGAACTCAAGGGCTACTGTTCAGATTCTTCTGTCCCATGGGTGTTCCCTTGATGTGGTGCCCTCCCCCTGCCACTAGGGATGGGGCTTCCTGAGAGCCAGACTGCAGTGATTGTTATTGCCCTTCTATTTCTAGCCACCCAGTTGGGCCCCAGGCTGGTGCTGGGGAATGTCTGCAAAGAGCCCTGTGATGTGATCCACAGGTCTCCCAGCCGTGGATACCAGCACCTGTTCTGGTGGTGGCAGGTGAGTGAAGTGGATTCTGTTGGAGTCTTTTGTTGTAATTTTGTTTAGTGCACTTCAAGTACTGGTTATGTAAGCAGTGAAGTTGTCACGTGGACAGATTCAGGACCTCTGGCTAGACAGGGTGTTGCAGGAAGTGGAATTAGCTGTTGTTTTCTCCTTCTTTGGAGCAGGGTTGTTCTGTTATGAGTTGCTATGGTGGCTTGAGTTCGTTGGGCTCCAGCCAGGAGGTGGCACTTTCAAGAGGGCACCAGCTGCAGTATAGAAGAGAGATATAATCTTGATGTTGGCCGGGACAAGTACTCGGGTTTCTCAGGTGATGGGCAGGGCCATAGAGCAGGTAGAGAAAACCTTGCCCCATCAGGTGGGGGCAAGGTTAGTTGGGTCTGGGCTCAGGCTCCCCTTGGGTGGGGCTTGCTGTGGCCACAGTGGGGGTGGAGGGGATTCTCAGGCCAATGGAATTATGTTCCCAGGGGCATTATGGCTGCCTCTGCTGTGCTATACAGGTCACCAGGGAGGTGGGGGAAAGCTGGCAGTGACAGGCCTCACCTAGCTCCCAGGCAGCCACCAAGGCCAGTCTCACTCTGGCCATGCCACCCCAACCGCACTGCGTTTATATCCAGGCAGTTGGTGAGCAGGGCTGAGATCTTGCCCCAGACTATAAGCCTTGCCACTGAGAAAGCAAGAGGGCTGTTAGGCCTCACCAGTCCCTGCCTGCCCACACTATTGGCTGTGGCTTCTGCACTCGCATCTGTACTTCCCATTTGCCCCCTCTGCCACCAATTTCTGCTTAGGAAAATTCCTGCTCAGTCAAAATTATTACAAAGTTCAGCTACAAGCTTCCTTCACCCTGTGGTCCTGCCCCAATTCCACTGGCTGCCTTCCCGTCTCCAAGGACCTCTGTGAGATCACGCCAGGAATGGCTTCCTTGGACTCCAGCTGGGGATGGAAGTACCTATAGGGCTCTTCCTGCTGCTTCTTCTACTTTCATATTTTGCTCAGCTACCTAAATCTATTTCAGCTCAGGGTAAAGTTAAATCCTTCCCCTGTGATCTGGATTTTCAGGTTCCCCAGTGGGGATGTATGTTCAGAGACTGACCTTTTCTTCCCTCACACTTTGGGAACTCACGGTTTTTCAGCTGTTTCATGGCATTTGCAGCAGCGAACCACTTCTTTCAAAGGGTCTGTGAATTCTTTCAGTTTTCCTACAGTGTTTCTTGCGGTGTTCCTGAAGTGATTCTTGGAGTAAAAGTTCGCATTGTGAGTCTCCAGATGCTGTTCTGTCCATCCAGGTGGCAGCTGCATGTTAATCCTGTCTCCGATCTGCCATTTTCCCTCCTATCTCCCAATGAATATAATTCTATACTGAAAGCTACGAGTTTGGTTTTATCTAATTTTAGAATATTAAACTTTGTTTTGGATGCATTTTCCGCCGGATGCAGTGGCTCACGCCTGTAATCCCAGAACTTTGAGAGGCTGAGGCGGGCAGATCACCTGAAGTCGGGTGTTCAAGACTAGCCTGACCAACATGGAGAAACCCTGTCTCTACTAAAAATACAAAACTAGCCGGACGTGGTGGTGGGTGCCTGTAATCCCAGCTACTCGGGAGGCACTGAGGCAGGAGAATCGCTTGAACCCAGGGAGGTGGAGGTTGCAGTGAAGCGAGATCTTGCCATTGCACTCCAGCCTGGGCAACAAGAGTGAAACTCCATCTCAAAAAAAAAAAAAAGAAATATTTAGTATTTTCCTTACATAAGTCATTATTGAATTCCTATAAATTTAACATTTTAGTGTAAAATCACATATATAATAATAATAATTAACATTTATTAGGTGACTACTATGTGCCAGGGGATTTTATTGCTTGGGTCACTCAGTCTTCACAACACTTCAGTCTAAGTGCTGCTATTCTTATTTTAGAGGAAATAGATGTTCAGAAAAAAAAAATAACTATGAATAAGTAAACTTGTGGGATTTGAACCCAGATCTGGTCTGCATCTGAAACCTGTGCTATTTCCACCAGGTCATATGTCTTTACAACTTTAACAGTGAGGCTTGGCATATTGAAAAGTCATTTAGAGCCTGGGCATGGTGGCTAACGCCTATAATCCCAGTACTTTGGGAGGCCGAGGTGGGCAGATCACCTGAGGTTAGGAGTTCCAGACCACCCTGGGCAACATGGCGAAACCCTGTCTCTACTAAAAATGCAAAAATTAGCCAGGTGTGGTGGCATGCGCCTGTAGTCCCAGTTACTCAGGAGGCTGAGGCAGGAGAATCACTTGAACCCAGGAGGAAGAGGCTGCAGTGAGCCAAGATCGCGCCACTGCATTCCAGTGTGGGTGACAGAGTGAGACCCTGTCTCAAAACAACAAAAACAAAAAAAAGTCATTTAGATTGAATATATATATATATATATATATATATTCAATTTGCTAATATTTTATAAGCAGTTGTCACATTTATCTTCATATTGAGGTTCAGTTATATTTTTCTTTCCTCATACTGTTCTTGTCTAGATTGTATACCAAATTGTACCAGACCTATATACTATAGAGCGTTTTTCTTTTTCTACTATTTGAAACAATATAGTTAGATAAGAGAAATACCTGTTGTTTTAAGGCTTAGTAAAACTTCCCCTAAAACTGTCTAGGTCTGGAGTTTTTTTATGGAGGTTTTTTTAAAAAAAAAAAAAGATTCAGTTTCTATAATAGTTATTGATTATTGAAATTTTCCAAAGTCAATTTTGGTAGTTTGTCTTCTAAATTGTGCATTTTATCTATTCAAATTCATTTTCATAAAGTTTTTATTTACTTATCTGTACTTTATCTATAATTATATAATTTATTAATTTCTAATATTGTTCTTTTTTTTGAGACAGGATCTCACCCTGTCACCCAGGATGAAGTATAATGGATCTAGCTTGATGCTTAATAAAGTAATCTATCCTTTGTTTCTGGTTGTTTTAAAATTCTTTCCCTTGGTATATTATGGGTTCATTAGTATAAGTTCAATTTTATATTTATTTATCTCATAATATCATAACTTGGAGCATACTGTCACTCAGAGAACTTTGTCATTCATCAATTCTGGGAATTTCAAAACTATTGTCTTCAAATATTACCTTCTTGGCTGGTAATTTACCTTCTTGGCTCATGCCTGTAATCTCAGCACTTTGGGAGGCTGAGTTGGGCGAATTACTTGAGACCAGGAGTTCGAGACTTGCCTGGCTAACATGGTGAAACCCCATCTCTACTAAAAATACAAAAATTAGCTGGCTGTGGTGGCACATAGCTGTAATCCCAGCTACTTGGGATACTGAGGCATGGGAATTGCTTGAACCCGGGAGGCAGAGGCTGCAGTGAGCCAAGATCGTGCCACTGCACTCTAGCCTGGGTAACAGAGTGAGACTCTGTCTCAAAAACAAAAACAAAAACAAACAAATATTACATTATTGTATTCTCTTGTTTTCAATATATATTTTCAAATTACACAGATGTTTTTCTTTTTTTTTGAGACAGAGTCTTGCTCTGTTGTCCATGCTGGAGTGCAGTGGCACGATCTCAGCTCACTGCAACCTCCACCTCCTGGGTTCAAGCAATTCCCCTGCCTCAGCCTCCTTAGTAGCTGGGACTACAGATGTGCACCACCACACCAAGCTAATTTTTGTATTTTTAGAAGACACGGGGTTTCACCATATTGGCCACGCTGATCTTGAATTCCTGACCTCAAGCGATCTACCTGTCTTGGCCTCCCAAAATCCTGGGATTACAGGCGTGAGCCACCATACCTGGCCAACTTTCTTGTATTCTCTTTATCTTCCTCAGCTATTTTCTGTATAATATCCTCAGATCTATCTTCTAGTTTATAAATTTTCTTCAACCATGACTAATTTTATGTTATACTTGTCCAAGATGTTTTTAATTTCAGTGACAATATTTTTCATTTTGAAAGTTCTGTTTTTTGGCCAGGCGCTGTGGCTCATGCCTGTAATCCCAGCACTTTGGGGGGCCGAGGTGGGTGGATCACGAGGTCAGGAGATGGAGACCATCCTGGCTAACCCGGTGAAACCCCGTCTCTACTAAAAGTACAAAAAATTAGCTGGACGTGGTGGTGGGTGCCTGTAGTCCCAGCTACTCAGGAGGCTGAGGCAGGAGAATGGCGTGAACCCGGGAGGCAGAGCTTGCAGTGAGCCGAGATCGCGCCACTACACTCCAGCCTAGGCGACAGAGCAAGATGCTGTCTCAAAAAAAAAAAAAAAAAAAAGAACTGTTTTTTTTTCACACCTCTCTGTTCTTTGTCACTAGCTTCTTAGTTTTCATTATTGATGTTAGCCTGTCTTTACTGGCTTTAAGTAAGTATGTTTAAAATGATCAATCTCTTTCAGATTGTTGTGCTATTTCAAAGTCTTGGGGAGCCAGTCGTCTTATTTGTTGTGTCTGCTGATTGTTCCTCATACTGGATTGTTTCCTCTTGTGAATTGTGCTTTTTTGCCTGACCACTAATCTTCTGCAAAAACTTCTTAGTGTGTATGTATGAGGAAATATCATATATTCTTATTTGCAAAAGACTTGTTGATGAGGAATACCTGGAGCTTCCATTTCTTACAAGAGACATTTTTTCCAAGCTTCACTTTCTAAGATTAGTGAGCAGAGATCGTATAAGCATCCTTTTCACTAAGAGTGATGCCCACTGGGCACGGTGGCTCATGCCTGTAATCCCAGCACTTTGGGAGGCCAAGGTGGGTGGCTCACGAGATCAGGAGTTCGAGACCAGCCTGGCCAACATGATGAAACCCGTGTCTACTAAAAATACAAAAAAATTAGCTGGGCATGGTGGTGCACGTCTGTAATTCCAGCTACTCAGGAGGCTGAGGCAGGAGAATCGCTTGAACCCGGGAGGTCCTACCCTTCTATGATTCTAGTTTCATTTCCACCTCCCCACCTCTGTACCTATATCAGCATTAAATTTCCAGTCTCCAGCCATTGATATTAATCTATTTGCATCTAAAATCTTTCCAAACAGCTTTGTGTCAGCTTTTGAGATGACCCTGGCTTTAAGTTCGATGATGAAGCATTTCCTTTACTTACTTTTGAAACTGAACTATATATTGAACCTTTTGTTTATTTATTTTTTATCAAGAATTTGTATGTGTTCATAACATTTTACCTTTTCATAAAATTGCATGTAAAACTTTGTAGTAAAAGTTTTAACCTGTGTTGTTACAAACAGCAAATTTCTTTTTTATGTTTTGCAATTTGCAAATGGAAAATAGAAGAGTTTGTAAATTAGATATATGAGTTTGGAAATTATATATCTTATTTTTACTGTAACTAGTGGTCACTGTAATATTTTTTATAAACACATAAAGATTTGTTTTTCTGTAGCAATATAGTTTTTTTTAGTTATCCTCATGGGATAATAGTGATGATTTCCTGCATGTTCTATATCGTATTAATCATTAGTATTATTAGTAATCTGAAGTAAAATGAAGTATGCTTGATTTTTACTTTCTATTCTATTTTCCTTCTTTTTTTCCTTTTCCTTTTTTTTTTTTTTTTTTTTTTTTTAGTGAGACATGCTCTGTTGTCCAGGCTGGAGTGCAGTGGCGTGATCTTGGCTCACTGCAGCCTCTGCCTCCCAGGTTGAAGCGATTCTCCTGCCTCAGCTTCCCAAATAGCTGGGATTACAGGTGCCTGCCACCACCCCTGACTAATTTTTTGTAATTTTAGTAGAGATGAGGTTTCACCATGTTGGCCAAGCTGGTCTCCAACTCCTGACCTCAAGTGATCCACCCGCCTCAGCATCCCGAAGTGCTAGGATTACAGGTGTGAGCCGCTGCGCCCAGACCTATTTTCCTTCTTTTGTATTACTATTTAAAAATATTATTTACAGGCTGGGTGTGGTGGCTTACACCTGTAATCTCAGCACTTTGAGAGGCCAAGATGGGAGGATTGCTTGAGCCCAGGAGTTCAAGAGCAGCCTGGGCAACAAAACAAGACCCCATCTCTACAAAAAAGCATACAAACAAAAAATTAGCCATGTATGGTGGTGGGCACCTGTAGTGCCTGCTCTTGAAAGGCTGAGATGGGAGGATTTTTTGAGCCAAGGGGTTCAAAGCTGCAGTGTGCTGTGATTGCATCACTGCACTCCAGCCTCGGTGACGGTAATAACCCTGTCTCAAAAAAAAAAAAAGATATTATTCACAAAATTTTTAGTGTGTTCTCCACTGCTTTAGAAAACCCATTCTTTTTCATTTTGCTCTCAAATTCCCCACTCCTGGTTTCTTAATGTTATTTCTCTGTGTTCTGGAACATTTATTTGAGTAATGTATTCACAAAAGATGACTAGGTAGTGTTGGCTGAGTTCTTACATACCTAGAAATGTCTTTTGCCATTATGAGTGAGCAACAGTTAACTTGGATATAAAATTATTGGGATCTTGTATTAGGTAGGTTCAAGCCGAGCATTGTAAAATAAAGCCCCAAATGTACAGATCAAATAAAGATAAAAATTTAGTTCTCTTTAATGTAATACTTTGTTATGCAACAGTGCTCAACGACTGTGTTCTACAAGGCCATCCTGGCTGATGGGATCACCTCTGTTATCACATTATTTGGCTTTCATCTTTGAGTCTAAGAGCGCTCCTTCCCCCCTTGCCCCAGTCCTTTGAAATGTCTAGTCAAGACCCTTTCCTAGTTTTCGTTTGTTTGTTTGTTGGAGACGGAGTCTCACTCTGTTGCCCAGGCTGGAGTGTATGGCACGATCTCGGCTAACTGCAACCTCCACCTCCCAGGTTCAAGCAAGTCTCCTGTCTTAGCCTCCCAAGTAGCTGGGATTATAGGTATGTGCCACAGGCCTGGCTAATTTTTATATTTTTAGTAGAGACAGGGTTTCATCATGTTGGCCAGGCTGGTCTTGAACTCCTGACCTCAGGTGATTGGCCCGCCTTGGCCTCCCAAAGTGCTGTGATTACAGACATGAGCCACTGCGCCCGTCCTTGCCAGTTCTCATTAGTTCTCTTTGATGGCTAAAACCTCTTACACTATTATAAGAAAGCATATAGGAGATAAAGTATGTAGGAGATACTGCTATAGAGTTTAAGGAGATAGAGATGGTATTGGCAGTGGTGGTTTTGCCTATGTGCCCTTCTCTAGAGTTGATGTAGAGTTGCCTAGAGTATCCTCCCTTAGAGTTGATGTGAATTAAACACTGTGGTTTTACAAAGAGAACCCCAGAAAAGTAGCTGAGGCCATTGATAAAGAGCAGGTAGGTCATTAGCTGCTATATTATCATTGCTAAATTTTGCATTCTTTTCTTGCAGAAAATATATTTGATTTATTTGTTTAGGATTTGGGGGTGAGCTTTGATGTGTAATTACTTTATCAGTTGATTGTTAACTAGAAAATGAGAAATAAGTGACTTGTTTGCTACCATTGTTTTTGAAGGGAGAAATTCAGAAAATATATTTACTGAGAAGTTAAAGGAAGACAGTATTCCTGCTCCTCGCTCTGTTGGCAGTATTAAAATCAACTTTACCCCTCGAGTATTCCCAACAGCTCTTCGTGAATCACAAGTAGCAGAAGAGGAGGAGGTATATATACTTACTCTAGTTACAATTACCACAAATGAAAATACTTTATTTTTATTTCATCTATTGAAATTAGTACTGGTTCTGAATTTCTTAAGTATTTATTACACTAAAGAAATAACGTCATGAATATGTTTTAGAATTTCCTTATGAGAAAATATATTTTGCAGATGTTTTTGGCTCCAGAATAGTGATAAGAGAATACCGACTTAATATATGTACAGTAGGCCGGGCGCAGTGGCTCATGCCTGCAATCCCAGCACTTTGGGAGCCCGAGATGGGTGGATCACTTGAGGTCAGGAGTTCAAGACCAACCTGACTAACATGGGGAAACTCCATCTGTACTAAAAATACAAAAATTAGCCTGGCGTGGTGGCGAGCACCTGTGATCGCAGCTACTAGCGGGGCTGGGGCAGGAGAATTGCTTGAACTTGGGATGTGGAGGTTGCAGTGAGCCGAGATTGCACCATTGTACTCCAGCCTGGGCAACAGAGTGAGACTTTGAATCAAAAAAAAAAAAAAAAAAAAGCGGTCTTTTTGTTGTTGTTGTTTGTTTTAGAGATGGAGTTTTTGCTCTTGTTGCCCAGGCTGGAGTGCAGTGGGCACAATCTCAGTTCACTGCAACCTCCTCCTCCCAGGTTCAAACAATTCTCCTGCCTCAGCCTCCCTAGTAGCTGGGATTACAGGCATGCGCCAGCATGTCTGGCTAATTTTTTATATTTTTAGTAGAGATGGGGTTTCACCATGTTGGTCAGGCTGGTCTCAAACTCCTGACCTCAGGCGATCCACCCTGCTCGGCCTCCCAATGTGCTGGGATTATAGGCATGAGCCACCGTACCCAGCCAAGAACTGCATTTTTTTACTGCGAGGCTGAATTGATGCATCTTTGATTTGAAAAATTGTAGAAATAAGAAGATCCTTAAGACATAATGACAAGCCGGGCGTGGTGGCTCACGCCTGTAATTCTAGCACTTTGGGAGGCCGAGGTGGGTGGATCACCTGAGGTCAGGAGTTTGAGACCAGCCTGGCCAACATGGTGAAACCCCATCGCTATTAAAAATACAAAAATTAGTCCAGTGTGGTGGCAGGCACCTGTAATCCCAGCTACTCGGGAGGCTGAGGCAGGAGAATCACTTGAACCCGGGGGTCAGAGGTTGCAATGAGCCAAGATTGCACCATTTCACTCCAGCCTGGGTGAAAGAGTGAAACTCTGTCTCAAAAAAAAAAATAAAAAATAAAAGACATAATGACAATATAAATAATTATTTCATATTATTAAACAAGGTATTTTCTATATTTGTAACATTTCTATAATTATACAGTTATAATAATAATAATAATTATTATTATTTTGTGGGATGGAGTCTCGCTCTGTCCCCTAGGCTGGAGTGCAGTGGCGCAGTCTCCGCTCACTGCAAGCTCCACCTCCTGGGTTCATGCCATTCTCTTGCCTCAGCCTCCCGAGTAGCTGGGACTACAGGTGCCCACCGCCACGCCCAGCTAATTTTGTGTAGTTTTTAATAGAGATGGGGTTTCACCATATTAGCCAGGATGGTCTCAATCTCCTGAACTTGTGATCCACCCACCTCGGCCTCCCAAAGTGCTGGGATTACAGGTGTGAGCCACTGCGCCCGGCCCATAGAATTATTTTTGAATTGTGTTTATACACACACACACACACACACACACACACACACACACACACCCTTTTTTTTTTTTTTTTTGAGTTGGGGGTCTTGCTCTGCTGCCCAGGCTGGAGTACAGTGGGACAATCATGGCTCACTGTAGCCTTGAACTCTTGGGCTCAAGTGACCTTCTGCATATTTTTCAGTACAGAAAAATGAAAATATAAAAGAATTTTAGATCAATATCCTGGATGAACATCGATGCAAAAATCCTCAATAAAATGCTGGCAAACCGAATGCAGCAGCACATCAAAAAGCTTATCCACCATGATCAAATGGGCTTCATCCCTGGGATGCAAGGCTGGTTCAACATACGCAAATCAGTAAACGTAATCCAGCATATAAACAGAACCAAAGATAAAAACCGCATGATTATCTCACCAGATGCAGAAAAGGCCTTTGACAAAATTCAACAGCACTTCATGCTAAAAACTCTCAGTAAGCTAGATATTGATGGGAAGTATCTCAAAATAATAAGAGCTATTTATGACAAACCCACAGCCAATATCATACTGAATGGGCAAAAACTGGAAGCATTCTCTTTGAAAACTGGCACAAGACAGGGATGCCCTCTCTCACCACTCCTATTCAACACAGCATAGTGTTGGAAGTTCTGGCCAGGGCAGTCAGGCAGGAGAAAGAAATAAAGGGGCTCCCCTCTCCCCTCTCCCCTCTCCCCTCTCCCCTCTGCCCTCTCCCCTCTCCCCTCTGCCCTCTCCCCTCTCCCCTCTGCCCTCTCCCCTCTCCCCTCTCCCCTCTCTCTTTCCACGGTCTCCCTCTGTTGCTGAGGCTGGACTGTACTGCCGTGATCTCGGCTCGCTGCCACCTCCCTGCCTCAGGCTCCTGTCATTCTCCTGCCTCGGCCTGCCGACTGCTTGGGATTGCAGGCACGCACCGCCATGCCTGACTGGTTTTTGTATTTTTGGTGGAGATGGGGTTTTGCTCTGTTGGCCCGGCTGGTCTCCAGCTCCTGACCTCCAGCTCCTGATCTGCCCGCCTCGGCCTCCCGAGGTGCTGGGATTGCAGATGGAGTCTTGCTCACTCAATGCTCAATGTTGCCCAGACTGGAGTGCAGTGGCATGATCTCGGCTCGCTACAACCTCCACCTCCCAGCCGCCTGCCTTGGCCTCCCAAAGTGCTAAGATTACAGCCTCTGCCTGGCCGCCACCCCATCTAGGAAGTGAGGAACATTTCTGCCTGGCCGCCCATCGTCTGGGATGTGAGGAGTGCCTCTGCCCAGCCGCCCAGTCTGGGATGTGAGGAGCACCTCTGCCCGACCGCCACCCCATCTGGGAAGTGGGGAGCGCCTCTGCCCGGCTGCCCCGTCTGGGAAGTGAGGAGCGCCTCTGCCCGGCCGCCCATCATCTGGGATGTGAGGAGCGCCTCTGCCTGGCCACCCCGTCTGGGAAGTGAGGAGTGCCTCTGCGCAGCCGCCCCATCTGGGAAGTGAGGAGCACCTCTGCCCGTCAGCTGCCCCATCTGGGAAGTGAGGAGCGCCTCTGCCCGGCTGCCCCGTCTGGGAAGTGGAGAGCGCCTCTGCCCAGCTGCCCCGTCTGGGAAGTGGGGAGCGCCTCTGCCCGGCCGCCCATCATCTGGGATGTGAGGAGCGCCTCTGCCTGGCCGCCACCCCGTCTGGGAAGTGGGGAGCACCTCTGCCCAGCCGGCCCGTCTGGGATGTGAGGAGCACCTCTGCCCGGCCACCCCATCAGGGATGTGAGGAGCGCCTCTGCCCGGCCGCCCCATCTGGGATGTGAGGAGCGCCTCTGCCTGGCCACCACCCTGTCTGGGATGTGAGGAGTGTCTCTGCCCGGCTGCCCCGTCTAGGAAGTGAGGAGCGCCTCTGCCCGGCCACCCCGTCTGGGATGTGAGGAGCGCCTCTGCCCGGCCGCCACCCCATCTGGGAAGCAGGGTGCGCCTCTGCTCGGCCGCCCTGTCTGGAAGGTGAGGAGCGCCTCTGCCTGGCTGCCCTTCATCTGGGATGTGAGGAGCGCCTCTGCCCGGCCACCCGGTCTGGGAAGTGAGGAGCACCTCTGCCTGGCCACCCCGTCTAGGATGTGAGGAGCACCTCTGCCCGACCGCCACCCCATCTGGGAAGTGGGGAGCGCCTCTGCCCGGCCGCCCCGTCTGGGAAGTGAGGAGCGCCTCTGCCCGGCCGCCCATCATCTGGGATGTGAGGAGTGCCTCTGCCTGGCCACCCCGTCTGGGAAGTGAGGAGTGCCTCTGCCCAGCTGCCCCCCCCCCCCGTCTGGGATGTGAGGAGCGCCTCTGCCCGGCCGCCCCGTCTAGGAGGTGAGGAGCGCCTCTGCCCAGCTGCCACCCCTTCTGGGAAGTGGGGAGCGCCTCTGCCCGGCCACCCCGTCTGGGAGGTGAGGAGCGCCTCTGCCCGGCTGCCGCATCTGGGAAGTGAGGAGCGCCTCTGCCTGGCTGCCCTGTCTGGGATGTGAGGAGCGCCTCTGCCCGGCCGCCACCCCATCTGGGAAGCGGGGAGTGCCTCTGCCCGGCCACCCCGTCTGGGAGGTGAGGAGCGCCTCTGCCCGGCCACCCCGTCTGGGATGTGAGGAGCGCCTCTGCCCGGCCGCCCCGTCTGGGAGGTGAGGAGCGCCTCTGCTCGGCCGCCCCGTCTGGGAGGTGAGGAGCACCTCTGCCTGGCTGCCGCATCTGGGAAGTGAGGAGCGCCTCTGCCCGGCTGCCCCGTCTGGGATGTGAGGAGCGCCTCTGCCCGGCCGCCACCCCATCTGGGAAGCGGGGAGCGCCTCTGCCCGGCCACCCCGTCTGGGAAGTGGGGAGCGCCTCTTCCCGGCCGCCCCGTCTGGGAGGTGAGGAGTGCCTCTGCCTGGTGCCCTTCGTTTGGGAGGTGAGGAGCGCCTCTGCCTGGCCACCCCGTCTGGGAGGTGAGGAGTGCCTCTGCCTGGCCGCCCCATCTGGGAGGCGAGGAGCGCCTCTGCCTGGCCGCCCCATCTGGGAGGTGTACCCAACAGCTCCGAAGAGACAGCGACCATCGAGAACGGGCCATGATGACGATGGCGGTTTTGTGGAAAAGAAAATGGGGAAATTTGGGGAAAAGAAAGAGAGATCAGATTGTTACTGTGTCTGTGTAGAAAGAAGTAGACATAGGAGACTCCATTTTGTTCTGTACTAAGAAAAATTCTTCTGCATGGGATGCTGTTAATCTATAACCTTACCCCCAACCCCGTGCACTCTGAAACATGTGCTGTGTCAACTCAGGGTTAAATGGATTAAGGGCGGTGCAAGATGTGCTTTGTTAAACAGACGCTTGAAGGCAGCATGCTCGTTAAGAGTCATCACCACTCCCTAATCTCAAGTACCCAGGGACACAAACACTGTGGAAGGCTGCAGGGACCTCTGCCTAGGAAAACCAGAGACCTTTGTTCATGTGTTTATCTGCTGTCCTTCTCTCCACTATTATCCTATGACCCTGCCACATCCCCCTCTCTGAGAAACACCCAAGAATGATCAATAAATACTAAAAAAAAAAAAAAAAAAAAAGGGTATTCAATTAGGAAAAGAGGAAGTCAAATTGTCCCTGTTTGCAGATGACATGATTGTATATTTAGAAAACCCCATCGTCTCAGCCCAAAATCTCCTTAAGCTGATAAGCAACTTCAGCAAAGTCTCAGGATACAAAATCAATGTGCAGAAATCACAAGCATTCTTATACACCAATAACAGACAAACAGAGAGCCGAATCATGAGTGAACTCCCATTCACAATTGCTTCAAAGAGAAAAAAATACGTAGGAATCCAACTTACAAGGTATGTGAAGGACCTCTTCAAGGAGAACTACAAACCACTGCTCAACAAAATAAAAGAGGACACAAACAAATGGAAGAACATTCCAAGCTCATGGATAGAAAGAATCAATATCGTAAAAATGGCCGTGCTGCCCAAGGTAATTTATAGATTCAATGCCATCCCCATCAAGCTACCAGTGACTTTCCCCAAAGAATTGGAAAACAAACTACTTTAAAGTTCATATGGAACCAAAAAAGAACCCACATTGCCAAGACAATCCTAAGCCAAAAGAACAAAGCTGGAGGCATCATGCCACCTGACTTCAAACTACACTACAAGGCTACAGTAACCAAAACAGCATGGTACTGATACTGAAACAGAGATATAGACCAATGGAACAGAACAGAGCCCTCAGAAATAATACCACACATCTACAACCATCTGATCTTTGACAAACCTGACAAAAACAAGAAATGGGGAAAGGATTCCCTATTTAATAAATGGTACTGGGAAAACTGGCTAGCCATATGTAGAAAGCTGAAACTGGATCCCTTCCTTACACCTTATACAAAAATTAATTCAAGATGGATGAAAGACTTAAATGTTAGACCTAAAACCATAAAAACCCTAGAAGAAAACCTAGACAATACCATTCAGGACATAGGCATGGGCAAGGACTTCATGTCTAAAACACCAAAAGCAATGGCAACAAAAGCCAAAATTGACAAATGGGATCTAATTAAACTAAAGAGCCTCTGCACAGCAAAAGAAACTACCATCAGAGTGAACAGGCAACCTACAGAATGGGAGAAAATTTTTGCAATCTACTCATCTGACGAAGGGCTAATATCCAGAATCTACAAAGAACTCAAACAAACTTACAAGAAAAAAACAACCCCATCGAAACATGGGTGAAGGATATGAACAGACACTTCTCAAAAGAAGACATTTATGCAGCCAACAGATACATGAAAAAATGCTCATCATCACTGGCCATCAGAGAAATGCAAATCAAAACCACAATGAGATACCATCTCACACCAGCTAGAATGGCGATCATTAAAAAGTCAGGAAACAACAGGTGCTGGAGAGGATGTGGAGAAATAGGAATACTTTTACACTGTTGGTGGGACTGTAAACTAGTTCAACCATTGTGGAAGACAGTGTGGCGATTCCTCAAGGATCTAGACCTAGAAATACCATTTGACCCAGCCATCCCATTACTGGGTATATACCCAAAGATTATCAATCATGCTGCTATAAAGACACATGCACATGTATGTTTATTGCAGCACTATTCACAATAGCAAAGACTTGGAACCAACCCAAATGTCCATCAATGATAGACTGGATTAAGAAAATGTGGCAGTAATGTGTGCCATCCAGGGCTAGAGCAAGTGCGGCCCCACGGCCTGCACGGCCCTGAGCCATGCTGAGGAGCTGCGCCAGGCGCCTCCGCACGCTGGGGGCCCTTTGCCAGCCGCCACCGGTAGGCAGGCGCCTGCCGGGTAGTGAGCCGCAACCCGCGCTGAGGTCATTTTCTTCTGAGGAAGTCATTCTTAAGGACTATTCTGTCCCCAACCCCAGCTGGAACAAGGACCTAAGACTGCTCTTTGACCAGTTTATGAAGAAATGTGAAGACGGCTCCTGGAAACGTTTGCCTTCATATAAACGTACACCTACTGAAAGGATTCAAGACTTTAAAACCCATTTTCTTGACCCAAAGCTTATGAAAGAAGAACAAGTGTCACAGGCCCAGCTCTTCACCAGAAGCTTTGATGATGGCCTGGGCTTTGAATACGTGATGTTCTACAATGACGTTGAGAAAAGGATGGTTTGCTTATTTCAAGGAGTCCCTTACCTAGAAGGACCACCTGGATTGATTCATGGAGGTGCCATTGCAACCATGATTGATGCTACTGTTGGTATGTGTGCAATGATGGCTGGGGGAATCGTCATGACTGCCAATCTCAACATCAGTTGTAAAAGACCTATCCCTCTTTGTTCTGTTGTTAGGATAAATAGCCAACTTGATAAAGTTGAAGGAAAGAAATTTTTTGTTTCCAGTAATGTTCAGAGTGTTGATGAGAAGACCCTATATTCAGAGGCGACAAGCTTACTTATAAAGCTGAATCCTGCTAAAAGTCTGACATAAAGAGCTGCTGGTGAACTCCATCTCATTCTCTCCCCTCCAGAAGAAGCAGTTGTCCCCCGAATACTCTGCTCCCTCACTGCTGAATCCCTGTAGGGAGAAGCCTGCCAAGAGTGACCTTCCGAAACAGCCTTCTGAATACAAGGAGGATTCAGTTTCCATCTTCCCAACTTTTTAACACAGAAACACTTCCTGCGAGCATTTCGACAACTCTCAGTCAGGGCGCTGTGGCTCACGCCTATAATCCCAGCACTTTAGGAGGCCAAGGCGGGTGGATTGCCTGAGCTCAGGAGTTCAAGATCAGTCTGGACAACACGATGAAACCCCGTCTCTACTAAAATAAAAAAAATTAGCCGGGCATGGTGGCGTGTGCCTGTAGTCCCAGCTACTCAGGAGGCTGAGGCAGGAGAATTGCTTGAACCCGGGAAGCGGAGGTTGCAGTGAGCCAAGATCATGCCACATCACTCCAGCCTTGGCAACAGAACGAGAACCCATCTCAAAACAAAACAAAACAAAAAAAACTCTGTCTCCTTAGGATGTGTTACCTGCTCCACTGCGGACTGGAGAAATAAATGTGTATTGAAACTTTTCCTGCAAACTTGAAAATGCTAGAAAACCAAGCATGAAGAATAAATACATGGCAGGGAAGACACAGACATGTGCATATGCATATACATTATAAGTTAGTAAGTTAGAAAGCTAGCTTTGTTGTATCTGAACACATGAATCTTTTTGGTCAGAGTAGGAAGCACAGCCAAATTCTATAGGAATGAATACCTCAAATCTGTTGTCTGGGATTCTAGAGATTAAACCACTGTGCCATTTAAAAAAGAAAAAAGAAAATGTGGCACATAGACACCATGGAATACTATGCAGCCATAAAAAAGGATGAGTTCATGTCCTTTGTAGGGACATGGATGAAGCTGGAAACCATCATTCTCAGCAAACTATTGCAAGGACAAAAAACCAAACACCACATGTTCTCACTCATAGGTGGGAATTGAACAATGAGAACACTTGGACACAGGAAGGGGAACATCACACACCGGGGCCTGTTGTGGGGTGGTGGGAGGGGGGAGGGATAGCATTAGGAGATACACCTAATGTAAATGACGAGTTAATGGGTGCAGCACACCAACATGGCACATGTATACATATGTAACAAACCTGCATGTTTTGCACATGTACCCTAGAACTTAAAGTATAGTAAAAAAAAAGAAAAATGAAAATATTATAACCCAGAAAGATAAAATAATAATCACATGGGCTGGGCATGGTGGCTCACGCCTGTAATCCCAGCACTTTGGGAGGCCGAGGTGGGCAGATCACAAGGTCGGGAGTTCGAGACCAGCCTGGCCAATATGGTGAAACCCCGTCTCTACTAAAAATACAAAAACTGGCCGGGCATGGTGGCACACGCCTGTAATCCTAGCTGTTCAGGAGGCTGAGGCAGGAGAATTGCTTGAACCCAGAAGGCGGAGGTTGCGGTGAGCTGAGATCATGCAACTGCACTCCAGCCTGGGGGACAGAGTGCGACTGTCTCAGAAAAAAAAAAATTAATAATATCATATGAACTCCCAGAAAGCAAGAAATTTGGCTAGAAATTTTATCTATTGTATTTCCACCAGCTATTGAGGTTTAAAAAAAAGTTTAAGGACGGGCACGGTGGCTCAAGCCTGTAACCCCAGCACTTTGGGAGGCCAAGGTGGGTGAATCACAAGGTCAGGAGTTTGAGACCAGCCTGGCCCATATGGTGAAACCCCATCTCTACTAAAAATACAAAAAATTAGCTGGGCATGGTGGCGTGTGCCTGTAGTCCCAGCTATTTGGGAGGCTGAGGCAGAAGAATCGCTTGAACCCAGGAGGCAGAGGGTACAGTGAACCGAGATTGTGCTACTGTACTCCAGCCTGGGCAGCTGAGTGAGACTCTGTCTCAAAAAGAAAAAAAGTTTAATAATGTATAAATATGGCCAGGTGCAGTGGCCCAACGCCTGTAATCCCAGCACTTTGGGAGGCCGAGGTGGGCAGATCACAAGGTCAGGAGATCGAGACCAGGGTGAAACCTCGTCTCTACTAAAAATACAAAAAATTAGCTGGGTGTGGTGGTGGGTGCCTGTAGTCCCAGCTACTTGGGAGGCTGAGGCAGGAGAATGGTGTGAACCTGGGAGGCAGAGCTTGCAGTGAGCCGAGATCGCACCACTGCACTCCAGCCTGAGTGACAGAGCAAGACTCCGTCTCAAAAATATATATATATAAATATTGCAAGATTAAAATCACCATCATTGGCCAGGCGTGGTGGCTCACGCCTATAATCCCAGCACTTTGGGATTCCGAGGTGGGTGGATCACGAGGTCATGTGTTCAATACCAGCCTGGCCAAAATAGTGAAACCCTGTCTCTACTAAAAATACAAAAATTAGCCAGGCATGGTGGCACACGCCTGTAATCCCACCTACTCGGGAGGCTGAGGCAGGAGAATCACTTGAACCTGGGAGGTGGAGGTTACAGTGAGCTGAGATTGCTCCACTTGCACTCCAGCCTGGGTGACAGAGCAAGATAAAAAAAAAAAATTACCACCATCAAGTAGTACGTTAATCTGCTCTGGCTGCTATAAACAAAATACCATAGACTGGGTGGCTTAAACAATAAACAGTCATTTCTTATAGTTCTGGAGGCTGGGAAATCCAAGATCAGGGTGCCAGCATGATTCTTGGTAGGGGTGCTCATCATAACTTGCGGACACCCACTTTCTCACTGTGTCCACATGGGGGAGCTCTGATCTCTTTCTCTTCTTAAAAGGATAAACTCGTTTTGGGAGCTCTCCTCTCATGACCTAAACCTCATTACCTCTCAGAGGCCCCACTACCAAATACCGATTCACATTGATGGTTATGGCTTCAGTATATCAATTTGGAGGAGAGGTGGAGAAGACACAAACACTCAGTGCATAGCAAATAATATTTCAATCCACTGGAGGAAGATGGAAAATCTAAAAGGAAATGTTAATTAAAAAAAGACCTTTTTATTCTTCATAAGACTTCTTTCTCATTCTAGTGGCTACACAAACAAGCTGAGGCACGAAGAGCAATGAATACTGACATAGCTGAACTTTGCGATTTAAAAGAAGAAGAAAAGAACCCAGAATGGTTGAAGGATAAAGGAAAGTAAGTTGTTTGAACTCTGATCATGAGCTTTATCATGTATGAAGACATTAGCAGTTATCATAGGACGAGTATGGTGGCTCATGCCTGTAATCCCAGCCCTTTGGGAGGCCGAGGTGGGATGATAACTTGAAGCCAGAAGTTTGAGACCAACCTGGGCAACAAAGCGAGATTTTGTCTCTACAAAAAAACAAACAAAATAAAACATTAGCCTGGTGTGGTGGTGAGCACCTGTAGTCCCAGCTACTCAGAAGGCTGCGGCGGGAGGATCCCCCAAGCCCAGGAGTTCATGGCTGCAGTGAGCTATGATTGTGCCACTGCACTCCAGTCTGGGCAACAAGAGTGAGACCCTGTCTTTGAACAAACAAAGTAGTTATCACATTCTCTAGATATTTTGTCTGTTTGTGTGTTGTTGGAGAAAGATAATGCAAATAAGCAAATAAGGTAGACAGGGCATCCATATTTTAAAAGTCAGATAACAAGGCAATGAGGCTCTAATTTTATTTTTTTATTTAAATGTCATAAAAATGAAAAAAATTACATCTTTTGGAATGCTTATTAAAATTCCTTTTAAAATCCGTTTTACATTTGACATAAGTCCTTTCTGATGTCTCCCATAAAAACGGGCTTTTTGCAAAGCTACAGCTGTTTTGATTATTCTTATCCATTTTTTTTCTTTTTTTTTTTTGTGAGATAGTGTCTCATTTTATCACCCAGGCTGGAGTGTAGTGGTGCAATCTCAGCTCACTGCAACCTCTACCCGCCAGGTTCAAGCAGTTCTTCTGCCTCAGCCTCTCAAGTAGCTGGGATTACAGGCATCCACCGCCACACCTGGCGAATTTTTTTTGTATTTTTAGTAGAGACGGGGTTTCACCATGTTGGTCAAGCTGGTCTTGAACTCCTGACCTCTAGTGATTCATCCACCTCAGTCTCCCAAAGTGCTGGGATTACAGGCATGAGCCCTGGTGTGGGACCTATTCAAATCCATTTCTAAAGATTACCATCTTACTGCCTTCCAGGTCAGTGATGTAAACACAAAAAAGATTACCATATTATCCCAGAAATTATCTTATATCTGGGCAGTCATTTTATTCATTTGTATATGGATTTTTTTTTTTTTTTTGAGACAAAGTCTCGCTCTTGGTCCCCAGGCTGGCGTGTGATGGCACAATCTTGGCTCAATGCAAACTCCACCTCCCAGGTTCAAGCGATTCTCCTGCCTCAGCCTCCTCAGTAGCTGGGATTACAGGCGCCTGCCACCACGCCCAACTAATTTTTGTTTCACCATGTTGGCCAGGCTGGTCTCAAACTCCTGACCTCAGGTGATCCGCGCACCTTGACCTCCCAAAGTGCTGGGATTACGGGTGTGAGCCACTGCACCCGGCCGTGAATATTTTAACATACTGATCAAAAACAGTGAATTCTGGCATATTCTGAGTGGCAATTTGTGTTCATATTTTGAGGCGGCTATAGATATTATTTATTGTATTTCATCATATACACTTCTGTGTTTATTTTCCTATTACTTATTACTTCTATAACAAACTACCACCAAGTGGCTTAAAACAACACAAATTTATTATCTTATAGTTCTGTAATTCAGAAGTCCAAAATGAGTTTCACTGGGCCAAAATTAGGTGTCAACTGCCTTCCTTTTGAAGGCTCTAGGAGAAAAGCTGTTTTCTTAAATTTCCGGCTTCTAAGCTGTTTGCATTCCTTGAATTGTGGCTCCCCAGCCACTGATTGCGTTATTCTGACCTCTGCTTCCGTGATCTCCTTTTCTGACTCTCCTGCCTCCTTCTACCTTTTATAAGGCCTCTTGTGTTTATGTAAGTCCCACCTACATCATCCAGGGTACTCTCTCCATCAAACTCTTTAACTTATTCACATGTGCAAAGTCCTTTTTGCCGTGTTAGGTAACGTTCATAGGTTCTGGGATTAGAATATGGACATCTTTTTTTGGGGGGCGGGGGGCATTATCTGTCTACCACAATATCTATATTTTTCCTTTCTTTCTACTTTTTCTTGGTCTTTTCTCTTGTCTGTTACAACACCAGGGATTGTTTTGTGGCGTTTAGCTGGAGTTGGCAATTTTTCTGAAGGTTAGAAGCCTGGAACTGACAGGTTGGTTCTTCTAACTCCCAAGAGTAAAACCATATATAATCTTTCCTCCTCTTTCTCTTCTTCCTTTCTTCCTTCCTATTCATTTATTCAGCCATTAAATAAGCAATTATTGATTGCTTGCTATTTGCCAGACTATAGGCACTTAACAACAGAAATCAGGAGGAGAGAGACGTACACAAATATTTAAAACACTGTGTGGGAAGTACAATAACATGGATAAGAACAAGGTAATAGAGCCAGGTGCGGTGGCTCACGCCTGTAATCCCAGCACTTTGGGAGGCTGAGGCGGGCGGATCACCTGAGGTTGGGAGTTCACCAGACTGAACAGCAAGGAGAAACCCTGTCTTTACTAAAAGTACAAAATTAGCTGGGTGTGGTGGCGCATACCTGTAATCCCAGCTACTCGGGAGGCTGAGGCAGGAGAATTGCTTGAACCTGGGAGGTGGAGGTTGCGGTGAATCGAGATCGTGCCACTGCACTCCAGCCTGGGCGACAGAGTGAGACTCCATCTCAAGATAAAAAGAAAATTTCTGGCCAGGCACAGTGGCTCACGCCTGTAATCCCAGCACTTTGAGAGGCCAAGATGGGTAGATACTTGAGTTCAGGATTTTGAGACAAGCCTGGCCAATATGGTGAAACCCAATTTCTACTAAAAATGTAAAAATTGGCTGGGCACGGTGGCTCACTCCTATAATCCCAGCACTCTGGGAGGCCAAGGTGGGTGGATTACCTGAGGCCAGGAGTTTGAGACCAGCCTGGCCATCATGGTGAAACCCTGTCTCTACTAAAAATACAAAAACTAGTCAGGCATTGTGGCGCACACCTGTAATCCCAGCTAATCTGAGTCTCAGAGGCATGAGAATCACTTAAACCTGGGAGGTAGAGGTTGCAGTGAGCTGAGATGGCACCACTGAACTCCATTCTGGGCAATTTAGCAAGACTGCTCAAAAAAATAATAATAATTAAAAAAATAATAATAATGGGCAAAGAACTTAAATAGGCATTTCTCCAAGAAGAGAGACAAATGGCTAGTAAATATAAAAAGATGTTTAACATCACTAACCATTTGGGAAATGTCTTATCAAAACCACTATGAGATGCCACTTCACACCCATTAGGATGGCTACTCAGAAAAAAAACAGAAAATAACAAGTGTTAGTGAGGATGTGGAGAAATTAGAATCCTGTGCACTGTTGGTAGAGGTGTTGAATGATCCAGCTGCTATGGAAAACACTATTGTGGTTCCCAAAAAAGTAAAAATAGGGCCGGGCGCAATGGCTCACGCCTGTAATCCCAGCGCTTTGGGAGGCCGAAGCGGGCAGATCACCTGAGATCGGGAGTTCGAGACCAGTCTGACCAACATGGAGAAACCCCATCTCTAGTAAAAATACAAAATTAGCCAGGCGTGGTGGTACATGCCTGTAATCCCAGCTACTCAGGAGGCTGACGCAGGAGAATCGTTTGAACCTGGGAGGCAGAGGTTGCGGTGAGCCAAGATCGCACCATTGCACTCCAGCCTGGGCAACAAGAGTGAAACTCTGTCTCAAAAAACAAACAAACAAAAAAAAGCAAAGACTTTGCATTTTGAAGAAATCCTTTAATCGTGTACATCTCTTTATTTGAAGAGAATTTTGGAACATTTAAACTGAAAGAGTATATCCATTGCAAGTAACCAAAAAACCCAATTTTTTTATATTGAAAGGAATTTATTGTCTTATATAACTAAACAGCTAAAGGTGTTTTCTATTTCAAGTAAAGCTTGATCCAGCAGCTTAACTGTATCATGAAGGGCTCGGTTTCTTTCTGCCTTTTTATTCCTTTCATATTTCCATAGTATCAGCTTTATTCTAATGCCAGCTCTTCCCACGGTCTTAAAAACGGTCAGCAACAATGTGGGCTATGTGACTTCTTCACTTATATCCAGCAGGGGGAGAAATTTGCCCAACTTTTCATTCTTCAACTTTGAAACCAACCCACAGGCTTCATCCTAAGTAGAACAATATAGGTCACACTAGCCCATCCCTGAGTCAATTACTGGAGCAAAAATAATGCAAATATGCCCTACTGGCTTAAATTACTAATGTCTACCCTTGGAGGTGGGAGTGAGGTCCATTCCATTCAAATGACAGGCTGGTATATGTGAAAAGAGATGGATTCAGTGCAGGCAACGTTTACCCTAAAGAGAATGCAAAAAGAGGTAAGCCATCCTCTTTGTCAAATACAATTAGATATTATTTCTGTGTTTCTGTTTCAATGTTAAATTGTTTTTCTTCTCTGTTTTTGTCTCATTAGCAAATTGTTTGCAACGGAAAACTATTTGGCAGCTATCAATGCATATAATTTAGCCATAAGACTAAATAATAAGATGCCACTATTGTATTTGAACCGGGCTGCTTGCCACCTAAAACTAAAAAACTTACACAAGGCTATTGAAGATTCTTCTAAGGTATGGATATCTATGTATGATATATGGTGCTTTAAATATATCCTTCTATTAATTGGTTTAAATGATGATCTTTTTCTGTTCAGTTGAAATAATTGAGATGCAAAGATTTTAAAGATTGTCTTTCTTATTGAATCTTTTTTTTTTTAACTGATTTTTTACTAATGGACAAGGAACTGGTGTTTTTTTGTGACTTCTATGAATAGTTAGTTAGATTAAAAATCAGCTGTTACTGGCCGGGCGCAGTGGGTCTCGCTATATTGCACAGGCAGGTCTCGAACTCCTGGGCTCAAGCTATCCTCCCGCCTCTGCCTCCCTGAGAGCTGGGATTACAGACATGAGCCACCGCGCCCGGCACCCAGCCCAGATATCTCTACAATCATTTTCTCATTTGCAGGGTAACTTAGTATATTCTACTTTCCATTACTAATATTTACTGTGTATGTCTTGAACTTCTACAGCTTTTTCTTTTTTCCATGTCAAGATAACTTGTTTTAAGGGCATATCATGTGCAAAATCTCTTAGGTAGCTTCTTGAGATTGAGGATATGGAGGACACAACCAAGTCTTCATCACTTTGATATCATACTACTTTTATGATCCAGTTTTTCTTTGACTCTCACAATGCAAACAAATATTTGTTGAATGAATGAATAAGCTGAATCACCCAATCTGAATACAAAAGCCCACAAATGCTATTTAATAATTCCTACTGGTAAAAATAAAGCTGTGGAGATGTGAAATGATAAGCTGAATAATAACCTTGGAGGGGTATGAATCCCATATAGGAACAACTGAAAAATTCCTTAAGTTGTTCAACATATCTCTTCTGGAAAACCTGATAATAATTATTTGTTTTATATATATATATAATATATATTATATATAAGAATATATATAATATATATAATATTATATATATTATATATAATATATAAAATATATTATATATATTATATATATTATATATATTTTATATAATATAATATATATAATTATATATAATATATATAATATATATATAATATATGTAATATATATAATATATATTATAATATATATAATATATAATATATGTAATATATATAATATATATTATATATATAAAACAAATATATATATTTGTTTTATAAAAACAATTATATATATTTATATATAAAAAACAAATAATTATATATATATTTGTTTTATATATATAATATATTTATATTTGCTAAATTCCTGTACCAGCTAAGCTAAAAATTTAGGTGAGTGCTTGAGGCCATTTTTTTTTTTTTTTTTTTGAGACGAGGTCTTGCTCTGTTGCCCAGGCTGGAGTACAGGGGCACAATTTCGGCTCACTGCAAGCTCCGCCTCCCCGGTTCACGCCATTCTCCTGCCTCAGCGTCCGGAGTAGCTGGGACTGAAGGCGCCCGCCATCATACCCGGCTAATTTTTTGTATTTTTAGTAGAGACGGGGTTTCACCGTGTTAGCCAGGATGGTCTCGATCTCCTGACTTCGTAATCCGCCCGCCTGGGCCTCCGCCCGCCTGGGCCTCCCAAAGTGCTGGGATTACAGGCATGAGCCACCACACCCGGCCGAGGCCTTTTGTGTGTGTGTGTGTTTGTGTGAGACAAAGTCTCACTCTGTCACCAGGCTGGAGTGCAGTGGTGCGTTCTTGGCTTATTGCAACCCCTGCCTCCCGGATTCAAGTGATTCTCCTGCCTCAGCCTCCTGAGTAGCTGGGATTACAGGTGCCCGCTACCACATCTGGCTAGTTTAAGTATTTTTAGTAGAGACAGGGTTTTGCCATGTTGGCCAGGCTGGCCTCAAGCTCCTGACTTTGGGTGATCTGCCCACCTCAGCCTCCGAAAGTGCTGGAATTACAGGCGTGAGCCACCAGGCCCACCCGAGGCTTATTTTAAAATTAGAATTTTTACCATGTTTTTGCTTGTTTGTTTTTTGTTTTTGTTTTTTTTGAGACGGATTCTCGCTCTGTCACCCAGGCTGGAGTTCAGTGGCGCGATCTCGGCTCTCTGCAAGCTCTGCCTCCCTGGTTCAAGCAATTCTCCCGCCTCAGCCTCCCAAGTAGCTAGGACTACAGGTGTGCACCACCACAGCCAGATAATTTTTGTATTTTTTTTTAGTAGAGACGGGGTTTCGCCATGTTGGCCAGGCTGGTCTCAAAATCCTGACTTCAGGTGATCCACCTACCTCGGCCTCCCCAAGTGTTGGGATTACAGGCGTGAGCCACCATGCCCAGCCTTTTGCTTGTTTAAATTAAGAAACTATAACTTTCTTGTAATAATTATATATATTTTGTAAGGCACTGGAATTATTGATGCCACCTGTTACAGACAATGCTAATGCAAGAATGAAGGCACATGTACGACGTGGAACAGCATTCTGTCAACTAGAATTGTATGTAGAAGGTAAGGAATTGATAGAAATGGTTTAAGTCCCAAGTTATACTCTGAAAAAAATGTCATTGGAATTATTTAAGATCGTGACTTTTAAGGACTCCATTTTTAAATATTTTTAGCATTTAATTTATTCTTAGTAATGTCTGCAGTATATCTGACAATACATGATTTCTAAATTATATTTAAAAAATTCATTGTAGAAGAGAATTAAAATAAGTGTAAACAACAAGTTTCAGTCTAGAAAAATGCTATATTAGCTGGGTGCAGATGCTCATGCCTGTAATCCCAGCACTTTGGGAGGCAGAGGCGGGTGGATCACCTGAGGTCGGGAGTTCGAGACCAGCCTGACCAACATGGAGAAACCCTCTACTAAAAACACAAAATTAGCTTGGCGTAGTGGCACATGCCTGTAATCCCAGCTACTTGGGAGGCTAAGGCAGGAGAATCCCTTGAACCCGGGAGGCGGAGATTGTGGTGAGCCGAGATCATGTCATTGCACTCCAGCCTGGGCAACAACAGCGAAACTCCTTCTCAAAAAAAAAAAAAATGCTATATTACCAGACAACTCTTCATAGAAACGTGTGATAAATGCTGGGTGTGGTGCTTCACGCCTATAATCCCAGGAACTGGGGAGGCTGAGGTGGAAGGATGGCTTGAGGCCAGGAGTTTGAGACCAGCTTGGGCAACATAGTGAGACCCTGTCTCTTAAAAAAAAAAAATACATGATAGGCTGGGTGTGGTGGCTTATGCCTGTAATCTCAGCACTTTGGGAGGCCGAAGCAGGTGGATCACAAGGTCAGGAGATCAAGACCATCCGGGCTAACACGGTGAAACCCCGTCTCTACTAAAAATACAAAAACAAAATTAGCCAGGTGTGGTGGCGGGCGCCTGTAGTCCCAGCTACTCAGGAGACTGAGGCCAGAGAATGGCGTGAACCCGGAAGGCAGAGCTTGCAGTGAGCCAAGATCACGCCACTGCGCTACAGCCTGGGTGACAGAGCAAGACTCTGTCTCCAAAAAAAAAAAAAAAAAGATAAAATATATAAATGATTTGAGATATCATGGATATTTATCTCAGAGAGCTTCTTCGGTCATCCCTGTATGTATGTATGTATTTGTGTGTGTGTGTGTGTGTGTGTGTGTGTGTATACACACACCTAAGCTCGGAAATAACTGATCCACCATAGTGCATGCACATTGCTTATATTTGTTAGATTGTATTAAGTTCTGTAATTTAGCTCTATGTATACAGAAAATATAGCATTTATTTTATTTTATTTTAGATAGATTTAGGGGCCGGGCACGGTGGCTCACACCTGTAATCCCAGCACTTTGGGAGGCCAAGGTGGGTGGATCATGAGGTCAGGAGATCGAGGCCCTACTGGCTAACACGGTGAAACCCCATCTCTACTAAAAATACAAAAAATTAGCCAGGTGTGGTGGCAGGTGCCTGTAGTCCCAGCTACTCAGGAGGCTGAGGCAGAAGAATGGTGTGAACCCAGGAGGCAGAGCTTGCAGTGAGCCGAGATCATGCCACTGCACTCCCGCCTGGGCAACAGAAGGAGACTCTGTCTCAAAAAAAAAAGATGGGAATCTAATTTAAAACTTGGTACTTGTTCTGAACCATGCTACTAGTGATTATTTTTATTTTAAACAACTATTGTCTAGATAAAAGAAGTGCTAATAAAATATTTATTGTATTAATCATCATTGCTATATAAACACAGGCCTACAGGATTATGAAGCGGCACTTAAGATTGATCCATCCAACAAAATTGTACAAATTGATGCTGAGAAGATTCGGAATGTAATTCAAGGAACAGAACTAAAATCTTAATGACTATTAGAAGTAACTAAGTATTGTTATAAGTTTTTTAAAAACAACTGGAGGCATCTTTGTACATATTATGGCCAGTTGTACAGAATCGCTTTCTGTTTAGTACTTTAGTTCTGTTGAGGGCAAAATATTATAAATCTATAGAAAATAAACTGTTTGACTTGAATCATTTCTGAATAAGTAAATCTAAATAAGAATCTATTTTAATTCCTTATTTCTTCATATTAATACATATGTATACTTTTTTGTGTTACTGAATTAAGCTTGCCCTTGTAACAAAATATGTTTTGGTATAGTTACCAGGACACTTACTGATTAATTTTTAACAAGGTAGAATTTTAAAATAAAAGATTTATAAATAACTTTTGTTTGTATTAATATACCATTTAATTGACTGAATGGTTGACTTTGGTATAATAAATATTGACAGGTTGTCCGTTAGTTTCCAACTGCACAGAACCTTATTTTTTTGTTTAATACTTCTCTAATGCTTGTTGTTCAAGATTAGACCAGTTCAGCCTAGTATAAAACAACTGTTTAGAAAACCTTATATTCAACTTCATTTATAGGCTGTGCACCTGAAAACTGATCATATTTCATAACACTATCTGGTGAAGATAAATTTTTGAGTGAAATAGTTTTCTAGTACCTCCAAGTAGACAAGGGGGAGAAAAGACAGCAAAGTGTAAGATATTAACCTGGAATATTATGGTATTGGTATTGGACTGCACCATCATTTGTGTTGTATCACTGGGATTATGCAAGTGTTAAGCACAATAGCACAGCTTCCCTTTTGCTTGTAGTTACTGTAATTCTCTAATTAAATTTTAAAGGTTTTTTTTTTTTTTTGAGACGGAGGAAGTCTCCCTTTGTTGCCCAGGCTGGAGTGCAATGGCGCGATCTTGGCTCACTGCAAGCTCTGCCTCCTGGGTTCAGGCCATTCTCCTGCCTTAGCCTCCCGAGTAGATGGGACTACAGGCGCCTGCCACCACGCCTGACTAATTTTTTGCATTTTTAGTAGAGATGGGGTTTCACCATGTTAGCCAGGATGGTCTCAATCTCCTGATTTCGTGATCCACCCACCTTGGCCTCCCAAAGTGCTGGATTACAGGTGTGAGCCACCGCGCCCAGCCTTTTTTTTTTTTTTTCTTGAGACACAGTTTCACTCTTGTTGCCCAGACTGGAGAGCAGTGGCCTGATCATAGCTCGCTGCATCCTCCACCTCCCAGGTTTAAGGGATTCTCCTGCCTCAGGCCTCCTGAGTAGCTGAGATTACAGGCACCACCACGCCTGATTAATTTTTTGTATTTTTAGTAAAGACAGGGTTTCATCATGTTGGCCAGGTTGGTCTCGAACTGCTGACCTCAGGTGATCCACCCGCCTCGGCCTCCCAAAGTGCAGGGATTACAGGCATGAGCCACCGCGCCCGGCCTTATTTATTTATTTTTGAGATGTAGTCTGGCTCTGTAACCCAGGCTTTAGTGCAGTGGTGCAATCTCGGCTCACTGCAACCTCCGTCTCCTGGGTTCAAGCAATTCTCCTGCCTCAGCCTTCCAAGTAGCTGGGATTACAGGTGCGTGCCACCACATCTGGCTAATTTTTGTATTTTTAGTAGAGACGGGGTTTTACCATGTTGGCCAGGCTGGTCTCGAACTCCTGACCTCAAGTGGTCTGCCTGCCTCAGCCTCCCAAAGTGCTGGGATTATAGGCAAGACCCCCCGCGCCTGGCCTAACAAATTTAGTTTAAAGGTCTAATTGGCCTTTATCAGTGACTCATGAATCAAGCAGCATCTTATATAAAGATTTAGAAGAGACACTGCTAGAGGTGGCAGAATAAAATGGCCTTTGCAAAATTATGATTAAGACAGTGAAAGAGGCTGGGCGCAGTGGCTCAAGCCTGTAATCCCAGCACTTTGGGAGGCTGAGGCAGGCAGATCACAAGGTCAGGAGATCGAGACTATCCTGGCTAACATGGTGAAACCCCCCTCTCCACTAAAAATACAAAAATTTAGCCAGGCGTGGTGGCAGGCGCCTGTAGTCCCACCTACTCGGGAGGCTGAGGCAGGAGAATGGCGAGAACTCGGGAGGCGGAGGTTGCAGTGAGCCGAGATTGTGCCACTGTACTCCAACCTGGGTGAAAGAGCAAGACTCCATCTCAAAAAAAAAAAAAAAAAAAAAAAAAAAAGAAAAAAAAGACAGTGAGAGAGATTTAACTTAACTGAATTTATCTTGCTTTTAACCTCCAAGCTGTCCTTGTTCATTCCTGGGTGTAGGCTGAACTAACTTTAAAAAACTTAGTGTATAGTTTAAACAAAGACAGTGACAGTCCTTTCCCAAAGCCGACCTCCTTCTTGCCTGGGGACGGAATTGCCTTTGTAGGACTAACATTAGCCACAAGATTAAAAATTATAGTTTATGCTGGGCATGGTGGCTCATGCCCATAATCCCAGCACTTTGGGACACTGAGGCAGGTGGGTCACTTGAGGTCAGGAGTTAGAGAGCAGCCTGGCCAACATGGTGAAACCCTGTGTCTACTAAAAATACAAAAATTAGCCGGGCATGGTGGCAGGTGCTTGTAATCCCTAGCTACTTGGGAGGCTGAGGCAGGAGAATCACTTAAAACTGGGAGGTGAAGGTTGCAGTGAGCGGAGATTGGGCCATTGCACTACGGCCTGGGTGACAGGAGTGAAACTCCATCTCCAAAAAAATTACGGTTTAGAAGTCATACTGCTGGAGGCCAGGCGCGGTGGCTCATGCCTGCAATCCCAGCACTTTGGGAGGCCGAGGCGGGTGGATCACCTGAGGTCGGGAGTTCGAGACCAGCCTGACCAACATGGAGACACCCTGTCTGTACTAAAAATACAAAATTAGCTGGACCTGGTGGCGCTTTCCTGTAATCCCAGCTACTCGGGATGCTGAGGCAGGAGAATCCCTTGAACCCGGGAGGCGGAGGTTGCGGTGAGCTGAGGTGGCGCCATTGCACTCCAGCCTGGACAAGAAGAGCGAAACTCCATCTCAAAAAAAAAAAGAAGTCATACTGCTGGAGGCTACAAAATTCTGACCCTCCCTAAACTGCTCCTAAGATCAGTGTTTACAATATTTTGCAGACCCTGCACTTAATGAATCAGCTGGCACCACCCAGATCAATAAACTGACTCATCTAATCTTGTGGCCCCCCCAACCAGGAACTAACTTAGCACAAGAAAACAGCTCCAATCTTTAATTTCATCTCTAACCAATGAGCCACTCCTGGCTCACCAGCTTCACCTCACCCACCAAGTTGTCTTTAAAAACTCTGCTCCCTGGCTGGGCGCGGTGGCTCACGCCTGTAATCCCAGCACTTTGGGAGGCTTAGGCGAGTGGATCACGAGGCCAGGAGTTCAAGAACAGCCTGGCCAAGATGGTGAAACCCCGTCTCTACTAAAAAAACAAAAAAATCAGCCGGGTGTGGTGGCGGGCACCTGTAATCCCAGCCACTCGGGAGGCTGAGGCAGAGAATTGCTTGAACCCAGGAGGCGGAGGTTGCAGTGAGCTGAGATCGGGCCACTGCACTCCAGCCTGGGCGACAGAGCGAGACTGTCTCAAAACAAACAAACAAACAAAAAAAAACAAAAAAACTCTGGTCTTCTGCACAGCTGGTTCTGTGTGAATTACTCTTTCTCTGTTGCAATTTCCGTGTCTTAATAAATTGGCTCTGTCTAGGCAGCAGGCAGAGTAAACCCCTTTGGGGGTTACAAAAACAATTGGTATTTATAGGGTAGCTGAAGCAGGAACAAGAAACAGCATAATACAAAAAGTGGGTTGGTTGATGTAACTTCAGATCACTTTCCTTGCAAGAGTTAAAACAGTGAGGACTTCCCTATCCTGCCAGCTAAAAGGGGCCTGTTTGGGTATTTGGCTATCTTCTCTCTCATGATTTATCAGAAGATCAGATAAACAACTAAATTTTGGGCCAGGCTCAGTGGCTCATGCCTGTAATTCCAGCACTTTGGGAGGCTGAGATGGGCGGATCACCTGAGGTCAGGGGTTCGAGACCAGCCTGGCCAATCCCAGCTCCACTAAAAATACAAAAATTAGCCGGACATGGTGGCAAGCACCTGTAATCCCAGCTACTCAGGAGTCTGAGGCAGGACAATGACTGAGACAGTGAAAGAGAGCTAACCTAACAGACTCCATCTTGGTTCTAACCTTTAAGCTGTCCTTGTTCCTTCCTGTGCATAGGCTGAACTAACTTTGGGAGGAACTTAGTTTATAGATTATAGTTGGAAACAAAGATGTTAACAACCTTTCTCCAAAACCTTTTCCTTCCTGCCTGGGGATTAGACTGCCTTTGTAGGACTAAGAAATTAGCCACAAGATTAGAAATTATGGTTTAGGAGTCATGCCGTTGGAAGTTACAAGATTCTGACCCTCACTAAACTGCTCCTAAGATCAGTGCTTGAGATATTTTGCAGACCCTGCACTTGCTGGATCAGCTGGCACCACCTAGCTCAATAAACTGGCTCATCCCATCTTGTGACTTCCACCCAGGAACTGACTCAGTGTAAGAGGACAGCTTCAATTCCTATTGATTTCATCTACCTAACCAATCAGCACTCCTGGCTCACTGGCTTCCCCCCACCCACCAAGTTGTCCTTAAAAACTCTGATTCCCAAATGCTTGGGCAGTCTGATTTGATTAGTAATAAAACGCTGGTCTCCTGCATAGCTGGCTCTGTGTGAATTACTCTGTCTCTGTTGCAGTTCCCCTGTCTTGATAAATTGGCTCTGTCTAGGCAGCAGGCAAGGTCAACCCATTGGGCAGTTACACTAGCGCAAGAGGTTCAGTCCAAATCAGTGGCCTTCCATACATTTTATTTAACACATCCCAGAAAGAGGTTGTGAATTACATCAAGCAAAAGGGTTCTGTCCTACACCAGGTTTGGGATGATTTTTATTTTCCACACGTTAGCTCTTTGCTGACAGAGGTCAAAATATTAGTCCTAATACAGAGATATTGTCTAATAGTTTAGTGTTATATAAACCTATTCTGTCTTGGTTCCCTAGTGTAGAAGAAAATCAGAGTTGAACAGTAAAGTGAAAAAAAAAATGCTTTTACTCAGTAACTTATAATAAGGAAAAAGAGACCTCAGCATGGAACGAGGCTTAGTTCTTTTCATTCCTGTGAGGCCTGAGAATAAAAAATGAAAAAGAACTAGGCTCAGTTCCAAATATGGCATGGACAAGTAGGGGTTTATAGCCAAGGAGTAGGTTGGGTAATGAAGGTGGTCAGTGGATGGAAAATTACCAAGAGAAAACATTAGGGGTTAGAGGAATTCTGGTTAAATTGACCTAACAGGATTCTTGCTGAAGACAGGCCAGGTTGATCAGTTATCACCGGGGGGATGGTAGGGAATGAGGAATCTGGTCAAATATCAAGGGTGATCAGATATTGATGGTGGGGATTCTGGCTAAAGGAACTTGGCAGGATTCTTGCCATGACTGGGCTCTTAAGAGCAAAGTATGTGGCTGAGCGTGATGGCTCACGCCTGTAATCCCAGCACTTTGGGAGGCCGAGGTGGGCGGATCAACTGAGGTCAGGAGTTCAAGATCAGCCTGACCAACATGGAGAAACCCCATCTCTACTAACAATACAAAATTAGCCAGGTGTGGTGGCACATGCCTGTAATCCCAGCTACTCAGGAGGCTGAGGCAGGAGAATTGCTTGAACCTGGGAGGTGACGGTTGTGGTGAGCCGAGAATGCGCCATTGCACTCCAGCAGCCTGGGCAACAAGAGCAAAACTCCATCTCCAAAAAAAAAGCAAGGTACAGCCGGGCACGGGGTCTCACGCCTGTATTCCCAGCACTTTGGGAGGCTGAGGCAGGTGGATGATGAGGTCAGGAGTTGGAGACCAGCCTGACCAACATGGTGAAACCCTGTCTCTACTAAAAATACAAAACTTAGCTGGGCATGGTGGCGCATGCCTGTAATCCCAGGTACTCAGGAAGCTGAGGCAGGAGAATCGCTTGAACCTGGGAGACAGAGGTTGCAGTGAGCTGAGATCGTGCCACTGCACTCTAGCCTGGATAAAGAGCAAGGTGCAAGGATGGGGCCTAGTCAAAAAAGTGGTTCACAGGAGCCTATCTAGAGTTTGGTCAAGGAGAGACCTCTTAATCACTAGCAAGCCAACTGCTTTCCAACAAATTTCATCCATGTGGGAAATAAGGGCAAAGGATTTTGCACATGCCATCTAGGGAAAAAGTAGGTGCCTTACTTCATTTTCCACTGCTGTATCAGAATACCACAGACTAGGTAATTTATAAAGGACAGAGATTTATTTGGTTCATGGTTCTGCATGCTGGGCAGTCAAGATTAAGGGACTACATGCATCTGGTGAAGACCTTCTTGCTATATGATAACATGGCAGAATGTATCACATAGTAAGACAGCATGCAAGAAGAAAGGAAAGGAAAAGGGGGCTGAACTCCCCTCTTTTATAACTAAACCCAGTCCTGCAATAACTAACTCACTTCTGTATTAACAACTTTAATTTATTCAAGAGTATGGTGTCCCCATGACCTAATAGTCTCTTTTGTGTGTGTGACAGAGTCTTGCTTTGTCACCCAGGCTAGAGTGCAGTAGTGTGATGTAGGCTTACTGCAACCTCCACCTCCTGGGTTCAAGTGATTCTCCTGCCTCAGCCTCCCAAGTAGCTGAGATTACAGGCATGCGCCACCATGCCCGGCTAATTTTGGTATTTTTAGTAGAGATGGCTTTTCACCATGTTGCCCAGGCTGGTCTCAAAACTCCCGACCTCTGGCGATTTGCCCACCTTGGCCTCCCAAAATGCTGGGATTACAGGTGTGAGACACTGTGCCTGGCCTATTTTTGTATTTTTTAATAGAGACAGCATTTCACCATATTGGCCAGCCTGGTCTCGCACTCCTTATCTTAAGTGATCCACCGGCCTTAGCCTCCCAAAGTGCTGAGATTGCAGGTGTGAGCCACCGCGCTGGCTTTACTTTAGCTTTTTTAGTCCATATTAAGGACTAACATGACTCTCTAGTTATCTTCAGCTATATTTACATCTGATTGCTGTAGGTCAGCAGTTCTCAAAATGTGTTCTAATCAGAATACAAATACTCTGGTCAGCATGGTGGCTCACACCCATAATCCCAACACTTTGGGAGGTGGTGGGTTATGCCTATAATCCCAGCACTTGGGAGGAGGTGGGAGGATAACTTGAGCCCAGGAGTCCAAGACTAACCTAAGCAACATAGCGAGACCCCCATCTCTACAAAAAATAGAAAAAAAGTTAGCCAGGCATGGTGGTGCATGACTGTAGTCCTAGCTACTTGGGAGGCTGAGGTTGGAAAATCGCTTGAGCCGGGGAAGTCGAGGTTGAGGTTACAGTGAGCTGTGCTTGTGTCATTGCGCTCCAGCCTGGGTGACAGAGGGAGACCCTGACTCAAAAAGAATACAAAATATGCTATATTATATCATATCTTAAAAAAAAAAAAACTTTTGGCTCTACATCTAGCTATTGCCCCATTTATCTGTTCAGTGTGCAGCAAAACTACTTAAAATTAGTTTTGAGTTTTTCTGTTCTTTCTTATTCCAATAAAGTTTTCCTCTCTACCGCTTCTTCTTGTAGAGAGGAATACATTTATTTATTTATTTATTTATTTATTTTTGAGACGGAGTTTTGCTTGTCACCCAGGCTGGAGTGCAATGTCGTGATCTTGGCTCATTGCAAACTCTGCCTCCTGGGTTCAAGCGATTCTCCTGCCTCAGCCTCCCGAGTAGCTGGGATTACAGGCTTCCACCATCACACCTGGCTAATTTTTGTATTTTTAGTAGAGATGGAGTTTCACCATGTTGGCCAGGTTGGTCTCAAACGCCTGACCTCAGGCGATCTGCCCACCTCAGCCTCCCAAAGTTCTGGGATTACAGGTGTGAGCCTTCGAGCCTGGCCTTGTTGAAATAATTCTGTTTGAAGTCATCCATGACCTCTGATTTGCCTAATCAAAGGTCAGTTCTCAATTCATATGCTATATCTCCCAAGATAATTTCACACTGCTGGGTCATTCCCTCTCCTTGAAACAAGCTGGGCTTCCAGGCCTCACAGTCTTCTAATTTCCTCTTTCTTCAGTAGTCACTCCTTCTTGGTCTCATTTGTTTCTTCTTGTTCTTTGCCTTGACCTCTAAATGGTGGTTTTCCCTAAAGCATAGTCCTCAGGTCTGTTTTCTACCTACACTTTGTAGTCTTATCTGGTTTAATCATTTTAAATAACATGTTCCAAGTGATAATCTTCAATTTGGGCTACTCCCTTGAATTCAAGTTGTATATTCAGTTGCCTTACATCAACTTGACTTTCCTCAGATGTTCTCTTAACCTCCTTTAGAGGGTGTGGTCAGACATCTCCTTATCAGAAACCTTCCCTTTCCACCTACCTAAAGTAACTCCTTGCTGAAGTACTCACTTTCCTCCTAACTCTATTTTATGTTTTTTCCCGTAACACTTATCACTTGGCATGTTCTATACATCTAGCCATATATATTTACATAGTTACCTATGTATGTTATCATGTTATTTATGCATATATTCATGTGTATTTTTATTTGTAAATATATAAAAATATGTATTTATACATGCTTTTTGGTCTGTTTTCTCCTGCTGGGATTCATTAGAATCTAAACTCCATTAGGACTAGCTTCTAGTGCCTAGTATAGTCCTGGGACCTTTATTATTATTATTATTATTATTATTATTATTATTATTATTATTATACATTTTTTTGAGACGGAGTTTCCCTCTTGTTGCCCAGGCTGGAGTGCAATGGTGTGATATCGGCTCACCGCAACCTCCGCCTCTGGGGTTCAAGAGATTCTTCTGCCTCAGACTCCCAAGTAGCTGGGATTACAGGCATGCGCCACCATGCCAGCTAATTTTTTTTGTATTTTTAGTGGAGATGGGGTTTCTCCATATTGGTCAGGCTGGTCTTGAACTCCTGACCTTAGGTGATCTGCCTGCCTCAGCCTCCCGAAGTACTGGGATTACAGGCGTGAGCCACCATGCCCAGCCAGTCCTGGGACTTTAATAGGCACTGAATGACTGTGTATATAATGAAATTCCAGATGATATGCTTGATTTTCAGCTACTTATCCTGATAATTTTATTATTTTTTAGATGAAGTCTCCCTCTGTCACTCAGGTTGGAGTGCAGTGGCATGATCTCAGCTCACTGCAACCTCCACCTCCCAGGTTAAAGAGATTCTTGTGCCTCAGCCTCTGGAGTAGCTGGGATTACAGGCATGCACCACCATGCCTGGCTAAGCATTTTGTATTTTTAGTAGAGATGTGGTCTCACCATGTTGCCCAGGCTTGCCTTGAACTCCTGGCTTCCTGTAATCGGACCACCTCGGCCTCTCAAAAGTGCTGGGATTTTAAGTGTGAGCCACTGTGCCTGGAGTATCCTGAGAATTTTTTTTTTTTTTTTTTTGAGATAGTCTCACTCTGTTGCCCAGGCTGCAGTGCAGTGGTGTGATCTTGGCTCACTGCAACCTCTGCCTCCTGGGTTCAAGCGATTCTCCTGCCGCAGCCTCCTAAGTAGCTGGGACTATAGGCACACACCACCACGCCTGGCTAATTTTTTGTATTTTTAGTAGAGACGGGGTTTTGTCATGTTGGCTAGGCTGGTCTCGACCTGCTGACCTCAAGTGATCTGCCCGTCTCGGCCTCCCAAAATGCTGGGATTACAGGTGTAAGCCACCGTGCCCGGCCAATCCTGAGAATTTAGCAACAACAAAAATGACCGAACAGTGCACCACTGCCATAGGTAGGAATTTTAGGTTAGTATCTAGATTCTACATATAAAAAGGTAAATTCACTTGCCATGAATTGGGCACCTGCAGTGAAGGGGGAAAATGGTTTGTATGGTTTATACTGCAAGAACAGGCTAATAAACTAAAATGTTATTGCATAATTCACTTGGACATCTTGTGCAGTGCCCCACTATTTGATGTTTTGAGGAAGTGAAAAAAATTAATTTTTCTTCTTGCTTGTGCCATTACTAAATATCAGTTTTGGGGGGGTATTTGGAAGAAGTTGATGAGTCTGCAGAGTTTGAGCTGTTTCCTTACATCAAGCAAATTTTATGATTAGAAGATTCAACTTTTATAATCCCCTTATGACTCACAAATTTATTCTTTCTAATTGATGGTAATATCCTGAACTGAAACCAACAGGGGAAAATAACAATGATTTTTTTTTTTTCCAGAAAGATACTCAGACCCAATTATCAACATATGGTTTAAACAGATGGCAGCTGAAATAAATCTGTGTGTAGTAGAATCAAAGATTTTAAAGAATTGTGTAGCCTGTCACCTGCCACTGCTCACACTGTGTTGAAGATATATAAAATTAATTGCATTTATAAAAATATACCACATTGTCTCACATCTTTGTACTTTTATCCATATAGTTTCCTCTCCCTAGAATAGCCTTCTTTTGATTTAGCTTTATCTTCTCCAGGACACTTCTCCTGATCTCTCTGGTCTCAATTTGAGCAATTCTGTGTCTGTCTGAAAGGCCTGTGCATACTGCCTACTTTACATTACAAAAATTATCACATATTAATTTGCTAATCTCATTCTCCCAAAATACTTTTTTTTATTCTTTTTTTTTGAGACAGAGTTTTGCTCTTGTTGCCCAGGTTGGAGTGCAATGGCGTGATCTTGGCTCACTGCAACCTCCACCTCCCAGGTTCAAGTGATTCTCCTGCCTCAGCCTCCCAAAGTAGCTGGGATTACAGGCACCCGCCGCCATGCCCAGCTAATTTTTTTGTATCTTAGTTGAGATGGGGTTTCACCATTTTGGCCAGGCCGGTCGGTCTTAAACTCCTGACCTCAGGTGATCCACCAGCCCCGGGCTCCCAATGTGCTGGGATTACAGGTGTGAGCCACCGCACCCGGCCAATATTGTTAATTAAAACAAAAATCACTGTCTTTTATTTCTGTATCTCTATTTGCATAGTACAGTCTGCCATCAGTCGGGGTTCAAAAAATATTTGCTCAATCTATCAATAAATTACAAGTTCTCTCTTCCACCAGCCTAGCAGTGGGAACTAACACAATGTTAAAAGTGGGAAATTGGCTGGGCAGTGTGGCTCACTCCTGTAATCCCAACACTTTGGGAGGCCGAGGCAGGATGACTGCTTGAGGACAGGAGTTTGAGATCAGCCTGGGCAACACAGTGAGACTCCATCTACACACACACACACACACACACCCCACAAATTAGCTAGGGGCATGGTTGTTGGTGCCTGTAGTCCCAGCTAGTCGAGAGGCTGAGGTGGGGGATAGTTTGAGCCCAGGAGTCCAAGGTTGCAGTGAACCATGATCATGCCACTGCATTCCAGCTTGGGTGAGATAAGGTGAAACCATTTCTCCAAAAATAAAAAATATAAGTGTGTTGGCTGGGCACAGTGACTCACACCTGTAATCTCAGCACTTTGGGTGGCCGAGGCAGGCGGATCACCAGGTCAGGAAATTGAGACCATCCTAGCTAACAGGGTGAAACCCCGTCTCTACTAAAAATACAAAAAATTAGCTGGGTGTAGTGGCGAGTGCCTGTAATCCCAGCTACTCAGGAGGCTGAGGCAGGAAAATCGCTTGAACCTGGGAGGCGGAGGTCGCAGTGAGCAACCACTGCACTCTAACCTGGGCGACAGAGCGAGACTCCAACTCACTCAAAAAAAAAAAAAAAAGTGTGAAATTGTTGGTCAGAAGCTTCCTTAAATCAATTTTTTTTTCCTTACAGCTCCTGTGTTCCTTTGTCTTGATAAGTATACTCAATAGATAAGTAAATAAAATATGAAAGGCTTTTGAAGCTTTTGGATTACATGGACTAAAACACTTTCTACCTTTTATTTTGCTATTTTGAACATATTTTCATTTAAAAAGTCACTGTCATGTAGTTATCAGTTGAAATACTTTATTTAACTTATTTTAAAAATTGATTCAAAACTTTTTATCTTCTTTATTAGGTATTCTACCCTTAGATTTAACACTCATTTTTCCCGAGTATATTTTCTCTTCAATATACAAAGGAATATATTTTCATAGAGTGTGTTGAATATTAGGAAAATCAAGAGTTCTGGTTCTGTCAGGTGCAGTATTTAGAGTGTTATTTTGATAAAATCCAGTTGCTCTGATATGGCTTGAAAATACTTGCTCCTTTGGAGTATAATTGCAGGGGAAAAACTGTGGAATAGGTAGAAATTCACCATAATGACTTGAATTGGTTTTATACATAATCATTTGAGGTTTTGATAGTGAGGTGGCTGTCTGGAGTGTCTTTGGATCCAACATACATGAAAACACAGGATTGCCAGGGTTCACACAAGGAGGCAGTTGTTCAGATTTCATTTCTGTGTCTGAATTTGAAGGTGAAGTACTTTTCTTATCCTAAAAGATAAACACATAAAATCATTCTCCATTATAAAGTTCTGAAAAAAAAAAAATTTAATTCAGTCCCACCCACTTCCCTTTTTCAGGAATTCTGTTCTCTTGAGGGCATTGAATGTCAGGCCTCTGAGCCCAAGCTAAGCCATCATATCCCTAGTGACCTGCACGTATACATCCAGATGGCCTGAAGCAAGTGAAGAATCACAAAAGAAGTGAAAATGGCCGGTTCCTGCCTTAACTGATGACATTACCTTGTGAAATTCCTTCTCCTGGCTCAGAACCTCCCCCACTGAGCACCTTGTGACCCCTGCCCCTGCCCGCCACAGAATAACCCCCTTTGACTGTAATTTTCCATTACCTACCCAAATCCTATAAAACGGCCCCACCCCTATCTCCCTTCGCTGACTGTCTTTTCGGACTCAGCCCGCCTCCACCCAGGTGATTAAAAAGCTTTATTGCTCACACAAAGCCTGTTTGGTGGTCTCTTCTCTTGACGTTGAAGACTACCCTTAAAATCACATACACCTGTACACAGAGCAAAGTTGTCAAAAATATGCTAAGTTACCTTTTTAAACATTCTGTACTAGAACTATGAGAATTTATTTAAAAATCTGTAAATCATAGGGAAAAATCTGTAAAAGTCATAGTTAGAAGAGGAAGTACAGCTTGATTTTAGAGTGAGAAAGGAACAAGATAAACATCCAGGGTTAGCCTGGGTATGTGGGCAGCCATTAAATAACTAATTACATAGCTAACTGAATAATTACAATTGTGATAACTGCTATGAAGAAAAAAAAATACAAGATATTAATGAAGACAGAATGGGGGTTCTTATCTAGTGTTGGGGGTTAGGGAAAGCCATTCCACTGAAGTACCATTCAATCTAAGATTGACTATAAGGCAAGGAAGTAAAAGATAGAAGTGGGGACAAAGTATGGCAAAAGTCAAGTAAATTAGGGTGAAAATATCATGAGATCAGAATAGAGAGCCAGGGGTTAGATCTCTTAGGGTTTTGTTGACTGTGTTTAAAATCTGAATCTTTATTGTAAAAGCAATGAAAAACTATTGAAGGGTTTTAAGGAGAGGAGTGACATGAGGTAATATAATTCTAGTAAAATTACTTTGGCTGTTGTTAGGGCCTGTGTGAATGTGGTGAGGAGCTGCAGTAGTCCATGTGAGTAATGATGACAATATATAGTAGGTGGTAGCATGGAGATGGAGCAAATTTGTTTGTTTTGTTTTGTTTTGTGTGTTTGTTTTTTGAGACAGAGTCTCGCTCTGTCATCCAGGCTGGACTGCAATGGTGCAGTCTCGGCTTACTGCAACCTCCGCCTCCCGGGTTCAAGCAATTCTCCTGCCTCAGCCTCCCAACTAGCTGGGATTATGGGAGCTCACCACGACAACCAGCTAATTTTTTTTTATTTTTAGTAGAGACAGGGTTTCACCATGTTGGCCAGACTGGTCTCGAACTCCTGACCTCAGGTGATCCACCTACCTTGGCCTCACAAAGTGTTGGGATTACAGGTGTGAGCCACCGCGCCCAGCCTATGGAGCAAATTTGAAATATATTTTGGAAGTAGAATTCACAGGATCTCATGATTGATTGGAGGTGGGTGGTGAGGGAAAAGGACAGATCTAGGATAACTTCCAGGTTTCTGGACAAACACTTGGGCGGATGGTGGTGCCATTTACTACAATGTACTACAATGTAATATGTAAATTAAATATATATATGTAGTTTTATATATAGATGATACATAATTTTGGCACTGAAAAGCACTTTGCATTGATGATGGCTTGATAAATTAATATAACAAGTTTCGTCCAGGCGCAATGGCTCACACCTGTAAATCCCAGCACTTTGGGAGGCCAAGGTGGGCGGATCACGAGGTCAAGAGATTGAGACCATCCTGGACAACATGGTGAAACCCCGTCTCTACTAAAAATACAAAAATTAGCTGGTTGTGGTGGGATGTGCCTGTAGTCCCAGCTACTCGGGAGGCTGAGGCAGGAGAGGATCCCTTGGACCCATGAGGCAGAGGTTGCAGTGAGCCAAGATCACGCCACTGCACTCCAGCCTGGTGACAGAGCAAAAGACTCTATCTCTCTCTCTCTCTATATATATAACAATGTTTAAAAAAACCAACAAACTGCATGAAAAACTCTAAAAAATGTCATGACTGAATCCTGAAATTCTGATTGTGAATTCTATCCTAAGAAACTTTATTGTAGAAAAATTTAATTCACAGCATTACTTACAAAAGAACTGAAATGTGTACTGATTTAGATGGAAGTTAATTTTAATTCTAATGCTAATGCCAAAAATACTAAGGGAGAAGACCACCCCTCATATTGTCTTATGCCCAATTTCTGCCTCCAAAGAAAGAAGAGGTAAAAACTAAAAGGCAGAAATGAAATCCACAGGCAGACAGCCCGGCACTACACCCTGGGCCTGGTAGTTAAAGATCGACCCCTGACCTAATCGGTTATGTTATCTGTAGAATACAGACATTTTATGGAAAAGCATTGTGAAAATCCCTGTCCTGTTCGGTTCCATTCTAATTACTGGTGCATGCAGCCCCCAGTCACGTACCCGCTGCTTGCTCAATCGATCAGGACTCTCTCACGCGGACCCCCTTAGAGTTGTAAGCCCTTAAGAGGGACGGGAATTGCTCACTCAGGGAGCTAGGTTGTTGGAGACGGGATTCTTGCCGAATGGCCGAATAAAGCCCTTCCTTCCCTTCCCTCTTTTTTTTTTTTTTTTTTGAGACGAAGTTTCACTCTCGTCCCCCAGGCTGGAGTGCAATGGCAGGATCTCAGCTCACTGCAACCTCCGCCTTCCAGGTTCAAGCGATTGTCCTGCCTCAGCCTCCCGAGTAGATGGGATTACAGGCACCTGGCTAATTTTTGTATTTTTAGTGGAGACAGGGTTTCACCATGTTGGCCAGGCTGGTCTCCAACTCCTGACCTTAGGTGATCCACCTGCCTCGGCCTCCCAAAGTGCCGGGATTACAGGCGTGAGCCACCACGCCCGGCCAAGCCCTTCCTTCTTTAACTCGGTGTCTGAGGGGTTTTGTCTGCGGCTTGTCCTGCTACAATACTAATAGAAGTACTTGAAAATAGCTTATTTTCTTAAATAGTTAAGTTTCTTCTGCAACCTTACATTGATGTAAGATAAACGTTCACCCAGCCCTGGTATAATTATGTCAGAATAATTACAAACTGGGTATTCTCTAAAGTGCTGTTAGTATAAATAGACTTTTTGTTTAATAAATTTCACTTTGAGATGGTTCACCTATTAAAAGTTAATAGATGAACAATCAATGTTTTGTTTTTCTTTTTTTTGAGATGGAGTCTCACTCTGTTGCCCAGGCTGGAGTGTAGTGGCGCCATCTCGGCTCACTGCAACCTCCCCATCTTGGGTTCAAGCAATTCTCATGCCTCAGCCTCCCAAGCAGCTGGGATTACAGGCGTGCGCCACCATGCCCAGCTAATTTTTGTATTTTAGTAGAGATGGGGTTTCACCATGTTGGCCAGGCTGGCCTCGGACTTCTGACCTGAGGTGATCCACCCGCCTCAACCTCCAAAAATGATGGGATTACAGGCGTGAGCCACCATGCCCAGCTGGAAAATCTATTAAAAGTTAATGACTTCACTTACTAACTTTTTTGGAAGACTTACAATGACTAATCCTTTATAAATTTAATTTCATTTGCATTTCTAGTTGGGAAAATTACAAATATAAGAACATTTCTAGGCCGAGTGCGGTGGATCACCTGAGGTCAGGAGTCTGAGATCAGCCTGGCCAACATGGTGAAACCCTGCCTCTACTAAAAATACAAAAAATTAGCCAAGCGTGGTGGCACACACCTGTAATCCCAGCTACTCGGGAGGCTGAGGCAGGGGAATTGCTTCAACCCGGGAGGCCAAGGTTGCAGTGATCCGAGATTATGCCACTCACTGACTCCAGCCGGGGCAACAAGAGTGAAACTCTGTCTCAAAAAAAAAAAAAACAAAAAAAAACCAGGCCTGGCGCGGTGGCTCACGCTTGTAATCCCAGCACTTTGGGAAGCTGAGGCGGGCAGATCACAGGGTCAGGAGATCCAGACCATCCTGGCTAACGCGGTGAAACCCTGTCTCTACTAAAAATACAAAGAATTAGCCGGGCGTGGTGGCGGGCGCCTGTAGTCCCAGCTACTCGGGAGGCTGAGGCAGGAGAATGGCGTGAACCTGGGAGATGGAGCTTGCCTTGAGCCGAGATCCTGCCACTGCACTCCAGCCTGGGCGACAGAGCGAGACTCCGTCTCAAAAAAAAAAAAGCATTTCTCTATGTAATATCTTATATCTACTCATATTTTAAATGTACTTAGAGCTGAAAAATAAAAAAAGTCCTAATGAGTTGAAATGAAGCTGATTTAAAATGCTTTCCCCATAAAAACAGTCTTTTTTTTTTTTTTTTTTTGAAACGGAGTTTTGCTCTTGTTGCCCAGGCTGGAGTGCAATGGCGCGATCTTGGCTCACTGCAACCTCTGCCTCCCAGGTTCAAGCGATTCTCCTGCCTCAGCCTCCCGAGTAGCTGGGATTACAGGCATGTGCCACACCAGGCCCAGCTAATTTTGTATTTTTAGTAGAGACAGGGTTTCTCCATGTTGGTCAGGCTGGTCTCAAACTCCCGACCTCAAGTGATCTGCCTGCCTTGGCCTCCCAAAGTGCTGGGATTACAGGCGTGAGACACCACGGCCGGCCCTTAAAAACATTCTTAAAGGGCAGCTTTTAATTAACTGTTTTGGTGTGGAGAAGGGAGAAAGTTTTTCTCTGTCACTCAGGCTAGAGTGCAGTAGTGATCGTAGTTCACTGCAGCCTCAAACTCCTGGATTCCAGTGACCCTCCCAAGTAGCTAGGACTACATGCACACCACCATACCCAGCTAATTTTTATAATTTTTTTTTTTTTTTGAGACGGAGTCTCACTCTTTTGCCCAGGCCGGAGTGCAGTGGCGCGATCTTGGCTCACTGCAAGCTCCACCTCCTGGGTTTACGCCATTCTCCTGCCTCAGCCTCCCGAGTAGCTGGAACTACAGGCGCCAGCCACCGTGCCCGGCTAATTTTTTGTATTTTTAGTAGAGATGGGGTTTCACCGTGTTAGCCAGGATGGTCTCGATCTCCTGACCTCGTGATCCGCCCGCCTTGGCCTCCCAAAGTGCTGGGATTATAGGTGCGCACCACCGCGCCCAGCCTTAATTTTTATAATTTTTTTGTAGGGATGAGGTCTTGCTATGTTGCCCAGGCTGGTCTTGAACTCCTGGTCTCAAGCAATCCTCCTGCCTTGGCTTCCCACAGCACTGGGATTACAGGCATAAGCTACCATATCAATCCCCAGCTTTTAACTTAAAAGTACTATAAAACCATATTCAATCTACTCTTCATCAACTTTTTCTTTTTTTTGAGACAGAGATCTCACTTTGTTGCCCAGGCTGGAGTGCACTGGCTGTTCACAAATGGGATAATAGTGCACTGCAACCTGGAACTCCTGGGCTGAAGTGATCCTCAGGCCTTGGCTTCTCAAGGTGGGACTTCAGGTACATGCCACAGTGTCCAGCTTTCAGTCAATTATTAATGTTCTACCTGAATAGTGTCCCTACTAAAGTTTTTGAAAGTATTTTTCCATGAATAAGGGGACTGAAAATATGAATCAAATATAAAGCAATTTAAACTTGGACAAGTCACTTAGATTCTCTGTGCCTAAAATTTGTTTGTAAAACAGTGGAGCCTGGATTATTTGACCTCTCAGATCTCTTCTACCAACTCCACAGAATTTATTAACCTTATAAACTTGAGGCAGAATCACAGTGTAGTATACTATGTTTTCATGTTTTGCTTTATTTTAATGAGAATCATAAGCGAAAGAGGGCTGGATGTGATATATTGGAAGAGTAGCACAAGGCAGCAACTATGACCTAGGTTCTCATACTTTATCATTTCACCTTTATTTGTATATTATCTGTAAAACTGGTAAATAAAAATCTGCCATAGTTCCTATGGTTGTGGAGATTAAATGAAAGAAAATTTGATGTAAATGGTGAATCACTATATGAATGGGATCAATTTTTTTTTTTTTTTTTTTTTTTTTGTGGAGACAAAGTCTCACTCTGTTGCCCAGTCTGGAGTGCAATGGTGTGATCTTGGCTCACTGCAACCTCTGCCTCCTGGGTTCAAGCAATTCTCCTGCCTTAGCCTCCCAAATCGCTGGGCTTAAAGGCGTGCGCCACCACGCTCAGCTAAATTTATTTATTTTTTTTTGTGAGAAGGAGTTTTGCTCTTGTTGCCCAGGCTGGAGGGCAATGGTGCAATCTCAGCTCACCGCAACCTCCGCCTTCTGGGTTCAAGCCATTCTCCTGCCTCAGACTCCCGAGTAGCTGTGATTACAGGCATGCACCACCATGCCTGGCTAATTGTGTATTTTTAGTAGAGATGGGGTTTCTCCATGTTAGTCAGGTTGGTCTCGAACTCCCAACCTCAGGTGATCCGCCCGCCTCGGCCTCCCAAAGTGCTGGAATTACAAGCGTGAGCCACCGTGCCTAGCCTAATTTTTGTATTTTTAGTAGAGATGGGGTTTCACCATGATGGCCAGGCTGGTTTTGGACTCCTGACCTCAAGTGATCCACCTGCCTCGGCTTCCCAAAGTGTTGGGATTACAGGTGTGAGCCACTGCGCCTGGCCAAATGGAATCAATTTTTATCACTATTTTATTTTATTTTTTGAGATGGAGTTTTGCTCTGTCACCTAAGCTGGAGTGCAGTGGCGCAGTCGCAGCTCATTGTAACCTCTGCGTCCCAGGTTCAAGTGATTCCCCTGCCTCAGCTTCCAGAGTAGCTGGGACTACAGGTGCCTGCCAACACACCTGGCTAATTTTTGTGTTTTTAGTAGAAATGGGGTTTCACCATGTTGGCCAGGCTGTTCCCAAACTCCTGACCTCTGATGATCCGCCTACCTCAGCTTTCCAAAGTGCTGGGACTACAGTCGTGAGCCACCATGCCTCACCAAATTTTATTATTTTCTTTTTTGCAGGTTTACCTCAATGTATGATCTTCCAGAAACAGTTCTGAAACCTACAGGTTAATGACCTTGTATTAGCATAATATGGTTTGCTAATATTCACTTAATACTCATAAGTTTGTAGTTGGCAAAGCTGGAAATAGAACTCAGGTTCACTGAGTGTCATCAATGTTATTCTCATCAGATCTTGCTGTTTATTCTTTTTGAAACTGCTTATTAATTTGCTTTAAATATTAACAACACAGATACTGGATAATAGTAAATCATAAGAATTTTAAAATTTTGATGGTATCTCAACTGATCAGCTTTTCTTAAATTTTCTAGGTTTCCTCAGCACAGGGGAAAGCTTTATAGGTGGAAGGTGGAGGCCCTGTGACTTGCGCAGAAAAGTACCACTGTAATTTACTTTTATGGGCACCTAAGCAGGTTGCCCAGGGCAACTTGTAGATTTTGTTGTTGTTGTTGTTAATACTATCTCCTTCAGTCACTGAGAACTCTTTTTTATTTTTTTATTTTTTGAGATGGAGTTTTGCTCTTGTTGCCTAGGCTGGAGTGCAGTGGCGTGATCTTGGCTCACTGCAACCTCCGCCTCCCGGATTCAAGCGATTCTCTTGCCTCAGCCACCCGAGTAGCTGGGATTATAGGCATGCGTCACCACGCCCGGCTAATTTTGTGTTTTTAGTAGAGATAGTGTTTCTCCATGTTGGTCAGGCTGGTCTCGAACTCTTGAACTCAGGCGATTCGCCTGCCTCGGCCTCCCAGAGTACTGGGCCTTAAATGCTGGAATTATAGGCATGAGCCACCGCGCCCAGCTGAGAACTCTTCTTGTTATCAAATGACCCTCTTTACTACTGGTTCTAGAATTTCGTTCAGCTTTGGCTCAAAACATAATGCAGAAAACGAAATCTAGTAAAAACAGAAGACAAATTAGCTGATAAACTTTGTTGGCATAATTAGTACCATAAAATCTGGAAAAGCTAAATCTTAAATTAAAAATTTTTTAGATTTCCAGGATAATTCACAAATGTTTATAGATTCAGAAACAAAAGGTCCATTGCTTTATACTTTACATCATAGACAACCACTGCAGTTTTCTAATATGGGTTTCACCTTCTTCAAACCTGATATTCTTAAAATGTGGAGTTCAAACTGACTATAGTTAAGAACGAAACAAATAGCCAATACAAAGAATAATAAAAGGATGAGTTCAAATTATCTGCCACATGTCATCAACTTTTATTAAATGATAAAAAGGTTAATTAAAATTGTAAATGATTTTTCAGAAGAAATTACATCTTAAAATTGGCCTGTGAAAGTGGCTTGAAAGGTATAAAAATCTACCAGTAGCTGGTATTAGCTTTCTTAGTAATTTAATTTTCAGTTAGAGAAAGCCAGACCACTTTGACCTTTCGAAGTCCTTTGGTATAGATACATATACATTTAAAAAGATAAATGAAAACAAGCCATTGATTAATAATGCCCATCGCAGAAGCTGTAATTATAAAATTAAGATTTTTTGATGTCACTGTTGATGTTGAATATAGTTAATAGAAAAGCAAAAATAAAAAATAAAAAAGGTCTAATTTTGAGGCACTCTTTTGTCTCTGCTCAGGTCCACCGTCTTCCTTGCTAATGTTTACGTTTATTATTAATTTTTCCATTTATTTATTTACTTTTACCACAATTAGGGGACAGAGAATGAAACCTAAACTTTTTATTGCTTCTGTAAAGAGTGAATATAAATGTAAGATTTTTTTTTTTTGAGACGGAGTTTTGCTCTTGTTGCCCAGGCTGCAGTTCAGTGGCGCAATCTCGGCTCACTGCAACCTCTGCCTCCCAGGTTCAAGCAATTCTGCTGTCTCAGCCTCCCAAGTAGCTGGGATTACAGGCCCGCGCCACCTCTCCTGGCTAATTTTTTGTATTTAGTAGAGACGGAGTTTCACCATGTAGGTCAGGCTGGTCTCGAACTCCTGACCTCAGGTGATCCACCCGCTTCGGCCTCCCAAATTGCTGGGATTACAGGCGTTGAGCCCCGGCGCCCGGCCACCAAATCCTTTTTCAAAACAACTCCCTTCTTTGACACAGTGCAATTTAAATAAGTATACAATTAACAAAGTACGTTTTTCTTGTTCAAAACCATCACTGAACAGTTTGCAACAGTAGGGTATGAATGCATACAATCTCGATGGTCTTTACACCTTCAGAGGCTATTCGGACTTAAGGAAACGTGCATTTACAAGTGTAAATGTAAAAGCTCAGTAGTTGCCTTGTAAAGTGCTTTTCGGGGTTGTGGGGTTGGGGGTGGTAGGAGTAGGTGGTGCCTCAAATTATACTAGCGAATACCAACATTCCCAAACATCTAGCCCTCTGCCTAAACTCACCCGGTTGCGGTCTGTCATTTTCGCTCTTCTTTGTTAATTTTTTCGGCAAAGTCAGTTTTCATGCAGCAGATGGCAAGAAAGCCGGTGAACGCCTAGGGACGTGGCCTTTTAACCGCACCCAATTAAAGCAGCAAACAGAAGATGAATAGCTGGGTGGATCAGTATGTGTAAACCTATCCGTTTAATCCGGGGAGCTGTTTTCCCGGGTGAAACCACGAATTCTTTCTGGAGGTTGCAACTCGTAACCATAGCAACTGGAAGTGGTCGCCGGCTCCCGGATGTTGTGGGGATCTGCGGCCGCCTGGCCCAGCTTCCCGCAGCCGCCCGGCGGCGGCCTGCGCTCCACTTCGGGAGTGGTAGTTCTTCTCTTCACCGCTGCCGGGCAGGAGGCGCAGGCGGGACTACGCGTCACGGCATGCACTGCGGCGCCCAGCCGGTCACCGCCTGCCGGCTGCAGACGCCTGCGAGCAGGTTGTTTTTATAAGAGGCGTCATTGGCGCCCGAGCTGTGACCGCCGCCACTGGGGCAGCCAGCACAATCGGGCGGAGGTGGCGCTGCCCCTTCAGGTACTGTACTAGGCGGGCTTAGACCCCGGGAGGGGGTTTGTGCCGACTGTCTGAGTCCCTGGCCGACACGCTCGGCTCAGTAGAGGAGCAGTGGCGGGGTCCGCCTCCTAGGCTGGGGCTGCTCGGGCGGGGACTTGACGCCTGGTGTCAGCGGCCGCACGGGCGACCTCCTCGGGCCGTGCGCGAGTGCACAGCTCCGGAGGCCCGAGCCGACCCTGGGGCGTCCGGTCCGGTGGTCTTGCAGCCTCCAAACCCCGAGTGCTATACCGAACTGCGCGCCAAGGGTGGGAGAGCTGACGGCCTGGGCCACCCTTCTTCCTTCACTGGGCAGGCTTTGAGGTGCTTGTCGGTCTGGACTGATGAAAATCCATATGGTAAGATGTTATGTGCGTCACCCTGCCGGGTTTAATGCCAGCCTGTCTTTTGATGACATTTGAGCCCCCGTGATGTCAGGAATAGAAAGATTAAATATTAAATAATGCCCGGAGACTTCCGCTAGCACGCCAGCCTGATGATGATCAAATACCTCTCCATATCCTTCTCCAGTTCCAGTGGCCTCCTTTAGCTTTGGTCTCCCTAATCGATTTGTCCTCATTAGCAGCTGTCCCATGCAGTGCCTTGTACGCGTTGTTTATGTTTAGCACTATTGGGAGCGCCAAGTAAGGTATTTTATTGAGTGGTGAAGTTTGCACTGTTCTGCTCTACTTTTATTGAAAAACACAGTTGGGCATTCTTGTAGTTAGAATAGCTAACTATATAGTACTATGAATTTTAGATTTGTCTCCTCCAATCTACAGGATAGTGCTTGAAATATCGCTATTACTGCATCGTATCTTTTAAGATTAGAATCATATTGGGTCCCACACGTCTCAGGGGATATTTATCACACACATCCAGTGTGAATGGTTTACTTTTATTTTCTGAGTTCAGGTCATATAGCAGAAGATGGAGATGGTGAGGGTATTATTTTAATTCATATTTTTTTTTTTTTTGAGAGAGGGTTTCGCTCTTGTTGCCCAGGCTGGAGTGCAGTGGCGCGATCTCGGCTCACTGCAACCTCTGCCTTCCAGTTTCAAACGATTCTCCTGCCTCAGCCTCCCGAGTATCTGGGATTACAGGCGCCCGCCACCACGCCCAGCTAAATTTTGTATTTTTAGTAGAGACGGCGGGGCGGGGGGGGGGGTCTCAACGTGTCGGCCAGGCTGGTCTTGGACTCCTGACCTCGTGATCCGCCCACTTCGGCCTCCCAGAGTGCTGGGATTACAGGCGTGACCCACCGCGCGGGCGTTAATTCATAATTTTTAACCTTTTACGCTGAGGGCGGAATTTCAGTCAAAAAAGCTGATTAAAAATCAGCCCAAATACAATTTAAAGGTGTGGGAAATACTCCTTCTTAGATGAAAACAGTTTAGAAAATAGTGTAATTGCAATTTTGTAAACCATGGAACAAAAAGTGAACATAACTTCTTTTAGAAATGACTTAAAGGGTCCAGAGCGGTGGCTCAGGCTTGTAATCCCAGCACTTTGGGAGGCCCATGCAGGTGGATCACCTGAGGTCAGGAGTTCGAGACCAGCCTGGCCGACACGGTGAAACCCCGTCTCTACTAAAAATACAAAAATTAGCCTGTAAACCCAGCTACTTGGGAGGCTGAAGCAGGAGAATTACTTGAACCCGGGAGGCGGAGGTTGCAGTGAGCCACAAGATCTGGCCACCGCACTCCAACCTGGGTGACAGAGTGAGATTATCTCAAAAAAACAAAAAAAAAAAAACAAAAAAAAAAAAAGAGAAAAAGAAAGAAAAGAAATAAAGGATATTCACAGTTATAAAAGTGTAGATAGTGAAACTAGAAATGATTTTTCTTGTACTTTCCTGTATTTTTCAAGTTTTCTGTAGAAAAAACTTTTAAAAAAGGATGCAAGTATTAACAGCACTTTGAGAGTTTCTATATCATTTTTTTCACTTTCTAGTGGAAAGCCCCACCCTTATGCAAAAAAAAAAAAAAAGCAGCAATTCCAGTTATGGACTCTATGAACATTACTTTAAAAAGAAAATAAAGGCCTAGAGCAGTGGCTCATGCCTGTAATCCCAGGACTTTGGGAAGCCAAGGCAGGCGGATCACTTGAGGTCAGGACTTCAAGGCCAGCCTGGCCAACGTGGCAAAACCCCGTCTCTACTAAAAATACAAAAATTAGCTGGGCATGGTGGCGGATGCCTGTTATCTCAGCTATTCAGGAGGCTGAGGCAGGAGAATCGCTTGAACCCGGGAGGCAGAAGTTGCAGTGAGCCGAGATCATGCCACTGTACTCTAGCCTGGGTGACAGAGTGAGACTGTCTCAAAAACACCAAATAAGCAACAACAGTAAAAAACACAGGCAAAGTCCCTGTTGCTGCATCTGTAGACTATATGAATTTAAGTGTAAATTATTTGGAGAGTAGGGACAATAAATGAAATAGTTGGACTCGAAGAAAATAACAGATCCGACAATTTGTAGCATTTGTAGATCTCATTTTATTTTTTGGAGATGATGTCTTGCTCTGTCACCTAGTCTGGAGTGCAGTGGCCTGGACACGACTTACTGCAGCCTCCTGGGCTCAAGTGATCCCAACACAGCCTCCCACATAGCTGGGGCTACAGGCACATGTCACCAGGCCTAGGCCTGGCTATTACTTTTTTTGAGACAGAGTCTTGCTCTATTGTATGGTGGTTCAGTCTCGGCTCACTGCAACCTCTGCTTCCTAGTAGCTGGGATTACAGTGTGATTCAAGCTGAGTTCAAGTGTGATTCTCCTGCCTCAGCCTCCCAGTAGCTGTCACATGTCACAGACATGTGACACCATGCCCCACTAAATTTTTTTTTGAGACGGAGTTTCGCTCTTGTTGCCTAGACTGGAGTGCTATGGCAAGATCTCAGCTCACCACAACCTCCGCCTCCTGGTTTCAAGTGGTTCTCCCGCCTCACCCTCCCGAGTAGCTGGGATTACAGGCATGTGCCACCATGCCCGGCTAATTTTGCATTTTTTAGTAGAGACAGAGTTTTTTCCATGTTGGTCAGGCTGGTCTCAAACTCCCGACCTCAGGTGGTCCGCCTGCCTCAGCCTTCTAAAGTGCTGGGATTACAGACGTGACCCACTGCCCCTGACCTAATTTTTGTATTTTTAGTAGAGACTGGGTTTTGCCATGTTAGCCGGGCTGGTCATGAACTCCTGGCCTCAAGTGATCTGTCCGCCTTGGCCTCCCAAAGTGCTGGGATTACAGGCACGTAGCTGGGATTACAGGCACACACCACCATGCCCGGCTAATTTTTGTATTTTTAGTAGAGATGGGGTTTCACCATAATGGCCAGGATGGTCTCGATCTCCTGAATGCGTGATCCGGTTGCCTGGGCCTCCCGAAGTGCTGGCATTACAGGCGTGAGCCACCGCACCTGGCCCTAATTTTAAAATTTTATGTAGAGGCAGGGTCTCGCTATGTTTCCCAGGCTGGTCTCTTTGAACTCCTGGGTTCAAGCGATTTTCCTGCCTTAGCCTCCCAGAGTGCTGGATACAGGCATGAGAGCTCCATGTCTGGCCTGTACATCCCATCTTTTGATCTGGTTTCTTTTCACTTTGTACAGTTAAATCAGAGGTGAAAGTACTTAGCTTTTCTTCACTTAAGCCTGGAAAATCTTAAACTTGTCAACATTGAATCACGTTCAGAACCATGTTTTATATGTCTGATATTTTGGCTTATGTCTATTTTTGTTTTTATTTTTTGTTATGGTTATGTTGGATATGGACTGGTAAGTAGTATAATCAATCATTAGCCCACATTTTGCTTTCTGTTGTAAAGGGCTACATTGTTCTTCCACAGTAATATACAGTACATTTTTCTTTTTTTTGGCTACTATCAGCCCTTAAAAATTAAGGGGGTTTACCTTAACACCAAGTGTCCATTAACACTGGATAAAATATCTATTCTAAAGTGTTTTACAAAAAACACTGGTAACACGTTGTTTTTCAGGTTGTGGTGTTCATACTTTATTTTCTTAGGTTGTCTTCTTTGGAGCTTGCCTACTCCAAATGTCAATTTCTTTTCAATATTTTTTACCTTATAATTTTGTATATTCTGTGTACTGAGTTGGCTCAATATGTTATTAGGCTTTGGGTCTATTCACAGGGCATAAGAAAAATTCATAATTGATTAACATGTCTGATTTACTAACTCATTCCACAGTATTATTGTATGGGTTGTATAATTATATTCTTATGCAAGTTAAAGAAAGACTTTTAAAAATTAGGTGCATATGAACTGCTAAAATCATGGAAGTAGTAGTTTTTGAACATGTTAAGAACATGAACACAGCAGCAAGGCCTGTTAAGTCCAAGGTACTTTAAACAAAAAATGCAGACTCATCTAACAGTGCAGAACTGCTGGAGGCTGAATTATGTTTGTGTTTCTTTGTGGTGAAGATGAGGAAGTTGCAGTATTGTAAGTGATAAAGGATTACATTTTCACAAATTTCCTTCCTGACAGTTCCATAATTGTAACTAGACTAAAACACTTGGTTTCAAAGGTCATTTGCAATGTATTGCATCAGATAAACTTGGCCATATTTTCTCTCAATTTGAGTTCTAAGATGAAATTCAGCCCTATGATATGGGAAGGATTGTAATTAAGTGATAAATAAAGGGATTTTTTCCCCCAAAGGGTATTTAATGTGTGGAAACCTCTTTAAGGGTCTATAGAATTACCTGAGGAAGTATTAGAAAATAAGAAGTGGGAGTTAAGTATTTTTTTCTGTCATCACAGGAAGCCTGAAATCTTTTTTTTTTTTTAAGTACTTATCCAAATCACTATTCTTTTAAAATCTTACAAAATCTTACTTCTGGTTCATATTGCCAGCATGTTGAAATGTAAAAAGAGCATTAGGTTGGAAATCAGAGGATTTTTAATGATGTTGAGGAAGTTATTATTTATAATTTTCTGTTCGTTTTCATTTGGAATTTGTAAATAATAGCAAGCTGCCTTTATGGGGGTATTTGTGAAGATTAAATCAGATATGAAAATGAAATTGCTTTGTAAGTGGTGGAGTTATCTACTCATATGAAGTATTATTGTACTAAGTGCATTTACATAAAGCACTTATATGTTTGAAGTGTGATGCCTTGATGTGATAAATACTTTTTGACTGGGAAGTTTGATGAAGAAAAAAAGTCAAATGGGTTATTCATTTGATTTCTTGGTAGAGATTGGTGGCTTTTTCCAGACTGAAGGAAACCTGGCTCCTCTCCTGACTGTGACTTTGCACTCTGTTGCATCAAATGTCCTGAAACTGCAGTGTACTTCTGTGGTTGAGCTTTTAATTTTGGTTTTGATTTGTTTTAATCTCACTTCTATAAGTGTAAGAATGGTCATCAGTCTAGTTTGACAATAGGAAGTAGCTATTGTTTTTAATATTCTCAAATGGATCTTTAAGTTATTTCATGAACAATGAGACTACATTGAATGTGAAATCTCAGGTCCTCTGAGAAATACATTTCATGTTTAAAGCATTAGTCTTTGAGCCAAAGAAATAATGGAGTTTAGATTTTTCCTTCTGGGGAAGTTATCTCTGGCTATGAGAGGATCTGACCCTTGAGATTAACTTCAAGTTAGGTTGATATATAGAATATTTACGATAAAGAAAAAGTATTTTAGAAACAAGTACATATTGGCTGGGTGTGGTGGCTCATGCCTGTAATCCCAGCACTTTGGAAGGTCGAGGAGAGTGGATCACCTGAGGTCAGGAGTTTGAGACCAGTCTGGCCCAACATGGTGAAACCCCGTCTCTACTAAAAATACAAAAATTAGCCTGACTTGGTGGTGTGTACCTGTAGTCCCAATTACTCAGGAGGCTGAGGTGGGAGGATCGCTTGAGCCAAGGAGTTTGAGGTTACAGTGAGCTGTGATGGTGCCACTGTACTCCCGCCTGGGTGAGTGACAGAGCGAGATCCTGTCTCTAAAAATAAAGCTATAATAAAGACATTAACAAATAAAATTGGAGCTATTTATCAAAACTTTGAACTTAATACTAATTAATAAAGTAGCTCAAGGAAAAAAGTAAGTAGTGTAAGCTACCATTAGGCAAATTATGCTGAGAAGTATAGTAAGTGCTATAGATTCAGGGGAAAATGAAATCTGTATGTCAGAAACAGTGATCTAGGAAAATTTCATGGGAGAAGACAGCTTTAAATACAGAAATCAGAATGAAGGAAGAAAAGCATTTCAGGAAGTGAAGACATGGAGTTAGGGTTGTCCATTTTGTGTTCAGAAGACAGCAATTAAATTACTTCAGCCATATGACGAGGAAAGCTAATCAGATTAGTTGCAAATTAGGTGAGAACCAGATAGTGGGAGTTTTTCAGTGTCACACTAAGGAGTGTGTCTTTATTGTACAGAATACTTACTCTTAAAGTTGGGCAGACTCTGAGTGGGAAGAAAAATATTTTAGCACTGGGTATAAGTGTATGTAACCTGCAGTCTCTTTCATCTTTGCCTCTATGTTTATAGGGTAGTAGTGGTTTTTTTTTTTTTTTGAGACGGAGTTTCATTCTTACGCCCAGGCTGGAGTGAAATGGCGTGGTCTCGGCTCACTGCAACCTCCACCTCCTGGTTCAAGTGATTCTCCTGCCTCAGCCTCCCGAATAGCTGGGATTACAGGCATGGGCCACCATGCCTGGCTAATTTTTGTATTTTTAGTAGAGACGGAGTTTCGCCATATTGGCCAGGCTAGTCTTGAACTCCTGACCTCAGGTGATTCACCCGCCTCGGCCTCCCAAAATGCTGGGATTATAGGCATGAGCCACTGCGCCCAGCAGTAGTGTGTTTTTAGGGAGGGACAGGGAAGGTTGAAAAATGGCACTGTAGAAAGCCATCAGTACCATAGCAATTAAACCAGCGTTGTAGTGGTTCAGGAATAGAAAATAGATCAGTGGAACAGAATAGAGAACACAGAAATGGATTAATAAATGTGTGGGACTTTATATGACAAAAGGTGGCATTTCAAATTATAGAAAAAGTGTGGAATATTCAATATTTGGTTTAATTTCCACTTCACACCAAAAGAAAAAAAATCCAAATGCATGAATTAAACAGCTAAATGTAAAAGCCAAAAACTGTGGAAGTATTAGTAGAAAATACAGGAGAATAATTTTATAGTCTTGGGAGCAGGAAAAACTTTCTAAAACAAGATACAAAATCTAGATACTATAAAGGACACCCTGTTTTCCAGCCTCTACATTGACTGTATAAAATTTGAAACATAATAAAGATACTTTAAAAATGTTTGAGGCATGCTAGAACATTAATTCATGACCCAACTTATAAGGAACTACAAATCAGTAATGACAATCTAATAGGAAAGTGAACATATGAATATAGATGCTTCACAGAAAAGGAGATGAGGATAGCCAGTAAACACAAGATGCACAGCCCCACTGAAGTCTTCCTGGAAGTGCAGATTAAGGAATTTATTATTTTGCTCATGAGATGAGCGGAAATTAAAGATGGTTGTTACTCTGTTGGTGGGATTGTGGAGAAATAGGTACTTTCATATGTTGTTGGCAGCAACTTTGTACTACCTTTGGGAGAGCAATTTAGCAATATCTATAATTTTTTTTGTTTGTTTTGTTTTGTTTTTGTTTTTTTGAGATGGAGTTTCACTGGAGTGTGCCTGGCCTTTTTAATTTATTTTTGAGATGGAGTCTGGCTCTGTAACCCAGGCCTTAGTGCAGTGGTGTGATCTCGGCTCACTGCAACCCCCACCTCCTGGGCTCAAGCGATTCTTCTGCCTCAGCCTCCCAAGTAGCTGGGATTACAGGCACGCACCATCATGCCTGGCTAATTTTTCTATTTTAGTACAGGTGGGGTTTCACCATGTTGACCAGGCTGGTCTCGAACTCATGACCTCGTGATCCGCCCACTTCGGCCTCCCAAAGTGCTGGGATTACAGGTGTGACTCACCACCCCTGGCCTTTTTTTTTTTTTTTTTTTTTTTTTGAGGTAGAGTATCTTGTCCAGGCTGGAGTGCAGTGGTATTATCTCGGCTCAGTGCAACCTCCACTTCCTGGGTTCAAGCAGCAATTCTTGTGCCTCAGCCTCCCGAGTAGCTGGGATTAAAGGCTCCTGCCACTATGTGGGCCTAGCTAATTTTTTTGTATTTTTAGTAGAGATGGGGTTTTGCCACGGGCCAGGCTGGTCTCAAGTGATCCTCCCAAAGTGCTGGGATTATAGGTGTGAGCCACCACGCCCTACTAATTTGTTGTATTTTTAGTAGAGATGGGTCTTCACCATGTTGCCCAGGCTGGTCTCAAACTCGTGAGTTCAAGCGATTTGCCTGCCTTGGCCTCCCAAAGTATTGGAATTACAGACGTGAGCCAACGGGCCCGGCCTGTGGCTTTTCGTGGAGTTCTTAGAACGTAAGTTTTCTGTGCTGTTGTGCCTTCTACTTTCTCTACCTTTTGGAATGTCTTCACTTTCCAGTCCCTTTTACCTAGATAATTTGAATTACTCTCTGAAGGCTCAACCTACTTTTCATGAGTTACAGATATTTGCTTCTTAAGGATCTTTTTTTATCAGTTTCATTTTGATATTTTAGATGTGAATTCAATTTGGTTGACAGAGTCTTGCTCTGTCACCCAGGCTGGAGTGCAGTGGCACAATCTTGGCTCACTTTAATCTCTGCCTCCTGGATTCAAGCCATTCTTCTGCCTCAGCCTCCCAAGTAGCTGGGACTACAGGTGCCCACCACCATGCCCGGCTAGTTTTTTTTTTTTTTTTTTTTTTGTATTTTTAGTGGAGATGAGGTTTGCACCATGTTGGCCAGGCTAATCTGGAACTGTACCCGACCTGACAGTTGATCTTTTTAATATTTAGCTTAGCTTATCTCTAGGTGTTTCATCCATAGAACTAAATCTCAGTTGTGTTCAGGTACAAAAAAGATGGAAAACTACTCATTCATTCTTCAGAACTGTTTTCAGGACTTCAAGGAGGCCTTCCCTAACCACCCTATTTAACATTCCAGTTCTTGCACCATCCCCACCCCTACTCTGCCCTCACTTTTTTCTCCATGGCACTGGGCACCAGCTGGCTAACTCTGTCTTCAAAAAGTACTTTTCTTTGGGGGAGGTTTTTCTTTTGTTTTTGTTTTCTTTCTTTCAGTCCTGTATCTTCAGCACTTAGAAGAGTTCATGGCACACAGTAGGTACTCAATAAGCATATGTTGAAAGAATGAATGCAGTTTCATGTTCCGGATGAGGATAGGCTCATTTAAAATATTTTCATATGTTTATTAGACAAAAAGTAGCCTTCAAAAAAGTTTTCATGCTGGGCGCAGTGGCTCACACCTGTAATCCCAGCACTTTGGGAGGCCAAGGCAGGCGGATCATGAGGTCAAGAGATCGAGACCATCCTGGCCAACATGGTGAAACCGCATCTCTACTAAAAATACAAAAATTAGCTCGGCATGGTGGTGCGCACCTGTAATCCCAGTTACTTGGGAGGCTGAGGCAGGAGAATCTCTTGAACCCGGAAAGCAGAGGTTGCAGTGAGCCGAGATCGCGCCACTGCTCTCCAGCCTGGAGACAGAGTGAGACTCTGTCTCAAAAAAAAAAAAGTTTTCATTAGTTGGGATCTTGTATCCTCTTCCCTTTCTCAAGTGATGTGTTTTAAAGCAGACATTTTCATATCCTTTGGCGGAGGTGAAAGACCCAGACCTTTTGAAAAGTATTTTACAAATACGTTCTTGAAAGCACTCCAGACTGACTCGCTTATCTTTGGTCACATGACAGTACAGCTGCACTTTGAGGCCTTTGCCTATAGCCTATTGGTTGCCTTACTTCGGAATTGTAGACGTGTGGGAGAATAATGCTCCCATTCTTCTCCATCTTATCTAGTTCTAGAAGATATAATGGTAATGGAAACCTCACCTTTTTCATAGTAAAATGTAGCTACCCAGGAATGATGAGGGGCACCATCATATCAGGTAATATTCATTCCAGTTATATTTTATGAGGTAAAATTGATACTGTTGTTGTGTTGTTCTTACAGATTTTGACAGGCTCCACCAAAGTGTTTTTAAATGACTTATTTAGCCTCTAACTCTCCCCTGAATTCAGTCTCCAGACGCCTACTTTATGTTTCCTCTTGGATGTGATAATAACTATCTCAGATTTAAAATGCCCCAAACCAATTTGCTGGTTTCCTTTTCTTCTTCTTTTTTTTTCTTGAGATGGAGTCTTGTTCTGTCTCCCAGGCTGGAGTGCCGTGGCATAGTCTCGGCTCACTGCAACCTCCACCTCCCGAGTTCAGGCGATTCTCCTGCCTCAGCCTCCCGAGTAGCTGGGACTACAGGCATCCACCAGACCACCTGGCCAATTTTTGTATTTTTAATAGAGACAGGGTTTCACCATGTTGGTCAGGCTGGTCATGAACTCCTTACGTCAAGTGATCTGCCCACCTCGGCCTCCCAAAGTGCTGGGATTACAGGTGTGAGCCACCATGCCCGGCCCAATTTACTGATTTTCTTCTCATAACCTGCTCTTTTTGAAGTCTTTCTGCCTCAGTAGCTATTCCATTCTAGTACTCGGTGAGGCCAGGAGTCATCCTTTATACCCCATATTCAATACATCAGGAAGTCCTGTTGGCTGCTGTACCTTTGAAATCCGTGTATAATCTGTCCATTTCTCACTGTCTTCACTGCCACCATTCTAGTCCAAACCACCATCATGTCTCACCTGGATTATCATAGTAGCCATGCAAATGAACTTCTTGCTTCTGCCTTTGCTCCCCCACAATGCTGTCCCAGTAGGTAGCCAGAGTGATCTTTTATTCCTTTTCTCAAAACGCTTCTGTGACTTTTAGTTCTCAGAGTGTAAAGCTAAAACGCTTTTTAAAAGGAGTCTTAGGATCTGTAAGCCCTACTCAGTCTGTCCCCTTGCCACCACTCTGTTTATTATCTTGTGGGTTTTTTTTTTTGTTTGTTTTTTTTTGAGACGGAGTCTCGCTCTGTCGCCCAGGCTGGAGTGCAGTGGCGCCATCTCGGCTCACTGCAAGCTCCGCCTCCCGGGTTCACGCCATTCTACTGCCTCAGCGTCCGAAGTAGCTGGAACTACAGGCGCCCGCTACCACGCCCGGCTAATCGCCCGGCTAATTTTTTGTGTTTTTTTGTAGAGACAGAGTTTCACTGTGTTAGCCAGGATGGTCTCGATCTCCTGACCTCGTGATCCGCCCACCTCGGCCTGGAGTGCTGGGATTACAGGCGTGAGCCACCGCGCCCGGCTTATCTTGTGTTTAATCTTTTCCTCCTCTCTCCTGCTAGGCGATCCACACAGGCCTCCTTGCTGTTTCTCAGAGGTAGAGCTCTGATCTCAGCTTTATAGCTACTATTTCTTAAATGCTCTTCCTCCAGTTAACTGTATATAATGGTGCCTCACTCATTCAAATCTTTGCTCACATATACTTCAGCAATGAAGCTTGCCCTGACCATCGTTTTTAGAGTTAAGCTTCTCTATCCCAGCATAAATCTATCCCAGAATAAATCTCCTCAAATATTTTACAGGGTTTGACTGTTTTTGTCGACATAAGTCTAAGGTTTTTGACCTGAATGTGTGGTGACTCTTGCTTGTAATGGCTGTATTGTTTTTGGCTACTGCAATTCTGTGAGTTAGCAGAAATAGGAGCAGCAGGAAGATGATTTCAGTATTGTAGCTGTTGTGTGTTAAACACTTGAGAAACCTGCAAGGGGACATCAAAAGCAATTGGAAATATATGACTAGAGATCGAGTTAAAGAAACTACTCTGAGGAATAAAAGGAAGCCTGAGCCTAAACAGAGCTTCAAGTTTATTGTCTTCACAAAGTATTCTTCTTTTTATAACCGTATGATTTCTTAGCCTTTGTAACTGTCCTGTAAATTCTGCTTATTTCTAAATTACTATTAGTAAAGCTCTTAAAATGGGGAGGGTTTATACATTTACCAATGGTCAGATTAATGGGAGAGGAAGCTCATGGATTTCTCCAGAATTTTGAGTTCTTTTTTTTTTTTTTTTTTGGAGGTGGAGTCTTGCTCTGTTGCCCAGGCTGGAGTGCAGTGGTGCGATCTTGGCTCACTGCAACCTCCACCTCCTGGTTTCAAGCAATTCTCCTGACTCAGGCTCCTGAGTAGCTGAGACTACAGGCGCACGCCAGCATGCCCGACTAATTTTTGTATTTTTAGTAGAGATGGGGTTTCACTATGTTGGCCAGGTTGGTCTTTAACTCCTGACCTCCTGATCTGCCTGCCTTGGCCTCCCAAAGTGCTGGGATTACAGGTGTGAGCCACCGCACCCAGCCTAATTTTGAGTTCTGTAAAGAACAATTAACTGCACTATCACCCAGACGTGGTTACCTTTCTTGTTTATTGATTGCTTAATATGTATTTAGCATTCATTCAATATGTGTTGGGAATACATTATAGGCTGGTAAACAAGCAATTACAGCACAATATTCTATATTAAGTGCCAGATGCAGAAAATAATAAGAGTCTTAGGGATGGGGTCAAGGGATGGTTCTCAAAGGAAATGAACCGTTAGCTGAGACAAGCAGAGGAGTTTCGGTGGAGGTAAAGGGGATGGGCAACTGATCAGAATATGTAAAGCCCTGGAGTAAAGACAAAGCCAAGCATTTTGAGGGGAACTGAGAAGGTTGGGCAAAGCGGGAATGAATTAAAAGAGATGAGAGCTAGAGATAAAATACTTGATATTCAAGGCTTTGGGGCATTATCTTGAAGAAAATCTTAACATTTTAAAGGAATTACATAATGAGATTATCATTTGAAGATCTCTAGCTATAATGGGGAGGTTCAAACTGCCAGGGGGCTTTCATATTCACTGTGTCTAGGATAGGGCTTAAAAAGTTACTTTTTTTTTTTTCCTTTGATTGTAGTACACGCCCAACATTTTGAGAACAGTTGAATTAATAGGGTTCTTTAGTAAGCCTGTTAGTTTTGCTTATCCAAATTGTCATGGTGGTGTTAGGGCCAGCGGGAAATCTTTTTCTCTTTTGGGCTGGATGGTGTTACCAAAACACCAGGGGTTTGGTCTAGGTCCTGCTGCTTGCCGCACAGAAAGCCAATCACAGAGACGGGTATTGCCAGGGAAGAAGGCTTTAATTGGGTGCTGCAGCCAAGGACATGGGAGATCAGTCTCAAATCCATCTCAGTCTCAAATCCATCTCTGACTGACTAAAATTAGAGGTCTATATAGCAGAGAAGAAATGTAACCATGTGTGGGCAAACAGGAATTAGAGAGGGGTGAGGAAGAGAAGTTGGTCAACAGGCAGCAGGTGGTCAGTTAAGCAATCATGCAGGCTCTGGCTTCTCATTGTCCAGTTGCAGTGATCTGTTAAGTAAGTTTCAGCTTCTTAATACTATCTAGGAGGCCTGATGGTTTGTTTCCTAAGAAAGGAGCTTAGATAACACAAATAGAACTTTCTCAAGTTTTAAGACTGTGAGGATCAATTTCTGTATTTATTCAGAGAAACCATAAAGATCAGTTCTGTGGGATAATTGGCTGGTTTCAATGTTATCTTTCCTTGAAGGAAGTAAACAAAGCATTAAACTGGGGCCTGATTAAAGTGGGCTTATTGATTTGAGAAATTCAAGTATGGTAAGTTGTCCCAAGTCAGTAATGTATTTTACTTTTTTTTGTAATCTGTTAGAAGATGGGAGCAGGCAAAGGGAAGGAGGGAAGCTTTCACACAGTGGAGAAAGAATGCTTTTTAGGCTTCAGCCAGTTTTTCTTATCACAAAGCCCTCACCTACTTCTTGTTTCATATAGAATTCTTCCAGTTACCCAGTCACTTAAACCAGAAACCTGTGAGCTATCCTACACTTTCTCCCTTATATAGTTGGTTATTCAGTCCTTTAATAAAATAATCTTTAGGCTGTGTACAGTGGCTCACACCTGTAATCCCAGCACTTTGGGAGGCCGAGGTGGGTGGATCACTTGAGCCCAGAAGTTTGAGACCAGCCTACCAAACTAGCAAGACCCCGACTCTTAAAAAGAAATTAGCTGGGCAGGGTGGCACATACCTGTATAGTCCTAGCTACTTGGGAGGCTGAGATGGGAGCATCTACTTGAACCTGGGAGTTTGAGGCTGTGTTACTGGTGGAGGGTGTCCAGGTTCTTGGCATCTTGAACAAAGAACTGGACAAAACACACAGACAAAGCAAGGAAGGGATGAAGTCAGAGATTTATTGAAAATGAAAGTACACTCCACAGTGTGGTGGCGGGCCCTAGCGTAGGGGCTCAAGGGCACCGTTATAGAATTTGTGGGGGTTTCAATACCCTCTAGAGGCTTCCATTGGTTACTTGGTGTATACCCTATGTGAATGGAGAGGTGAAGTAAAGTTACAAAGTCATTTACTTGGTGTATGCCCTATGGAGAGGATATTTCCTGTCATAGCTGAAGTGTGAATCGGCCTAATGTTCCCTGCCTCCAGACCCTATTTTCCCATCTCAGCAAGCCGTGTTCATACTACTGTACTCCAGCCTGAGTGACAGAGTGAGACCTTGCATCCAAATAATGATAAAAATAATAAAATAACCTTTCATGTCTTCTCAGATCTCTTCAAAACCCTTCCCGCTATCTTCTAAACCCTTTCCCTCATCAACACTGGTTAAGTTCAGATGCTCATATTTTTCATGGAATATTATGTTGCTTCCTTGCATCCCACAGGTCTAGGGTTGTTGAGTTGCTTCCCTATCTTGAAAAAAAACATTTTTTTGAGACAGGGTCTTGCTCTGTTACCCAGGCTGGAGTGCAGTCATGCAGTCATAGCTCACTGCAACTTTGAACTCCTGAGCTCAAATGATCCTCCTGCCTCGGCTTCCCAAGTAGCTAGGACAACAGGTGTGGGCCACCATGTCCTGCTGATTAAAAAATTTTTTTTGGTAGAGATGGGGAGTCTCACTATGTTGCCCAGCCTGGTCTTGAACGCCTGGCCTCAAGTGATCCTCCCACCTCAGCCTCCGAAAGTGCTGTTACAGGTGCAAGCCGCCACTCTTGGCCCTGCCATCTTAATATATGCTATTTAATTTAATTAATTAATTTATTTATTTTGAGACGGAGTTTCCCTCTTGTTGCCCAGGCTGGAGTGCAATGGCGCCATCTTGGCTCACCGCAACATCCGCCTCCTGGGTTCAAGCAATTCTCCTGCCTCAGCCTCTCGAGTAGCTGGGATTACAGGTGCTTGCCACCATGCCCGGCTAATTTTTTGTATTTTTAGTAGAGACAGGGTTTCATCATCTTTGCCAGGCTGGTGTTGAACTCCTGCCCTTATGATCTACCCGCCTTGGCCTCCCAAAGTGCTGGGATTATAGGCGTGAGCCACTGCACCTGGCCAAATCTGACCAGATACAACCGCTTATGCCTGTCATCCTAGTACTTTGAGAGGCCAAGAAAGGTGGATCACTTGAGCTCAGGAGTGTGAAACCAACCTGGGCAACATGGCAAAACCCTGTCTTTACAAAAAATACAAATATTAGGCATGGTGGCGCACACCTGTAGTTCCAGCTACTCAGGAGGCTGAGGTGGGAGGGTAGCTTGAGCCTGGGAGGTCAAGGCTGCAATGAACTGTGTTCATGTCACTGCCCTCCAGCCTGGGTGACAAAGCGAAATCCTGTCTCAAAAATTAAAAAAAAAATCATGGCCAGGTGCGGTGGCTTCATGCTTGTAATCCCAGCACTTTGGGAGGCTGAGTTGGGTGGATCATGATGTCAGGAGATGGAGAATCTCCTGGCCTTTAGTAGAGATGGTGAAACCCCGTCTCTACTAAAAGTACAAAAATTAGCTGGGCATGGTGGCGCGTGCCTGTAATCCCCGCTACTCGGGAGGCTGAGGCAGGAGAATCGCTTGAACCAGGGAGTCAGAGGTTGTGGTGAGCCGAGATGACGCCACTGCACTCCAGCCTGGTGACAGAGTGAGACTCCGTCTCAAAAAAAAAAAAAAAAAAAATCAAATCTGATCTTTTAAACTATATTTGTACTAGATTGTCTTTTTTATTTTTTATTTTTTTAAAGAACTTTCATATTCTTTTACATTTTTCTGCCTTTGTTTTTCCTGTGTGATGCTTTTTCCTTTTTCACTGGGACATCTTTCCTTGTCATCAGATCTTTTGATTTTTTTTTTTTTTTTTTAGGAATCAGAAATCGTTTTGTTTGTTTTTTGCAATGTTGCCCAGGCTGATCTTGAACTCTTGGACTTGAGCGGTCCTTCCGTCTTGGCCTCTCCGTGTTGGGGTTACAGACGTGAGCTACCACACCTAGCCCCCCCCCCCCTTTTTTTTTTTTTTTAAAGAGTCAAGGTTTCACTGTATTACCCAGTCTGGAGTGCAATGGCAGTTCACAGGCATGATCATTATGGCTCTTAACAGCCTTGAACTCCTGGCCTCAAGGGATCTTCCTTCCTCAGTCTCCCAGGTAGCTGGGATTAATAGGCACTCTCCACTGCTTCCGGCTCCAGAAATCTTCATTTTAATGTAGTATCTCAATTTTTAAATTTTGACAACTGTTAATTTACTTTAAAAAATGCTATCAAATTTGCAGCCTCATTTATAGAGATTTCCTTGATCATTCTCCTTTCCCCCTGCAAATTTAATTGCTCAGTCTTTGTGTATTTCTGTCATTGCATAATTTTCAAGCTATTATAAACATGATTCTCATACAAATAGACATTGATACATATCATAAACTTTTTTGAAAGTCCTGAAAAATAGTGGAATGAGAAATTGGGATTTATATAGTCAGTTTAGGCCAGGTGCAGTGGCTCACGCCTGTAATCCCAGCGCTTTGGGAAGCTGAGGAGGGCGGATTGCTTGAGGCCAGGCCTTCCAGACCAGCCTGGCCAACATGGCCAAACGTTGTCTCTACAAAAAATACAAAAAATTAGCTGGGCATAGTGGCACATGCCCATCTACTTATGGGGCTGAGGCAGGAGGATCGATTGAGCTTGGGAGGTCAGGGTTGTGGTGAGCCATGATTACGCCATTGCACTCAAGCCTGTATGACAGAACGGGACCCTGTCACACTCAAAATAAAGAAAAGAAATATAGTCAGTTTAATAAAGAATGCTGAAATAAAATTGCTAAGATATAAACGTGGTTAATATCCTACAGGGTATTTAAACTGTAGCTTTTTGGATAACCTCTACTGACTGGACAGAAAAAATTTATTTTACCGTAGTAGTTTTCTGTAAGTTTACTTTTAAATTTGTAGAGTTATAAACTGCCTGGGCCTTAATTGAAATTAGAAATAAAACAATTAGATGACCTCAGGTGAGCCTATTACAAAATGCTCTTGTCATAACATTAAAAGTCATACAATTGATACCTTATTTCAGGTTTTGAATAATTCATTTGAAACATGTTAATTTTTATACTATTAGCGACCAACCTTTTTGTATCCTCTCTTTTTGAAATATTAATGTACAGGAGTTTTCAGAATAATTAACAGATTATATAGATCTGACTTGAGGCTAGGAGTTTGAGACCAGCCTGGCCAACATTCGCAACGAGTGAAACCTCGTCTCTACTAAAAATACCAAAAAACAAAACAAAACCCCCAAAAACAGATTATATAGATCTGTATTTTTGCCCTGTTCTCATTTGAGCACTAGTTCCATATTGTCTTCAGTAGAGTTCTATTAGAACTTGGATCTAATGTGTTCACAGTATATGTCCAATAACAGAAGCATAAGACACATGTAGAATAAATCAGTAGGAGTACTATTTGCTTTACTAAGTTGGGTTTTGAAGTTTAAAGGAGTTTCAGATACAAAAAGAAAAAACCAGGTGGAGTGACCATTGTATGCTGGCTTAGGGCTTGAGTCCAGGTTGTTGCCAGTGACCAGATGTTTGTAACCAACCTCTGGTGTCTTCCCCCCTGCCCCAACTTTAACACAACTGAAGTATTGCTGACACAGTTATTTTCATAAAAACAGTTTGATTGCCGGGCGCAGTGGTTCACGCCTGTAATCCCAGCACTTTGGGAGGCTGAGGCAGGCGGATCACGAGGTCAGGAGTTCGCGACCAGCCTGGCCAACATAGTGAAACCCCGTCTCTACTAAAAATACAAAAATTAGTGGGGCGTGGTGGCACGCGCCTGTAGTCCCAGCTACTCGGGAGGCTGAGGCAGGAGAATCACTTGAACCCGGGAGGCGGAGGTTGCAGCAAGTCGAGATCGTGCCACCGCACTCCAACCGGTCGACAGCTCGAGACTCCGTCTCAAAACAGTTTCATCATGTTTCTTCTATGTTTGAAAATGTAAATTACTTCATGTTGCCAACATACAGACTTCATTTTCTTGGCATAGGAGCTTTTCAGTTTCCCTGTGCTTCTCAGTTTCTGCAGTCATGTTTTTCACACCTTACTGTTCATTGAAAATAGAGTCCTTTACTGTTGCTGCCTGCTCCCCATTCACGATTATCCTTTTCCTTCACCTCTGTCTGGCCAAATGCTACATTTTCTTTTAGACATAACTTTCTCCTTCATTCCAACAATATAACTGTTGAGACTGTTCTAGTCCAGGAGGGTCTCCTTATCTTAGAAGTTTGCTTCTATCTGTTCATACAGGTATGCAGTCCTGTCATGTTCTGTATGGTAAATCTATGGGTGGCTTGTCTCTGTTTCACCTGGAAGACAGTAAACCACTTTTCAAACTTAGTGTCACATATAGTGCTTCCTATAGAATTAAAAAAAATGTGTCTCATGAGTCAATATGTTTTTGTATTTGTAGACCTGAAAGATGTCTGAAAATTCCAGTGACAGTGATTCATCTTGTGGTTGGACTGTCATCAGTCATGAGGTATGATATTTAATACTTTTTATAAGGTAATTTGTAATATTAATGTTACCAGTGATGTAAACTGTGTTCTTTGAAGATCAGTCTTTTTCTACCTTTAAGCAAAAAGTTCCAATGGACATTTTCCCTCTCATATTAAACTTCACTGCTGAAAACGCTTCATGAGCCAGCATCTTCTACATTATTGTACATAGCTTTGAGACATTAGGCAAATATTTATTGAAGGTTTGTTATTGTTCAGGCCCTGTGCTTTACTTTCATTTTCATATAATTTTGTCTTTTTTTTTTTTTTTTTTTTTGAGACAGAGTCTCACTCTGTTGCCCAGGCTGGAGTGCAGTGGCGTGATCTCAGCTCACTGCAACCTCCGCCCCACTGGACTGAAATGATTCTCCTGCCTCAGCCTCCTGAGTAGCTGGAATTACAGGTGCCTGCTACCATGCCCAGCTAATTTTTGTATTTTCAGTAGAGACGAGTTTCACCATCTTGGCCAGGCTGATCGTAAACTCCTGACCTCGTGATCCATCTGCCTCGGCTTCCCAACATGCTGGGCTTACAGATGTGAGCCACTGTGCCTGGCCAATTTTGTCTTTTTTTTTTTTTAAAGGGACAGGATCTTGCTCTGTTGCCCAGGCTAGAGTGCAGTGGCTGTTCACATGTGCAATCATAGTACCATGTAACCTTTAACTCCTTGGGCTCAAGTGATCCTCCCAAGTAGCTGGGACTATAGGCATATGCCACCATACCCTGTTCTTAAATAATTTTGAATATTTCACTGTGATACATACTGTTTTCATTCTTATTTTATAGTTGAGAAAACTAAAGCTTAGAGAGGTTAAGTAATTTGGTCAAGATTATGCAGCTAGAAAATAGATCCTGGATTTGAACAGATCAGAAAGGAGAATGGAGAACATGTGTTCCATTTACGTTATAGCAGAACTTCACAGGGAAAAGGCCAGAACCCTATCACAAAATGAATTTTATAATAGAAGATTGATATACATACAACAAGTATACATAACTTGTACATTTTGTTTATTTTTTCATACCAGTAATATATGTTCACTGTAGAAAAATGGCAGTATATTGATAAACAGAAATATACTTACTCCAGGTTTTACTCCAGGTTTTAATGGACATCTATAATTTTCCCATTTGTTTTTAGGGTATTGTAAGCCTCACTTGTTTTCTTTTTTTCTTTTTTGAGATGGAGTTTTGCTCTTGTTGTCCAGGCTGTCGCTCTTGTTGTCTTGTACAGTGACGCAATCTCGGCTCACAGCAACCTTCGCCTCCTGGGTTCAAGCCATTCTCCTGCCTCAGCCTCTGGAGTAGCTGGGATTACAGGCATGTGCCACCACGCCCGACTAATTTTGTATTTTTAGTAGAGACGGGGTTTCTCCATGTTGGTCAGGCTGGTCTCGAACTCCCGACGCCAGGTGATCCGCCCGCCTCGGCCTCCCAAAGTACTGGGATTACAGGCGTGAGCCACCGTGCCCGGCCACTTGTTTTTTTAATAAAAATTATAGGCCGGGCGTGGTGCTCACGCCTGTAATTCCAGCACTTTGGGAGGCCGAGGTCGGGGCAGATCACTGAGGTCGGGAGTTCGACACCAGCCTGACCAACATGGAAGAAACCCGGTCTCTACTAAAAATACAAAATTAGCCAGGCGTGGTCGCACATGCCTGTAATCCCAGCTATTTGGGAGGTTGAGGCAGGACAATCGCTTGAACCTGGGAGGCGGAGGTTGCGGTGAGCAGAGTTCGTGCCATTGCACTCCAGCCTGGGCAACAAGAGTGAAACTGTCTCAAAAAAAGAAAAAAAAAATTAAAAAATTTTTGTTTTTTAAACTATTAGTTAAGGTTCAGGTAGTTATGTTTAGAAAACATTAACAGAAAAAAACAAGATTGCCTTTTCTGCATTAAAATTTCAAAATTTAAAAGCATCTATCATTTGAGATTGAGATGATTCTTCTTTTTAAAATCTTCAGTGACTTTTCTATTTTTAGCTTGTTTTCTTCAAAGGATTAGATCAACTCCCATAGCAACTTCTCCTTCAAGGATAATTAACAATATAGGAGCAAGGCAGCTATGGGAGTCTTACCTGTTAGTCTGCAGGGTGGAGTATGACAGCAGACCTCTGTCTGGCACTCAGTCAAGTGTGTCATTAGGGTGTTCTGTACTGGATGTTATGTCCCAGATTGAATCATATTTGTACTTTTATCTCTCTTCTTCTATATCTGCTTTCCAGGTTCTACTCTTTCTTGCTAATTTCTCTTACATGTGTCTCCTTTTCCTCTCCCATTACTGCCATTCTCATTTGGGCCAGAATTGGTTTCCCCAGCAATTCCTAATACATAACCTTGCTTTAGCCTCTACCATTCTCCTGCCACTATAGACAACCTCGGAGTCTTGCATTCCGAATTCTCATTAGGGCTCAACTTAAACGCTACTTTTTTCTTTACTTTTTTTTTTTTGAGATGGAGTCTTGCTCTGTCGCCCAGGCTGGAGTGCAGTGGCAGGATCTCTGCTCACTGCAAGCTCCGCCCCATCGGTTCACGCCATTCTCCTGCCTCAGCCTCTGGAGTAGCTGGGACTACAGGCGCCCGCCACCACGCTCGGCTATTTTTTTTTTGTATTTTTAGTAGAGATGGGGTTTCACCGTGTTAGCCAGGATGGTCTCGATCTCCTGACCTCGTGATCCGCCCGCCTCAGGCTCCCAAGGTGCTGGGATTACAGGCGTGAGCCACTGCCCCGGCCCTACTTTTTTCATGAATTCTTTTAATTTTTGCTGTCTTGAGTTATGTATACGCAAGAGAATGCAGACCTTTCGATTCCATGTGTCAGCAGACTATAGTGGGGACATAGGGAAAGACGGAATCACCTTAGTGGTTAACTTTGTTTTACAATTAAGACACAAAGAAAAATTGTATGATCCGCTATTATTAATGAAAAGACAGTCTGACATCAAAGTAGGAAAGATAACCTCAGAATAAAAAGATAGTCTAAAATTGTGTGAGGAGAGTATTCATTAACCCTATAGGTTTATTTAATCCATGTCATTAAAGCTTTAGCCATTTTTAGTTTATAGTGCCATAATAAGTAGTTATTTGCATATGGGTGTTTCTCTGAATATGTTGTAAAATTGAATTTTGGATTTCATTTTTTTTTTTTTTTTTTGAGACGGAATTTTGCTTTTTTTGTGATCCACCGGCCTCAGCCTCCCAAAGTGCTGGGATTACAGGCGTGAGCCACCGTGCCCAGCCAGATTTGAATTTTTTATATCCCACAGCATCTAGCGAAGTGCCTTGTCTAGAGTAGTTCCATAAATGTTAAGTAGAAACAAATTATTATAGAAATAACCAAATTTAGACCCTTATTCTCTGGAATTCAAATTTATTGCTTGAGCTCATAAAATAGAGCATTCCACTTTTGGGCTGACCTGACTTAGAATTTAAACCTGAGACTCCATTGTGCCATTTTCCTGCCATAGGCCTTTGTGGACTAAATTGAACAAAAGCTTGTCTAATTAGATACTGTTCCTTTGGAGTATGGCAGCATCTGAGACTTTTAATAATGGAAGAAGCATTTACATGTAGTCAAATCTAGCTTTGAGGAGCTAATAGGCAAATAACTGAAAGATTATCACTTTTCCTTAGGGGTCAGATATAGAAATGTTGAATTCTGTGACCCCCACTGACAGCTGTGAGCCCGCCCCAGAATGTTCATCTTTAGAGCAAGAGGAGCTTCAAGCATTGCAGATAGAGCAAGGAGGTAAGTTGTTCACAAATTCTAATTTTTTTTTTAATATGATATATGAGTGATATTATGAGTCTTGCCTTCTTTCCAGGTGGGTGGCCTTTCTGGCTAATCTAAGGGGTCGTTGGAGGATTAGAACTTCAGTGTAGGTTGGGCACAGTAGCTCACACCTGTAATCCCAGCATTCTGGGAGGCTGAGGTGGGCGGATCATTTGAGGTCAGGAGTTCAAGAGCAGTCTGGCCAACATGGTGAAACCCTGTCTCTACTAAAAATACAAAAAATTAGCCGGGTGTATTGGCAGGTGCCTGTAATCCCAGCTACTCAGAAGGCTGAGGCAGGAGAATCGCTTGAACCTGGGAGGCGGAGTTTGCAGTGAGCCGAGATTGTGCCATTGCACTCCAGCCTGGGCAACAGAGTGAGACTCCATTTAAAACAAACAAACAAAGAAAAACTTCAGTGTGGATTTGGTGAAGGCCCACAGAACCCAGAGTCATCAGCCTGCCCCAGGGGTTTATTTGCAGCTGTAGTATATTTTTGGGTTTTCAGATACACTTTGTTGCTACAGAGGTAACCAGTGACAAAAAAAGTGTTTCATGGTTTAATCTGAATTTGTTTGGTAGTTTCTATTTCCTTGTCATTTGTTTGGTAGTTTGTATTTACTTGTCATTATTAAAGTTAAGAAAAAAATTATTCATTGATCACAAGAGATTTACTAACCTGTTTTCCAGTTATTATCATGTTGATGGAGTTACAGACATGCCTCTCATTTTATTCTGCTTTGCTTTATTGTACTTCGCAGATACTACATTTTTTACAAATTGAAAGTTTGTGGCAACCCTGTGTTGAGCAAGTCTATTAATGCCATTTTTCCGATAGCATATGCCCACTTCATGTCTCTGTGTCTCATTTTTATAATTATAATATTTCATTTATTTTTATTTTATTTTATTGAATTGAATTGGCGGAGTTTCGCTCTTGTTTCCCATGCTGGAGTGCAATGGTATGATCTTGGCTCACTGCAGCCTCTGCCTCTTGGGTTCAAGTTATCCTCCTGCCTCAGCCTCTCAGCTGGGATTACAGGCATGCGCCACCGTGCCCAGCTAATTTTGTGTTTTTAATAGAGACGGAGTATCATCATGTTGGTTAGCCTGGTCTCGAACTCCTGACCTCAGGTGATCCACCTGTGTCAACCTCCCAAAGTGCTGGGATTACAGGCGTGAGCCACTGCGCCTGGCCTGTAATTGTCATATTTCAAACTTTTTCATTATTATTACATCAGTTATGGTGATCTGTGATCAGAGATCTTTGATTTTACTATTGTAATTCCTTTGGGACACCATGAACCGTGCCTATGAAAGACAGTGAACTTAATAAATGTGTGTGTTCTGACTGCTCTACTGACTTGCCATTCCCCCATCTCTCTCCCTCTCCTTTGGCCTCCCTGTTCCTGGAGACAACAACAATATTGAAATCAGGCCAATTAATAACCCTACAGTGGCCTCCAGGTGTTCAGGTGAAAGGAAGAGTTGTGTGTCTCTCACTTCAAATCAAAAGCTAAAAATGATTAAGCTTATTTGAGGAAGGCATGTCAAAAGCTAAGTCTCTTGGGCCAGATAGTTAGCCAAGTTGTGAATGCAAAGGAAAAGTTCTTGAAGGAAATTAAAAGTCCTTCTTAGTGAACACATGAATGATAAGGAAGCCATATAGCCTTATTGCTGACATGGAGAAAATTTTAGTGGTCTTGGTAGAAGATTGAACCAGCCACAAAATTCCCTTAAGCCATAGCCTAATCCAGAACAAGTCCTTCCTAACTTGCTTCAAGTCTATGAAGGCTAAGAGTGGTTAAGAAGCTGTAGAAAGAAAGGCGGAAGCTAGCTGAGGTTGGTTCATGAGGTTTAAGGAAAGAAGCTATGTCCGTAACATAAAAGTGCAAGGTGAAGTAGCAAGTGCTGATGTAGAAGGCGCACCAAGTTATCCAGGAGATCTAACTGAGATAATGGATGAAGGTGGCTACCCCAACCAGCAGATTTTCAGTATAGATGACACAACTTTCTATTGGAAGAAGATGCCATCTAGGACTTTCCTAACTACAGAGAAGTCAATATCTGCTTCTAGGCTTCAAAGAACAAGCTCACTTTCTTGTTAGAGGCAAATGTAGCTGGTGACTTTAAGTTGAAGCCAGTGTTTACTTACCATGCCTTGAGAAATCCTAGGACCCTTAAAAAATATGCTACATCTACTCTGCCTGTGCTCTGTAAATGGAACAACAAAGCCTAGGTGACAGCCATGTGTTTACAACATGGTTTACTGAATATTTTAAGCTCAGTGTTGAGACCTGCTGCTCAGAACAAAAAGATTCCTTTCAAAATACTAGACATTGTATAGCAATACCTGGTCAATCACCGAAGGGCTCTGATGGAGATGTACAAGGAGATTCATGTTACTTTGTTTCCTGCTAACACAACATCCAGTCTGTAGTCCATGGATCAAAGAGTAGTTTTGACTTTCAGGTTGTATTATTTAATAAATACATTTTGTAAGGCTGTAGCTGCTATAGATAGTGATTGTTCTGATGGATCTGGGCAATGTGTGTGAATTGAAAATCTTCAGGAAAGGATTCACCATTCTAGATGCCTTTAAGAACAATTGTGATTTGTGGGAAAAGGTCAAAATATCAACATTAACAGGAGTTTGGAAGAAGTTGATTTCAACCTTCATGACTTTGAGTGGTTCAAGACTTTAATGGAGGAAGGAACTGCAGATGTGGTAGAAGTAGCAAGAGAATTAGAATTAGAAGTGGATCCTGGTCGGGTGTGGTGGCTCATGCCTATAATCCCAGCACTTTGGGAGGCTGAGGTGGGCGGATCATGAGGTCAGGAGATCGAGACCATCCTGGCTCACACGGTGAAATCCCATCTCTACTAAAAATACAAACAATTAGCTGGGCGTGGTGGCAGGCGCCTGTAGTCCCAGCTACTCGGGAGGCTGAGGCAGGAGAATGGCGTGAACCTGGGAGGCGGAGCTTGCAGTGAGCCAAGATCGCGCCACTGCACTCTAGCCTGGGCAACAGAGCGAGACTCTGTCTCAAAAAAAAAAAAAAAAGAAGTGGATCCTGAAAATGTGATCCAATTGTTGTAATCTCATGATAAACTTGAACAGATAAGGAGTTGCTTCTTATGGATGAGCAAAGAAAGTAGTTTCTTGAGATGCAATCTACTCTTGGTGAAGATGCTGTGAATATTATTGAAATGACAACAGAGGATTTAGAATATTACACAAACTTAGTTAATAAAGCAGTGGCAGGGTTTGAGAAGATTGACTCCAATTTTGAAAGTTGTTCTACTGTGGGCAAAGTGCTATCAAACAGCATTGCATGCTACAGAGAAATCTTTCATGAAAGGAGAGTCAATCCATGTGGGAAACTTCAGTGTTGTCATACTTCAAGAAATTGCCCCAGCTACTCCACCCTTCAGCAGCTACCACAGTGGTCAGTCAGCAGCCATCATCTTTGAAGTAAGACTCTCCACCAGCAAAAATATTACAATTCACTGAAGGCTCAGATGATCACTAGCACTTTTTAGCAATAATGTATTTTTAAATTAAGATATGTACAGTTTTTTAGACATGATGTTATTGCACACTTAATAGATTACAGCATAGTGTAAACCTAACTTTTACATGGACAGGGAAACCAAAAAATTCATGTGACTTGCTTTATTACATTGGTTTGGAACTGAACTTGCAGATATCTGAGATATGCCTGTACTCTGGTTCCAATCTGGTAAAATGGAATCTGTATTATGTATACTTCACATGGGATTTGATGCACACATTATTTATATAGAGAAATAGGACTCCTGAACAATTACTGCATACACTTATGTTCATATTTAAATTACTTCATTAACTTTTTAAAAAAATTACAGTAAAATGCATACAGAACATTTCCCCTCAGGAGAAAAAAGTGGATGTGTCAAGGCCAGAAATAGAAGAGATTATAGCTGTTAATTTTTTTAAGCCTACACGTTGATTATTACTACTCTCATTTGAAAAGTGATTCTCATCTTTTTTGTGTCAGAGATCCTTTTGAGAATCTGAAAGCTATGGACAGTTTCTTCCAAGAAATGCATTTACTTGCATATGTTAAAGAAAATTTTCTTTTTTTTCTTTTTCTTTATGAGACAGAGTCTCGCACTGTTGCCCAGGCTGGAGTGCAGTGGCGCAATGATCTCAGCTCACTGTAACCTCCGCCTCCCCGGTTCAAGTCTCAGCCTCCTGTGTAGCTTGGATTACAGGTGCCTGCCACTATGCCCAGCTATTTTTTTTTTATTTTTTATTTTTAGTAGAGACGGGGGTTTCACCATGTTGGCCACTCTGGTCTCGAACTCCTGACCTCCTGATCAGTCTGCCTCGGCCTCCCAAAGTGCTGTGATTACAAGCATGAGCCACTGTGCCCGGCCTAATTTTTTTGTTTTTTGAGATGGTGTCTTGCTCTGTTGCCCAGGCTGGAGTGCAGTGGCGGGATCTCGGCTCGCTGCAAGCTCCGCCTCCCGGGTTCACGCCATTCTCCTGCCTCAGCCTCCCAAGTAGCTGGGACTACAGGTGCCCACCACCACGCTCGGCTAATTTTTTGTATTTTTAGTAGAGACGGGGTTTCACTGTGTTAGCCAGGATGGTCTTGATCTCCTGACCTCGTGGTCTGTCCGCCTTGGCCTCCCAAAGTGCTGAGATTACAGGCGTGAGCCGCCGCGCCCGGCCATTTTAATAGCGACGGGATTTCACTATGTTGGTCAGGCTGGTCTTGAACTCCTGACCTCGTGGTCTGCCTGCCTCAGCCGCTCAAAGTGCTGGGATTACAGGCATGAGTCACCGCGCCTGGCCCCAGCACCCCGGCCGAGTACTGTGGCGGAATCTCACCTCTAAATTAATTAATTTTCTGTTAGAGGGTATATAATGCTGAAAAATATTTTTTTTTCCCTGTTCTTTGCAGGACTTAAATTACATAAGAAATGCATGATCGACCGGGCGCGGTAGCTCATGCCTATAATCCCAGCACTTTGGGTGGCCGAGGCGGGCGGCTTACGGGGTCAGGAGATCAAGACCATCCTGGCTAACACGGTGAAACCCCGTCTGTACTAAAAATACAAAAAATTAGCCGGGCGTGGTGGTGGGCGCCTGTAGTCCCAGCTACTTGGGAGCCTGAGGCAGGAGGATGGCGTGAACCCGGGAGGCGGAGCTTGCAGTGAGCCGAGACGGCGCCACTGCACTCCAGCCTGGGCGACAGAGGGGGACTCCGTCTCAAAACAAAACAAAACAAAAAAAAAACAAAAAGAAATGCATGTTCATGATAGGGAAAAAAAAATAGTAAGCAAAAGAAATTTAAAATGGTCTATAATTCTTTTATCTAGAAATAATTACTGTTGATATTTGGTGTACTTTGCTCATAAATTTATATGTTATATTATTTTTAACTTTTCTTAATATTTTATGCTCTTTTCTTTTTTTTTTTTTTTAAGACAGAGTTTCACTCTTGTTGCCCAAGCTGTAGTGCAATGGCATGATCTCGGCTCACTGCAACCTTCGCCTCCTGGGTTCAAGCAATTCTCCTGCCTCAGCCTCTGGAGTAGCTGGGATTACAGGCGCGCACCACCACACCTGGCTAATTTTTTGTATTTTTAGTAGAAACGGGGTTTCACCGTGTTAGCCAGGCTGGTCTCAAACTCCTGACCTCAGGTGATTCACCTGCATTGGCCTCCCAAACTGCTGGGATTACAGGTTTGAGCCACTGTGCCCGGCCTTTATGCTCTTTTTCATTAAAAATATATTGTGAAGTCATCATTCTGTTTGTACACATTTTCTTTGAGGAGGTTCTTATAAAATATATCTTCTGTAGTGACATTTAGTTTTTCTGTGTTTTGAGTTCTTTCTTTTTTAAAAAAAATTATTGGTAGAACTGGTCTCGCTATGTTGCCTAGGCTGGTTTTGAACTCCTGGCTTTAAGTGATTCTCACACATTGGCCTACCAAAGTCCTGGGATTACAAGCATGAGCCACTGTGCCTGGACTGCCCTCTCTCTGACTTTTTTTTGAGACATAGTCACACTCTCTTGTCCAGGCTGGAGTGCAGTGGCATGATCATGGCTCACTGCAGCCTCAACTCCTAGGCTCAAGTAATCCTCCTGCCTCAGCTTTCTGAGTAGCTAGTACTATAGGCACATACCACCATGCCCAAATAATTTTTTAATTTTTATTTTTGTAGAGACAGGGTCTTGCTGTGTTGCCCAGGCTGGTCTTGAACTTGTAGCGTCAAGCAGTCCTCCAGCCTTGGCCTCCCAAAAGTGCTAGGGTGACAGGTATGAGTCACTGCACCCCGCCTGAGTCCTTGTTTTTTATAGTTTATGTTTTCTTATAAGGCATTTAGACACACACACACACACACACACACACACACACGTACATATACATACATACTTTCATAAATCATAGTTTGAAGCCACGGTTTTTATTCTTACGGTACCAGGCATTGACAGCCATTAGAATGGTCTTTAGAAACTTCGAATAAACTTTTAAGAATTCAGGAAATGTATCACTAGGTATCTAATGATAGATTTTTTCATATTAGGTATTAATGAACATACTGGATCAAGTAATTTGGTAATGTAAGGTAGAGGTTTTATTTACTTAGTCAAGGTAGCTTTGAGTTCTTAATAAATCTTGTGGCTGGGCACGATGGCTCATACCTGTAATCCCAGCACTTTGGGAGGCCAAGGTGGGCGGATCGCTTGAAGTCAGGAGTTCGAGACCAGCCTGGGCAACATGGTAAAACCCTATCTCTAGTAGAAATACAAAAATTAGCCGTGGCGTATGTCTGTAATCCCAGTTGCTTAGGAGGCTGAGGCAGGAGAATCACTTGAACCCAGGAGGCAGAGGTTGCAGCGAGCCAAGATAGTGCCACTGCACTCCAGCCTGGGCAACAGAGCAAGACTCCATCTCCAAAAAAAAAAAAAATCTTAAATGATTGCATTTTCTTATCCAAAATTATCACCTGACAGTTTCAAATAAATGAAGTTCATTAGCAACAGTGGAGTGACTTCTATAATTGTATGTGACATTTCATTAAATCTATCCTAACATATTAGGAAGAGATTTTTATCTACCCAGATTATATGTTGGCTGCAGAAAGTCAACAGAGAGTTTTAAATTAAGAAATAATTATATTGATCTTTGCTTTATATCAGAAAGCAGCCAAAATGGCACAGTGCTTATGGAAGAAACTGCTTATCCAGCTTTGGAGGAAACCAGCTCAACAATTGAGGTAAACTTGTATTTTACACTGTGGATATATGTTAAATAGTATCCTTAGAATACTATTTAAAGCCTCTAATTCTATTTATGCATTCTATTCCTATTTTGAATTATAAGCAATTTTGACTTCTAAGTTAGATGTCTTAGAGGACATCTAAGCAAAGTATTTTATTGGTATTGTGTTAAAGATCTATCTTTTCACCTCTAATATAATTCTTTTTGGAAGTAGATTGCATTCTTGAATTATATTGAAAAATTAAACTGTTAGGTTTCATGTCTAAAATGGTGGTTCATTTTAAAATTTGGTAACAACCTGAGACTTATGCTTTGGGGTTTTACTTGACTTCTGTATAAAACTAGATAGCTAGATGATCATTTTACATGGTGTTTTAGTCTGTACTGATCTGACAAAATACCTGATACTGGGTGATTTATAACAAACAGAAATTTATTTCTCACAATTATAGAGGCTGGGAAGTTTAAGATCAAAGTGTGGACAAGTTCAGTGTTTGCTGATGACATGCTGTCTTGTTTCCAAATGGCATTTTGTTGCTACATCTTTAAGAGGAGATGGGCAAAAAAAGGCTGGATGCTGCATGAAGCCTGTTTTATAAAGACCTTAATCATATTCCTAGGGGAGGATCCCTTATAACTCAGTCACCTCCTAAAGGTCCCACTTCTTAGTACTATCACATTGGCGATTACATTCCAGCGTAGAAATTTGTGGGGACACCTTCAGATACATTCAGTACAAGATACAGCTGTTGAAGTTTATTACGTACATAACCTAAAAAGTTCAGTGAGTCTTTTTTGGGCTTCCACACTACAGAGTTGTGCTCGAATAGAACCATGGAACTCGTGAGAGAAGTGAGCTCTTTTTTCTGTGGTTATTGAGGGGGCAAAGATGGGCTTCTCAGCTTCTGCAGCCCACTAGGAGAATGCAGTGGTCTGATCTAATTCTGAGAGTTGTCAAGGGATCTGATGGTGTTCTCAAGCTATATGATGAGCCTGCTATTGCATAATTCTTTACTAATAGTAGGAATCATATCTTTTATTTTAACTCAGATGACTATAATACTTACTACTGTTGTATTCTAAGAAAATGTAAGACCCTTAAATGATTGTTGAACTTACCATCTCTAAAATTATGATTCTTCAGGCAGAGGAACAAAAGATACCCGAAGACAGTATCTATATTGGAACTGCCAGTGATGATTCTGATATTGTTACCCTTGAGCCACCTAAGTTAGAAGAAATTGGAAATCAAGAAGTTGTCATTGTTGAAGAAGCACAGAGTTCAGAAGACTTTAACATGGGCTCTTCCTCTAGCAGCCAGTATACTTTCTGTCAGCCAGAAACTGGTAAGAATACACTGATAAGAGACTTAAAGACATGTACGACCACATTTTATATAAAGGCTTGTTTTCTACCCCTAATAATTTAGTCTCTAGTTTTGAATATGTTTGGGTAAAACTCAAGACAAGACTATTTTTGTGTGTGAAATCTATTAATACCTAGTGTTTCGCTAGACTGTTCTGGAGCATAGCAATCTTTTACTGTAACAGTAACCATCTTTTGCCATTAAATAGAAGACAAAATTGCTTCAGTGAGATTTGTTAAAATCACAAATGCTCCAAAATTCTTTTGGTGCTTTTTAGATCTTTAAGAGTGGGAGATTGGGGATGTTAATATTTTTGCTTGCAGTAGTGTACATTTTGTAATATAGAAATAGTGAAAAAAATTGTTATTAAAGTCTCTTCAGATATATTCAATTATTAATCATGCAACAAACATTTATTGAGTACCTACCATATGTGAAACAGAGTTCAAGGTGCTATCAATACAGCTAGTCTTCCAAAGCTCGTGACCTTCAGATCTTTTGTTTTAGATTCTGTTATGAAAATGTCACTAGTGTAAGCCACATTTTTAATGCAATCAATGCCCGTTGTACAGACAGACTCATTCAGAGATTAAAGTGTGAGTTGCTTGATTTCTTTCTGCTATGCTTCAGCTCAGTTTTAGCAGTATGTATAACATCTTTTAATGTGATGTAAGTATGTAGGTATAAAGTTCCTGGATATATCAGTTATTAAGCCACAATTATAACTAAGCGTGAGTTATGGCAGAGACAACTTGAAACACTGCTAGTGATTCTAAAAATTTCCTAATTTGACGAAGAAACAGGAAACAGGTAGTATCTATTTTAGATAATTTTTTTAGATTTTACCATTCTTTAATATTTACATTTGCCAACCAGAATCAGACAATAGAATTTCTGTCATTCCAGTTTAAGCTAATAAAATGTCAAGTAGAGGTTCTTGGCTGGGCATAGTGGCTCATGCCAGTAATTCCAGCACTTTGTAAAGCTGAGGCAGGTGGATTACCTGAACCCAGGATTTCGAGACCAGCCTGGGCAACATAGCGAGACCTCATCTCTACAAATAATAAAAAGCCAGGCATGATGGCGTGCGCATGTGGTCCCAGCCACTTGGGAGGCTGAGGTGGGAGGATTGCTTGAGCCTGGGAGGTTGAGGCTGTAGTGAGCTGAGATTGCGCCACTGCACCCAGATTGCCAACCTGGGTGACAGAGCAGGATCCTGTCTCAAAAAAAAAAAAAAAAAGTAGAGATTCTTGGCTATCTCATTTAATGAGAAGTTATTTTCAGTTAGTATATCAGTGGTTTGCCTATAAACATGAACGTGAAAACACTTTTTCCAGCTATTTGAATATTCATGTGACATTCTTGATGTTCAGAGGAAAACTTCAGGCTTTGTTAGAATAGCATTCATAGTATCTTTATTTATGGAGGGGTATTGTAATTGATTTTAGAATCCTTGTTAGTCATCAAATTTTATTATTATTTTTTTAAACTCCAGGATTTGTGTTGTATTCAGGTAGTTTCCCCACCCCCGCTTCCTTTCCTGCCTCTGGTTTAATTAGAGAATATTCATGGCCCAGAAAAGTCAAATTGAAGCCAGAGTATTATAGAATGGTCAGATATATAAGAAACTGACATAGACGTAAAAGGAACTACATACTGTTGCTGGGCGTGGTGGCTCACGCCTGTAATCCCAGCACCATCTCAAAAAAAGAAAGAAATTACATATTAACTTTTTTCAGGAAGTTGTATAGTTCTAAGACCATTCTTCTAATATTTATCTTCTTTCTGAATTCTGACTTCTTGAGATTTTTGTGGACTAAGAGGAATATTTGATTAACTGTATTTTTACCCATTGTTATTCCTCCTAAAGATATTGTTTCAATAAACCAAATGTTTAAAGACGAAATTTTGGACTATACTGAAAACACTGCATATAAACCAGTTGCCAAAAGTTTTTGTTTTGGGGCCGGGCACTTTGGCTCATGCCTGTAATCCCTGCACTTTGGGAGACTGAGGCAGGCAGATTACCTGAGGTAAGGAGTTTGAGACCAGCCTGACCAACACGGCAAAAACCCTTCTCTACTGAAAATACAAAATTTAGCCAGGTGCCTGTAATCCCAGCTACTTGGGATTAGCTGCCTGTGGTAGCGCAGGCCTGTAATCCCAGCTACTCTGGAGGCTGAGGCAGGAGAATCTCTTGAACCCAGGAGGCGGAGGTTGCAGTGAGCCAAGATTGCGCCACTGCACTCCAGCCTGGGCAATAGAGGGAGACCCCGTCTCAAAAAAATAAAAAAGATGGTTTTTGTTTTTCCCTTTTAGTTTGTTAATTTTGTGCTAGCCATTGCTTAATTTTGTTTTTTCCTTTCCCTTTCTTCATCCTTAAGGATTTCAACTTCAATTTTTTCTTCTCCTGACTTATATTCTTGTGGCAGTGTACGTTTTGTTGGGTTAAGAACACTGCCTGCTTCCTCTTTATGAACTCTCTTCCCTGACAAAAAGCAAAGTTGGTAGTGTAGAGAAGTTTGTATTGTGTGTTTTTAAGAAGGCATGGTTATTACGTTTTAATTTTGTACGGATAACAATGTTAAGTGATAATTAAGTATTTTTAATTCTTTTTTTTCTTTTTAGTCTTTATAATATAGCTTTATGCCTCTTTTTTTCCTGTTTATTCACAAAAGAAAGGTGGTGGGAGAAGCTGTGGAAGATTCCTGAGTGCATATGGGGATGGGATGATCAGCTGAAACACCATGTTCCTAGCCAACTCGCTTTCCAAGGTGGTGTGACTAAATCTGACCAGCTTCTCTAGAGCTGAGTGTGCCTAGTCACATTTACTATTTACCGAGTGCTTTAAAGATACCTGTTGTCATCCGCAATACTCTAAACAGGTGTTCAGAATCTCTTGTAAAGGAGCTGGCCAAGCTTATTGCATGCCTTTGCATTGCTTGCATCTATGGGCCAAATTAAGCTTTTTTAAAAGAAGTTAAAAATCAAAATATTTCAGCTATTATATGTATGGGTTAAAAAAGTTGGAAGCATTAGATAAGGACATGAATATATTAATGTGGGTTAGGCTGTTTTGTTAGAATATATAATGAAGGTAATGTTAATGTAGAATTGAACAATTATTTAAATAAGTTTTACAAATGGTTTGTTTTTACATTTACCTATCTTAATTTTATGTCAGAAAGCCTGACTTAAATACTCTAACCATGATCATGAATGCCTTTGTATTATGTAATGCTTTGTTTAAGTCTTCCTTTCTTTCTCTTTGTCCAAGAAATATAATCTCACACCTGAGGCGACGGCATCTTTGAAAAACTAGTGATCAAGAATAACCAGATAAACATGATGGGCATAAGGGTCATGACCAAAAAGATCTCTCAGTGGCATCTGTATCACTAAATATTAGGAATATTCATTCATTTCAGTAGTGCCTTCTGTCTTTGTGTTTATTGTTGTAAGTGTGAAAGTGAACTGAATACTCCATGATCCATCTCTGAAAAATATTGCCTAACCTAAATCACCAGCTTTCCTGTGGCATGGATATCCTGTCTTCTGAAGAACTGTTTTTGCTTTTCTGGAGCATGAATGTTTGTTGTTTTAGAGCTCTTTGTATTCGAGTTCATATTTTATCCTTATTTTTAGTGCTTTTCCTCTAAGTAGCTTGTGGAAATTATTTCTGAGTAATTGAAGCTTCTGTGTCAACATAATAGTTTGTTGACATAAGAAACAGTGTTAAGAAATTATGCATTTGGAAAAAACTGAAGGTGATTTTTTCCAGGGAATTTGTTTCCTGGACTTGGGATTTCTTGTGCAAATTTTCCCCACTAGTTTGTTTTTCTCTACTATTATTTTCATAAAGGAGCAGCACCAGAATAGTCCTTAATATCGGAGATAGCTGTTGTGTCACTTCCTCATGCTGACATATTTACTAGAGGGTAAAATTAATAACCTTCTAGTAAGAGTGGCAGTCGAAGGGAAGGGCTCATCTGACTTCTGGAAACCTATGTTAAAATACAGTGCTTTGAACCTTGATCATGGGCTAATTAGGTTGGAAATGAAACTAGAGACCAGATACACCCAAGGAAACTTTTGGTAGTTATTTTACTTTATAAGTCACAGGAAATGCTTGTGTACTTTCCTGTGTTCCTTAAATAGTTGCACTTAAATTACCTCTTTGAAACTGAATGAAGAGACAGAGAGTATTTTTTTTCTTTCCAGAAATAATACTTGTTTATACCTGTAATAGCAATGAAATTTTGTTTCTTTTGAGACAGAGTTTTGCTCTGTCTCCCAGTCTGGAGTATAGTGGCAGGATCTCAGCTCACTGCAACCTCCACCTCCCAGGTTCAAGTGATTCTCCTGCCTCAGCCTCCCAAGTAGCTGGGACTATAGGTGCACTACCATGCCCGGCTAATTTTTGTATTTTTAGTAGAGAAGGGGTTTCGCCATGTTGGCCAGGCTGATCTCGAACTCCTGACCTCAGGTGATCTGCCCGCCTCGGCCTCCCAAAGTGCTGGGATTACAGGCGTGAGCCACTGCTCCTGGCCAGCAATGAAACTTGAGGCTATGCGAATGAAGGATTGTTCTAAGAGTGTAAACTATAAGGCGAGGAGGATTAAATAAAAAAACAGAGATAGGCTCTCAAAGCACCAAATAGTATGATTAACAGATTCTTGTGTATCACATTTGAAATGCTTTATGTTTTGGCTTTATGTTGATGAGTTGAAAACCCGTGTTTTTGTTTATGTTGTTTGGTTTTTGTTTTTGGCTATCTTATGTAGAAAGGCATGTAAGGGATGGCATTGATTATTCTAAATAATTTTTACTGGGAAAGCTTTTCCAAGATTTTGAATAGCTAAATGTCAACTTTTTTCTTAATAGTATTTTCATCTCAGCCTAGTGACGATGAATCAAGTAGTGATGAAACCAGTAATCAGCCCAGTCCTGCCTTTAGACGACGCCGTGCTAGGAAGAAGACCGTTTCTGCTTCAGAATCTGAAGACCGGCTAGTTGCTGAACAAGAAACTGAACCTTCTAAGGAGTTGAGTAAACGTCAGTTCAGTAGTGGTCTCAATAAGTGTGTTATACTTGCTTTGGTGATTGCAATCAGCATGGGATTTGGCCATTTCTATGGTAAGTACTCAAAAATGTGTTATACATAACCTGATGGGATAGTGTAGAGGAACTTAAGAGTGAGGACTCTTGGGATCTGTTTTCAGTGCCATTATTAAATGTGTGGCCTTGAAAACTTGAAGCCTGTTTGAGCCTCAGTTTTCTCATTCGGGAAGTGGGTGCTGCCTATCTCACAAAGCTTTTTATTTAAATAAGGTAGTAGTTATTAAGAAATGTAAGGATAATAACCATATATGTTTGTGACTCTTTTAAAGTTAAAAGATTGGAAGATTAAAAATCTGAAATGCTCACCATGAGGCAAATCATTTACATTTAGAATCACACTTAAACTAAGTTGAAGTGTGACTTTATTAGGAAGATTATTTAAATCCCAGTTGAAATAGTTACATTTGAAATGTGTAAATAATAAGTGTTCATTATTTCTACTTTGAGGTTTCATGTAAGTATCATACTTTGTAACTTTCATTGTTGCTTCTGTGATTCACATGAATTGAGAGTTTGTCATCTTTGTTCTTATACTTTGCTCTTTATTATGATTGATACTGTTTATATATGTTGATTATCTTATCAATTCAAAGCTTTTAAATGCCTTTTGGGTGAGAAGAGGAAGGTATTCTATTGGTGTTACTTTACTTTTTCATTTAGGAGCCTCACCCATTGACTCTCTCCTTTGTTTTTTGGAGACGGAGTCCCACTCTGTCGCCCAGGCTGGAGTGCAGTGGCACAATCTCAGCTCAATGCAAACTCCACTCCCAGGGTTCTAGCAATTCTCCTACCTCAGCCTCCGGAGTAACTGGGATAACAGGCGCCCGCCACCATGCCTGGCTAATTTTTTTATATTTGTAGTAGAGACGGGGTTTTGCCATGTTGGCCAGGCTGGTCTCGAAGTCTTTTTTTTTTTTTTTTTCTTTTTTTTTGAGACGGAGTCTCACTCTGTCGCCCAGGCTGGAGTCCAGTGGTGCGACCTTGGCTCAATGCAGCCTCTGCCTCTGGGTTCAAGTGATTCTCCTGCCTCAGCCTCCTGAGTAGCTGGGACTACAGGCGCCTGCCACCACGCCCAGCTAATTTTTTTGTATTTTTAGTAGAGACGGGGTTTCACCATCTTGGCCAGGCTGGTCTCAATCTCCTGACCTTGTGATCCACCCGCCTCGGCCTCCCAAAGTGTTGGGATTACAGGCGTGAGCCACCGCACCCAGCCAGTCTTGAACTCTTGACCTAAGGTGATCCACCCCACTCAGCCTCCCAGAGTGCTGGGATTATAGGCATGAGCCACCGTGCCTGGCCTGAGTCTCTTATTTAAGGTATGTGTTTGTACAATGACTGGAGTATTTGAAACCTGAACTTTGACTCTCTTTGCTATATTGGAATTTGGGGTAGAGACACTTTAAAAGGAAATGTCTTAGATCTTGTCAACTTCCCAAATTTTAGCTTGCTTTACATTAACTACTTTTAGATTTTTTTGCCTGCATAATCCACAGTCTTAACTTTTCGTTTTGCTAGTTCATTCGAAAAATGTATTTCTTATGCAAAGATTGAAGAATTACATGTACCCTATGTGGATTTGTGGAAAAGGTATATTATTCAACATAGCGTAATGTTAGAATAAACTTAATGAAGACAATACCTGTTTAAAGTCAGAGCTTGCAAGATGTTTCTTGTATTTATATTAATAAAAATATGTATTTAGATTTCTGATGGATACCTGCTTGAATTTAATACTGAGATACTATTATTTGTATCCTTTCTTGAAATTTGTTGTAATAAGATTTGATTTGAAATATATATTTACCTTTATAGACTATCTAGCTGAAACAATCAATAAGTATTTGAGTATGATTTTCCCTCCACAAGTAAACATGAGGGTAACAATGGAGAAGATCTTATCTTAATCTTTTTTTCTTACTTCAAAAAAAATTGGATAGTGATTTAAAGTGTTAATCCAAATTGCATTAAAACTTCACCATTTACATGACCTTTGAATATTTTGTAGAAAAATAATTTTACAGAAGTGCTTTCAAAATGAGAAGTTACTTCTCTGTTATGTAGGATTTTGGTTATTAGTAAAATTTACCTTAATAGTTAATTAATAAAACATTGTCCTTTACTTGATATTAGCCTTTTCAGGCTATGAAAAGCCTGGATAACATATTATGAAGTAGGCCTACATAGTAATGAGATTAGTTGAATTAACATACAAGACCTGACCTAAATGACTTTTCCAAGTCACTACTTAAAAGACATCACTTTTTTTTTTTTTTGAGACAGAGTTTTGCTCTTGTTGCCCAGGCTGGAGTGCAGTGCGTGATCTCGGCTCACCGCAACCTTCGCCTCCCGGGTTCAAGCAATTCTCCTGCCTCAGCCTCCCGAGTATCTAGGATTACAGGCATGCACCACCATGTCCAGCTAATTTTGTATTTTTAGTAGAGATGGGGTTTCTCCATGTTGGTCAGGCTGGTCTCGAACTCCTGACCTCAGGTGATCTGTCCACCTCGGCCTCCCAAAGTGCTGGGATTACAGGCGTGAGCCACCGCACCTGGCAAGACATCACATTTTTTAATTTCAGCACTGATCTCAACATTCTTTGGAGTTGATTTCAGAGCCGTTTTGAATTTTCTATTCACCGTAAAGTCGGTCATTGCATCCCATAGTCATTCATTCACTTTATAATTTTATTTTTTTTTGAGACAGAGTCTTGCTCTGTTCCCCAGGCTGGAGTGCAGTGGTATGATCTTGGCTCACTGCCACCTCCGTCTCCCAGGTTCAAGCGATCCTTCTGTCTCACCCTCCTGAGTAGCTAGGATTACAGGCATCCGCCAGCACGCCTGGCTACTTTTTGTATTTTTAGAAGAGATGAGGTTTCGCCCTGTTGGCCAGGTTGGTCTCGAACTCCTGACCTTAAGTGATCCGCCTGCCTCGGCCTCCCAAAGTGCTGGGATTATAGGCGTGAGCCACCGTGCCTGGCCCGCTTTATAATAATTTAACAATACCATATTACTAATTGAATCATTCTGCGTTTGCCAGCCCTGGTGCCATACAGATTTGAATTGGCAGATCTATACTGCAGGGAAGAGAAAGCTAGCATGACTAAGGATAGTGAGGCAGTGTACTCCAGGTATTTGGTTCTGAAAATGCTTCCAGAAGTTTTATTAAAAAGTTTCATGAGAAAGCAGTCTTTCTTATTCTTACATTTGCTTGTGACTATCAACATTCCAAATCATCAATGGAGTTCAATTGATTTGGTTTTCTCCTCGAGTTGCTTTAAGTATTGATAGACTACCCGGCTCTTCGGCAGACTATTATATAACAAGATATCTAGATGCTAAGTTATAGAGCACAGAATGAATTACAGCTCAAAGGGTACACTTACTGAATTATCCTGGAGGTGGTAAGATTTAAGTTGTGTCTAATCATAGTAAGTTTATGATAGACTCAAGGGAAGGTGGAACATTCCAGCGACAGAGAATCTGATAACCTGAGGAAGACGTAATCTTGGGTTTGGGAGCAGTGAAAAGACTGCTTGGACTACAGCAGAGTGTAGGTATTTAGAAATAATGGAATAGGTGGGGTGCTATTATAGTCATCCCTTGATATACATGAGGGATGGGTTCCAGGATGCACCCCCATACCAAAATCCATACGTACTAAAGTCCCTTGACTGCGGACCTCACATATATGAAAAGTCACCTCTCCATATACCTGGATTTTGCATCCTGCCATGTAGTTCAAACTCATGTTGCTCAAGGGTCAACTGTGTATTGTAAAACGTCTTGGAATCTAGATAGGAAAGTTTGATTTATTGAGTAACCTGCTATCAGGTTAGAGAAAAAAGTGCCGGAACTTTTTGCTGGTGTGGAAAAGGTGGTATGGAAAAATGTAGAATAGTCAGTCAGTTAAGAGTTCTGTAATCTGGATATTTGGTGAGGAGGACCTTGACAATTGGAATAACAGTGGGAATGGAATAAGGGACATTGAAGGAATAATGGAAAATAATGGCAATTTATTAAATTGTAGAAAATGTGCTAGCTGCTTCACTTTTGGAGTTGGGGTTACTGGGGAAGTTTTGCCAGATGATAAATAGATGGTAAGCACAGTTTGGTTTGGTTTTACCCAAATTTGTTCTAGACAAATTTGGTTTGGGGCAGGTGTTGAGGTTTGATTTTTTTTTTTTTTCCACCCTACAAACAGGCCCCCTACACAGCTGGATGTGTTGGCTAGAAGCTCTGATGAGAAGTTAGGACAAGATCTGTAGCTTGGAATTCTTAATAGGAGTGATAGCAAAATCTGACAGCGCTGCAACATGGTAAAATAGGCAGCATTTGTAGACATGACTAGGCCAAAGATTGTATCTTGAGGATAAGACTTTAGGTAGCTGAAGGTGCAGGAAAAACCCCCAAGTGATTAGTCAGTAATATTGTAAAAGGCCACATTAAGACAGTAATCAAGCATATGCTATATTATACTATCTTGAATTCAGACCTCAACACAGTTTTAGATTATTTTCCAGTGGGCAAAGGAATTAATCTCAGCAGTTTGAAATAGAAATTGCAGAAGTTTTCTGTTACTCTGGGAACTATAGATAAATTTCAACATTTGAAAAAAATCTGGGATTCTGCTGAGTAATTTTGAAACAAGCTTGCCGTGCTTCTATAAATTGAGAAATCTAAAGAGAGGAAATGAATTCTAACACAGAATATCATAGCTAGACTATGTAACAGTTACCTGTAAATTGGCAAAAGTTGTTTTTGGTGTTTTTCAAGATGTATTGAAGACATTTAAAATAATTTTTATAGCAGTAAGGGAAGAAATAGTGATCACTGCATCCTTTCTTTGTAAAATTCTATAGTATCTATACTCAGTAGATGTAATGTTAAGGTTGCTAACTGCATTTTGCCTTATTTTTGATTTCGTGGTTTTTTCCCCCCATACATGACGCATGTGAATAGCATGTCTGAGTAAAGTAACATTTTGATTTTTAGGATGAAAATATGAAGAATCCTAGTTGGTTTAAGATTCTTTTTTTGAGACGGAGTTTCGCTCTTGTTGCCCAGGCTGGAGTGCAGTGGCGCGATCTTGGCTCACCACAACCTCCACCTCCCGGGTTTAAGCGATTCTCCTGCCGCAGCCTCCCGAGTAGCTGGGATTACAGGCACATGCCACCACTCCCTGGCTAATATTGTATTTTTAGTAGAGACAGGGTTTCTCCATGTTGGTCAGGCTGGTCTCGAACTCCTGACCTCAGGTGATCCATCTGCTTTGGCCTCCCAAAGTGCTGGGATTACAGGCGTGAGCTACTGTGCCTGTCCAATTCTTTTATCACTGTTGGGATAAGGACAGTGCTACTCCAGTACAGATTTAACCATTGCAGAATTCTTAACAAATTTGGCCTTGAGAATGGTGCACAATCACCATTAGCCAATTATTTTCTGTGCTGTACTTTTTGGGCTTTGTTGTATCCTTAAGGCAAAATATTAAAAAAAAAAAAAATTTTCATTTTTCCTTATTGACTTACGACCTGTGAAAAAATACCAGGGTTTGTTCATTTCTCTGTATAAGGGAGGCTGAAACACTTTTTGTACTTAAAAGATAACCCCAAAACAACAAAGCTGAGTGCCTTCAATATAGTAAGATAAGAACATTACATAAATTGTTCTCTTGGTTAGAGCCATATGGGCTGGCCTGTGTGTTTTAATACAAAAGATAGTGAACTGCTTAAATGTTCCTGGGTGTATGTAAATAAATGTTTTTAAGAACTAGCCTACTTGGCCTTACTTATATTACGTTAACGTTCACCACCATTTGATGAATGATTGATCATGGGCTTTCATTTACTTTTCTTTTTTTATTTTATTTTATTTTTATTTTTAGTAGAGACAGGGTTTCACCATGTTGGCCAGGCTGGTCTTGAACTCCTGACCTCAAATGATCTACCTGCCTTGGCCTCCCAATGTGCTGGGATTACAGGCGTGAGCCACTGTGCCCAGCCTCAGTTACTTATTCTCTATTTATGTAATCAGAATTTTTAAAGAACGGTGAAATGCTGATACTCTGAATGAAATGATTGTCAAGATTACATAGGTTATGGCCAGGCACAGTGGCTCACACATGTAATCCCAGCACTCTGAGAAGCCAAGGTGGGTGGATCACTTGAGGCCGGGAGTTTGAGACCAGCCTGGCCAACATGGCAAAACCCTGTCTCTATAAAAAATTAGTTGGGCCTGGTGGCGCTTCCCTGTAGTCCCAGACACTCGGGAAGCTGAGTCACGAGAATTGCTTGAACCAGGGAGGCAGAGGTTGCAGTGAGCTGAGATCATACCAGCCTGGGCAATGGAGCAAGACTCTTCTCAAAAAACAAAAAAAAAACAAAAAAAAAAAACAAAAAAAAGACTACATAGCTTATATGCAGATTACCAATATTAAAAAATACATAAAACATTTAATGATAATATTTTTGTTACATACCTTTAATAAAAATATTTATTTTAGGCACAATTCAGATTCAGAAGCGTCAACAGTTAGTCAGAAAGATACATGAAGATGAATTGAATGATATGAAGGATTATCTTTCCCAGTGTCAACAGGAACAAGAATCTTTTATAGATTATAAGGTATGTACCACTAACAGTATTTAAAATAATTGTTAGTAATTATTTTGCTTATTAGTTAGAGCTTATTGTGCTTATTAGTGCAGATTAGTAAATCAGTAATAATGCTGATCATTGTTGAATTGAGTACGGGTATTTAGTGTGTCCTAGTCATTGTCATGAGTGTACCATATAGAGTATTTCTCTTATTCTCACAATATGTGAATTAAGCAATTACTAACTTTTATAGGTGGAAAAGAGGTTTAGAAAAGTTAAGTGACTTTCTCAAGGTAGCAACTGGCAGAGCTAGTTTGTTTTTGTTTGTTTGTTTATTTATTTGAGATGGAGTCTCGCTCTGTTGCCCAGGCTGGAGTGCAGTGGTGCAACCTCAGGTTGCTGCAACTTCCACCTCCTGGGTTCAAGCGATTCTTGTGCCTCAGCCTCCCAAGTAGCTGGGATTACAGGTGTGCACCTCTATGCCCGGCAAATTTTTTTGTATTTTTAGTAGAGACGGGGTTTCACTATGTTGGCCACGCTGGTCTTGAACTCCTGACCTCCGTCTACCCACCTCAGTCTCCTAAAGTGCTGGGATTACAGGTGTCAGCCACCATGCTCGGCCATGGCCTTTTTTTGTTTTGTTTTGTTTTGTTTGGGAGAGCTAATTAATTGATTCTAAGGATTTGACTTAAGAACTCTTATCCCTAGCTGCTATTTTATAGTTAACATCTTTTATAAGTGACATTTTATATGTGTATATAGACATTTTTATTAACATTATTTTCACAGAGCGAAGCAAACATTTTCAGTTGGCAGGAGGGAAAGAGGAGAGTTTTGGTTTTATAGCCTCTCTAAGATCTTCTCTTGATCAGGGGACATAGCTATTCCTTTCCATTGTTTTTTTTTATTCTGATGGAAGGGAGAGCATGTTATCTTTTTCTGCCTATAACTCACCTAGATCTCGTCTCACAGGACTGTACTGTCCATTCTGTCATTACCTAACACCTCTGTGGGTTTATGAGGATCAGCAAAATAGCTGGTCTCTTATCTAGTTTTTTCCTAAGAAGGTTGTAGAGAGAAATGCAGGGTAGAAAAATAAGCTATGTCTGGGTGTGGTGGCAACCTCCCAAATTCCCAAAGTTGGTAACCTTGGGAAGCCAAGGTAGGTGGATTGCTTGAGCCCAGGAGTTCAAGACCAGCCTGGCCAATATGGTGAAACCTTGTCTCTACTAAAAATACAAAAATCAGCCTGGTGTGGTGGCACATACCTGTAATCCCAGCTTTTTGGGAGGCTTAGGCACAAGAATTGCTTCAATCTAGGAGGCAGAGGTTATAGTAAGCTGAGATCACACTATTGCACTCCGGCCTGGGCCACAGAGGAAGACTGTCTCAAAAAAAAAAAAAAAAAAAAAAAAGGAAAAGGAAAGAAAAGTAAGCTATTGTTTTTTCCTTCATTTTTCCACCCCCAATTCTCACACTTAATTTATGTATGCTTCCCTTACAGGTTATATTTCTTGAAAAGACAAAAATACTACTTTGTAACTAAATTGTATCTTTCAGGGAGGTACTTCTCCCATCCAAGTACTAACCAGGCCAGACCCTGCCTAGCTTCTGCCATCAGAGGAGACTGGCGGCATTTAGGGTGTTATGGCTGTAGACACAGGGAGGTACTTCTGAAGTTAATTATAAATAGTTCAGTTTTTCCTACCTGTATTAGAAGATGCCATTTTCTTCTTCACCACAGTGTTTTCTGGTTCCATAGGATAACATTGGCTTTTGGAAAACTCACCACGCATTAACCTCTAGAGAGAGTTTGTAGTTTGGTTTGGGTTTGGGTTTTTTTTTTGTTTTGTTTGTTTTTTTTCTGAGATGGAGCCTCGCTCTGTTGCCCAGGCTGGAGTGCAGTGGCATGATCTCAGCTCACTGGAACCTCTGCCTCCTGGGTTCAAGTGATTCTCCTGCCTCAGTCTCCCAAGTAGCTGGGATTACAGGCTCCCTCCACCATGCCCGGTTCATTTTTTGCATTTTCAGTAGAGATGGGGTTTCACTATGTTGGCCAGGGTGGTCTTGAACTCCTGACCTCAGGTAATCTGCCTGCCTCGGCCTCCCAAAGTGCTGGGATTACAGGCGTGAGTCACTGCGCCTGGCCTGTTTTTTTTGTTTTTGTTTTTTAAGAGACAGGGTTTCATTCTTATTGCCCAGGCTGGAGTGCAGTGGTGTGATCATGGCTCACTGCTGCCTTAACTTCTGGGCTCAAGCAATCCTCCTGGCTTAGCCTCTCAAGTAGCTGCGACCACAAGCACACGCCACCATGTCCAACTTGGTTTTTAAATTTTTCATAGAGATGGGGTCTCACTATGTTGCCCAGGCTATTCTGGAACTTCTGGGTTCAAGTGATCCTCCCACCTTGGCCTCAAAATACTGGGATTAAAGGATTGAGCCACTGTGCCCAGCTAGAGAGTCAGTTTTTACAGATCTCTTATTTCTGGCTGTTAAGTGTGGATCAGATAGATTTTGAAGCTCTTTGGAAGACCTGGTCAGGATCTGCTTATCAATCACTTATGTCAACATCATATTTACTGCACGAGGAATGCTGTACTCTTCTTTCATCCTGTGGCTTCCTGGGCTTGTGCATTTCAAGATTATGCCACACCAGTGCATCAGTCTCTTCTACTCCACAGTCCACTGCTGTTGGGTAGAAGAAATTTCTTTTCTCTCATACAGGTAGAGCAGATGAAATGACTGTGATTAAATTTTAAATCTTTATTTGTTCTCTGAAGATTAATGAGCCAGAACGTGAAGCAGTCATTTCAGATAGTTATTTTTCAAGTGTATATTAGTGTCATTCTCTTAAAGGACTTGTATTTTTTTTTCCTTTTTTTTTTTTCTTATTTCTGAATCCAGGTAATTGACTGCTCTGACTCAAATGGGGTAACCATAACGTTTGTGATAAATTAAGCCAAATTTAAGTATCATTTTGCAGATTTATACATAGGATATTTTTAACTCGATGTATAATGCTTTAAGAACCTGTTGAACCATATTGTTTAAGTTTTGACTGTTTTTGGTTAGATTTTGTTACTAATGCATATGTGTAAAAGAAAATTCAAATCAGTCAAGGATACCCTTATTGAAGCAGTAAAATTCTATAAGCCGAATTGACCATGATTTCTACCACGGGTGCTGACTTTCAGTTATAGTAATCTATAGATTAATCTTCAGAGTTATATTAATCTGTACAGATTACAGAACTTCAAAAATTTACCATAAAATTGGATAAGTTAGTTATAAATGTTCAAGATTCAGTCTGTCTTCTAACATGGTTATAGAATTTATGGCTTATCTGTACTTACTTAGAAATGTTAATTGCATAGGACTAAAATGTTTCAAATAGGACTAAGATTGTTAGAATTTCATCCTTTGAAGGGTACACTGAGTACAAACAATTTTTGAAGCCGTAAGTCAGCTCTCGATGTAATTTTACTTTTATTTTTTATTTGTTTTTTTTTTGAGACAGAGTCTCGCTCTGTCGCCAGGCTGGAGTGCAGTGGTGCGATCTCGGCTCACTGCAACATTCGCCTCCCGGGTTCAAGCGATTCCCCTGCCTCATCCTCCCAAGTAGCTGGGACTACAGGTGCATGCCACCATGCCCAGCTAATTTTTGTATTTTTAGTAGAGATGGGGTTTCACCACGTAGGCCAGGATGGTCTTGATCTCTTGATCTCGTGATCCACCCACCTCAGCCTCCCAAAGTGCTGGGATTACAGGCATGAGCCACCGCGCCCAGCTAATAATTTTACCTTTTATAAAAGGTAATCTCTTTTCCTGATTCAGAAAAGCCTTTAGTCCTGCAAGCTCTAGCTAACTTTCTGTCTTTTAAATTCTTCCAGCCAGGCGCGGTGGTTCATGCCTATAATGCCAGCACTTTGGGAGGCTGGAGAGTCGCTTGAACTCAAGAGGCAGAGGTTATAGTGAGCCGAGATTGCGCCACTGCACTCTAGTCTGGACGACAGAGTGAGACTCCATCTCAAAAAAAAAAAAATTCTTACACCATGCTGTAGTTCTCAATTTGATGTAGCTCTCTGCTCTGCGTTTTCTTGCATATGAACCTTGTATTTCCCAATGTTTATACTATTGAAAATACTACCCGGGGGGTTGTATCTGTAGAAGTAAAGACACAAAAGCTTATGGGGTATTATATCTTGAAGATTTAAATTCAGCTTTTAAAGCATTTGACATTTTATTTCTTCTCTTTCAAAAAAAAATGTAGTCATTGAAAGAAAATCTTGCAAGGTGTTGGACACTTACTGAAGCAGAGAAGATGTCCTTTGAAACTCAGAAAACGAACCTTGCTACAGAAAATCAGTATTTAAGAGTATCCTTGGAGAAGGAAGAAAAAGCCTTATCCTCATTACAGGAAGAGTTAAACAAACTAAGAGAACAGATTAGAATATTGGAAGATAAAGGGACAAGTACTGAATTAGTTAAAGAAAATCAGAAACTTAAGCAGCATTTGGAAGAGGAAAAGCAGAAAAAACACAGCTTTCTTAGTCAAAGGGAGACTCTGTTGACAGAAGCAAAGATGCTAAAGAGAGAACTGGAGAGAGAACGACTAGTAACTACGGCTTTAAGGGGGGAACTCCAGCAGTTAAGTGGTAGTCAGTTACATGGCAAGTCAGATTCTCCCAATGTATATACTGAAAAAAAGGAAATAGCAATCTTACGGGAAAGACTCACTGAGCTGGAACGGAAGCTAACCTTCGAACAGCAGCGTTCTGATTTGTGGGAAAGATTGTATGTTGAGGCAAAAGATCAAAATGGAAAACAAGGAACAGATGGAAAAAAGAAAGGGGGCAGAGGAAGCCACAGGGCTAAAAATAAGTCAAAGGAAACATTTTTGGGTTCAGTTAAGGAAACATTTGATGCCATGAAGAATTCTACCAAGGAGTTTGTAAGGCATCATAAAGAGAAAATTAAGCAGGCTAAAGAAGCTGTGAAGGAAAATCTGAAAAAATTCTCAGATTCAGTTAAATCCACTTTCAGACACTTTAAAGATACCACCAAGAATATCTTTGATGAAAAGGGTAATAAAAGATTTGGTGCTACAAAAGAAGCAGCTGAAAAACCAAGAACAGTTTTTAGTGACTATTTACATCCACAGTATAAGGCACCTACAGAAAACCATCATAATAGAGGCCCTACTATGCAAAATGATGGAAGGAAAGAAAAGCCAGTTCACTTTAAAGAATTCAGAAAAAATACAAATTCAAAGAAATGCAGTCCTGGGCATGATTGTAGAGAAAATTCTCATTCTTTCAGAAAGGCTTGTTCTGGTGTATTTGATTGTGCTCAACAAGAGTCCATGAGCCTTTTTAACACAGTGGTGAATCCTATAAGGATGGATGAATTTAGACAGATAATTCAAAGGTACATGTTAAAAGAACTGGATACTTTTTGTCACTGGAACGAACTTGATCAGTTCATCAATAAGTTTTTCCTAAACGGTGTCTTTATACATGATCAGAAGCTCTTCACTGACTTTGTTAATGATGTTAAAGATTATCTTAGAAACATGAAGGAATATGAAGTAGATAATGATGGAGTATTTGAGAAGTTGGATGAATATATATATAGACACTTCTTTGGTCACACTTTTTCCCCTCCATATGGACCCAGGTCGGTTTACATAAAACCGTGTCATTACAGTAGTTTGTAACATTTGTAGATTGGATAGCATTTTTATGATTTGATGAGTTTCTTGTAAGGTTACCGTTTCTAAGAGTTGTGCTTTATGGCCACTGAGAGAATTCAGAATAAATTGAAAGATGGAGTCTAAAAATTATTAGCTGTTACAAATGGAACATTTCATTATAACGTGATCACTTTGACTTGAGCAAATGGTTTAATTTTTATCTTAAAAATCAGTTAAGAATATATAAAATCCTACTTTGGCCAAGTTTGTTTCTTTTCATTATAGTTTATATGAAAAGATCACCTTAAGTGAAATTATTTTCCTTTAATCTTTTATGTATTTATTCACTTTTGGAAGCTAGGAATGAGCAACACAAATTTTACTCTGAAGTCAGAAGAGCTCATATATAATAATTCTAATGTCCCACCTATTTTCACTTGTCCATTCCATGTACCAGCTTAGTTATGATACTTAGTCACATAATTATCTTTGATAAAGGTAGAGGCACAAAGAGGCAAACTAAGCAAGTCAAATTCTAATGTGTGTACTTCATAATAATTTTTTATCCATTTTCATCTTTATATTCTGTAACATGAAACTTACCTAATCTTCAAATGTTAGCTTCATTTTTTACCTTTGAAATACTTAATCTTTCTGAATAAATATAATGTGTCTATAAAATAATGAGACTGATTCTGGTGTCTTTAGTCATTAAGCTGGTATCTAGTCCTATAATGAACAAAGGTGAAGCTGCCTTGAGGAGACAAGTGAAAAATTTTTGCTTCAAAGGAGCTCACAAGCTAAGTAAATAAATGAAATTAAGGTATGGGGCATGGTGGCCTCAGGCTGTCTGGAGGTGTTTGGAAAGGCTTCTTGAGTGAGGTGGCCTTTGAACTGAACTTAGTTTTTAAAGTAGCTTTTGGAAGAGAAATGAGGATTTGCTATGCAGACAGGGAAGGGAATTTCACTTAAAAGGAAGGTCATTTGGAGATGTGAAGATACACTGCTTTAAGGAAGCAGGGTAGAGCTGGAGGATAAGAGATGCAGACCATGAAGGGCCCCATTTTATGCTAAAGGTTTTGTCCTGTAGGACATGGAGAACTTCTGAAGAATTTTCAAGGCGGGTGGGATAAGATTATATTGTATTTTAGATTACAGTAGTCCCCCCTTATCTTCAGGATATATGTTCCAAGACCCCCAGTGGATGCTGGAAACCAGGGATAGAACATAATTCTATATATACTATGCATGAATTTCTTTTTCCTTCTTTACAATCTCACACATAGGTTTGTTCTTACTATAGATCTTACCAATCTCAGCATACTTTTATTTCTCTTGAGAACCTTCACCCTTTCACTTAAAGGAGGCGCTTTATAGCTTCTCTTTGGCATATCCAAATGCCAGCATCACTGTTGTATTTTGGGGTCATTATTAAGTTACTTAATCATCCTTAATCCTTATCTTAGGGATACTTGAACACAAACACTGTGGTAGGATAACAGTATATCTGATTAACAGACTGCTACTAGGTGATTAATGGGTGGGTAGTGTAAATACACAAGAAAAGGATGATTCACATCCCATGTGGGATGGAGCAGAACTGCATTATTTCATTACATTACTCAGAACAGGCATATAATTGAAAACTTATGAATTATTTTTTTTTAATTATTTGAGATGGAATCTTGCTTTGTCAGCCAGGCTGGAGTGCAGTGACACGATCTCAGCTCACTGCAACCTCTGTCTCCTGGGTTCAGGTGATTCTCCTCCCTAGTCTCCCAAGTAGCTGGGACTATAGGCACGTGCCACCACACCCGGCTAATTTTCATATTTTTAGTAGAGATGGGGTTTCACCATGTTGGCCAGGCTGTTCTTGAAATCCTGACCTCAAGTGATCCACACATGTCTACCTCCCAAAGTGCTGGGATTACAGTCGTGAGCCACTGTACCCCGCCTAAAACTGATGAATTATTTCTGAAATTTTCTATTTAACATTTTCAGACCACAGTTGACCACAGGTAACGGAAACCTCAATCACAGAAAGTAAAGCCGTGGATACGGTGGGACTAATGTATTGGTAGCAGCCTAGAGGATTGATGGGAAAGGTATGAAGCTAGAAGGTGGTCAATATAATACAGACATGAGCTGATGAACATCTAAACTGGGACTATACTAGTAGGAGAGGAAAGGAAAAAACATTTGGAAAATAGTAACATTGATATTTCTTGTGAAGGAGAAGTAGAAAGTAACAGTGACTTCTAGATTTCTGGGTTGGGTCATCTTGTTGGATAGTAGTACCACTGAGATAGGGAATTCAAGGTTTGGGGCAAGGGTAATTGGAGATGAGAATTGTGTTTGGAGGTAACTACTGACATTCAAGTGGAGAGGGTTAGTTGGCAGTTAGTTCTATGGTCATCTCTTTTGCCGAGACTGTATATTTATCAGACTCCTGGGAGAACACCAACATCCATGGGGTTGTAGGGAAGGCTAAGGACAGGAGTGGGGAGTGGTACCTTGAAAATCCAAAAGCCATCTCAAGTAAAAGGAATAAATGTGTCATGCTTTTTAAAAAGTTGATGTGCGGAAAATGTTTTCTTGGCTTGGAAACTGGGCGGCCAGGGGATGACAGTATGGACTTCCAGTGAAGTAGTGACGGAAGCCTGATCATAGACATTAAGGAAAGCGGTGTAGGTGTTGTGAGCTTTTGCTGTAAGAAAAAGTTGAGACTTTTGTTTTGCTTTGTTTGTGAGAGATGTGTATGTATTTCTGCTGAGTGATAAAGCCAGCGGGGAGGGACTGATTTTTATAGGAAAGGAGGAAAAATAATGGAAACACATCTCATTATTTTATTGTCACATTTCTTTTCTTTGTTATCTTTTGAGTGTTTCCCTTTTTTGCCAGTAGAGTTATTGTCTATTTTTTCTTTCTATAGGACAAAAAAACTAATACAGACTCCTTTATTTTTATATGGATATACTAGGATTGTAATTCAGATATTTAATATCTTTTATCAGTGTTCAGATCATAGATTAATGGAGAAAACATTTAAAATTGTTTTAAATTTAAATACATTGAACTCTAACATAGATGAAAAATGTGTTTACTGCTTTCAGTCGACCTGATAAAAAGCAACGTATGGTAAATATTGAAAACTCCAGGCATCGAAAACAAGAGCAGAAGCACCTTCAGCCACAGCCTTATAAAAGGGAAGGTAAATGGCATAAATATGGTCGCACTAATGGAAGACAAATGGCAAATCTTGAAATAGAATTGGGGCAATTACCTTTTGATCCTCAATACTGATTCACAATTGAGTTAAATTAGACAACTGTAAGAGAAAAATTTATGCTTTGTATAATGTTTGGTATTGAAACTAATGAAATTACCAAGATGACAATGTCTTTTCTTTTGTTTCTAAGTATCAGTTTGATAACTTTATATTATTCCTCAGAAGCATTAGTTAAAAGTCTACTAACCTGCATTTTCCTGTAGTTTAGCTTCGTTGAATTTTTTTTGACACTGGAAATGTTCAACTGTAGTTTTATTAAGGAAGCCAGGCATGCAACAGATTTTGTGCATGAAATGAGACTTCCTTTCAGTGTAAGAGCTTAAAGCAAGCTCAGTCATACATGACAAAGTGTAATTAACACTGATGTTTGTGTTAAATTTGCAGCAGAGCTTGAGAAAAGTACATTGTTCTGGAATTTCATCATTAACATTTTATAATCTTACACTCACTTCTTGTCTTTTTGTGGGTTCAAGAGCCCTCTGACTTGTGAAGAATTTGCTGCCCTCTTAAGAGCTTGCTGACTTGTTTTCTTGTGAAATTTTTTGCACATCTGAATATCGTGGAAGAAACAATAAAACTACACCATGAGGAAAACTAAAGGTCTTTATTTAAAATCTGGCATTGTATTAACATGTAATTTTATACTATGTGGTATTTTATACATTTCCTCAGTAGTGATATTTGGTAAAGCAGTTCATACAGCTTTTTTCTAAGTTCCATGAATCTTACCCAGTGTTTACCGAAGTATTTAAGCAGCATCTGAATATTTCCACCCAGCAATGTTAATTTATCTAGGAAAGTTCAGAATTTCATCTTCATGTTGAATTTCCCTTTTAACTTCCGTTCATAGACATATATGTGACTTCCAATTCGACCCTCTGGCAAGTGAGTGTGGAAGAAAACAGCAGTTCTTTTATAATTGCTTGAAATTAGGAAAGCGCTTATTTCCTAGAAGCAAATAAATGTTTAAGTAAATAAAGGCTACATTTTGCTGAGTACTGTTTCAGTCAATTTTAGAATTGCCTATTCTAATTGCTGTCTACAACTTTTTGCTTAATAAAAGAATTAACTTATAGGAAGTAAAATACTTTGATAGTTACAGAACTGGGGCTAATTTTGACTGGAGAAAAGACTAATTATGAAATGTGGGTTGAAACAGACCATAAAAAGGTTATATTATCTATTTACCTGAGGGTTTCCTAAACCTGGGGTAAAATTAAAATACTGAGTTTTCCTCTTTTTCATGTTTACTTACCTCTTCCAAAATGCTGAAGGTGATCAAGTGAGTAGGCAATGATGCATCATCATGAAACTCTCTATGTAACCAGTTTAAGGGATTTAGGTAAAATACATCTGCTTCATCAAGATAATGACTTTTTCCAGTCAGGTCTGGCGGGCACTGGAGAAATCTCATGGGAAGTGGGCAGTGAACATGGCTATGAAAAGAAAAGTTACCATAATAAATACAAGTAAAACATGAAAGTTTTCATTAGTCTTAAGATATGTCATTTATACTTAGCAAAATGTGAAATCTGAATCTGTAAACTGTGTTGCAGTTAAGTGAAGAAGCAAGCCTTTAACTCATTTTCTCAAAGATAAAAAAAACATGATTCTTATACCATGTACCTATGCAGCAGCAGCAGTATAACCTATAAGCCCAAACTAGTGCATAGAAGTCCATTTCAAGGAGGGAAGTAGGTCAGTAGGGGGACTCAACATTCTGTAGCATTGGTATTCTGTTCCGGAAACATAAATGGTCCTCAGGACCAGGTAAGTTAACTTGTTAATAGGAGAGTAATTCTCCATAGGTGTATTTGATAAAGTAGGAAACTGTGATCATAATCAGAAAGGATTCTTTCTCTCTTCCCTTTCTGCTCTGATAGGGGATGGATCACATACTTATATGGCAAGTTTTTTTTTTTTGAAGACAAGAGTTTCGCTCTCGTCACCCAGGCTGGAGTGCAATGGCGCAATCTCAGCTCACTGCAACCTCCACCTCCCAGCAATTCTCCTGTCTCAGCCTCCCAAGTAGCTGGGATTACAGGCGCCCGCCAACCACGCCTGGCTGATTTTTGTATTTTTTTAGTAGAGATGGGGTTTCACCATGTTGGCCAGGCTGGTCCTGAACTCCTAACCTCAGGTGATCCACCCGCCTCAGCCTTCCAAAGTGCTGGGATTACAGGTGTGAGCCACCACGCCCAGCCACATGGCAAGTTTGAAGTGTTTTTTTTTTTTATTTAAGATGATTGAGAAGTAGAGAGCAACATATGTCCACTGATTAACATCCAAATAAGTAATGGTTTTATTGTGGCATAGAAAGACTAGAGTAGGCCGGGTGCAGTGGCTTATGCCTGTAATCCCAGAACTTTGGGAGGCCAAGGCATGTGGATCACTGGAGGTCAGGAGTTCAAGACCAGCCTGGCCAACATGGTGAAACCCTGTATCTACTAAAAGTACAAAAATTAGCCGGGCATGGTGGTATGTGCCTGTAGTTCCAGCTACTCAAGAGGCTGAGGCAGGACAATTTCTTGAACCCAGAAGACGGAGGTTGCAGTGAGCTGAGATCATACGCCACTGCACTCCAGCCTGGGCGACAGAGCAAGAGTCTGTCTCAAAACAAAAAAAAGATTAGAGTATAAAAAAGATGGATTCATTTCTAATACCAGTTATGACAATTTAAGCCAGTTACTTAGGTCATGCAAAAAGCCATGTTTATAATTGCCTTAGGAAAAATTAAACCTCACTGATACAAACATTTAAAATTTCCAGTTAGAAATGGAGTTAGTAATTATGCAGGAGGTTTATTTATGAAATGCATAAAAATTAAATGTACACAAGACCTAATAGTGATTTATTTATTGGAAATGAAGGTCTTGTTTCAAAGGGAAGCAGAAATTCCTCAGAAAAAGCTGCCGGCCTACTCTAGTCTTTCTATGCCACAGTAAAGCCATTACTTATTTGGATGTTAATCAAGGGACAGATGTTGCTCTCTACTTCCAAGTCTGATGCAAAATAGGCATCAGACTTTCCTCTCTTGTGTGCTTTGAAAAGGTGTGGAGAACTTGGTGAACTATTCAAAGCCTAAGACATCAACTGACTACAGTTAAGTATAAAGAACATCTTGGTACATCTAGGATTCCTGTTCTCCTCAGTATTATCCCTAATGTGAGCACGGAGAGTGAATGTCCCTTTTTCAGCCACATATACATATAGTAGGGAATCCTCAAGTTGAAAGGATACTTGATGTCTTCCTTTTAGCCTGTGGTTTTTGCTAGGATCTCCATTTTTCTAAACTGTATATTAATTACTGGCATTAATGATTAGTTAAATAGGAGTATTCCAAGTGTTAAATTCCCCTAAAATGATAACCACTGTAATTAAATTAATTGAACGTGCATAGGAGACATTAACTCCAGATTGTTTAAAGCCAGACTGAGTTAAATAGTTATAGATTTTATGTATTTATTTATTTATTTTTAGGTTGAGTCTCGCTCTGTCGCCCAGGTTGGAGTGCAATGGTATGACCTCAGCTCACTGCAACCTCCGCCTCCCGAGTAGCTAGGACTACAGGCATGCGCCACAACACCTGGCCAATTTTTTTTGTATTTTAGTAGAGTCAGGGGTTCACCATGTGGCCCAGGCTAGTCTCAAACTCCTGAGCTCAGGCAGTCTGCCCGCCTCGGCCTCACAAAGTGCTAGGATTACAGGCGTGAGCCACAACGCCCAGCCTGGTATATAATTTTCTGTAGGAAATCTGGCTCCTTTGCCCCTATACCATTACTGGGTAATTAGTAACTAATACAGCTTCCTGAAATAAAGCACAGGAACAAATGGATGTCTTTTTAAAGGCCATACATAGTTGAGGCAATTTTAGTATATTTCCCAGAAACACTTAATTCAAGCATTAGAATATCATCTAGTCGCATTCCCTAATTTTTTACAGGTGAGACAACTGATGTCCAAAGAGATTAAAAATCTAGTTTAAGGCCGGGTGCGGTGGCTCACGCCTGTAATCCCAGCGCTTTGGGGAGGCTGAGGTGGGCGGATCACCTGAGGTCGGGAGTTCGAGATCAGCCTGACCAACATGGAGAAACCCTGTCTCCAATAAAAATACAAAATTAGCCGGGCATGGTGGCACATTCCTGTAATCTTAGCTACTCAGGAGGCTGAGGCAGGAGAATCGCTTGAACCCGGGAGGCAGAGGTTGTAGTGAGCCAAGATCACGCCATTGCACTCCAGCCTGGGCAACAAGAGCAAAACTCCATCTAAAAAAAAAAAAAAAGAAGTCTAGTTTAAGATGAGGGCAATAATCCAGTAGTAAATCTGGACTAAAATCCATGTTTTTTTTTTTTTTTTTTTTGGAGACAGAGTCTTGCTCTGTTGCCCAGGCTGGAGTGCACCTGGTGCAATCTCGGCTCACTGCAAACTCCGCCTCCTGGGTTCATGCCATTCTCCTGCCTCAGCCTCCCGAGTAGCTGGAACTACAGGCACCTGCCACCACGCCCGGCTAATTCTTTGTATTTTTAGTAGAGACGGGGTTTCACCCAGCTTAGCCAGGATGGTCTCGATCTTCTGACCTTGTGATCCACCCGCCTCGGCCTCCCAAAGTACTGGGATTACAGGCGTGAGCCACGGCGCCCGGCCTAAAATCCATGTTTTAAGATTAATTCAAATTGTGTAAAGATGTATCACAGAGATTTGTAGTAAGGTAAGTAATACATGAGTTTCTTTACTAAGAAGACTATCAGATACCTACAAATTGTTTTATACTGATTTAAATCAGAATTAGGTGTAAGTAAATTGTTTTTAAAGAATAATAAAGTTTACGGCCGAGCACGGTGGCTCACACCTGTAATCCCCGCACTTTGGGAGGCCAGGGCAGGCAGATCACGAGGTCAGGAGATCGAGACTACCCTGGCTAACACGGTGAAACCCCATCTCTACTAAAAATAGAAAAAATTAGCCGGGCATGGTGGCAGGCACCTGTGGTCCCAGCTACTCGGGAGGCTGAGGCAGGAGAATGGCGTGAACCTGGGAGGCGGAGCTTGCAGTGAGCCGAGATCGCGCCACTGCACTCCAGCCTGGGCAATAGAACAGACTCCGTCTCAAAAAAAAAAAAAAAAGAAAAAAAGTTTATTTAAAACATTTTCTTTGACACAGTTCAAGTGGTTTTTAAAATCCATCAGTGAATAAATATGTGGGAGTTTAAAATTTATCATTTGATCAGTGACCAATTAATTCAAATCCAGGAATCTGAAAGGGAATTTTAAAGTAGTCAGTTTCAGTTTCTTAACAGCATATAGTGGAACATCTTTTATTACCTGTAATAAGGAGTAGAGTGGCAAGGCATCATTATAAATATTGAAGCTGAAGATTTATTGGGATTGTTGTAACAAACTTTTTGAATATGACTCATGACATCAAGAGTACCTCGTTGATGAACTAAACCAGTATAAAGGGCGAGGAACAAATTTGATAAAAACAGGAAACTTAGAGCTGGTTTCTTCCATGTTTTCAGGTGGGTTAATGAGTATCCTATATGAAGATAGACATATTGAACCTTAACACTGACAATCTTTTGTTATGTTAACTGCAAATACATCTGTAATTTTTAATGGAAATAGCAAAAACTGTAATACTGTTATAGACAAATAAGAAATAAGCAATAAGTCATATCTCTGACCATTCACCATTCACTACTGTCATCTAGGTCTTGACTTTTTCTAGTAAAAGGTATTGAGGTATAGTGGAAAGATGATGGTTATGGAGTCCAACAGGTCCAGATTTGAATTCCAGTTCTAGCACAAGTCGTTTTACTTTGCTGGTCATTGGGATAATAGTACCTTATTCAAGTGTTAGAAAAAATGTCCAGTGACTGCCCTGGTACATAGTAGTTGCTAAATAAATAGGACTTTTAATTATTCCATTTACCTACCTCTTTAATCTCCCAAGCACTAATAATTGGTATTTTAGTGTGTAATACGAGTTTCAATAATGTGTCCTCTTAGGAAAATAAGCCATTGGGCACCTGGGAGATTTTCCGTAAGTATATGAGTGGAAGAAAAGGTGCTATGTCTTACATTTTTTTTCCCACAACAGTGGGAAATTTTGTTTTCCCACTACAGTCAGGCAATTTGGAGATGCTGAACAATTTTTCTTTTTTGATTTATGAAAGGGATTATTCTGTGGGGCAAAACAAAACAAAAAACCAAAGGAAAAAACCAAGTAGAATGAATAGACGGGTATAAAAGGATAAGTAAAAGTCTCTCTCCCCTCTGATAGTCCTTTTCTTCAGCAACAGCCACTATTAATGGACATATTAGGATCTACTGAGAATACAAAGAACAGGCCTTTCCACTGGAAAAGATTAAGCTTATTAGTAAGCATGACATTTTGTTCATAATTTACATACACTCTTTTTATAGAACTAGATAATAGTTCTTTTTGAACTTGGGTATTCTTCATCCAAACCTTGGTTTGCCCAAAATGTTAGTACAATACTGAATGGGACCAAGGCAGTGTTTTTTATTTTGTTCCTCCTATGAATATGTTAATATCATCCACAGTTCATACCTCATGAGTTGGAATATCACATGTCCATGTCACCTAGTATTTTTTAATCTACTTGAAATAGTTCTGATTAAAGAATAATCTGAAAAGTGGTGTGGTGAAAAATGTAGCAAGATTAAGAAAACTAAGCCTATCACTTAAATCTACATTTATAAGATGTTTGAAATGGTAAAATGAGGAACCTACTAAAAGGAATGATAATTAGAACTAGCTTTATTTGAAATAAAATAGCTGAGATGAGAGGATTGCTTGAGGCCAGGAGTTCAAGACCAGCCTGGGCAACATAGTGAGACTCCATTTAAAATAAAAAAAAATTAGCCAGGCGTGATAGTGCGCACCTGTAGATCCAGCTACTGGGAAGGCTGAGGCAGGAGGTTCACCTGTGCTCATGAGTTTGAGGGGACAGTGAGCTATGACCACGCCACTGCACTCCAGCCTGGGTGACACCCTGTCTCTACGAAAATAAAAATGAATAAAATAGGGCCAGGTGCGGTAGCTCACACCTGTAATCCCAGTACTTTGGGAGGACAAGGCAGGCGGATCACTTGAGGTCAGGAGTTCAAGACCAGCCTGGCCAACAGAGGTGAAACCCCATCTCTACTAAAATATAAAAATTAGCCGGGCGTGGTGTCAGAGGTTGCAGTGAGCCGAGATCACGCCACTGCACTCCAGCCTGGGCAACAGAGTGAAACTGTCTCAAAATAAATTAAAAAATAGGATTCTAAAAGTTCAACCATCTGTAATAACCCCAATCACAGACACAGCAGATCCCCAAATATAAGTTGAAGCACTTAACTTAGGTTGGTAGGCTAAAACAACATCTATTTTAGTAGGCTCAAATACAAAAAGCTACATTAAAGCCTTGTCTTTGTTTGTACTGCTATACTGGAATACCTGAGACTGGCTAATTTATATTTACTTGGCTCATGGTCCTGCAGGTTGTACAAGAAGCATCCACTGGTGAGGGCTTCAGGCTGCTTCCACTCATGGCAGAAGGTGAAGGGGAGTCAGTTTGTGCAGAGATCACATGGTGAGAGAGCAGAAGCAAGAAAGTGGAAGGTGCCAGGCTCTTTTGTACAGCCAGCACTCGGGGGAACTCTCATGGAACCTAATATAAGGAGAACTCACTTACTACTCCAGGATGGTGCCAAGCCATTCATGAAGGCTCCACCCCCATGATCGAAGCATCTCCCATTAGGCCCCACCTCCAACAGTGGGGATCAAATTTCAACTAAGGTTTAGGGGACAAACGTCCAAACTACAGCAAGCCCATCCTACAGCAAGGCCCGAGAAGATACAGTTTGTTCTCAATTATTTGAAGATACTTACAAGGTGAGCATGTGTAAAGTGATTCACTTATTAATAATTTGTTCATTCAAGGCCGGGGGCTGTGGCTCACGCCTGTAATCCCAGGACTTTGGGAGGCCAAGGCGGGCAGATCGCGAGGTGAAGAGATCGAGACCATCCTGGCCAACATCGTGAAAACCCATCTCTACTAAAAATACAAAAATTAGCTAGGTGTGGAGGCGCATGCCTGTAGTCCCAGCTGAGGCAGGCTGAGGCAGGAGAATCACTTGAACCCGGCAGGCATAGGTTGCAGTGAGCTGAGATCGTGCCACTGCACTCCAGCCTGGTGACAGAGCGAGATGTCGTCTCAAAAAAAAAAAAAAAAAAAAAAAAGAAACTATGGCACTAGGAATACAATAGTATAGGTGGGTGACACAAAATGGGAATACTTGGTGATCAAGACTGTGAAAATAGCACTCTGGGTAGAATGCTGGAAGATAACATGCTTGTGTTTCCAGCATCTTCAGTACTGGTGAGACAGAGCGTCTCTTAAGTTAGGTAATGCTTGCCTTACATGATGGTGATTTTAACTCTCTGAGCTTAGCTCATTTTAGGATGGATCATTTTAGTGAGAACTGAATCTCCATATTACTTAGAGAAGTAATATAAAGAAAATGCTGGGAAGAGAAGGAACAGCTGAACAATGCCAGGGAGAGTCAGGTGATAGCTTAGTTTTCTTGGGGACAGTGGATACTGAAACAGTTGCCATTCAAAATTGTCTTCAACAGTATTATGGATCCGATGAGCTTTTGTGTAATATTCTGGGAGCCTTACTACATGTCACAGTATTATTTCTAAGAAAAAAATATTTCAGGTTCCAACTTAAAAATGAAGTTTGGGGATAAAACCTTATTTAAAATAGAACTGTCTTTATGATTATTATTTTTTTGAGATGGACTCTCGCTCTTTCGCCCAGGCGGGAGTGCAAGTGGCATGATACCGGCTCACTGCAACCTCCACCTCCTGGGTTACAAGCGATTCTCCTGCCTTAGCCTCCTGGGTAGCTGGGATTACAGGTGCCTGCCGCCATGCCCGGCTAATTTTTGTATTTTAAGTAGAGATGGGGTTTCACCATGTTGGCCAGGCTGGTCTCAAACTCAGGTGATCTGCCCGCCACAGCCTCCCAAAGTGCTGGGATTACAGGCGTGAGCCACAGCGCCCAGCCAGAACTGCCTTTATTTACATGTTTAGCATCCTATAAGCATTACTATGCATTTGACATATAAAGAAAATATCTTTATAATTTCAGTTATCATCAAATGACTTGTGCACATGTTAGAAAAGAACCCAACTTTAGAGTATAAGTCAAGAGTCCTGAATTTAAGGCCTCTGAGGGGTTTTTAAACCTTCTGGCACTGAAAGCTTCCAAAGGGGATTTCAGAAATGAGTTGCTAAAGGAAGGGTTGGAAAGATTTTCCAGTTCCAATGCTAGACTGAGTGAACCACAAGAGAAGCCTAAGGTCCATGGTTTTCTTATAGACCAGTAGTATTGTTTCATCAATATTTAAAACAAATGAACAAGATTCCAGTAGGTGACATCCAGTAAGTCTACTTAATGGCACGCACAAATTTGGAGATGGAGTTCTCACTGAAATAATCCACCCTCAAATGACCTAGCTTCAGAAAGTGATCATCCCCACCACGTAAATGATGTGTATCCCAATCACTGAAGATTTAAGACTGTGTGTGTACCCCAGTGACTAAAGTATAGGTTCCTTCCTTTCACATAGTAACAACCCATTGCTAACTGGATGCTAAACATCACCCCTAAATACTTAATTTGCTCCTGTTATCTGGGCCTACAAAAAGATACTTGAAAGTCGGTATACAGAAAATTTCTGGAAGAACTGCTTAAGAAAGTGATAACAATAGTTACCTCTGGGGAATGGGACTAGATGACTTGAGGATGACACACTATTTTTGTACCATCGGCATTTATTTTTATAATAAAAAAATACACTGGGCTCCTATCAGATCATGTTCATCAGACTACTGTTACAGAAATGTTTAAAATCCATTACATCTCAGTTGACTACTCTTCAGGATAAAATCTAAAAACCTGAGCATATAAGAAGATACTTCATGAGGTGGTTCCTTTATAAAGCCATATCTCTTAATCATCATGTATTATTTAGCTTGATATACACACTTTAAAAATTTTGGATATCTAGCGTGGCATTCTGTATTTTCCAGCAATCACTAATACGTTCCTTCTTACCAAGGTAAGGTTCACGGTAATAGAGAGGATGGGAGTATCTGAGACTGTACATTGCTGATTCCATCCTGGTTTTGACAAGAATTATCAGGAAACCTAATGTTAAGAAAAAAAATCCCTACCACATTTTACCAATTAGAGAGATATCTGAGTTACTGTTTCTATTTTTAAATACTCTTTGAGAAAGCTTAGTTTCAGTGTTTAGATAAGAACAACAAAAGGTGGTTCAATTCTGGAATGGGACATACAGTAGAATGGGGCTGGGAAAGAGAGACTTTGAACTACTAACCATAATGAGGGTACTGGGCACAGATGAAGGTATCAAGAAGAATTTTTTTTTTTTAGACAGAATCTCGCTCTGTCACCCAGGCTGGAGTGCAGTGGTGCCGATCTCGGCTCAATGCAACCTCCACCTCCAGGGTTCAAGTGATTCTCCTGTCTCAGCCTCCCAAGTAGCTGGCATTACAGGTGCGTGCCACCACACCCAGCTAATTTTTGTATTTTTAGTAGAGACAGGGTTTCACCCTGTTGGCCAGGCTGGTCTTGAACTCCTGACCTCAGGTGATCCACCCACCTCAGCCTCCCAAAGTGCTAGGATTACAGGCGTCAGCCACTGGCAGCTGGCCAGGAAGAATTTTATGTTGCTATTTTGTTAAGGAAGTAAAGCCATCTTTCCATCTTCGATAGAATTCAACAGTTAATGCCTAAAACAAAGACCTTTAAGTGGCATTATAAATGTTTTAGAGATATCGAGATAAATACCAAAATAACCAGCTGAAAGAATGCTTAACTGATTGTTTTTGGGGAGAGGAAATAGGGAGAGCAGGGGAACAATTTTTTTTTTTAATTCCTTGTGGAATGTCTTCTGAAATAATGTACATATGCAATTTTGATAAAAAGATTAGAATATGGGGCCAGCTGTGGTGCCTCATGCCGTAATCCCAGCACTTTGGGAGGCCAAGGCAGGTGGATCATCTGAGGTCAGGAGTTCGACACCAGCCTGGTCAACATGGTCAAGCCCCAACTAAAAATACAAAAATTAGCTGGCTGTGGTGGCATGGGCCTGTAATTCCAGCTACTCTGGAGGCTGAGGCAGGAGAATCTCTTGAACCCAGGAGGCGGAGGTTGTAGTGAGCTGAGATTGCGCCACTGCACTCCAGCATGGGCGACAGAGAGAGACTCTGTCTCAAAAAAAAAAAAAAAAAAAAAAAGATAAGAATATGGAAAAACAAAGTGGCCCAGTAAGAGAGAAGTCTATATTAGCCACTGTGGTAAAAACAGATAAGCAGACACTCAACTCAGAATCAGTAGTGGGTGCTGAACTCTGTCAGCACAAATGAGAGATTCAAACTAAGAATTTAATTAGTGTTGCTAAAATATCACCTTTCTTTTACAGATAAGGAAAATGAGGCACATTGTTGAACAATTCACTAAAGATCAGAGCCAGTCACAAAATATATTTTCTAGAGTTGAGTCCTATTTTATAGGACTAAGGGAAATTCAAATTAGGCAAGAGAAGTTACCGTAGACTGAAAAAACTGCTGCAATTATTTTTCTTCCTGTGTCCCATCCCACTATGAGGTTGGCATTTATTTCCCCACCTCTTGAATCTGGCCTGGCCCAGTGACTTGCTTTCATGAAAAGAATGTGGTGGAAGTGACAGTATGCAAATTCCAAGCCCTTGTCTCAAAGGGCCTTGCATATTTGCTCCCTCTCTTGGAACCCGGCCTATGCCAAGTGAACAAGCCCTAGCTGGCCTGTTGGAGGAAGAGAAAACTCAGAAGAGCTGAGAAGACTTGGCCTACAGCTAGTTGAACCCCAGACATGAGAGCCCAGCCTAGGTCAATAGAGCTATCTACCCAATCTGCAGCTGTGTAAGTGAGCTCAGTGGAGATGAGAACTGCCCAGTTGAAATGTAGACCTGTAAATTATAATAAATGGAGTTTTAAGCCACTACAGTTTTGAGGTGGCCTTTTACACAGCAATGGCTGACAGAGTTGTCATGTTTACATAAAAATAGGTTAAAACAAGTCACACAAAGCAGAATAAGGCTGAAATTTGTGGTATAACTCAAGATTTCAAGTAGTTAGGAAAGATTCAAACTGGGTCACTAAAACATCAAGAGCTCCAAAGAGAACTGTTCTAAATGTCCAGAGATTTCTGTCTAGGTGACATCACTAGACAGAACTGATCCTACTGTTGGAACCTCTTGGCATTAAACAGCCCTGACTGTTAGTGGAAGTACAAATCTCCTAGGAATTAGAGTTTTTTGACCCACTCTAGAACCTTAGGTAGGGTGTGGAGGAAAAGAATGCATCCTGTGAGGAGATCAAGGGGTTTTCTAGGTTGCTGTCTTTTAGGGATCCTTCTAAGTAGACAGAGGATGGAAGAAGGGGTGATTCTTACCTATTAGAAGGGGCTCTCTTTACCCCTCATCAGCATTTTATCTCAATAAACTGTGAATAGGCCCTGGTTACAGGGATCTTGCCACTTAAAGATTCAATCTTTTAGACTGGCAATGAGGATTCAGACAACTCAATCTTTGTGTAAATACTTGGTAAAGCAACAGGACACAGAAGAGGAATGCTGGAAAAATCTGGTTTATGAAAACAGAAATCAAACCAAGTTACTAACCAACCTCCCCGTCCCCTCCAGGCACACAAAAACATTTGCCTTTGTACTCTGCCAATGCTTGATTTAATTATAATACACACTCAAGTGGCTGTAAAAAAACCCAACAGAACAGAAACCATTTAACATCTGAATAGTGATTTATGAACAGATTTCCTCTGACAAATGGGGCCAGCTATTCTTAAGGCTTGCCAAATAGCTGTTAGATGTCTAAATTTTTGTATGTGCCTGCGTTTGTATGTGGTTACACTGTAAAGTAATGACAGACTGAGGCTTTGATTTCAGAACTTCAGATGTATCAAAAATACAGATTTTTAATATTTGATTTTATATTTGTATGTTTATCTTCTTAAATTGAAGAGATTATACATCTCAGATCTGTAGGAGTTGATGTATACTTGGTCAAACATTGCCTAACTCAATGTTTTTCTTTTTTTTTAAGTAAAAAATAAGTTTGAAAACTGTAACTCCCTAGGTTTTTTCCAGCCTCCAGTTCCAGTTGGCTAGTCATTTCTTCTCTCTCAACGCTGTGATTTTTTTTAAGGTCTTAATATTTGAAGGAAGTCAACAGTCATTTATTCCGAATTAAACTTGAAGTTAATAAAGTTTCAATTCGTAATTTTTCCAAACCAACCAATGTAAAAACCCAGATTTTCCTGAATTGAGTCATGTAAGGATTTTTGTAAGTGACAAAAAAATACATGTTAAGACTGTGGAAAAATGGAGAAAAGGCCTGAATAAAATCAGGAGTTAATTACTTAAAAAATGGCATATGCCAGGCTGGGCGCGGTGGCTCACGCCTGCAATCCCAGCACTTTTGGGAGGCTGAGGCGGGTGGATCACCTGAGGTCAGGAGTTCGAGACCAGCCTGGCCAACACGGTGAAACCCTGTCTCTACTTAAAATACAAAAATTAGCCGGGTATGGTGGCGGATGCCTGTAATCCCAGCTACTCGGGAGGCTGAGGCAGGAGAATTGCTTGAACACAGGGAGGTGGAGGTTGCAGTGAGCCAAGATCGTGCCACTGCACTCCAGCCTGGGCAGCAGAGTGAGACTCTGTCTAAAAAGATAATAATAATAATTGCATATGCCTTAGAGTGAGTTTTAAAAGTGTAAATGTTTTGTGTGTAAAAGCATTAAAAACTAGTTTCAACAGCAGTAAATACATTTTTCCTTTGTGAAAATGAAGACCCTTACAGTTTAACCATAAACTTAAAATAGCTAATCTAAAAACAGACATGTTACTTTACTTTTTAGTGAGAAACACCACCACCAAATAGAAACACCACCACCAAAAACTGCTTTGGGTATTGGATATTTATGTGGGTTTTTTGTTTGTCTGTTTTTTGAGAGAAGGACTTGCCATATGGTAGGCTGGTCTCAAACTCCTGGGCTCAGGTGATCCTCCTGCCTCAGGCTTCTGAGTAGCTGGGATTAAAAGTGCACACCACTGCACTGGGCTAGGATCTTTATGTTTTTATCTCACTTTAGAGGATATAGGAAAAAAGATATTTGGACTACAAAAAGGGAATATTGCAGTAATATAATTAATCTGTAATTAAGTAATTCCTTATTAACCTAGTTGAAAATAGACATAGTTTAATGAGGATGTGTTGTCTTTAGACTATTTCTATATAATTTATTTTCTATAACAAACAAAAGCACTTACCACAGAACACCATACAGAATGGTAAAACTGGATAAATAAACCTGAATTCTTTGTGGCTCAACATGCTGTAATAAAAACAAATATTATTAAAAAATATTAATTATCATGTTATATGATAGATTGAGAAAGTAATATATTTAATATAAAATATATTTAACTTGATCTATTTATTTTCTAAGTATTCAGACTGAATTTCTTGCTTCAGAAATTCATCTTATTTTTTAGTTATAAGGTGATTATGATATGGTAAAACTAATCATAAAATATGATGTCAATTTGAAATTACAAAGTACAGTTACATTCTAAAAACGGGATTTCTATTTCAATCCAAGTAAGTGAAATTAGTCAAATTTGGAATAAGGATACATACATTTTTATTTTAGAATGTATTTCTGTGGTCCTTCAATTTAAAATTTTGGTAGTATTGATTGACTGATTGACTGAGACAGGGTCTTGTTTTGTCACCCAGACTGGAGTGCAGTAGCACAATCATAGCTCACTGCAACCTTAAATTCCTGGGCTCAAGCAGTCCTTCTGCCTCAGCTTCCCCAATAGCTAGGACTACAGGCACATGCCATCATGCCCTGGTAATTTTAAATTTTTTTTCAGAGAGAGGGTCTTGCTATGTTGCTCAGGCTGGTCATGAACTCCTTGCTTCAAGCAATCCTCCCACCTTGGCCTTCAAAGTATTGAAATTACAGGCATGAGCAACTGTGCCTGGTCTGTTTTTTTTTTTTTTAAAGCAAATAAAATTAGTCCAAGTTCTTAAAAATTGAGTGTAATCCTTATTAAGCAAACTACATATCTAAAGTATTCACTCTAGTGCCTCCATAATTACTACTACTTGTATCTTCTAAGATAATTCCCACTAACAAAAGTTAATGGCACCTCCAAAACATAAAGTTTACTTTTTGAAGAATTTAATTTGATTTCTTGGTAACATAAAAAATTTTAGCCTTTTGAACAAATAAAATCTTACCTATAAACAAGCAGTGTCCACAGCACAGTCACCAAAAGTATCCGGTATCTCTTTGGTGCTAGATAGCAGCCATGAATAAAGAAGGGTAAGTGAGTACCCAAGATAACTGGAAATCCTTGACTGAAGTACCAGTGCCATGGATGAGAACCATAAAATGTTCCCCAGTTCTGCAGCACGTTAAATTTCAAAAAATTAAATTGAACCAGAGTCCACTGGCACCGTTGAAGGAAAAATAAATAGAAATGTGTTAGTGCCAAGTAGTAATCTTTGGCATTAGGGGATTGATACAATTTTGACATTAAATCAGAATTGAAGTCTAAAAACCAGGCAATAGTTTACATTAATAATTTTTTTTTTTTTTTTTTTTTAAGATGGAGTCTTGCTCTGTCGCCCAGGCTGGAGTGCAGTGGCGCGATCTCGGCTCACTGCAAGCTCCGCCTCGCGGGTTCACGCCATTCTCCTGCCTCAGCCTCCCGAGTAGCTGGGACTACAGGCGCCCGCTACCACGCCCGGCTAATTTTTTCTATTTTTAGTAGAGACGGGGTTTCACCATGTTAGCCAGGATGGTCTCAATCTCCTGACCTCGTGATCTGCCTGCCTCGGCCTCCCAAAGTGCTGCGATTATAGGTGTGAGCCACCATGCCTGGCCTAATAATTTTAATTAATGACTGTATGAAATCCTTCTTAACTGTTATTTTTTCTTCTTTAAGTATTAATGTGTTCCTTGTTAATTTGTAAAACTAGATTTTTGAGATTCAAAGTGAGAATCAAACTTATATTTTGGCAGTCTAAGTTTGTGTTTTTATTTCAAGTTTTTGGGGTACAGATGGCTTCTGGTTACATGAATAAGTTCTTTAGAGGTGATTTCTAGGATTTTGGTCCACCCATCACCCAAGCAATGTACACTGTACCCAATATGTACTCGAAATAAGAATTTCTCACCCCTCTCTCACCCTTCCCCACCCTGAGTCACCAGAGTCCATTATATCATTCTTATGTCTTTGCATCCCATAGCTTAGCTCCCACTTATAAGTAAGAACATATGATATTTGGCTTTCCATTCCTGAGTTATTTCACTTAGAATAATGGCCTCCAGCTCCATCCAAGTTTTATATCCAGTTAAGAGATAAAGAGGATAGTAGACATATTTTTTGGACTGTGTGGTACTTTACAATGTGACATATTACCTGTGAAGATAAAGCTTTGAAAACATTACAATTTGAATTACAGCGTAAAGCTGACAATAATGACAGAAACAGCAACAGGTAACATTCAGTGCTCACTTAATAATTCCCTGCCTTAAAATGTACTCTCCTGAATATTAGCTAGGAGTACTAATTCTTTTATGTAGAAAGCACAACAAATTGAACCAAAGGCTTATTAGGATATGCCTAGAAGTCTTTTGTAATGTATCCCATATCATTTAAAAAATCATTTGCCTCTGTTCTAAAGTATTAATGGATTAAAAATAAAAATAGCTGTTAGCTTAATATACTTTTACTTACTTGGCCAAAAAAAATACGATCAATCATCAGAGACAAACTCAAAGTAACAAAGCTGAAAAACAAAAATAGCATAGTGATTCACATTTGGAGCTTGCTGAAAATCCACTATTAGCATATGGCTTTGTACGTGCCTTGCATCAAAAGCCACTATAAAAATGCTTTACAGTTTCACCAACTGAATATAGATTTACACATTTTGAAAGGTATCTACTGAAAAAGATCAGTAGATAAGATTATATAATCGATTAATATTGTAAAAAATATATTAATAAAAAGATTATTGAAAGACTACTGCTGTATAACAAATTACCCCAAAACTTGTTAACTTAAACTATGAATATTTACCATTTCATAGTTCCTGTGGATCAAGAACCTAGGTGTTGCTTAGCTGGGTGCCTCTGGCTCGAGGTCGCTCATGAATTGTAGTCAAGCTCTTAGCAGGGGCTACAGTTTCATCTGAAGGTTCAATTACAGGTGGAGAGATCAGCTTCCAAATTTGCTCACATGGTTGCTGGTGGGGCTAAGTTCCTCAACATATGGCCGTTTCCTTAAAGCTGCCTCATGACATAATTAACTGGCTTAACCCAGGGTAAGTCAGCCAAGAGTGAGTGAGACAGGCACCCAAGATGGAAGCCATAATCTTTTTATTTATGTATTCTTTTCTTTTTTTTAGAGACAGGGTCTTGCTCTGTCACCCAGGCTGGAGTGCAGTAGTGTGTGATCATGGCTCACTGCAGCCTTGACCTCCTGGGCTCAAGTGATCCTCCCACCTCAGCCTTCCAAGTAACTAGGACTACAGGTGTGTGCCGCCATGACTGGATAATTTTTGGATTTTCTGTAGAGATGGGGTCTCACTATATTACCCAACTGGTCTCAAACTCCGGGCCTCAAGCAGTACTTCCCCATTGGCCTCCCAAAATGCTGGGATTACAGATATAAGCCACTGTGCCTGGCCACCATAGTCTTTTCATAACCCAGTCTTGTAAGTGATATCCCATCCCTTCTGCTGTATTCTACTCATTAGAATTGAGTCGACAAATCTAGCCCATGTTCAAGGGGGAGGGGATTATACAAAGACATAAATAGCAGGAGGATGGGATCACTGGAGGCCATCTCAGAGACTGCCTCCAACAAACACATATACAGAAAAATACGCTATGAAGGTAAAGCTCTATGAATCATCACTACATGAACACAACTGTGTACCTGCCATACAGAGCAGGATAAAGAGTATTAGCAGCACCACCTTGTCCCTCCAATCAGTCAGTCCCTACCTCCTCCCCAAAAGTAACCCAAAGGTAACCCTTCCTCTTCCCAAAGGTAACCACTATCCTAATTTCTGATAACATAGATGAGTTTTATCTTTTTTTGAATTTTATAAGAATAGGATCATACCATATGTACTCATGTCTAAATTCCTTTAGTCATTGTGCTTGTGAGATTGAACCAAGTTTTTTTGCGTGCTGTAGTTCATTCCTTTACAATACTGTGTATTGTAACTATGTATACCACACTGTATGTATTCCTTCTATTGATGGACACTGTGCTTCCATTTCCAGCTATTGTGAATAGTGCTGCAATGAACATTCTTTTACACATCTTTTGGTATCCATATATGTGCATTTCTGTTAGACATATACCTAGGATTGGAATTGGTGGGCCCTAAGGTAGCGGTCCCTAACCTTTTTGGCACCAGGGTCTGGTTTCTTGAAAGACAGTTTTCCCACAAACAGGTTGCGGGGGTGGGAGTGGGGCATGGTTTCTGGATGAAACTGTTCCACCTCAGATCACTGGACATTAGATGCTCATACGGAGCACAACCTAGATCCCTTGCATGTGCAGTTCACAGTAGGGTTCACACTTCTGTAAGAATGTGACAGGAGGTGGAGCTCAGGCAGTAATGCTTGCTTGCTTGCTCACCTCCTGCTGTGCAGCCCAGTTCCTAAGAGGCCATGGACTGGGGCCAGTCCACAGCCTTGGGACTGGTGACCCCTGCCCTAAGTTGTAAGTGCAACTATGTATTTATTTAGCTTTTGTAAGTACTTAAAAGTTTTCCAAAATAGTGTATTAGTTTGCAGTCCCACAGGAATATATAAGTTCCACATCATTTTAGCCATTTGGGTGGATGTATAGTATAGTAGTATTTCATGGTGGCTTTACTTTGTTTTTCCTTGATAACAAATGAAATGAGTCTCTTTATATTTATTGGCCATTTTAATATTTTTTGAAGTACCTGATGAAACCTTTTCAATAATTTTTCTATGAGTTATCTTTTTCTTATAGATTTTTAAAAGTTTTATATATAATCTGGATGTAAGGTTTTATTTTTGAGATGGAGCCTCACTCTGTTGCCCAGGCTGGAGTGCAGTGGTGCAATTTCAGTTCATTGCAACGTCTACCTCTGGGGTTCAATCGTTTCTCCTGCCTCAGCCTCCCAAGTAGCTGGGATTATAGGCATGTGCCACAATGCCCAGCTAATTTTTTTGTATTTTTAGCAGAGACAGGGTTTCATCATATTGGCCAGGCTGGTCTTGAACTCCTGACCTCAGGTGATGTGCCTGCCTCAGCCTCCCAAAGTGCTGGGATTATAGGCGTGAGCCATCGTGCCCAACCACTAGAACACTTTAAATCACTGGGTAAGAATTACAATCCCTAACTGATGATGATTCAACCTACGATTTTTCAACTTTAAAATGGTACCCATACAGCCATTCTGTTTTTCACTTTCAGTACAGTATTCAATGAATTACATGAGATATTCAAATATTTTATTATGAAATAGGCTTTGTGTTAGATGATTTTGCTCAACTGTAGGCTAATGTAAGCGTTCTGAGCACGTTTATGGTAGGCTAAGCTGTGATGTTCAGTACGTTAGATGTGTTAAGTGCATTTTTGACGTAGAATATTTTCTTTGTTATTTATTTTGTTTAGAGACAGGTTATCACTCTGTTTCCCAGGCTGGAGTGCAGTGGAATGATCATAGCTCACTGCAACCTTGAACTCCTGGGTTGAAGGGATCCTCCTGCCTCATCCTCCCAAGTAGCTAGGACCACAGGCGTGCCTAGTGCCACCTATACTTGGCCAATTTTTAAATTTTTTTGTTGAGATGGGGTCTCATTATGTTGCTCAGGTTGTTCTTGAACTCCTGGTCTCCCAGGGCACTGGGATTACAGGTGTGAGCCACTGTGCCTTGCCTGACTTATGATATTTTCAACCTGCAATGAGTTTATCAAGATGTAACCCTGAGTCAAGGAGCATCTGTATTGTTATATCTTTTTCCCCCACAGACTTTGACTTTGAGAGCAGACACTGTATCTTACTCACTTCTGAATTATCAAATGCTGGATACAAAGTAGGTTAAATGCTTATTAAATGAATAAGTTATTATCATGCTGCTGATGAGATTAAAAAGGCTTTCTATCTCCCTCAGTGGTAAAGCCGATAGGAACTGAGCCCCTGCTATCTCTCTGACCTCATTATTACATTCTCCCAAACTCACTCTCTTTTAGCCACATCAGTCTCCTTGCTGTTCCTTGAACATGCCCAGCATACTTAGTACTTGGCTGGCCCCTTTGCCTGGAATACTCTCTCATCAAGTAACTACATGGTTCACTCTCTCAACTCCTTTAAGTTTTGGCTCCAGTGTCACCTTATCATGGTGATCTTTCCCAACTACCCTATTTAAAAATAACAGCTCCCCCATTACCCCAAGCACTGGCATTCTATCCTTCTTATCCCACAATTATTTTTCCCTGTATTACCATCACTTGACAAATATATATTTACTCTTATCTTTTTAGCTGTCTGTCTCTCCCTACTAGAATGTAAACTTCATGAAGGCAGGTACTTTTTTTGGTTAAACTGATGCATCTCCTACATCTGGAACACTGCCTGGCACATAGTAGGATTAAATAATTCCTGAATGAATGAATACATTTAATGCAATGTTATTAATACATCTGAGAAATGACAACAGTAGCAACTGAGATGCAAGATAATTTAGTCCTTTTCAGATTGCTACCCGAAAAATACTTGTGACTAGTGAATACTAGTACAGTCATGCATTGCTTAACAATGGGGATACATTCTGAGAACTGCATCATTAGGCAGTTTCATCATTGTGCAAACATCATAGAGTGCACTTACACAAGCCTAGATGGTACAGCTTACAGACATCTAGGCTATATGGTATAGCCTACTGCTCCTAGGCTACAAACCTATACAGCATGATAGTATGCTGAATATTGTAAGCAATTGCAACACAATGCTATGTATCTGTGTATCTAACTATAGCTAAACAGGCTGGGCATGGTGGCCCATGCCTGTATTTCCAGCACTTTGGGAGGCCAAGGTGGGTGGATCACCTGAGGTCAGGAGTTTGAGACTAGCTGGCCAACATGGTGAAACCCCAACTCGACTAAAAATAAAAAAATTAGCCAGGCGTGGTGGCAGGCGCCTGTAATCCCAGCTGTTTGGGAGGCTGAGGCAGGAGAATCACTTGAACCTGGGAGGCGGAGGCTGCAGTGAAGTGAGAATGCACCACTGCACTCCAGCCTAGGTGACAGAGTGAGACTCCGTCTCAAATAAAAAAATATATATAGCCAAACAGAGAAACTAAAGTACACTAAAATACGGTAATATAATCTTATGGGACCACTGTCATAAATGCAGTCCAGTGCTAACCAAAATGTCATTATGCGGTGCATGATTGTATATTAAAAAGATTACTGTTGTAAGAGTCAGAATGCAGTCATCCCTTCAGTAAATAATTATTCGGGGTAGTCTACTAGATACTTGGGATACAACTCATCCTAGGAGCTCATAGTGTAGTTAGAAGATGTGGGTTTCAATACCAGTATAGCAACCAGCCCAATGACTTTGACTAATACATTTTAAATTTCTGCGAGCCTCCTGTTTTCTCTACTACAAAATAAAAACATATATTGCCTAGACTGAAGTATTATGAAAATTATGAGGTAATATGTGAAAACACATTATGAATTATAAAGCCTTATACAAATGTAAAAGAATCAAGTATCTCTAAAATATATGTGAGAAATATTTAGGAAATAAAGCATTGGAAAACACTAAGTTAGAAATAATTACAAAAGCACTCAGTTAAGCAAATTAAAATAGTTATAATCAGGATCATAAATAAAAAATATAAGTTTTGCATTATTCTATTTCCTTGGACTAAGAGTTCTCATTGACATTAGAAGATAAAATAATTAACTGAAAGATGTAAAATCTTGTTCGTAATCTGTGATTTGTAGGCTACTAAAATAAATGGATGGATTATTGCCACACTTACCCTACAGGTAAAAAATGATGTAGAATAAGATCAAGCTTTCTTGGTTCTTGACAGAAATGTCTGAAGAGCAAAGGTGTCCACAGAATGACAGCTGTGGGACGAATTATGAAGGCAAGTGCCACCAGGGATGAGTATTTGACACTATAAGAGGAAAATGTGTGATAAGACAAGTGGGAAATTAACTTGAAGTTATCTATCATTTACACTGTGATTTGACATTTTCCTTTTGGTATAAATAGCTATATGAACTTTTTTTTGTTTTGTTTTGTTTTGTTTGAGACAGAGTCTCACTCTGTCACCCAGGCTGGAGTGCAGTGGCATGATCTTGGCTCACGGCAACTTCTGCCTCCCAGGTGCAAGTGATTCTCCTGCCTCAGCATCCCGAGTAGCTGGGATTACAGGTGTGTACCACCATGCCCGACTAATTTTTTGTATTTTCAGTAGAGATGGGGTTTCACCTTGTTGGCCAGGCTGGCCTCAAACTCCTGACGTCAGGTGATCTGCCCACCTCAGCCTCCTAAAGTGCTGGGATTACAGGCTAATCCCCATGCCAGGCTAATTTTTTGTATTTTTAGTGGGAGACAGGGTTTTACCATGTTGGCCAGGCTGGTCTCAAACTCCTGACCTCAGGCGATCCGCCAGCCTCAGCCTCCTAAAGTGCTGGGATTACAGGCAGGAGCCACAGTGCCTGGCCTAAATAGCTATATTAACTTTTGCAGGTTACTTACGCTTTCTGGGTCTTAGTTTTTCTTATCTTTTAAAAAAGGTAATATCTAAAGCCGTTTTCAGTGCTCATCTTCTAATTCTAGTATTTTCAAATAAGAAGTTATCATATGTCTTAATGCCAGTCTTGTGTGCTAAAAAGCATGCTTTTTACCTCATAACTTTGCCAATTACTTTCTTGATTGAAAAAAAAATGATCAAGTTTCTCCTAAGGAGCTATAAGAAAGTCATAAAGAGAGGCTTTCTCTAAGAAAAAGCATGAGCATTTAAAGAAACAGGATTATTTAGGCAGTGATGGGCTCAGAGTATTTAGAATTTTGTTTTGAAAGTTAATTTTAGCCAAGTGAAATATATATGCATACAACTGATAAAAGGCCTACTGTATAAACTGTATGATCATGGATAGAAATACAGATTTTTATTAACAGGACTTCTCTAAACTAATGGTTGAAAGAGACAATTTGATAATTTAATCATGAGGACTATGGATAGTATATTATTATGTGGAAAAATACTTAGTCCTGTAAAAAATTAAAAGAAAGCAAAATAAGACAACCTATATTACCATTATATACCTATTAACTAATAAAAATAACTATAAAGAAATCTGTAGGCCAGGTGTGGTGGCTCAGGCCTGCAATCCCAGCACTTTGGGAGGCCGAGGTGGGTGGATCACCTGAAGTCAGGAGTTCAAGACCAGTCTGGCCAAAATGGTGAAACCCTGTCTCTACTAAAGATAGAAAAAAATTAGCTGGGTGTGGTGGCAGGTGCCTGTAATCCCAGCTACTTGGGAGGCTGAGGCAGGAGAATCACTTGAACCTGGGAAGTGGAGGTTGCAATGAGCTGAGATCATGCCATTGCACTCTAGCCTGGGCAACAACAATGAAACTCCATCTCAAAAAAAAGAAAAAAAAAAAAGAATGAATTCTGTAATGTTGATGAGGATGTAAGCTCAAGGATAACACATTCAAATGCTTACAGAGACCCAGTAAACTATAAAAATGAGAAATGGGGCTGGGTGCAGTGACTCACGCCTGTAATCCCAGCACTTTGGGAGGCCGAGGCAGCTGGATCACTAGGTCAGGAGTTCAAGACCAGCCTGGCCAACATGGTGAAACCCCATCTCTACTAAAAATACAAAAATTAGCTGGGCGTGGTGGTGCGCGCCTGTAGTCCCAGCTACTCGGGAGGCTGAAGCAGAATTGCTTGAACCCAGGAGGCAGAGGTTGCAGTGGGCCGAGATGGAGCCACTGTACTCCAGCCTGGGCGACAGAGAGAGACACTGTCTCGAAAAAAAAAAATAAAATAAAAATGAGAAATGTAGGCTAAGTTTGAACCATGGTATTGTCATGAAGGAATCCTAGCCCAAAATACTATTAGAACTTCCAATTTTTCAAGAGAAAGTTGAAATCCAGATTTTGATACATGAGCTTGAAATTTAGGCCAGGTTTGGTGGCTCATGCCTGTAATCCCAACGCTTTAAGAGGCCGTGGTGGGAGGATTACTTGATCCCGGAGTTGAACACCAGCTGGGCAACCTAAAGAGACCCCATCTCCACAAATTTTTTTTTTTTGAGACAGTTTTGCTCTTGTTGCCCAGGCTGGAGTGCAATCGTGTGACCTCGACTGACTGCAACCCCTGCCTCCTGGGTTCAAGTGATTCTCCTGTCTCATCCTCCCGAGTAGCTGGGATTATAGGCATGCACCACCAAATCCAGCTAATTTTGTATTTTTAGTGGAGACGGGGTTTCACCATGTTGGCCAGGCTGGTCTCGAACTCCCGACCTCAAGTGATCCACCCGTCTCGGCCTCCCAAAGTGTGGAGATTACAGGCGTGAACCACCACACCCGGCCAATAGTTGCATTTTTTAAAGGAGTGTGCAAAATGTCATTTTATTGTCAGGTCTGGAATAGTATCTGTCATGCTTATACAAGGAAAAATGCTTATATAGCAGTCCTTTTGTACCATGTGACCCTTGCGCTTCCTGACTGAATTAGGGAAGGGCACCTGGGCCCAGGTAGCCAATCTAAGGCTGGCCAGTGTGAAATAAAGTTATGTCCAGATAGAGACAATGAGATTTAATGGACCTAATTCGATTCTCTCAAGCTGAACGTGAGATATGGAGAAATCTGGGTAATTGCTAGCAAAAACAGAAGTGGAGAGACTAGCTAAGCCCCTAAATGATGGAAGACTAAGGCAGGATTCATAGGCTATTTGGGATATAAAGGCACAACAAAACAGTCCATTCCCCAAAACTGCCTTGGATTCTGCATAACATTTCAATTCATTTGTGTGGCTCAGATATTCTACAGTTTTCTTCCAGTCCTAGCCACAAGGCTTGAGATGCCCATTTTCCCTTTTAGCCTTAAAATAAAGTCCTCATCATATACGTAACTTGAGTGAATGCTTTTTCTTGTAGTTAAGAGAGTCTAAGACAGAAATGATCTTATTTGATTTGATCATCCTAACAACCTTTTGTGTAGGAAGAATGGATACTAGAATTTTAACTAGATCCCAAATTCTGGCTTTTCTCCTTTCAGTATATCCTAAATACTGCTATTACAAAAGAAGTTTTTCAAAATCAGATTTGATTATGTCATGCTACTCAAACGCCTCAAATGGTTCCCTATTACCTACAGAATAAAATCCAAATTCAAAGTCTCATTCCAGCCTCATCCCTTCTTCTTCTCTTCTTCCATGCATCCTACAACACTCTATAACTACTCTGGACAATCTGCCTTGAATATACTGTAACTGTAACTGTAAATGGAGCCCATTTACAGTTCTATGCCTTCACTCATGTTCCCATTGCGTGGTATTTGTTTCCCCAGTTTAAAGGAAGCCAAATAAAGTCCAAGTATTTCCTATTTGCCCTTCCAAAACTCTTCTCCTCCAGCCTTTATCCAGTCTGCACGCAGGAAAGCTGACCTGAATGGACAGCATCAGTGGCTACCTTGCTTTCTGGCTTCTGACTGTTTTGGGTTGAGAGGCAGAAGAGTTGGGTCAGGATTATTTAGTTCCCTGGCTGTCTCCTCATTATTGCTAAAGGCTGGCTGTGCCTGTCCCTGCTGGGGCACTCTCTTACAATTACAGCTTTTTATAGATTCCAGTAACCATTTCTTCTCCTTGCTCCTTGGGGCCTAGAGATAATACAGACTTCCTACTATAACCATGCTGGGGGTACTATGGTGTTTCCTTATTGGCTTTTCTAAATATTGTCTAAACCTTTGCAAATATTCCTTTTGTTAAACTCTCCTTAATTATCCTGTTTGAGTATTATCTGTTTTCTGCTATAATATATCAACTGAAAATTTGTGGTTCTCATGACTCATGAAAATTAGGGGGTCTACTAGACATTACAATATGTTGATATTTAAGATTTTTCAAAAGTAGAATTTTGAACATAATTATTAACAATAATTTTTCTTACCTGTTCATAGACTTTGAACCTTCCAAAGGATAGTAGAAAAGAGCAATTATAGTGAGAACAGTTTCCATGGTGTTTGTAAGGGTTCTGGTACAGCAATACCATGTGAACCAGGAGCACAACTGGCAAAAAAACTAAGAAAAAGTACAGAGCAAACATATATGAAATTGGAAATGGAAAACCTTAGTACATATTATCTTCTAAATAGCAAGCAAGTCTAAATATTGTGAAAAGGACATCAAAAGGTAGATGATGTTAAAGTAAGTAGGCATGCCCAAACGTCGTTTTTAGAAAGTTACATGAAACACAGGTTTATGATAATAGCAGATCTATATTTGTTCATGTTAAGAAGTTTATACTTTCAGGTGCATTTTTATGGCACTTCATTTGATTTAAAATCCCACTTTCCATTAATGAAACACATAAAAAACAGATTCTTTGATGGTAGAGTTTACAGATGATTGAAATTCATAACTAGATTCTTCCAATCAATATTTCTCAAACTGTCTTATAGTACTGACACAAGTATTATGACTGTTTTTTTGTTGACCTTGTTTGGAATGTTGCACTTGTTTGGAATGTCTCCCTGTTTTGGAACGCTGATGAAAAATTAAGACAAAAGAGGAAAGAGGAAAAAAAAGTCAGGAGACATTATTAAATTTTAATTTGGAGATTGACTAAATTAATGAATCAGTTTTTGGAAGAACATGCACACAGAGCACCATTAAGTCTACAAAACAAATGTGTTAAAAGAAACTTGTTAGTTGAGGCAATTGTTAAGCATGTGGCACTAGCTTCCCATCTCACCAAATATAGCCTTTAAAAAATGTTCCCAATTTTCATGAAAGTAAAGGTTTTCCCTAAACTAGAAGAACCTAGTGCTGTATCCTTTTTTTTTCTTCGAGAAGGAGTCTTGCTCTTGCTCTGTCACCCAGGTTAGAGTGCAGTGGCACAATCTCTGCCTCCTGGGTTCAAGCAATTCTCCTGCCTTAGCCTCCCGAGTAGCTGGGATTACAGGTGTCTGCCACCACGCCTGGATAATTTTTGTATTTTTAGTAGAGACAGGGTTTCACCGTGTTGGCCAGGCTGGTCTCGAACTCCGGACCTTGTGATCCGCCCACCTCAGCCTCCCAAAGTGCTGGGATTATAGGGGTGAGCCACCATGCCCGGCCCTAGTGCTGTATCTTTGGAGGAAGGACTTCAAAGCCATCATGACTTTTGCCTACCATTTTATGTTGAGCCTTCTGCAATGTACATAAAGTATAAGCACAAAATAATGAGGCTAACCATATTGCTGAATCAATTAGCAAGGACTTAGTTGCTAAACCAATCTTTCTTTTTAATGCAAAGGAATAGAATACCTGCAGAAATGTTCCCTTTCTAATTTATTAATAAATTATATTTCAGAAATATGTTGCTAAATTGGTTACTTGGAATTTAGAATGTATTTTCCAATAGAAACAATATAAAAAAGGTAGTTAAGACTTTCAAACAGGCTCATATAAGCTTATTAACTTTACAAAGAGCCAAGTGAATTAACGACAGTACTACAGAATCCAATCCCTCATCAGGGTATTGTTTAAATGGGAAAAATCCATTCAAGATTGGAGTGGGAGATGTCAGGAATCTATCTTCCCACCTTGAAATAAGTCAAACGACAAAAGATAGTCTTGCATACTATACTTTCTTCCTTACATGAGTCCAGTAATTGCACCAACCTAATATTGTTGTGGCACAAACGACAATTACTTTTGCACCAACCTAATACTTCCAACATCCCATTCAGAAGTGAGAGTTTCAGTGCAAAAAGATTTCTCGGGCTGCACCTCAGATAGAGGCTGGCTAGAGGAACAGAACAAGGGTTGTAAATAGCTAAGATGCTTTGTGAGGTAGCTGGTAATTTAGAACGATCCCTACTCAATTCTATGGAAAGAGAGGCAAGGACAGTTTTGAGGAGTGAAGGGGCTTCCAAAGGTTGTCTCCCAGGGTTTAGACTCTCATAGGGTTTGAGGGCATCAGTGGCTTACACTGTGCAGGGCTTAATCCGAAGGAAAGATATGGCAGGTGCCACTTGCATATTACTGTTCTTATTTATGGAAGTACCTCTATAAAGTTGTATGAATTATCTTCTAAAATTGTTTTGGGAATCAATGTTTCCATGTGCTTTATACCCATAGGAACGAAATAACTGGCATACAGCTTCTAAAGTATTTAGGACTTACCACCCATCTTGCCACTTCCTGATTTTCTAGTTGCTTCATTAATGAGTAAAGTCTCACATCTGCTACAGCAGACAGAAGTGCTTGGGCAAGTCTAGGAATCCAAATCTTCATCAGTTAAAAAGAAGAACAGGATGTTAAAAATATCTGTTGGTTCAAACTGAATTATGATAAAAGTCAACAAGCTGATCCAACTATCTATGGGAAGCCATTCTTAGTACAAAAATAGGCAATATATTTTTCTATTCTTCCACAAAACTACATCCCTACATCCCCTTTTCTACAAAAATTATATTCTCATTAAAATAATCAATGTAGTTTTAAGTTTTACCAGTCTCATTCTCTGTATGTGTGTGTATATATGACATATATACACATATGTTATATATAAAATATATTATAAATATAAATATATATATTTATATATAAATATGATATTTACCAGTCTCATTCTCTGTATGTGTGCATATATATGACATATATACACACACATATATTATAAATATATTTTTAAATTATTTTTTATTATATTGATTGATTGACAGGGTCTCACTCTGTTACCCAGGCTGCAGCCTTGAATCCAGGAGTGAAGCAATTTTCCTGCCTCAGTCTACTGAGTAGCTAGGACTTCAGACATGCACTGCCACACTCAGCTAATCTTGCCTCAAATGATACTTCCACCTTGGCCTCCCAAAGTGTTGGGATTACAAGCGTGAGCCACTGTGCCTGGCCCTAATTTTAATGTAAATATTAATAGCCAGTCATTTAATTGTGTTAAGTTTCTGTTTTATTTATTTATTTTTATGAGACGTATCGCTCTGTCGCCCAGGCTGGAGTCCAGTGGCGCAACCGCGGCTCACTGCAAGCTCCGCCTCCCGGGTTCACGCCATTCTCCTGCCTCAGCCTCCCACGCCCGGCTAATTTTTTTGTATTTTTAGTAGAGACGGGGTTTCACAATGTTAGCCAGCATGGTCTCGATCTCCTGACCTCGTGATCCACCCGCCTCGGCCTCCCAAAGTGCTGGGATTACAGGTGTAAGCCACCGTGCTCGGCCAAGTTTCTATTTTAAAAGTATATTTATATTCATTAGCAACAACAGGTTTTTAAAAATTCAAATATTTGCAGCACTGTGTACTATGTATCATGCTATTTTATATGTATCAACTCATTCAGTCCTAACAATCTTCTGAGTCAAGAACTGTTTTATAGATGAGGAAACTGAGGCACAGAGAGGTTAACTAATTTTCCAAGGCTGCACAGCTAGTAAGTATGAAAGCCGGCATTATAAACCCAGGTCTGCCTGACTTTAATTACTAAGTTATGCTGCTTCTCTATCCTGCAATATAGATAATAAGATAATATTATGTATAAGATAATAAGATATAAAATAAGATAATAAGAAATACTTTTTTTTTTTTTGAGACGGAGTCTTTTTTTTTTTGGAGACAGAGTCTCGCTCTGTTGCCCAGGGTGGAGTGCAGTGGCACGATCACGGCTCACTGCAAGCTCCACCTCCCAGATTCCAGCAATTCTCCTGCCTCAGCCTCCTGAGTAGCTGGGACTACAGGTGCACGCCGCCACGCCCAGCTAATTTTTTGTATTTTAGTAGAGATGGGGTTTCACCATGTTGCCCAGGCTGGTCTCGAACTCCTGAACTCAGGCAATCCGCCTGCCTCGGCCTCCCAACGTGCTAGGATTACAGGAGTGAGCAACCGTGCCCAGCGAGATGGAGTCTTGCTCTGTCGCCCAAGCTGGAGTGCAGCTGTGTGATCTTGGCTCACCGCCACCTCTGCCTCCCAGGTTCAAGCGATTCTCCTGCCTCAGCCTTGTGAGTAGCTGGGACTACAGATGCATGCCACCACGCCTGGCTAATTTTTTGTATTTTTAGTAGAGACGAGGTTTCACCATTTTAGCCAGGATGGTCTTGATCTCGTGACCTTGTGATCTGCCCGCCTCAGCCTCCCAAAGTGCTAGGATTACAGGCATGAGCCACCGCACCTGGCTAACAAATTACTTTTTAAAAAAGCACAAATATTCTGCAATTATAGGAACATGGTATTCAGATGACATTAAAGAGTAAATTTAAGTGTAAAACTGAAATAAAGACTAAATGTATTACAACTAAATTATAGTTAGAAAGGCTAATGCTATGCACTAGCATCTCTCAGAGTTAAAAAAAAAGGTGTCATAGTTAACACTAACAAAATAACAACTGCTGGTAGAGCACAATTTAATCTTGGTTTGTTTAAAAGATGTGTTTCTAAAAATTTATACGTGAGTTTATTTATTTTTTTATTTTGTGTGTGTGTGTGTGAGACAGAGTCTCACTCTGTCATCCAGGCTGGAGTGCAGTGGTGCGATCTTGGCTCATGGCAACCTCCACCTCCCAAGTTCAAGCGATTCTCCTGCCTTAGCCTCCCAAGTAGCTGGGATTACAGGTGCCCGCCACCATGCCTGTATAATTTTTCTATTTTTAGTAGAGATGGGGTTTCACCATGTTGGCCAGCTAGTCTCGAACTCCTGACCTCAGGTGATCCACCCCCCTCACCCTCCCAAAGTGCTGGGATTACAGGCGTGATCCACCGCGCCGGCTGTTAATTCATATTTTTGTTGAAGCAAACTTCATTAAGTCCACATTATAGGAGCTGCTTTACTTTTAGTTGTCAGTGGCTTTTAGCACTTTATTTTCTTTTTGTCCACAATGTGTAAATAAATGCTAAAATTGGAAAGTTAAAGGTACCCAGTACTTAATTTCACATAAACTGTGCCCTGTAAAATACAGGAAAAGGCACTCATGTACATACCTTCTGTTTACTCTGCATAGGGAGCTATAAGCTTCATCCTTACTTCCCAGGCCCCCTGAAAGCAGTTCATATGAAAAGTCAATTTGGCTACAAACTTAATATGAGCCAACAGTGTGAGGTAGCTATTAAAAAGCTAAAAGAATTCCTGTGCTCTGAGAAATGTAAGTTAATGGACCCACCATATTCTGAACTAGTTACTCTGCCTTCATTATTGTGTCAGTTTGGAGATCCACATTTTAAGACGGATATTAATAAATTACAAAGTGTCTAGAGGATACTATCTATGATTATGAGGTTAAGAGCTAGAGACATTTACCCCGAATAAAGAGAAGTTTTTCAAGGGTGGTTAAGTAGAAATCTTGAATTTAAAACAAAGTAGACTTTCGCATAACAATAAGCGGAGTTCTGAACTCCCAGTCATTAGCAGTTTCTCCAGATTTTTGATGCCATAATTTTCCATGTTACAGTAAGGACCTGCTAAAGAGTAAAATAAAGCAGTGGAGTGAGGTAAAGAGAAGAACATGCCAGGCGTAACTTGAGCACTAGGCCTATGTTGGTAGCTCCTCATTCCATACTTCTGTTCTTTACACTCCTGACTCCTCCCCTAAGCTACAGGAGCCAAATACCCTTTTGTTGTCTTCTGACTATTCAAAGACCCTACTGTTGGCAAGCTTGGTGGCTCACCCCTGTAATCTCAACACTTTGGGAGGTAGAGGCAGGCAGATCATTTGAGTCCAGCCTGGCCACGGTGAAACCCCGTCTCTACTAAAAATACAAAAATTAGCCAGGTGTGGTGGCAGACACCTGTAATCCCAGCTACTCGGGAGGCTGAGGCAGGAGAATCACTTGAACCCGGGAGGCGGCAGTTACAGCCAGCCAAGATGGTGCCACTGCACTCCAGCCTGGGCGACAGAGTGAGATTCCATTTCAAAAGAAACAAAACCCAACAAACCTTACTGTGGTTCCCCATTCAGGTTTCCCCTCCTCTTCCTCTTTCTTTTTACATGTTCCATGCCATCACAGGCCAAAAGACATATAACATGAGCCACATGTGGAATTTTAAATTCTATAGCTGGCAAATTAAAAAGTAACAACAGAGATGACCCCCAAATCCAAAACAGGTAAAATTAATTTCATCTTGTCTAACCCAATATATCTAAGGCATCATCATTTGAACATTTAATCAATAAAAATTATAAAAATATTTTTATTCTTTTTTTGTACTAGGCCTTTGACATTCAGTATGTATTTTACATTTTCAGCACTTCTCAAATTGGACTAGCCACATTTGAAGTCTTCAACAGCTACATGTAGCTAGTGGCTACCATGGTGGACAGTGCAGCTCTAAGCCATCTATCCTTTTTAAAAATTTTTTGTAGAAACAGAGTTTTGCTATGTTGCCCAGGCTGTTCTCAAACTCCTGGCCTCAAGCAATCCTCCCACCTCAGCCTCCCAAAGTGCTGAGATTACAACTGTGAGCCACCATGCCTAGCTGTGCATAAGCCTTATGCAGTTTGTAGAGGAGCCATCTGGGAAGAGCACTAGGCTGTGAGTAAATAGACCTGGGATTTAGCTCTAGTTCTGCTTTTAACACGTTGTGACCTTGGTCTATTTACTTCACTTCTCCAACCTCTTCTAGCTTCAAAATTATGTATATAATTTGCTTAAAATAATCAATATGAGAGTATGAATGACTGATCATATCCTAATGAATCTCTACAGGGTCAAGTTCTAGATACGACAATGAGTTCCTTTTAGAGGGGTTGGAGCAGGTCAGGGGAGGCTTCCTTCACATCACAAAATGACCTGGTGGGTCAGCTACAGATGGAGGGCAGTGGATAGGTCTTGGAGGAGCAGGAAATTTTTCTATCTTGAAGACCTCTTCATTTGTAATCTGACCTACTTCCTGGGATATAAACTGTCATTGATGAGATTATGTATATTTTCTTGTGATTCCAGACTTTATGGATACCTTGCATAATCTATAAACTAGTAGATAACTGTAAGAGAAGAAAAGCCAGGTTGCGGCTCCTAAATTCTGCCTGTTGTTAATGGAAGAAACTCTGCTACTGCTCTGAATTCTCCTTCCCCATCATCTTCCCATTTGAAGCATCGGTTTCACTGGTTTAACCCTAATTTCTCAATAACGGAAGCAAATATTGCAATGGGGAGAGTACAACCCCACCTTAAAACAAATACCCTAGAACCTGTGTCTTTCTAAGCTACACAAAACACGTCAGGATTTGGACTGCCTTTGGAATGCTGAGCCATTAACCCCCACTGACAGAAATCGGGGGGAGCACAAACTCTGAGTCTCATCTGATGACAGCTTAAAAGATCATGGGAGTGAGGCTAGAGAAACTTTTACACCATTAGTCCTGCCCTTGTACTATCTCCTGGCAACTGACCCCAGCAATTAATAGCCTAGGAATTACAATCCTACTTACTGTTGATGCCTAATTACTATATAGGACGATGATTATGCAGATCATTAAATGTTTGTCAAATTAAAAATTTTAAAGTTTTAATTTCAACACTAAATCCTCAGTGGGTTTAGATGTATACAGACTTCATAAAATCATATCACACGGTCTTCTTACAAGGTAAAAAACACAAAATACAACGGTGCTCTCAAGTGATACTTTTTTTGCGGGGGATGGGGGAAGGAGTTTCGCTTTTGTTGCCCAGGCTAGAATGCAATGGCGTGATCTCGGCTCACCGCAACCTCCACCTCCTGGGTTCAAGTGATTCTCCTACCTCAGCCTCCAGAAAGTCTGAGATTACAGGCATGCGCGACCACACCCGGCTAATTTTGTATTTTTAGTAGAGACGCGGTTTCTCTGTGTTGGTCAGGCTGGTCTCGAACTCCCAACCTCAGGTGATCCGCCCGCCTCGGCCTCCCAAAGTGCTGGGATTACAGGTGTGAGCCACCGCACGGGCAGATCACCTCAGGTCGGGAGTTCGAGACCAGCCTGACCAACACAGAGAAACCCCATCTCTACTAAAAATACAAAATTAGCCGGGCATGGTGGTGCATGCCTGTTATCCCAGCTACTCGGGAGGCTGAGGCAGGAGAATCGCTTGAACCCGGGAGGTGGAGGTTGTGGTGAGCCAAGATCACGCCATTGCACTCCAGCCTAGGCAACAAGAGCAAACTCCGTCCCAAAAAAAAAAAAAAAAAAAAAAAAGAAAGAAGTATACTTCTAATGTCCAAATAATACATAATATAGTCATTTTGAAAATCTGCACATCATAACAGGATTCCTCATAGCAGGATATTTTCATGCTCAGTCTTGTATTTCAGCACAAACTAAAGAGTTACACATCACAGTATGTCTGTAGTATCATGGGCTTCCCAGATATGGCTGGACTTCAGCAACAGTAGCCTTTTAAAAACAAATTCCATGGCCCCAATATCATTTAGTTACTTTTATTTAAACTTACCAGCAACTGAACACTATCTTTCCCTAAAAGATGAAGAATCTTGTAAATGCTTGCAAAGATTAAGGGATAAGTGTAACTCCTCAGTCTCTCTGTCCATTCCCAAGTCAAATAACCATAATTAGTAACATTAAGGAGTAAATGTCCAATAATATTGAAACCTATTTCCGTGTTTTTTTTTTTTTTAAGATGGGGTCTCACTCTCTTGCCCAGGCTGGTCTCAAACTTGGGCTCAAGTGGTCCTGCCTCTACAGGTGCACACCACTTCACCTGGCAAAATCTATTTTCATTTCCATTTATAAAACAATATTTTATTTTGTGGCAGTCTTAAAACAGCATTTTATACTGGATATTTGCATTAAAAATTCAATTGGCCAACTAAACTCTTAACTTCTTCAAGGCAGTAATGTGTTTTTTACTTTCTCTGTATCCTCCAAGTGCTAAGTACTGTGGGAATGTATGCTAACGGCTGTGTCAAGTATATTAACATAAAAGAAAGATACAGGAGAAATATTTGTATAAAATAATGGTATACTTTGATGAGTTAAAATTATTTGGGGAAAATACGGAAAACTGAAAATATGTATAGTAGTCCCCCCTTATCTGTGGTTTCTCTTTCCATGTTTCAGTTGCCCAGAGTCAACCACTGTCTGAAAATATGAAGATATTTTGAGAGAGACCACATAAAAGTTCACATAACTTTTATTATAGTATTGTGTTATACTTGTTATATTTTAATACTGTTAATCTCTTACTGTACCTAATTTGTATAAACTTTATCATAAGCGTGTGTGTATTTTTTACATATATAAAAACAATATATATAGAGTTTGGTACTGTCTACAGTTTCAAGCATCCACTAGGGATTTTGGAAACTATCTACTGAAGACGAGGGAGCAAGGGGGACTACTCTAAAAGAAACTGAGCACAATTTCCAAGATGAATACACACTCATAGTCTGGAAAAGAAACCACAAAGGATATTTGAAAACCATGTGATGTGAAACTTCAAGAGACTGCCAGTATTCATCTGGAACAAAACTTGTCTGCACTAAAAAGCAGTTTAATATTCGTAAAGCTATGGTAAACAAGAGCAGATAAATATTTTCTCCAAGAAGATCTGAAAAACAGAACAAAACAGGTAATAGTGGCACAAAAGTCAGGCAGTTCCACTTGCAAAACTTAAAATCTGCTGCTCTGGTTGGCTCCTTGTAAGGCACAGTAGTGACCTCTGGTCCCTCCACACCATTCTTAAAGCCAACTTGGTTGGTTATACAAGCACCACAGCGTCATCACTGGGTGACTGCCACTCTTTTAGTTTAACCAACTTTTCTTGCAACTTATTGTGTAAAGATAATATTAAAATAAATACAAAAAAAAAAGAGTGGGTTAACTAAGGCCTTAGGCTAATTAATTAGGTCATACTATGTGTGTATCTAATGAAAGAAACCAGCTAACAAATTACTAATTTGGGAAGCAGCCCTTTGTATATGTGCAATATAAAATGGTCCTCTGTACATATATATTGATGATTACTATTATATATGCCAGGCACTGTGTTAATTTCTTCACATGCATCTCACTTAATCCTCCAAACAATATTATGGGATAGGTATTATTAGCCCCATTTTACAGACGAGCAAATTGAGGCCCAGAAATTAAACTGCCTTGTCCAAATAAAGTTGTAAATTACTTATCAGGATTCAAACCCGGGTCTGTGTGATGTCTCCAAAGTCCTGCTCTTGACCACAAATGGACAGCCTGTCGGCCAAATACAGAGTATTTTTTAAAAAATTGAATTTAGTTGCCAACATTTAAAAATCAGAATTTATATTAAAATCTGTGTTTCCAGCATTTCCCAGCATTTCAAAACTCAAGATCTGGCAACACAGAGCTCAACGGGCAACTGGCTGGTAATGAAATGGAGGGGGTTCCTTTTAGATGGGGGTAGGAGCTCTCCAGACAGTGTCCCCTCACTCACCCCCGCGGCGCCTGGCGCTCTTCTCCTGGGTGTTGAAGTACAAGGTAGACTTTCTCTTTCGCAGCTTTATCTTGCCGTGGGAGCGGTTCTGGAGACCATGCAAAGTGAGGCTGGCATCTCCGCCCCCCGGCTCCATTCCGCACTTGCTTAGGGGCCTCCTCATCCCTGGCCGCCACCTTCCTAAGGCGGAAGAAAGCTGCAGTAGCGCGCTGCTCGTCCATCCATTAAGTTTGGCCTTTGAGAGCAGTCGTCGCTCGCAAGCCCGGAAGTAACCGGGAACGGGCAACTTCGTAGCTCCCACCCGACGTGGTGGCCTCCTTGCGGTTTCCTTTCGCCGTTTCCGAACCGAGGGATTGCTACTCGCCTTTGGCTTGGCGGTCTCTGTGCTCGGGGGTCCGAAAACTGCTGGAAGGCCCCCGGTCTCTGGAGGGGAGCAGGCGGTAGCGAGTTTAGTGACGTGGAGCAGGCGCAGAACAGTCGGAGGTACCTGAGTGGTTATTAAAAACGGTAACGGTAATTGTAGACGTCAGTGTTGGTGTTAACATTTCAGGTTCGTTGCTCTCACAAAAAATGCCTGTTCAACGAGGTAGGCAGGGTAGGGATGATTTAGCTTGTTGTACAGATGTGGAAACAGGCCGAATGGTTCCTATTTTTTTTGTTGTTGTTGCTGTTGTTAGGTTTTTTTTTTGTTTTTGTTTTTGTTTTTTTTTTTGAGACGGAGTTTCGCTCTTGTAGTCCAGGCTGGAGTGCAGTGGCGCAATCTGGGCTCACTGCAACTTCTGCCTCCCGGGTTCCAGTGATTTTCCTGCCTCAGCTCCCAAGTAGCTGGGACTACAGGCGCGCCACCACGCCTGGCCAATTTTTGTGTTTTTTTGTAGAGACGGGGTTTCACCATATTGGCCTGGCTGGTCTGGAACTCCTGACCTCGTGATCCGCCCGCCTCGGCCTCCCAAAGTGTTGGGATTACAGGCGTGAGCCACCGCGTGCGGCCCACTCCTCTTGTTAAAAGTAAAACCAGGCCGGGCGCGGTGGCTCACGCCTGTATTCCCAGTACTTTGGGAGGCCAAGACGGGCGGATCAGGAGGTCAGAGGATCGAGACCATCCTGGCTAACACGGTGAAACCCCGTCTCTACAAAAAATACAAAAAATTAGCCGGGTGTGGTGACACGCGCCTGTAGTCCCAGCTTCTCGGGAGGCTGAGGTAGGAGAATGGCGTTAACCGAGGAGGCGGAGCTTGCAGTGAGCCGAGATTGCGCCATTGCACTCCAGCCTGGGCGACAGAGCGAGACTCCGTCTCAAAAAAAAAAAAAAAAAGAAAAAGTATGCATTTAAAACCATTGAGAACATTCTGTAATAGAAAAGGTTTTAGTTTTGTCTTATACCCTTCCCTAATTCACTTCCTGTACTCCTTATGTATTTATATTCTTGTTTTAATTAGTAACATATTATAAAAATATTGTTCACTCCAGTGCAAAGTAGTGACATAACATCTTTTAAAAGGACATTGTACTAAGTGATGGCTTTGCTTTCCATTTTTGTATGCAGATTTGAAGAGATTTCCTGGGTGTGGAGTGTGACTTTCCAAAACCAGCTTTTCCTTGAGCTGTATTTGTTGCAGCAATGTTTAGGAGATTGACTTTTGCACAACTGCTTTTTGCCACTGTCCTTGGAATTGCTGGAGGAGTATATATTTTTCAACCAGTATTTGAACAGTATGCCAAAGATCAGAAGGAATTAAAAGAAAAGATGCAGTTGGTACAAGAATCAGAAGAGAAGAAAAGTTAATACTACATGGAGTTAGGCCTGGCGCAGTGGCTCACGCCTGTAATCCCAGCACTTTGGGAGGCCGAGGCGGGTGGATCAGGTGGTCAGGAGTTCAAGACCAGCCTGACCAACATGGTGAAACCCTGTCTCTACTGAAAATACAAAAATCAGCCAGGCTTGGTGGCATGCGCCTGTAATCCCAGCTACTTGGGAGGCTGAGGCAGGAGCATCACTTGAACCTGGGAGGCAGAGGTGGCAGTGAGTCAAGATCACGCTGCTGCACTCCAGCCTGGGTGACAGAGCGAGACTCCATCTAAAAAAACAAAAAGCAAAAAAACCCACAAATACCTCATGGAGATGAACTGTAATAATTGCTTAAAGTTCCATTTAATTATGTTAACTCTAATCTAGCAAAAACATAGATGTACTTAAAAATAAATCATGGATAATGATTTTTTAACCTAACACTGTTAATTTTAATGTTTATTGTATATTTGTCATTTTATGTCTTTTTACCAGGACAGATAAGTAATTTCCTTTTAAACAAAAGTGAATATTTTAGGAATATTTTCTACTTGAGGTTTATTTTTCTAGGAATTCAGCATATGCAGTATCATGGGGTGCCAGTCTCAGTGTGTATATAATAATTGGGAAGGGTGTTTGCAATAGTGTTTGTAGATATGTGAACCAACTTAAACTACCTCAGGCAGAAATCCACTCCGTTACCCTGCAGTTAGATTGGTTTAATATATTTTGGCAGTCATTCAATCCCAGCCGTTTTTCATCTCAGGCAGTGTGGAGGAGTAGTTGAGAGTTGGGATGGCTCAGATCAAATTGAGGTTTTAGAGAAGGTAGATGTTGTTTGAGAGGATGGCAGATATGACACAGATGTTTTTTAATCCACTAAGCAAATTTGCATTAATAATTGTGTTAAGGGAGTAGTTAATTTATTATGAAGCTATTATTCATATAGTTAAAATTTTTTTTGAAGTTACTAAGAATTGGTATTACTTTTTACTCTAGCGTTAAGTTTGTATTTTCTTTTTTTCTCCTTTTTTTTTTTAAGTTCTGGGATACATGTGCTGAACGTGCAGGTTTGTAACATAGATATACATGTGCCATGGTGTTTGCTGCACCTGTCAACCCGTCATCTAGGTTTTAAGCCCTGCAGGCATTAGGTATTTGTCCTAATGCTCTCCCTCCCCTTGCCCCCCACCCGCCCCCGACAGGCCCCAGTGTGTGATGTTCCCCTCCCTGTGTCCATGTATTCTCATTGTTCAGCTCTCACTTATGAGTGAGAACATGTGGTGTTTGGTTTTCTGTTCCTGTGTTAGTTAGTTTGCTGAGAATGATGGTTTCCAGCTTCATCCATGTCCCTACAAAGTACATAAATTCTTTTTTTTTTTTTTTTTTTGAGACGGAGTCTGGCTCTGTTGCCCAGGCTGGAGCGCAGTGGCGCAATATTGGTTTGCTGCAACCTCTGCCTCCGCCTCCCAGGTTCAAGCAGTTCTGCCTCAGCCTACGTAGTAGCTGGGACTACATGTGTGCACCACCACACCTAGCTAATGTTTGTATTTTTAGTAGAGATGGGGTTTCACCATTTTGGCCAGAATGGTTTCAATCTGCTGACCTCGTGATCCACCTGCTTCGGCCTCCCAAAGTGCTGGGATTATAGGCATGAGCCACCGCGCCTGGCCGTGCATGTGTCTTTATAGTAGAATGATTTGTAATCCTTTGGGTATATACCCAGTAATGGGATTGCTGGGTCAAATGGCATTTCTGGTTGTAGATCCTTGAGGAATTGCCACACTGTCTTCACAATGGTTGAACTAATTTACACTCCCACCAACAGTGTAAAAGCGTTCGTATTTCTCCACAGCCTCACCAGCATCTGTTGTTTCCTGACTTTTTAATGATCACCATTCTAACTGGCATGAGATGGTATCTCATTGTGGTTTTGATTTGCATTTCTCTAATGACAAGTGATGATGAGCTTTTTTTCATAAGTTTGTTGGCTGCGTAAATGTCTTCTTTTGAGAAGTGTCTGTTCATATCCTTCACTCACTTTTTGATGGGGTTGTTTTTTTCTTGTAAATTTGTTTAAGTCCCTTGTAGATTCTGGATATTAGCCCTTTGTCAGATGGATAGATTACGAAAATTTTCTCCCATTCTGTAGGTTGCCTGTTCACTCTCACGATAGTTTCTTTTGCTAGGCAGAAGCTCTTTAATTAGATCCCATTTGTCGATTTTGGCTTTTGTTGCAATTGCTTTTTGGTGGCCTTGTCATGAAGTCTTTGCCCGTGCCTATGTCCTGAATGGTATTGCCTAGGTTTTCTTCTAGACTTTTTATGGTTTTAGGTTTTCCATTTAAGTTATTAGTCCATCTTGAGTTAATTTTTGTATAAGGTGTAAGGAAGGGGTCCAGTTTCTGTTTTCTGCATATGGCTAGCCAGTTTTCCCAGCACCATTTATTAAATAGGGAATCCTTTCCCCATTGCTTGTTTTTCTCAGGTTTGTCAAAGATCAGATGGTTGTAGATGTATGGTGGTATTTCTGAGTTCTGTTCTGTTCCATTTGTCTATGTCTCTGTTTTGGTACCAGTACCATGGTGTTTTGGTTACCATAGCCTTTTTGTATAGTTTGAAGTCAGGTAGCTTGATGCCTCCAGCTTTGTTCTTTTTGCTTGGGGTTGCCTTGGCTATATGGGCTCTTTTTTGGTTCTACATGAAATTTAAAGTATTTTTTTCTAATTCTGTGAAGAAAGTCATTGGTAGCTTGATGGTAATAGCATTGAATCTATAAATTACTTTGGGCAGTATGGCCATTTTCATGATTGATTCTTCCTATCCATGAGCATGGAATGTTTTTCCATTTGTTTGTGTCCTCTCTTATTTCCTTGAGCAGTGGTTTGTAGTTCTCCTTGAAGAGGTCCTTCACATCCCTTGTAAGTTGTATCCCTAAGCATTTTATTCTGTTTGTAGCAGTTGTGAATAGGAGTTCACTCATGATTTGGCTGTTTGTCTGTTAAGGGTGTATAGGAACGCTTGTGATTTTTGCACATTGATTTTGTATCCTGAGACTTTGCTGAAGTTGCTTATCAGCTTAAGGAGTTTTTGGGTGGAGACAGTGGGGTTTTCTAAATACACAATCATGTCATCTGCAGAGACAATTTGACTTCCTCTCTTCCTATTTGAATACCCTTTCTTTCTTCTCTTGCCTGATTCCCTGGCCAGTACTTCCAGTACTGTGTTGAATATGAATAGTGACAGAGAGCATCCTTATGCCGGTTTTCAAAGGGAATGCTTCCATTAAGCTTGTGTTTTCAATGAGATCTATAAATGTAATCACATATGTACAAAGTTCTTTATCTAAATCAACATGTTTTTATATTGATATCCTTTTTCTTAAAATGTAAATTCATTATAATTTAATCTCAGCTATGTTAGGTGGAGACCAGCATAGGTAATTTTTTTTTTTTTTTTTTTGAGATACAGTCTCGCTGTGATGCCCAGGCTGGAGTGCAATGGCGTGATTTTGGCTCACTGCAACCTCTCCCACCCAGGTTCAAGTGATTCTCCTGCCTCAGCCTCCCGAGCAGCTGGGATTACAGGTGCCTGCTACCACACCCGGTTTATTTATTTATTTATTTATTTATTTATTTATTTATTTATTTATTGAGATGGAGTCTCGCTCTGTTGCCCAAGCTGGAGTGCAGTGGCACGATGTCAGCTCACTGCAACCTCCACCTTCCGGGTTCACACTATTCTCCTGCCTCAGCCTCCTGAGTAGCTGGGACCACAGGTGCTTGCCACCACTCCCGGCTAAGTTTTTGTATTTTTAGTAGAGACAGGGCTTCACCATGTCAGCCAGGATGGTCTTGATCTCCTGACCTCGTGATCCGCCCGCCTCGGCTTCCCGAAGTAATTTTTGTATTTTTAGTGGAGACGGGGTTTCACCCTGTTGGCCAGGCTGCTCTTCAACTCCTGACCTGAAGTGATACCCCTGCCTTGGCCTCCCATAGTGCTGAGATTACAAGCGTGAGCCACTGCGCCTGGCGTAGCATAGGTAATTTTTAAAAATAGAAAATGAAGAAATTACAAAAGTACTATATGTTCCTTAAAGCATTCTAATATTACAAAATGAACAAAGTGAAAAGTGAAAATTATTGTTGTATAAATGGATTTATTCAGTACCTTTAACAATTTAGTATGATCTTTTGAGGTTTTCTTTGTGTTTTTTGTTTTTAAAGAGATAGGGTCTCGCTCTGTCACCCAGGCTTGAGTGTAGTATCATCATTGCTCGCTATAACCTTGAACTCCTGGGCTCACGTGATTCCGCTCGTCTCATCGACTATAGTTGTACACAACTACATCTGGCTTATTTAAAACAAATCTTTGTAGAAATGGGGTCTCACTCTGTGGCCTAGTCTGGTCTTAATCCCCTGGACTCAAGCGATCTTCTTCCCTTGGCCTCCCAAAGCACTAGGATTCTAGGCGTCAGCCACTGTGCTTGGCAAGATTTTTTCCTATGCACTTAAAAGTAGTTATAAAAATTTTAATTTAAATACCAAATGTCTGCTGGGTAAGAGGTTTGGCTTTGCTTAGCTCTAGACTGGAATTCTGTTGTTTGTGTCTTCTCATTCTGGGACCGGGGCTCAAGGAGCAGCCTCTGTCAGGGCTATGACAGAGTGTAGGAGAGAGAGAGAGATGGAGAGCAGTTGTAAGTTTCTGCTCAATTGTGGCACATTATCACATCTTCTCATATTTTGTCTTAGAGCATGTCACATGCTCAAGCCTAAAGTCATCAAGGCAAGGGACATGGACTCTTCTCATAGGATGCACAGTCAAGTCACGTGACAGGAATACATAATGTTAATACATTTGAGGAATAATCCTAACACATCAAGTTAAAGTAAGCTGCTTTTGATCCCCCTTTTGAAAAGGATGCCAGTTTAGTTGTTACATACCAAGTGCCAGAGGCTGAGTTTTTTTTTTTCCTGGTGAAGATATTGCATTCGTTGAAAACAAAACCACACTGAGTTACCATTTCATGTTCACTAGGATGACTGCAGTCAAAAAGATGGAAAATTACAAGTGCTGTTGAGGATGTGAAACAATTGGAAGCTTCATACACTACTGGTTGGAAAGTAAAATGGTGCAGTCACTTTGGGAAAGTTTGGCAGTTCTTCAAATGGTTAAACGTAGAGCTACTATATGGCCTAGCAATTCCCCTTACAGGCATATGCCCAAGATAATTGAAAATATATGTTCAGGGCTACCCTCTTTGGGTCCCCTCCCTTTGTATGGGAGCTCTGTTTTCACTCTATTAAGTCTTGCTTCTGCAGTCTTCTGGTCCATATTTGTTACGGCTCCAGCTGAGCTTTTGCTCGCCGTCCACCCCTGTTGTTTGCCGCTGTCGCAGACCCGCCGCTGACTTCCATCCCTCCGGATCCAGCAGGGTGTCTGCTGTGCTCCTGATCCAGCGAGGCGCCCATTGCCACTCCTGATCGGACTGAAGGCTTGCCATTGTTCCTGCACGGCTAAGAGCCTGGGTTCGTCCTAATCGAGCTGAACACTAGTCACTGGGTTCCACGGTTCTCTTCCGTGACCCACGGCTTCTAATAGAGCTATAACACTCACCGCATGGCCCAAGATTCCATTCCTTGGAATCCGTGAGGCCAAGAACCCCAGGTCAGAGAACACGAGGCTTGCCACCGTCTTGGAAGCAGCCTGCCACTATCGGGAGCTCTGGGAGTAAGGACCCCCAGTAACATTTGGTGACCACGAAGGGATCTCCAAAGCAATGGGAAACGTTCCCCCCAAGGCAGAAACGCCCCTGAGATGTATTCTGGAGAATTGGGACCAACTGGACTCTCACATGCTAAGAAATAAACGACTTATATTCTTCTGCAGTACCACCTGGCCACGATATCCTCTTCAAGGGGGAGAAACCTGGCCTCCTGAGGGAAGTATAAATTATAACACTAGCTTACAGCTACACCTCTTTTGTAGAAAAGAAGGCATAAGGAGTGAAGTGCCATATGTACAAACTTTCTTTTCATTAAGAGACAACTCACAATTATGTAAAAAGTGTGATTTATGCCCTACGGGAAGCCCTCAGAGTCTACCTCCCTACCCCAGCGTCCCCTCGACTCCTTCCCCAACTAATAAGGACCCCCCTTCAACCCAAACTGTCCAAAAGGAGATAGACAAAGGGGTAAACAATGAACCACAGAGTGCAATTTTCCCCGATTATGCCCACTCCAAGCAGTGGGAGGAGAATTCGGCCCAGCCAGAGTGCGTGTACCTTCTTCTCTCTCAGACTTAAAGCAAATTAAAATAGACCTAGGTAAATTCTTAGATAACCCTGATGGCTATGTTGAGGTTTTACAAGGGTTAGGACAGTCCTTTGATCTGACATGGAGAGATACAATGTTACTGCTAAATCAGACACTAGCTCCAAATGAGAGAAGTGCTGCCATAACTGCAGCCTGAGAGTTTGGCGATCTCTGGTATCTCAGTCAGGTCAATGATAGGGTGACAACAGAGGAAAGAGAAAAATTCCCCACAGGCCAGCAGTCAGTTCCCAGTGTAGACCCTCAGTGGGACACAGAATCAGGATATGGAGATTGGTGCCGCAGACATTTGCTAACCTGCGTATTAGAAGGACTAAGGAAAACTAGGAAGAAGCCTATGAATTATTGGCAATGATGTCCACTGTAACACAGGGAAAGGAAGAAAATCCTACCGCCTTTCTGGTGAGACTAAGGGAGGCATTGAGGAAGCATACCTCTCTGTCACCTGATTATATTGAAGGCCAACTAATCTTAGAGGATAAGTTTATCACTCAGTCAGCTGCAGACATTAGAAAGAAACTTCAAAAGTCTGCCTTAGGCCCGGAGCAAAACTTAGAAAACCTATTGAACTTGGCAACCTCGGTTTTTTATAATAGAGATCAGGAGGAGCAGGTGGAATGGGACAAATGGGATTTAAAAAAAGGCCATTGCTTTAGTCATGGCCCTCAGGCAAGCAGACTTTGGAGGCTCTGGAAAAGGGAAAAGCTGGGCAAATCGAATGCCTAATAGGGCTTGCTTTCAGTGCGGTCTACAAGGACACTTTAAAAAAGATTGTCCAAATAGAAATAAGCCACCCCCTCGTCCATGCCCCTTATGTCAAGGGAATGACTGGAAGGCCCACTGCCCCAGGGGATGAAGGTCCTCTGAGTCAGAAGCCACTAGCCAGATGATCCAGCAGCAGGACTGAGGGTGCCCGGGGCAAGTGCCAGCCCATGCCATCACCCTCACAGAGCCCCAGGTGTGCTTGACCATTGAGGGCCAGGAGGTTAACTGTCTCCTGGACACTGGCGTGGCCTTCTCAGTCTTACTCTTCTGTCCTGGACAACTGTCCTCCAGATCTGTCACTATCTGAGGGGTCCTAGGACAGCCAGTCACTAGATACTTCTCCCAGCCACTAAGTTGTGACTGGAGAACTTTACTCTTTTCACATGCTTTTCTAATTATGCCTGAAATTGCCACACCCTTGTTAGGGAGAGACATTCTAGCAAAAACAGGGGCCATTATACACCTGAACATAGGAGAAGGAACACCCGTTTGTTGTCCCCTGCTTGAAGTCTGGGTAACAGAAGGACAATATGGACGAGCAAAGAATGCCCGTCCTGTTCGAGTTAAACTAAAGGATTCTGCCTCCTTTCCCTACCAAAGGCAGTACCCCCTTAGACCCGAGGCCCAACAAGGACTCCAAAAAATTGTTAAGGACCTAAAAGCCCAAGGCCTAGTAAAACCGTGCAGTAGCCCCTGCAATACTACAATTTTAGGAGTACAGAAACCCAATGGACAGTGGAGGTTAGTGCAAGATTTCGGGATTATCAATGAGGCCATTGTCCATCTACACCCAGCTGTACCTAACCCTTATACTCTGCTTTCCCAAATACCAGAGGAAGCAGAGTGGTTTACAGTCCTGGACCTTAAGGATGCCTTTTTCTGTATCCCTGTACATCCTGACTCTCAATTCTTGTTTGCCTTTGAAGATCCTTTGAACCCAACATCTCAACTCACCTGGACTGTTTTACCCCAAGGGTTCAGGGATAGCTCCCATCTATTTGGCCAGGCATTAACCCGAGACTTAAGCCAGTTCTCATACCTGGACACTCTTGTCCTTTGGTACATGGATGATTTACTTTTAGCTGCCCATTCAGAAACCTTGTGCCATCAAGCCACCCAAGCGCTCTTAAATTTCCTTGCTGCCTGTGACTACAAGGTTTCCAAACCAAAAGTTCAGCTCTGCTCTCAGCAGGTTTAATACTTAGGGCTAAAATTATCCAAAGGCACCAGGGCCCTCAGTGAGGAACATATCCAGCCTATACTGGCTTATCCTCATCCCAAAACTCTAAAGCAACTAAGAGGGTTCCTTGGCATAACAGGTTTCTGTCGAATATGGATTCCCAGGTACGGTGAAATAGACAGACCATTGTATACACTAATTAAGGAAACTTGGAAAGTCAATACCCATTTAGTAAGATGGACACCTGAAGCAGAAGCGGCTTTCCAGGCCCTAAAGAAGGCCCTAACCCAAGCCCCAGTGTTAAGCTTGCCGATGGGGCAAGACTTTTCTTTATATGTCATAAAAAAACCAGGAATAGCTCTAGGAGTCCTTACACAGGTCCGAGGGACGAGCTTGCAACCCGTGGCATACCTGAATAAGGAAATTGATGTAGTGGCAAAGGGTTGGCCTCATTGTTTATGGGTAGTGGCAGCAGTAGCAGTCTTAGTATCTGAAGCAGTTTAAATAATACAGGGAAGAGATTTTACTGTGTGGACATCTCATGATGTGAACGGCATACTGACTGCTAAAGGAGACTTGTGGCTGTCAGACAACCGTTTACTTAAATATCAGGCTCTATTACTTGAAGGGCCAGTGCTGCGACTGCGCATTTGTGCAACTCTTAACCCAGTCCCATTTCTTCCGGACAATGAAGAAAAGATAGAACATAACTGTCAACAAGTAATTGCTCAAACCTACACCGCTCGAGGGGGACCCTTTAGAGGTTCCCTTGACTGATCCTGACCTCAACTTGTATACTGATGGAAGTTCCTTTGTAGAAAAAGGACTTCAAAAAGCAGGGTATGCAGTGGTCAGTGATAATGGAATACTTGAAAGTAATCTCCTCACTCCGGGAACTAGTGCTCAGCTGGCAGAACTAATAGTCCTCACTCGGGCACTAGAATTAGGAGAAGGAAAAAGGGTAAATATATATACAGACTCTAAGTATGCTTACCTAGTCCTCCATGCCCATGCAGCAATATGGAGAGAAGGGGAATTCCTAATTTCTGAGGGAACACCTATCAAACATCAGGAAGCCATTAGGAGATTATTATTCGCTGTACAGCAACCTAAAGAAGTGACAGTCTTACACTGCCGGGGTCATCAGAAAGGAAAGGAAAGGGAAATAGAAGGGAACCGCCAAGAGGATATTGAAGCCAAAAGAGCCGCAAGGCAGGACCCTCCATTAGAAATGCTTATAAAAGGACCCGTAGTATGGGGTAATCCCCTCCGGGAAACCAAGCCCCAGTACTCAGAAGAAGAAATAGAATGGGGAACCTCACGAGGACATAGTTTCCTCCCCTCAGGATGGCTAGCCACTGAAGAAGGAAAAATACTTTTGCTGGCAGCTAACCAATGGAAATTACTTAAAACCCTTCAGCAAACCTTTCACTTAGGCATTGATAGCACCCATCAGATAGCCAAATCATTATTTACTGGACCAGGCCTTTTCAAAACTATCAAGCAGATAGTCAGGGCCTGTGAAGTGTGCCAAAGAAATAATCCCCTGCCTTATCGCCAAGCTCCTTCAGGAGAACAAAGAACAGGCAATTACCCAAGAGAAGACTGGCAACTAGATTTTATCCACATGCCAAAATCACAGGGATTTCAGTGTCTACTAGTCTGGGTAGATACTTTCACTGGTTGGGCAGAGGCCTTCCCCTGTAGGACAGAAAAGTTCCAAGAGGTAATAAAGGCACTAGTTCATGAAGTAATTCCCAGATTCGGACTTCCCTGAGGCTTACAGAGTGACAATGGTCCTGCTTTCAAGGCCACAGTAACCCAGGGAGTATCCCAGGCGTTAGGTATAGAATATCACTTACACTGCACCTAGAGGCCACAATCCTCAGGGAAGGTTGAGAAAATGAAACACTCAAACGACATCTAAACAAGCTAACCCAGGAAACCCACCTCGCATGGTCTGCTCTGTTGTCTATAGCCTTACTAAGAATCCAAAACTCTCCCCAAAAAGCAGGACTTAGCCCATACAGAATGCTGTATGGACGGTCCTTCCTAACCAATGACCTTCTGCTTGACCAAGAGATGGCCAACTTAGTTGCAGACATCACCTCCTTAGCCAAATATCAACAAGTTCTTAAAACATTACAAGGAGCCTGTCCCCGAGAGGAGGGAAAAGAAATATTCCACCCTGGTGTCATGGTATTAGTCAAGTCCCTTCCCTCTAATTCCCCATCCCTAGACACATCCTGGGGAGGACCCTACCCAGTCATTTTATCTATCCCAACTGCGGTTAAAGTGGCTGGAGTGGAGTCTTGGATACATCACACTCGAATCAAACCCTGGATACTGCCGAAGGAACCCGAAAATCCAGGAGACAACGCTAGCTATTTCTTTGAACCTCTAGAGGATCTGTGCCTGCTCTTCAAGCAACAACCGTGAGGAAAGTAACTAAAATCGTAAATCCCCATGGCCCTCCCTTATTGTATTTTTCTCTTTACTGTTCTCTCACCACCTTTCAGTCTCACTGCACCCTCTCCATGCCACTGTAGGACCAGTAGCTCCCCTTACCAAGCGTTTCTATGGAGAATGCGGCGTCCCAGACATATTGATGCCCCATCGTATAGGAGTTTATCTAAGGGAAACCCCGCCTTCACCGCCCACACCCATATGCCCCACAACTGCTATAACTCTGCCACTCTTTGCATGCATGCAAATACTCATTATTGGACAGGGAAAATGATTAATCCTAGTTGTCCTGGAGGACTTGGAGCCACTGTCTGTTGGACTTAGTTCACCCATACTGGTATGTCTGATAGGGGTGGAGTTCAAGATCAGGCAAGAGAAAAACACGTAAAGGAAGTAATCTCCCAACTGACCTGAGTACATAGCACGCCTAGCCCCTACAAAGGACTAGATCTCTCAAAACTACATGAAACCCTCCGTACCCATACTCGCCTGGTAAGCCTATTTAATACCACCCTCACTGGGTTTCATGAGGTCTCGGCCCAAAACCCTACTAACTGTTGGATGTGCCTCCCTCTGCACTTAAGGCCATACATTTCAATCCCTGTACCTGAACAAGGGAACAACTTCAACACATAAACACCACTTCCGTTTTAGTAGGACCTCTTGTTTCCAATCTGGAAATAACCCATACCTCAAACCTCACCTGTGTAAAATTTAGCAATACGATAGACACAACCAACTCCCAATGCATCAGGTGGGTAACTCCCCCCCACGAATAGTCTGCCTACCCTCAGGAATATTTTTTGTCTGTGGTACCTCAGCCTATTGTTGTTTGAATGGCTCTTCAGAATCTATGTGCTTCCTGTCATTCTTAGTGCCCCCCATGACCATCTACACTGAACAAGATTCATACAATCATGTCATACCTAACCCCTGCAACAAAAGAGTACCCATTCTTCCTTTTGTTATTGGAGCAGGAGTGCTAGGCGGAATAGGTACTGGCACTGGCGGTATCACAACCTGTACTCAGTTCTACTACAAACTATTTCAAGAAATAAATGGTGACATGGAACAGGTCGCCGATTCCCTGGTCACCGAGCAAGATCAACTTAACTTCCTAGCAGCAGTAGTCCTTCAAAATCAAAGAGTTTTAGACTTGCTAACCACTGAAAGAGGGGGAATCTGTTTATTTTTAGGAGAAGAATGCTGTTATTATGTTAATCAATCTGGAATTGTCACCAAGAAAGTTAAATTCAAGATCAAATACAACGTAGAGCAGAGGAGCTTCAAAACACCGGACTTGGGGCCTCCTCAGCCAATGGATGCTCTGGATTCTCCCCTTCTTGGGACCTCTAGCAGCTATAATATTGTTACTCCTCTTTGGACCCTGTATCTTTAACCTCCTTGTTAAGTTTGTCTCTTCCAGAATCGAAGCTGTAAAGCTACAAATGGTTCTTCAAATGGAGCCCCAGATGCAGTCCATGACTAAGATCTACCGTGGACCCCTGGACCAGCCTGCTAGCCCATGCTCCAATGTTAATGACATCAAAGTCACCTCTCCCGAGGAAATCTCAACTGCACAGCCCCTACCATGCCCCAGTTCAGCAGGAAGCAGTTAGAATGGTTGTCGGCCAACCTCCCCAAAAGCACTTGGGTTTTCCTGTGGAGTAGGGACTGAGAGACAGGGCTAGCTGGATTTCCTAGGCTGACTAAGCATCCCTAAGCCTAGCTGGGAAGGTGACTGCATCCACCTTTAAGCATGGGGCTTGCAACTTAGCTCACACCTGACCAATCAGGTAGTAAAGAGATCTCACTAAAATGCTAATTAGGCAAAAACAGGAGGAAAAGAAATAGCCAATCATCTATCGCCTGAGAGCACAGTGGGAAGGACAATGATTGGGATATAAACTCAGGCATTCCAGCCAGCAACTGCTACCCTCTTTGGGTCCCCTCCCTTTGTATGGGAGCTCCGTTTTCACTCTATGAAATCTTGCAACTGCAAAAACAAAACCAAACAAAATACACACACACCATATATATATATATATATGTTCACACTAAAGCTGGTAAATGAATGTTCATCACATTATTCATAATAGCCAAAAAGTGGAAAAAACCCAAGTGTCCATTAACTGATGAATGGATAAATAAGTGGTATTTCCGTATAATGGAATATTATTCAGCCAAGAAGATAAATGAAGTATGTGCTATAACATGGAAAAAATTAGAATACATTACGAAATAAGCCATGCACAAGATGGCACCTATTGGTATGTTTTCATTTGTATGACATGTCTAGAACAGGTAAATGTCTAGAGACAGAAAGTAGATTAGTGGCTGACAGGGGTTGAATGAAGGGGGGATGGAGAATGATTACTAGTGGAGATGACTTTTTTTTTTCTTTTTTTTAAATTTATTTTTTTATTGATAATTCTTGGGTGTTTCTCACAGAGGGGGATTTGGCAGGGTCATGGGACAATAGTGGAGGGAAGGTCAGCAGATAAACAAGTGAACAAAGGTCTCTGGTTTTCCTAGGCAGAGGACCCTGCGGCCTTCCGCAGTGTTTGTGTCCCTGGGTACTTGAGATTAGGGAGTGGTGATGACTCTTAACGAGCATGCTGCCTTCAAGCATCTGTTTAACAAAGCACATCTTGCACCGCCCTTAATCCATTTAACCCTGAGTGGACACAGCACATGTTTCAGAGAGCACAGGGTTGGGGGTAAGGTCACAGATCAACAGGATCCCAAGGCAGAGGAACCTTTCTTAGTGCAGAACAAAATGAAAAGTCTCCCATGTCTACCTCTTTCTACACAGACACGGCAACCATCCGATTTCTCAATCTCTTCCCCACCTTTCCCGCCTTTCTATTCCACAAAGCCGCCATTGTCATCCTGGCCTGTTCTCAATGAGCTGTTGGGCACACCTCCCAGACAGGGTGGTGGCCGGGCAGAGGGGCTCCTCACTTCCCAGTAGGGGCGGCCGGGCAGAGGCGCCCCTCACCTCCCGGACGGGCCGGCTGGCTGGGCAGGGGGGCTGACCCCCCCCACCTCCCTCCCGGACGGGGCGGCTGGCCGGGCGGGGGGCTGACCCCCCCACCTCCCTCCCGGACGGGGCGGCTGGCCGGGCAGAGGGGCTCCTCACTTCCCAGTAGGGGTGGCCGGGCAGAGGTGCCCCTCACCTCCCGGACGGGGCGGCTGGCCGGGCAGGGGGGCTGACCCCCCCCACCTCCCTCCCGGACGGGGCGGCTGGCCGGGCGGGGGGCCGACCCCCTCACCTCCCTCCCGGACGGGGCGGCTGGCCGGGCGGGGGGCCGACCCCCCCACCTCCCTCCCGGACGGGGCGGCTGGCCGGGCAGAGGGGCTCCTCACTTCCCAGTAGGGGCGGCCGGGCAGAGGCGCCCCTCACCTCCCAGACGGGGCGGCTGGCCGGGCGGAGGGCTGACACCCCAACTCCCTCCCGGACGGGGCGGCTGGCCGGGCAGAGGGGCTCCTCACTTCCCAGTAGGGGCGGCCGGGCAGAGGCGCCCCTCACCTCCCAGACGGGGCGGCTGGCCGGGCGGAGGGCTGACCCCCCCACCTCCCTCCCGGACGGGGCGGCTGGCCAGGCGGGGGGCTGACCCCCCCACCTCCCTCCCGGACAGGGCGGCTGGCCGGGCTGAGGGGCTCCTCACTTCCCAGTAGGGGCGGCCGGGCAGAGGCGCCCCTCACCTCCCGGACGGGGCGGCTGGCCGGGCGGGGGGCTGACCCCCCCACCTCCCTCCCGGACGGCACGGCTGGCCAGGCGGGGGGCTGACCCCCCCACCTCCCTCCCGGATGGCGCGGCTGGCCGGGCGGGGGGGCTGATCCCCCACCTCCCTCCCGGATGGGGCGGCTGGCCGGGCGGGGGGTTGACCCCCCCCCACCTCCCTCTTGGACGGGGTGGCTGCCGGGCGGAGATGCTCCTCACTTCCCAGATGGGGTGGCTGCCGGGCGGAGAGGCTCCTCACTTCTCAGACGGGGCAGCTGCCGGACGGAGGGGCTCCTCACTTCTCAGACGGGGTGGTTGCCAGGCAGAGGGTCTCCTCACTTCTCAGACGGGGCGGCCGGGCAGAGATGCTCCTCACCTCCCAGACGGGGTCTCGGCCGGGCAGAGGTGCTCCTCACATCCCAGATGGGGCGGCGGGGCAGAGGCGCTCCCCACATCTCAGACGATGGGCGGCCGGGCAGAGACGCTCCTCACTTCCTAGATGTGATGGCGGCTGGGAAGAGGCGCTCCTCACTTCCTAGATGGGATGGTGGCCGGGCGGAGACGCTCCTCACTTTCCAGACTGGGCAGCCAGGCAGAGGGGCTCCTCGCATCCCAGACGATGGGCGGCCAGGCAGAGACGCTCCTCACTTCCCAGACGGGGTGGCGGCCGGGCAGAGGCTGCCATCTCGGCACTTTGGGAGGCCAAGGCAGGCGGCTGGGAGGTGTAGGTTGTAGTGAGCCGAGATCATGCCACTGCACTCCAGCCTGGGCACCATTGAGCACTGAGTGAACGAGACTCCGTCTGCAATCCCGGCACCTCGGGAGGCCGAGGTTGGCGGGATCACTCGCGGTTAGGGGCTGGAGACCGGCCCGGCCAACACAGCGAAACCCCGTCTCCACCAAAACCAGTCAGGCGTGGCGGCGGGTGTTGTTGTTGTTTTTGAGATGAGGTCTCACTCTGACTTTTTTTTTTTTTTTTGAGACAGAGTCTCCCTCTGTCACCCAGGCTGGAGTGCAGTGGTGTGATCTTGACTCACTGCAACCTTTGCCTCCCGGGTTCAAGCGATTCTCCTGCCTTAGCCTCCCGAATAGGTGGGATCACAGGCACAAACTACCATGGTCGGCTAATTGTTCTATTTTTGGTAGAGACAGGTTCACCATATTGGCCAGGCCACTGCCCCCGGCCGTGGGGATTATTTTTAGGGTGATGAACTGGGCATGGTGGCTCATGTCTATAATCCCAATGCTTTGGGAGGCAGAGGTGGGTGGATCACATGAGGTCAGGAGTTCAAGACCAGCCTGGCCAACACGGTGAAACCCTATCTCTACTGAAAATACAAAAATTAGCAAGGTATGGTGGCACACGCCTGTAGTCCCAGCTACTCAGGACGTTGAGGGAGGAGAATTGCTTGAACCCAGGGGGCTGGAGGATGCAGTGAGCCAAGATCATGCCACTGCACTCCAGCCTGGGAAACAGTGAGACTCCGCCTCAAAAAAAAAAAAAAAAAAAGATTTTTAGGGTGATGAAAATGTTCTGGAAGTAGATAGTGGTGATCAATGTATAACTTTGTGAATATATTAAAAACCACCAAATCATACACTTTTAAAGGGTGAACTTTATTGTGTGTGAATTATATCTCAAAGCTGTCATAAAGACACTGCATGCAAACCACTGAATTGTACACTTTTAAGGGGTGAACTTTATTGTGTGTGAGTTATATCTCAAAGCTGTCATTAAAATATGATACTGCATCCAAACTAGCAGCTGCAGTTAAGGCAGACCAGTGTTTTTTTGCTCTTGTGGTAGTCTATAATCCATCTATTTTTTAAATTGTCATTTTAAATGACATTTTAATGGCCAATATGTTGAACCTGTCTCTACCAAAAATAGAAAAATTAGCCGAGCGTGGTAGTTTGTGCCTGTGATCCCAGCTATTTGGGAGGCTAAGGCAGGAGAATCGCTTGAGCCCAGGAGAAAAAAGTCCTGCAAAGTGGGTCCTGTTAGATTAGTTTGGTCCAAAGCTGCATTCATCCTTTAACCTCCATGAACTCCCACTCTTAACTGAAAGGTCACGGTGGCATTTTCTAGTCTGCTTGTACCAGTGTCAACTTAGGGCCTGTATCCAGTGGCCATCAAAGTCTGAGTATTTTTCTTTCCCCAGTGCACATCTGCCTGGTTAATGGCTTTGGGTCTCTTGAGAAAAAGAGCAAGAGAATGGTTATTGCATATTTTTGTGGCATTGAAGAGTCCTTCCCCAGGGGTGGATACAGCTATTTAAATCACTGGGCTCTAAGTCTATGAAGTCTGTGAAATGACTTAGATCAGTAAACTTGTGAGGGACCATGATTTCCATTGTAGAGACTGACATCAGCCTTCTATCCACTAGTTCTTGATTTCCTACCATCCTGCCCTCGCCCCCTGCCTTTATGAAAACTATATGTAAGTCAAGAAACACCCTCCCCATTTTTTTTTTTGGAGACAGAGTTTCGCTCTTGTTGCCCAGACTGGGGTGCAATGGCACACTCTCGGCTTACTGCAACCTCCACCTCCCGGGTTCAAGCGATTCTCTTGCCTCAGCCTCCTGAGTAGCTGGGATTACAGGCAGGTACCACTATGCCTGGCTAATTTTGTATTTTTAGTAGAGACGGGGTTTCTCCATGTTGGTCAGGCTGGTCTCAAACTCCCGACCTCAGGTGATCTGCCCACCTCAGCCTCCCAAAGTGCTGAAATTACAGGTGTGAGCCATGAAGCCTGGCCAAGAAACACCCCTTTTGTCTTTCCTTTCAGAATACCGTATCTGTTTGCCATCACCACAGATCTCTCTGGGTCAAGACACCCTGGTTGCACTCCCGACTTGCTTCCCATGACAGTCTATGTATACTTATATATACACACACGCAAGCATATTATAATTTTCATGAATCTTTTGAGAGTAAGTCATACGCAGGTTGCCCTTTTGTTCCTGAGTATTTCATTCCTAAATACAAAGATACTTTCTTTCATAATCACAATATAATGATCAAGAAATTAGGATTGGCCAGGCGCGGTGGCTCATGCCTGTAATCCCAGCACTTTGGGAGGCCGAGGCGGGCGGATTACGGGGTCAGGAGCTCGAGACCATCCTGGCTAACGTGGTAAAACCCCGTCTCTACTAGAAATACAAAAAATTAGCCGGGTGTGGTGGCGGGCGCCTGTAGTCCCAGCTGCTTGGGAGGCTGAAGCAGAAGAATGGCATGAACCCAGGAGGCGGAGCTTGCAGTGAGCTGAGATCGCGCCATTGCACTCCAGCCTGGGTGACAGAGTGAGACTCCATCTCAAAAAAAAAAAAGAAAAAAAAAGAAATTAGGATTGCTATAACATTATTATCTAATTTCATGTATCATCCAAATTCTCCCAAGTCCCATTAATGTCCTTTAGAATAAGATAAACTTGTTTTTTTCTGGTCCCAGAACTAATCCAGAATCATATTTGAATTTAGTTGTCATGTCTCTTGTTTCCTTTATTCTGGAGCCAGTTTCTCAGTCACTGCCTTTCACAACTGACTTTTTTTTTTTTTTTTTTTGAGACAGATTCTCACTGTGTCACCTAGGCTGGAGTGCAGTGGTGTGATCTTGGCTCACTGCAACTCAGCCTCCTGGGTTGGAGCAATTCTCCTGCCTCAGCCTTCCGAGTAGCTGGGATTACAGGTGTGAGCCACAATGCCCGGCTAATTTTTGTATTTTTAGTAGAGACGGGGTTTTGCCATGTTGGCCAGGCTGGTGTTGAACTCCTGACCTCAGGTGATTCACCCACCTTGGCCTCCCAGAGTGCTGGGATTACAGGCATGAGGCACCGTGGCCGGCCCTGTTGCGGGAAGTCAGGGGCCCCAAATGGAGGGACCGGCTGAAGCCATGGCAGAAGAACGTGGATTGTGAAGATTTTATGGACATTTATTAGTTCCCCAAATTAATACTTTTATAATTTCTTGTGCCTGTCTTTACTGCAATCTCTAAACATAAATTGTGACAATTTCATGGACACTTATCACTTCCCCAATCAATACCGTTGTGATTTTCTATGCCTGTCTTTACTTTAATCTCTTAATCCTGTCAGCTGAGGAGGATGTATGTCACCTCAGGACCCTGTAATAATTGCATTAACTGCACAAATTATACAGCATGTGTGTTTGAACAATATGAAATCTGGGCACCTTGAAAAAAGAACAGGATAACAGCAATTGTTCAGGGATTAAGAGAGATAACCTTAAACTCTGACTGCTGGTGAGCCAGGCAGAACAGAGCCATATTTCTCTTCTTTCAAAAGCAAATGGGAGAAATATTGCTGAATTCTTTTTCTCAGCAAGGAACATCCCTGGGAAAGAGAATACGCACCTGGGGGTATAGGTCTATAGACGGCCCCCCTGGGTGTGCCCATCTTTTATGGCCTGTAGACTGTAGGGGTGAAATAGACCCCAGTCTCCCATAGCGCTCCCAGGCTTATTAGGAAGAAGAAACTCCCGCCTAATAATTTTGGTCAGACTGGTTGCTCTCAAAACCCTGTCTCCTGATAAGATGTTATCAGTGACACTGGTGCCTGAAACTTCATTAGCAAATTTAATTTCACCCCAGTCCTGTGGTCCTGTGATCTCGCCCTGCCTCCACTTGCCTTGTGATATTCTATTACTTTGTGAAGTACTTGATGTCTGTGACCCACACCTATTCACACACTCCCTCCCCTTTTGAAAATCCCTAATAAAAACTTGGTGGTTTTTGCAGCTCGTGGGGCATCACGGAACCTACCGACATGTGATGTCTCCCCCGGTCGCCCAGCTTTAAAATTTCTCTCTTTTGTACTCTGTCCCTTTATTTCTCAAGCTGGCCGATGCTTAGGGAAAGTAGAAAAGAACCTATGTGACTATCGGGGCAGGTTCCCCAATACGGCCCACAACTGACTTTTTTTTTTTTTTTTTTTGAGACGGAGTCTTGCTCTGTCATCCAGGCTGGAGTGCAGTGGTGCAATCTTGGCTGACAGCAAGCTCTGCCTCCCGGGTTCACACCATTCTCCTGCCTCAGCCTCTCAAGTAGCTGTGACTACAGTTGCCTGCCACCATGCCCAGCTAATTTTTTGTATTTTTTTTAGTAGAGACGGGGTTTCACTGTGTTAGCCAGGACGGTCTCGATCTCCTGACCTCATGATATGCCCACCTCGGCCTCCCAAAGTGCTGGGATTACAGGCATGAGCCACTGTGCCTGGCCACAACTGGGATTTTTTAAGAATGCTGGCCTGCTGTGTTGTAGAATGTCTATTAAATTGGGTTTGTTGATGGTTTTTTATTATTTCATAGATTCAATTTGGTAGAAATATACAGAAATGATGTACTAGCATGATTCATGGATTCCTATTTTGTGGGTTACAATCCATTACTACTATCAGGGCTGGCTGCGTAATTTGTGGGGCCCAGCACAAATGAAAATGCAGGGCCCTGGGTGGGGACAAGGAAGCCAATTTCCTCTTCTCATAAACTGGCTGTTCCAGTCAATGCAAATGGACAATGCCCAGGGAACTGTACCTTCCATGCTGGTTTGTTCTCAGTTGTTGGATGGCACTGGTAAGAGGCCCCAGCTGAATGGCCTGCAGAATGTGCTGTGCTACTGTCAGATTAGGGAGGGGACAGCTGCCTTCTTGATCACCCCATGGTGCTATGAAAGTTGCAGTTACAGGATAAAGTCCACTTTACTCAGACCCAGACAAATTGGAGCTAGGAGAGCACAAAGGAGAGGAGCTCATGCTTGCATGTCTACAGCTAAAAGCTGTTTCCAGGCAATAACCCACAAGAAATTCTCTCATGTCCTTCATGCATCTTATGCTTTGCACGGCTTGCATGTTTCACACACATGCACGTATTTCTTTGACACAATTTCTTACTAGACATTTTTTAGGACTGCAGCAATTCAGATAAGATGATCTCAAAAGAAGGCTTGCCTGATAATGGCTTCTCTACCAGTGATCTACTAGTAACTCTGGCTTTGAGCCTCTGGTACCAATAAACTGTTTCTAAGTAGCTTACATGAACTTCTCTGTTGTACCGATAAAGGCTTCCCTTTACCCTCCCCTCTCTGGATGCATTTGTGGCTTGCTATAACTGTGCATCCCAGGTTATAATCCTTTTTGCTTACTCCCAGATAAAATAATTATATTATGAAATATTTTTTTCTGATGTCTTTTTTTTAGGTTGACAGTGCCCTGGGATATGGGCCCAACCCTGAACCCTCCTGCACCTATCCATACCTAGGTTTCTGCCAGGGTGGAAGGTGATGACAAAACGTGGGCCTCCCCTAGCCAAGGTGACCCAGTCACTGCTCTGAAGCAAGGCAGGGAATGCAAAGCTGGGCAGGGACCATGGGACCGGCGGTAGGGAATAGGCAGCAGCAGGCCTCAGACCCACATGTCATCAGAGGCTCCAGGCTCTCAGCATGCTCCATTGTGCCAAAAAAAAAGCAAAATTATAGTCTAATTAAAAATAAATAAGTCTTTAACTGAGGAATAGTCCTCCCTCAGGATGGATCCTGTGTCCTTTGCATGTCACTGTCATTTTCTGAGCACTCTTTTACTTTCTGGCTCATCTTTTTCCTTCCCAGACCAAGTTTTGTTTTTCTTTGTTTTTTTGTTTTTGAGATGGAGTCTTGCTCTATTGCCCAAGCTGGAGTGCAGTGGCACGATCTAGGCATCTAGGCTCACTGGAACCTCTGCCTCCCGGGTTCAAGTGATTCTCATGCCTCAGCCTCCCGAGTAGCTGGGACCACAGGCATGTGCCACCACGCCCAGCTAATTTTTGTATTTTTAGTAGAGACGGGTTTTCACCCTGTTGGCCAGGCTGGTCTGGAACTCCAGACTGCCCACCTCGGCCTCCCAAAGTGCTGGGCTTACAGGTGTGAGCCACCGCGTCAGGCCCCACACCAAGTTTTGAATCAAGAAGTACTGGGGCTGGGCACGGTGGCTCACACCTGTAATCCCAGCACTTTGGGAGGCCAAGGTGGTTGGATCCCAAGGTCAGGAGTTCGAGACCAGCCTGGCCAACATGGTGGAACCCCGTCTCTACTAAAAATACAAAAACAACTGGGCATGGTGGCGGGTGCCTGTGGTCCCAGCTACTCGAGAGGCTGAGGCAGGAGTATCGCTTGAAACCGGAAGGCGGAGGTTGCAGTGAGCCGAGGTCACACCGCTGCACTCTAGCCTGGGTGAAAGAGTGAAACTCTATCTCAAAAAAAAAAAAAAAGTATTGGTTCTTTTAAAAAAAAAAAATTGAAGCAAAATCTGCATCACAAAAAATTAGTCTTGGCCATTTTAAAGTGTACAATTCTGTGACATTTTGTACATTCACAATGTTGTGCAAATACCACTTCTATCTAGTTCCAAGACAGTTTCATCACCTCAGAAGGAAACCTCGTGTGCAATAAGCAGTCAACACCTCATTTCTCCCTCTCCCTAGCCTCTGGAAACCACTAGTCTGCTTTCTGTCTCTATGGATTTACCTGCTGTGGATGTTTCATATAAGTGGAATTATACAATATGTGACCTTCTGTGTTTGACTTCTTTCACTTAGTGTAATGTTTTTGAAGTTCATCCACGTTGTAACATGTATCAATACTTTATTCCTCTTTATGGCTGAATAAAATCCCATTATATGGATGTGCCACATTTTGTTTATTCATTCCTTGGTGGCCATTTGTCTCCAGTTCTGGGCTGTTGTAAATAATGCTGCTATGAACACTTATGTACAAGTATTAAATATTTGTTTGGATGCTTGTTTTCAGTTCTTTTAGGCATAGTTCTAGGAATAGGCTTGCTAGGTCATCTGTTTAACTTTTTGAAGACTCACCAAACTTTTTCAAAGTGATTGCACTATTTTACATTCCCAGTTTCTCCATGTCCTTGCCAAATCACCCTTCTTTCCTCCCTCCCTTTCCTTCTCCTTCCTTCTTTCTCTTTCTCTTGCTTTTTCTTTCTTTCCAACCTAGTGAGTTTGAAGTGGCAGCTCATTGTGATTTTGATTCACATTTTCTTAATGACTAATGACATTAAACATCTTTTCATTTGAAGTTGGCCATTTTTATGTCTTTTTTGGAGAAATGTATATTCAATTGTATTCATATGCCCACTTTTTAATTGGATTATGTCTTTTTGTTGTTGAGTAGTTACAGCTCTTTATATATTCTGATACTATAATTTTATCAGATATATATGATTTGCAAATATTTTCTCTCATTCTGTAGGTTGTGTTTTCACTCTGTTGATAGTGTGCTTTTATGCACCATTTACAAAAAATTTGGTGAAGTCTAATTAATCTACTCTTTTCTTCTGTTGCTTGTGCTTTTGGTGTCAAATCTAAGAAATATCATTGCCAAACCCAGGGTCATAAAGATTGATGCCTATGTTTTCCTCTAAAAGTTTTAGAGTTTTAGTTCTTATATTCAGCTATTTGATTCATTTTGAGTTAATTTTTGTGTATCATGTAATTTTATATATGGTATTGGTAAGAGTCCAATTCCTTATTCTTCTTCCTTTTTTTTTTTTTTTTTTTTTTTTCGGAGACAGGGTTTTGTTCTGTTGCCCAGGCTGGTGTGTAGTGGCACGATCTTGGCTCACTGCAACCTCCGCTTCCTGGGCTCAAGCGATCCTCCCATCTCAGCTTCCCGAGTAGTTGGGACTACAGGTGCAAGCCACCACGTCTGGCTAATTTTTCTATTTTTAGTAGAGACAGGGTTTCACCATGTTGCCCAGTTGGGTCTGGAATTCCTGAGCTCAAGGGCTCTACCTATGTTGGCCTCCCAAAGTATTGAAATTACAGGCGTGAGCTACCGCGCCAGGCCTCAGTTTCATTCTTTTGCATGTAGATATCCAGTTCTCCCAGTACCATTTGCTGAGGAAACTTCTTTCTCCATTGAAAGATCTTGACTATAGATGCATAATTTTATTTCTAGACTCTCAAGCCTATTCCACTTATCTATATGTCTTTATATCAATACCATAGGTTTTTTTTTTAATTACTATACCTTTGTAGTACATTTTGAAATCAGGAAGCATGAACTTTTTAAATTTTTGGGTCCTTTGCAATTTCATATGCATTTTAGCATACACTTTTCCATTTCTTCAAAAATGTTGTTGAATCTGTAGCTCTATCTGGGGAATATAGCCATCTTCACAATATTATGTGTTTGATTCCATGAACATTAAATGTATTTTCTTTTCTTTTTTTTTTATCTGAGAAGTTTCACTCATCACCCAAGCTGGAGTGCAGTTGCACGATCTCGGCTTACTGCAACCTCCACCTCCCGGGTTCAAGCAATTCTCCCGCTTCAACCACCCGAGTAGCTGGGATTACAGGCACCCACCACCACGCCCGGCTAAATTTTGTATTTTTAGTAGAGACGGGTTTCGCCAAGTTGGCCAGGCTGGTCTCAAACTCCTGACCTCAGGTAATCCACCCGCCTCAGCCTCCCAAAGTGCTGGGATTACAAGCGTGAGCCACCGCGCCTGGCCATGTCTTTTCATTTATTTAGATTTTCTTTTTTTTTCAGTAGTGGTTTGTGGTTTTCAATGTATAAATCCTGCACCTTCTTGGTTAAATTTATGCCTAGGTATTTTATTCTTTTTGATATTATTGTAAATGGAACTTTTAAAGTTTCCTTTTCAATTGTTCATTTCTAATACATTGAAATGCAACTGATTTTTATGTGTTGATCTAGTATCTTGCATCTTTGCTTATTTCATTTATTAGCACTAATAGATTTTTTATTTAGGATTTTCCATATATAATATTATGTAATTGGTTCCTTTTGTTGGAAAGGGATATTAAGAAATCAACATCCAGGTGCTAAGTGTACTCGTAGCTACTTTGATATAATTGCTTCTAGGACCTCTTAGCAGACAGAGCTAGATAATACATACATATACACATACATATATCTATATTTATTTATTAAAATCCATGAATTCTTACTGATTCCATCCACTTTAATTCTATTAGGAAAACTGGAGGCAGAACTCTCCATGTTGCAAGTAGCAGTGTCAGAAAAGCCCCAGTGTGGGAAGCAAGAGGTATACTGTGATCGATTCTGTGGCTGCAGTAAGAAGTGGCGTAGAGATGACTTTGAACTGACACACGAGATGTGTTCAGTGTACTTAGTTTCTGTAATAACACTCTCCTTGTTTTCTTCCTACCTCTCTGGATACTCTTTTTTTGGATTCCTTTTTGAACTTCCATTGCTCATGCCTTAAATGCTGGGTGTTCATCTGGGTTCTGTAACAAGCCTATTGCCCTCTCAGCTCACTTTCTAGATTAGCTCATTGATTCTAATGCCTTCCAGTACCTTTTGGGTAATAGCTACAGCACATGTTTTCTGTGCTTCAGATAGGCCTGTTTGACTACATACTAAACAGCTTCACTTGGATATTCTGTTGGTGCTAGTGTGTCAAAATGGAAATGTCCTAAACTCATCACTATGGCCTATTTCACCCTTCCTCCTGGTTGCAACTAGGTTTTCTTCCTGTTGCTTAATGGTTTCTTGTTGCCCAAACCAGAAACTGGGCATCCCCATGGACTACTGCCTCTCTTTCACACCCCTACATCCCAGTCCTCTTGATTCACTCTCCTAAATATGTCAAATATGTCCATTCATCTCCATCCTTATGGCCACTGCCGTAATCAGATCGCTATTATCCCTCACTTGGATTACAGCGTGCTAATTGACCTCTCAGACCCATTCTTAGAACCATTAAAAACTTGAGTTCTGAGTTTTAGGCCTGGCTGTGCCACTTATTAGCTGCATGATCTTGGTCAGACTGCTTAATCGCTTTAGGACTCAGTTTCCTCATCTGTAATACAGAGGTAAGAATAGTACCTACTTCATAAAGTAGTTGTAAGACACGTATGAGGTGATGTAGTCAAAACTATTAGCATATTGGCTGACTCATAGTAAATGATCAAGAAATGTTAGTTATGATCATGATCATCATTGCAGGGTTATTCACCGCACAGCCTCTGTTATTTCTCCATTTTCTTTTCTGATTGCTTTCAGTCTTTCAGCTTTTCTGAACCTCTTCCTGTTGCTCCAGTGTTGAATGCTATCTTTTGCTTCCAGGCCTTCCCTCTGCTCCATTTTCCTGGAATTCTCTTCTCCCTTGCCCCTTGCCCTCATTCATTCTAAGTTTATCCTTAACTTTCTCTTGATTTGGTGTCATTTATCTGTGCTCCAATAACACTCTTTAACTTCCTTTATTGAGGCTCTTATCTCACTACTGGAGTTGCCTACTTATTCGATGGTCTCTCAAGTAAGTCCTGACGTCAGGGACCAGTTTACCTTGTTTACTAATAGGGTGCCTGACTTGATGAATGAGTGAATGAATGGGTGATGAATGGGCCATAGCACCATCCTAGGTTTTCTGATCTCCTGTCTGGTATACTCCTGGTGAGAGCCTTGCCTGGCCACAGGAGTGGGGAAAGCTGAAGGCAGGCTTTCCCTGTGCCATATCAGCCATTAGCAATTACTACATTATTGGTTTCCCAGATTTTAGCTGATCAGTGATTCCCAGGACTATTCCTCTGGACATGAACATGAGGCTACCTTTTCCCTTTTTTTTTTTTTTTTTTTTTTTTTTTTTTTTTGAAACAGAGTCTCGCTCGGTCGCCCAGGCTGGAGTGCAGTGGCGCCATCTCGGCTCATTGCAACCTCCACCTCTCGGGTTCAAGCGATTCTCCTGCCCTCAGCCTCCTAAGTAGCTGAGACTACAGGCGCGTGCCACGACGCCCTGCTAATTTTTTGTATTTTTAGTAGAGACGGGGTTTCACCGTGTTAGCCAGGATGGTCTCGATCTCCTGACTTCGTGATCTGCCGGCCTCGGGCTCCCAAAGTGCTGGGATTACAGGCGTGAGCCACCTAACCCGGCCTTTTTCTCTCTTAACCTCACCAACAGTCTGATGGCCCTTCTCTCACACGGGAAGAGCTCTTGAAGTTATCAACCTGTTAGGACATTTGTTATCTCTAAACCCGAGTTTACTGTGTTATGTTTGCCTGGAAATGTTATATCAAATGTATGAAATTGCCAACTGTTTGTAATTTCATATGGTTCATCCTATATGTGATTTTGTAAATTGGACCCACCTGAGAAGCTAACTGCTGTAATGCCAACTGTGAGTAGCTACAGACTGGAAAGGTGATGGAGTTGACCGGGTGGGCCTGCGACAGCTGGAATTTGCGGTGGAGGTAGACACAAGTCAGCGAGACGGCTTAGAAGGCAGAAGGGAAGCTGAACTAAGGCTTCTCAACATTTTACTCTGCTTAGAAGTGGAAACATTTGGTTCAAAGGGCCTTTGCCTTAGACTCCATAGGGACAGGCCCAAGGGCTGCTGTTCACACCTCCTGGCCACTGAGAGGGATGAACTTGGCTGCCTCTGAGTGGGAACCACGAGGTCTGACCCCCTACGCAGTCCCAGGTTCACTACCCCGCAGGCCGGAGCGACACCGTTGGCGCTGGGAGAAGAGAGCCGCTGGGTGGCAGCAAAGGCGCGCAGGTTTCTTCCGACAGAGGCGGTTCCTTAACATACTGTAGTTTTCTTCTTTTTAAACTCATTGCTCTAACACTCTTAGAAATTTACAGTGGTTTTATATTCTTGAATTACACAGTGTGAGCAGAGACTCCGTTTGCCATTTCCTCCCGGAATTACATTGATTTTTTTCCTGCGAAATTTTTTACTTATTTTTCTCCCATGTTATTTCCAGGAATCCTGGGCATTCCCTTGCCCCGGAAACGCCGTGTCCAGGCCGACCTAAGCCAGGAGCCGCAGGGGCGGGAAGCCGGGGGCAGGGCCGGGCCTGGGACGCCGCCTCAGGAGCCGCGCGGACTCGGGAACCTCGGGCGGGGCCGGCGTGAGTACGCCCGGCACCTCCGGCTGCTACGGTGGCGACCGCGAACTGATGCCGTGGAAAACACCCTTAGAACATGGCTTTTTGGGGAGGTGAATAGGGGAGAGTCCCCAAACGACACCTCGCCGCGCACCGGTCCTTGGTGCAGTTTGTAAATGTCCCTCCTGTGTCCCAAAACGAAAACACTCCTATATTTTGTAGCGCCTTCCAGAATGGGGCAGCGGAAACTAGTGTTGGGACAAAGGAGGCGAGCGGGGCCTTTTCGGGGCTCACAGAGGACCCCTCGGAGGCGCGGCCGCCGGGGAGAGCGCGACAGCACCCCGCCCCCCGCCAGCCGGGCGGGGGCCGCTCCCGAGGTGACAGGAGAAGGCGGGAGGTGGAGGAGAGAAGGTCCCGCCCCACCTCGCTCTCCTTTACGGGAAGTGATGTGGGGCCAGGCGGAAAATACCCGCCAACGACCCAAAAAAGGCCGGCGGCGGGTGGACGCGGCGCGCGAGGACCCGAGCCAGGCGGGGACAGGACGGCGGGGCGAGCCAGGTGAGGGGGCCTGAGGAGCGGGAGGCGCGCGGCGGGTCCGGTCCCTCCGGGAGGGCCGAGCGAGGCGTCCCCCTGGGGCCGTCCTAGGGCTGGGGTCCGAGTGCGCCGCCCTTCCTCCCCGCCTCCAGGCGCCCGAGCCCGCCTGAAGAGTGGCTTCTCTCCCAGGCCCTCAGCGCAGACCCCAGTGATGACAACTGCCTGGTGCTGGCCAGGTGCGGTCCCAGGTCCGGCCAGGGTCTCAGATCGCCTCCGGGTTGCATCCAGGTGGGAGGATGCCCATCAGGGGTAGGAAACTTTCCAGGAGGGAAAGGAGGAAAGTCCCCGACCTCCCGCACGCCCCCCGGTTCATTCCTCCCTCTTTTGCTTTCAGTTTAACTGTTTAACCTGGTTGCCCTCCGGTTGGTGAGGGTCTGGACTGCAGACTAGCTGCGAGGGAGGGGCTCTCTCTTCTCCTGTCAGTTAGACTGAAAACTACCTGGCAGCCAGGCCCTCCGGTCGGGACTGGTGGTGGTGCAGATATGATGACAGGCTTTGGTAACTATTGCCAAAGCCTGTCTCTGTCCCAATAGATCACCAGTTCAGCAAAGTCAGGCCTGAAGCGAAGGGAGTCTTGTGAGCCCTGGACTGAGGAGCCTTCCCAGCCTTTCCGCTCCTGCTGGCCACCTGGGCCCACATGGCCTCAGGGTCTTCTGCCACAGGGTCCTTACCCCTACAGCTTAACAGCTGTTCTTTCCTTCTGGATGGATTCTCACATTTTATGGTTGGTTGATCAGTCAGATGTTGGAATTGGGGGTAGAGGGATTATAGAGTTGTGTGTGCTATTTAAGTTTTCTGTAATCATTGCTAATTAAATTTGTTGATTCTCCACTCACTGTTCTTGTTCTTTTTTTTTTTTCGGCCTTAAAAACTTGCTTTAGAGGGAAAATACAATCTGGAAAACAGTTTCTGCAGATGGTTAGAAGTGAAGAAAGGTTAATATAATGCTGAAGGAACTTGACTGAGGATCATTATTTTCTGTATTTTATGTTGGTTTATGTTGTTTTATGTTTTCATTCCTACTTTTTTCTTCCTTCCTTTCTACCATTCTCTCTTCCTCCCTCCCTCCCTTTTTTCTTCCTTCCTTAATTTCTGTGACGTGCCTTGATTTTTAATTTCGTTGAAGTATATTTAATCTATTTTTCCTTTTTTTTCTTTTGAGACAGAGTCTCACTCTGTCGCCCAGGTAGGAATGCGGTGGCATGATCTTGGCTCACAGCAACCTCCGCTTCCTGGGTTGAAGTGATTCTTTTGCTTCAGACTCCAGAGTAGCTGGAATTACAGGTGTGTGCTACCATGCTTGGCTAATTTTTGTATTTTTAGTAGAGGCGGGGTTTTGCTATGTTGGCCAGGCTGGTCTTGAACTCCTGACCTCAAGTGATCAACCTGCGTCAGCCTCCCAAAGTGCTGGGATTATAGGCTTGAGCCACTGCACCGAGCCTATTTTTCCTTTTGTTGTTTGTGCTTTTGATGTCAAAGTTAAGAAAACATTGTCAAATTCAAGATCATGAAGATTTATACTTATGTTTTCTTCTAAAAGTTTTATAGTTTTTAGCTCTTACATTTCATTCTTTGACCCATTTTAAGTTAATTTTTAAATATGGTGTGAGGCAGGGGGTCTGACTTCAACTTTTTGCATGTGGATATCCAGTTCTTTCAGCACCATTTGTTTAAAAGACTGTTCCTCTTTGAATAGTTTTGGCACCTCTGTTGAGATAAATTGACCATGAATGTAAAGGTTTATTTCTGGACTGTCAGTTCTATTCCATTGATCTGTATGTCTGTCCTCAGGCTAGTATCATACTACCTTGATTATTGTAGCTACATAGTGTTTTGAAATCAGGATATGTGAGTCCTCCAACCTTGTTCTTTTTCAAGATTGTTTTGACTATCCAGTCCCTTGAATTTCCATATGAATTTTTTTTTTTTTTCGAGATGGAGTTTTGCTCTTATTTACCAGGCTGGAGTGCAATGGCACGATCTCAGCTCACTGCAACCTCCGCCTCCCTGGTTCAAGTGATTCTCCTGCCTCATCCTCCTGAGTAGCTGGGATTACGGGCATGTGCCACCATGCCTGGCTAATTTTATATTTTTAGTAGAGACAGGGTTTCTCCATGTTGGTCAGGCTGGTCTCGGACTCCCGATCTCAGGTGATCTGTCTGCCTCAGCCTCCCAAAGTGCTGTGATCATAGGCATGAGCCACCATGCCTGGCCTTCCACATGAAATTTAAAGTCAGCTTCTCAATTTCTATTGTTTTGGTTCTAAAATAGATGTAAGGGTTTTAAAGTGAGCAACAATCTCTAGGAGCCAGATTTTTGAGTTTTCTCTCCCAAAGCTGCTTTTCCCCTAGTCTTCTCCATCTTAGTGAATGGCAACTTCACTCTTCCAGATGCTCACACCAAACACCCTGAAATCACTCTTGATTCTTTCTCTTATACCCCACATTAAATTCCTCAGCAGGCCGGGTGCGGTGGCTCACGCCTGTAATCGCAGCACTTTGGGAGGCCGAGACAGGTGGATCACGTGAGGTCAGGAGTTCAAGACCAGGCTGGCCAACATGGTGAAGCCCTGTATCTACTAAAAATACAAAAATTAGCGGGGCGTGGTGGTGGGTGCCTGTAATCACAGCTACTCAGGAGGCTGAGGCAGGAGAATCGCTTGAACCCAGGAGGCGGAGGTTGCAGTGAGCTAAGATCGTGCCATTGCACTCCAGCCTGGGCGACAGAGTGTGAGTCCGTCTCAAAAAAAAAAAAAAAAAAAAAAAAAGAATACATCTAGGATGATAACCATTTCTCACCACTTCTGCTGCTTCCACCAAGTTCTATCATCTCTGTCACCTGGATTACTGCAAAAGCCTTCTGAAGGGCTTCCCTGCTTCCACCCTTACTGCTCCACACTCTATTCTTAACACAGCAGCCAGAGTCTATTATGTCACTCTGCTTGAAACTCTCCAGTGGCTTTTTATCTCAGAAGTGACAGAGTCCTCACCATGGTCTATACAACCCTTGCATGGAGTGCGGCTTCATCTGCTATCACTCTTGCCTTTGCTGACTCTGCTCCAGCCATACCTCAGGACCTTTGCACTTGTTTCCTCTGCCTGGAATGCTCTTCCCCTCAGATGTCTGCATGGCTTTCTTATTTATTTCATTCAGGTGAAAAGTCATTTTTCTGGAGAGGCCTTCTTAGACCACTCCATCTAGAATAGTATCCCTCACCTATCCCATCATTTTCTGCCCCCTTACCTTGCCTTGTTTTCTTTCGAGTATTTATAGAACTGTCATACACAGACCAGCACACACACACAACATTTGTCTTTCACTGGTAGAAGACAAGCTCCAGGATGGCCAGTAATCTGCCTTGTTCACTGTGATGTCCATAGCACATAGAATGGTTTCTGACATATATTAAGCACTCAAAGAGATATGTGTTGAACTAATGAAAAAGGGAACAGAAGACAGAGCAATAGGGATCATTCTGCCATTTCTCCCATCCAAGTACTAACCAGGCCCAACCCTGCTTGGCTTCCAAGATCAGAGGAGATCGGGCACATCCAGGATGGTATGTCTGTAGAGTGTTCTGCTATTTCTTTCCCACTATTCCATCCATTTTTTTCTAAGAGAAGCAATGTCTATAGATACACCAACATCTCCTAAGTCTCTCGTCTTCTGTCCTACTTTCCCAAAAATAATAGTCTTATCTTCCTTAAAAAGGGAAAGGTCAAATAAGTAGAAAGGTGAGGATTTTGGTCCCTCCCACAGTGGCAGACCGGAGCCCTCTGTCTATATCCTGGGCAAACTGGGCAGGGCCATTCAGTGCCTATCTCCAGGGTGTTGGCCTCTTGTGCTAATTTAAGAAGAGTGAAGTTTTTTGGAAATTTGAGAAAATGGAAATTCATTTCTTATTTATTTATTCAATAGAAACGGGGTTTCACCATGTTGGCCAGGCCCCTGAGAAGGGAAATTGTCTTGCCATCGCTAAAACAAGATTGGTTCTTGAAGAGAGTAATTTTTCCCTTCTATAGCCTTCACTTTTTATGCCACTTGCAGATTTTCTTGGACTGTATTTGTTCTTCTGCCTCTTGGTCAGGAAGTTTGAGTTTATGATTTGGTTTCCCTTAAGCTAGGTGCAGACATGAGCCCTGAACTGGAGGCAGAGATAAAGGGTTTGTAATTTACTTATGTTCGTAGGGTAAGGTGTGTGGAGTAGAGAGCATTCAGCTCTGTTTGGACTCTCTGGTTTTGCAGGTACTTGTATGATTGAGGTCTAGTAATACTCATATTTTATTTATTGTCAAGTAAAATTAGATGCCTCTCTTACGAGGAATGCTGAAAGTTTTGTTCCTCCTTTCCTGTTTTTTTTTTTTTTTTGGTTGTTTGTTTTTCGTCTGTATATGTTGCCCTTAAACAGAAGTTTACCATGTAGTGCTTTAGTCAGCCAACCTCCCGTGTGTGGAGTGAGAGTTTTGATTCTAATGTGGGGATGGAGGTGGGGTGCCAGATTTAGCAAACTAAAAAAAAGTTAAATTTGCATTGCAGAAAAACACTAAATAATTGTTTCCTATATCTTATACATTATTTGGGACATACTTTTACTAAAAAATTGTTCTTTATCCAAAATGCACATTTAACTGGATGTCTTGTTTTGTGTCTGGCAGCCCTAGCTGGAGTTTATGTTTATGCATAGGAAATGCATCGATGGTGAAAATGTCCAAAGAATGATTGAGCCATGGCTGATTTTTGGTGATTGTGCATGTATCCAAAAGAGAAGATTTGTAAACCCAAGGAGTATTAGAATTAGAAGGAAGTTAGAGAACATTTCATTTTACTCTAGTCTTTTATAGTTAATGGAATTTACTCCAGAGAGGTTAAGTCACTTTGTCAAAGTCACATAGAGTTAGTGGCAGAGCTGGAAGTGGGACTCTGGAACCAGCAGTTGTTCTGCTGCATAATCCCTTCCCTTAAGAGGTCATGAAGAAGTTGCTTATGTTTTCATGTTGACCTTTAATCACATCTCTAGCCATCCACTCAAGATCACCTCATTATCATACTGTCCTTCAGTCCCCAGATCCAACATGTGGCAGCCAAAGCCATTCTCATGAGACACTTTGACTTTTCTCTGAGAGCCGCATAACTGTTGAAAGCCCCATGTGGTTCTTGTCCCTGCTGTTATGCCAGAAAGCCTGTAATTCAATGTGGTTTTATTTTTTTTTATGGTTTTGTTAACACTTTTGACCCTCTGGAGTATTTATTATAAGGTGCTTTGATTAAGGTGGTCTTACTGAGTATAATTCCACAACAACTAAGTGTTGTCTTATGGAAAGCCTGCTTGCTTTGAGTGGCCTATTCCCACAAAATTCCTCACCCCTTTTTATTTTGGTACAATAAATATGGAAGATATACATATGACAAGGACCAAGGTAGATAGACAGGTGTATGTGACTTGCTCACTAGAGATCTGTTCTTTTTAAACAAGATTTTATTATTTTTTATTGTAATTATTTGTACCTATTTAAAAGAAAGCAGCCTTGAAAATGAACTGCTTTCTCTAACTGCTATTTGAATACCATATTTCAGAACCACTAATCTTGTTTTTTCATAGTTTCATTGGTTAATTCATATAAAGTCTTACCAGCTGCCAGGTCAAAGCATAATAATAAAATTGGTTGCCACGAGACTGAAAAGTCTGTTCATTCTTATTTGCTATAGTTTATCTACCTTGGCCTGATCCCACCACCTGGGAGGCTGGTCAAGTCCTATCAGGGTATGGCTAAATACTAATCTGCTGTGTATTTGTATCGTTAAAAGCAAAGTCAAGGTCTAAATCAGCTAGTTAAACACAATAATATGATACTTTTGTTCTTGCTGTACTAGCCCTAATAAGGGGAGAAATGAAACATACAGAAATAGGTCATGACTTAAATGTTCATTTACAAAACTAAAGAATTTTAAAATATAACCTATGATTGTGGTCAGGATTTCTTTGTTTCTTGCTAAGAAATCATTATGAAAATAGTGATTTTCATAATAAATCGCATCATTTCAAGGAAACAACTCCAAGAATGAGTGAAGAGGTGTAACAGTCCTTGAAAAGATAAGTCATTGTCCTCACAGTCAAATACTGGAGACCTAATGTGGCTTTTCTCATTAGGGACAAGGTCAGCTGTCCCAGGTCCCACGTCTGCCCTAGGCTGTGTATTGAAGTGGGTTGTGTAGTGAAGTGGGTTGTGGTATTTCCTCAGGTGGCGGCTCATTCCTGTGTTCCGGACTTCCTGCTTGAATGTGGAAGAATCAACACAGTCAGGAATCAGTCGGTCGGTTTTTAGTCTCCATATTCCTGATTATTAACTATGTGATATCACACCAGTGTATGTCAGTTGGGGGTGATTTTCTCCCCTGCCCCACCCCACATGGGACATTTAGCAATGCCTGGAGACATTTTTGACTGTCACAGCTGGGGAGTTACTCCTGGCATTTAGTGGGTGGGGGCCAGGGATGCTGCAAAACATTCTCAGTACACAGGAGAGCCCCCAACAAAGGATTATCCTGCCTAAAATGTCAACAGTGCCGACGCTAAGAAACCCTGCATTAGACAACTCATTCAACCTCTTTGGCTTACAGTTTCCCAAGTTACACGTTCTGTCCATCATGTAAAACTAACTAAGCCTAACTACCGCTGTTGTCTTTCTAACCTCTCCCTCACCCCAATTCTAAGTCAGTAAATGTGGGGTAGGGCTCAGGCTGTTTGTTTGTTTATTTATTTATTTATTGTCTCCACACGGGATTCTGATGGGCAGTTGCAGTTGAGACTGAGAACCACTGCCCCCAGGGATCATGCGAAATGGGGTTCTCGTGGAGGTGCCAGGTTGGCCATAGGAGAGGAGTGGACCCTTTGGGAACAGCCTACCAGCAGGAGGAAGTGAGAGGCTGGTCTTCAGTGCCTGTCTATTGTGTGCTTCCACATGAGCGAAAGCCACATGAGCAGGGGACCCCAGAGATCGTGTACCTGAAGGGTTACACAGGGACTTGGGTTCTCAGTCTTTGCACGATAAGCTCGCAGCTGCCAGGAATGTCTACTTCCCAGATTTCCAGCTGACCACCATACCCTGGAAAGGAAATAATAAAACTGGACAGTTTCTTTATTAACACCCTGATTCTAGCTTCACTAGAGCTTCTCTGGGAGGTTGAAAATCTGTAACAAAAAACCTCACCCTGAGTCATCATCCCATTTTGCCACCCAGATAAGGAAACCACATTTGTTACACTTACAGAATTGTGTAATTTAAGAGCTAGTAGGGACCTTGGAAATTGTAGCCCAGGCTCCCCTCCCAGAAATCCAGAGCTGTGCCTCAGGTCACATAGCTAATTGATGGCAGGGATGGTTCCAGAAGCCTGGTCTGATGGTTTCCTGGTGTGTTCTTTTTATGTTCTTATTCTAATACTTCTTGATTGGAACCAGTTGTACTGTGGACAATCCAAAATTCTATGTGTTGTTCAAAAGAAGTGACATCTAGATGGAACTTTGCTAACACCCAGAGTCTCTTCCTTGAACTCCTCTGAAATACATTAGGAGGTGAAACAAGTATATTATGATTTCCCTATGTTAAAGCAGTGCAGAAATATCCAAGTGCCTGCTCTGTGCCAGCTGCTGGTTAAAGGCCTGTACTGCTACTTTTCTGTTCCAATTCTTGCCCCTCCCTGCCATAGCCCATTCTTCACACAAAGCCAGTGATGTCCCAAAAAAGGAACTCACACTCTTGAGGAGCATGAGACAAAATTTTAAAAAATTAAAGGAATTCAATTCATATCCTTCTGCTTAAAATCCCTTAGTTGCTTTCATTGTAATAGGTATAAGATCCAAATATGTACCTGTGGTCTGTAAGGGCCTCTGGTTTCTTTTTTTTTCCTTCTCTTTTCCTTTCCTACCTTCCTTCCTCCCTTCCATTCCCCCTTCCCTTCTCCCTTCCTTCCCTTCCTTTCTCTTCTTCCTTCCCTTCCCTTCTTTCTTGTCTTTGTCACCCAGCTCACTGCAACCTCAACATCCTGGGCTCAAGTGGATCCTCCTGCTTCAGCCTCCTAAGTAACTAGGACCACAGGAGCATGTCACCATGCTGGGCTAATTTTTGTATTTTTAATAGAGATGGGGTTTTACTATGTTGGCCAGGCTGGTCTCGAACTCCTGACCTCAAGTGATCTGCCTGCCTTGGCCTCCCAAAGTGCTGAGATTACAGGCATGAACCACTGTGCCTATCCTGGACTTTATTTTTTAAATGAAACCAGAATGCCAGTTTATTGATATATGAGAAATGGAACTGCTAAGCAGAGTAGATTCCTTTTTTTGAGGACAGTGTATGCTTCCTTTCGGAAGAATAGCCAGGTGAAGCAAATATAAAAGGAGAAGGCTACTTATACTGGCTAAGTATAGACTCAGGACCCAGTGAATTGGAAATCAAAAAGACCCAAGAGCTTTAATGCTGGAGAAAGATTACCATGTTAATGCTTCCTCAAAACTGGCTATACATGAAAATGGCACAGGGAGCTTTTGTTTAAAACATGCTCACAAAAGAGTGTAAATTGATTCAACCATTGTGGAAGACAGTGTGGCGATTCCTCAAGGATCTAGAACTAGAATTACCATTTGACCCAGCAATCCCATTACTGGGTATATGCCCAAAGGATTATAAATCATGCTACTATAGAGACACATGCACACGTATGTTTATTGCAGCACTATTCACAATAGCAAAGACTTGGAACTAACACAAATGTCCATCAATGATAGACTGGATTAAGAAAATGTGGCACATATACACCATGGAATACTATGCAGCCATAAAAAAGGATGAGTTCATGTCCTTTGCAAGGACATGGATGAAGCTGGAAACCATCATTCTCAGCAAACTATCTCAAGGACAGAAAACCAAACACCACATGTTCTGACTCATAGGTGGGAACTGAACAATGAGATCACTTGGATACAGGAAGGGGAACATCACACACCGGGGCCTCTCAGGGGGTGGGGACTGGGGGAGGGATAGCATTAGGAGAAATACCTAATGTAAATTATGAGTTGATGGGTGCAGCAAACCAACATGGCACCTGTATACCTATGTATCAAGCCTGCACATTGTGCACATGTACCCTAGAACTTAAAGTATATATATATATATATATATATAAACCATACCCACAAGAAACAACAACACATTTTTCAGTCTCTCCTTTGGTGATTCTAATTTATTAGGTTTGTGGCTAGGGCTTGGGAATCTATGTTTTATTTTAAATACTGCTCTAGTGATTGTTGGTGGACAACCTGGTTTGGGAACCAGTGTCTAGCTCACCTTTACTCCCAGCCTGAGTAAACTCAGGCTGGAAGAGATCATATGTCTCATGCAGAGTCACACAGCAAGTGAGTGGGAAGATAGAACTCAAATCTCCCTGTCCTCTCTATGCATTGTTCAAACAACATAGTAAGATTCTCAGGGACAGAGGCAGCACAGCCTCGGAAATTGTTGGTTTCTTAGTTTTTTTCTCTATTTACATGAAACTAACCAGTCTAGTGTCAAACAGGAAATATACACAGCATAGTTTTTCTTTTTTTATTGCAAAGTGTCAGATTAGGACCAGTAACATCAGCACCACCTGGGAACATAGAAATGCAGATTTTCAGCCCCACTCCAGACCTACTGAATCTGAAACTCTGGTGGGGCCTAGAGTCTGTGTTTTAAAACCATCTAGGTGACTCTGATGCACCCCGAAGCTTGAGAACCACTGTCTACAAGTACATTTCATGACTCAATCGCTGGTTAAGGCTGCTGACCTCGGCCTTTGTAGTTGATGAGTCATTAACATTGAGGCCTTAACTTTCCTGGCCATCTGCTTTCCTTGGTGATATTTATTCAAAACAGGTGACATTTATTCAAAAACTATTGTTGTAAGTCTTCATTAGAATGCCATACACAAGCGAGGGAATGGACTTTTATTGAGCACCTGCTGTATGTGAGACACTGTGTGTGAGGCTATTACTTATTTCATTTGATTCTCACAACCACCTTGCTAGGTCAGTATTATTATCCCTATTTTACAGATTTGGTATCTGAGGCTAGTAGAAGTTAAATATGATCTTGATGTACAGGCTATTTGCCTAACTGTAGTTGTACATTTTTGCCATCTGTTGTCTCCCTAGAACAGTGGCTTACAAACTTGATTGTGTATAACCAGAAAGCCCCTGGGAAGCTTGATATAAATGCAGATTCCCTAGGCCTCCCTTGCAGAGATCCTAATTCAGAGGCCTGAATGGGACCCAGAATTTTGGATTTTCATCACATATCCTAGGTGATTCTGCTGCCAGTCCTGGATCCATTTTCACCTGCCCTAATTGGTTGACCAGTTGCCCCTCAAGGCTTCTCTGAGGTTCTGTGTTGTCCTGTGTTTTGTGGTCACAGGCCTCGGACACTGGGTGGAGAAGAAATAGAAGAGTATGGGAGGACAGGCCATGGGGGCCTTTATTAAGAGTCTTATCTGCCTGGCTCTTTCTGCTGTCTCTACTGCTTCTTAGAGGGTTCCTAGGCCATATTTTGGCTTTGAGTAACTTGTGATTCTTTCCATTATCTATCCCAAAGTTTGGAACTGTTCTTTTAGCAACTGTGCCCTTTTGTCTGTGGGGTGCATAGATGTGAGCAATTTCCTTCAGGCTGTAATTAATAAATGTGGAGTAGGGAGTTGCTTCAGCTTTTGAGTTCAGAAATGGTATTTCATCCGTTTGGTGATACAAGCCCTTATTTTTCAGGGATAGAATTGACATAATTAGTGAATGACTTGGCTTAGAACTTAGAACTTAGAAATGCAGATTTTTCAGCCCCATGTCAACGTACTGAATTCACTAAATAATTAGAAGACTGGGCCAGGTGCGGTGGCTCACGCCTGTAATCCCAGCACTTTGGGAGGCTGAGGCGGGCAGATCACGAGGTCAGGAGATCGAGACCATCCTGGCTAACATGGTGAAACCCTGTCTCTACTAAAAATACAAAAAATTAGCCAGACGTGGTGGCGGGCGCCTATAGTCCCAGCTACTTGGGAGGCTGAGGCAGGCGAATGGCGTGAACCCAGGAGGTGGAGCTTGCAGTGAGCTGAGATCGTGCCACTGCACTCCAGCCTGGGTGGCAGAGTGAGACTCCCTCTCAAAAAAAAAAAAAAAAAATAATAATGATTAGAAGACTGAATAATCTGGTGCTATTATGAAGGAAAAAAGTGAAATGGAAATTAAAAACAAATTTCAGATATGATGCCTCTTCTTTGTGAGGTGGCAGGCTGATTTCTGTTCACAAGTTTAGAAGCGGCTACTGACATAAATACCCCAGGGCTCCCATAGTGTAAAAGAGTCATTTCTATGAAAATATAGTGGAAACCTGCCAGGCTTTTGTCCAGTAGAGAAATCAGAAATGTTGAACTATTAAATTTCTTTAATATGTTTTAGTCCCTGAAACAAAATGTGTGTTACAAAATGGGAAGGAAATTCACAAAAGCAAACATTGCAGCTTCCTGAAGTCCACTATATATAAAGCAAATTACAGGTTATGTTTCTAAGAATACTTTCTTTTTCTACCTGATACTAGGGTTGATAATAACAATATGCAAGTGAGTATAATAGCTACAGCTACCATATGTGTCAAGAGTTATACAAACATTTTCTCATTTAATCCTCAACAATCTTTCAAAGCAGATATTATCTTTCATTTTACAGATGATGAAACAGGTTGAAGAAGATGAAGTAACTTGCCCAATGCTGGGATATGGTTTCCCGGGATGCATGACTTTCAGTGCTATAACTCAGTCCCCACTAAACTGGGATGGTTGGTCCCACTGAGTGTCACCCAGCCTACTGACCCATAGTTGATAGTAAGGCCAAACGGTTCTGAGTTGGACAAATGGTTAATGTATTGAAAATTGCCAACCTGCATCACAGAGCAACTTTCAGAACATTTTTTGGTGCCCATTTTTCTTCATTTTACACACAGTTCTAATAAGCTTGGTTATTTGGTTTCCAGGTGCCTTGTCAATTAAAAACAGTGCATCGGAAGGGGTAGGGGTTGTCCCAGGAAGGCACACTGATTACTGTGGTGAGGGATAGCTGCCTGACAGCAAAGGTGAGGGGAGGGAGAAGGAAATATAAATTAACAAAAGACACGAAATAAATACAGCAGTCAGGAGCCATTTATTATGGAGACAAACAGGCTGGTCTCGAACTCCTGGCCTCAAGTGACCTGCCCGCCTCTGCCTCCCAAAGTTCTGGGATTACAAGTATGAGCCATCGTGCCCTGCCAAATTTACCAAAGTTATACGTGGACGTTGTTTTACAAGGGCTGTTACAAAAAACCAGTAGACGCCTCTCCCCCAGCCCATTTCCTGCTCTCCAGAGTTAACCACTGAAGTCTTGCAGTAGTTTATACATCTAGTCTCTAAATGACACATTTATATTTCTGTGGTCAGTTTTTCAGTTTTAGTCATTATCTATTGATACTTTATTACAGAAGTAGAGAATTTAGCTCATTGCTCCATCCACCCCTGCCACAAGTATACCATTTTCATCTCCTCTTTCTTACCTGAGTTTGTTCATTTGTTCCTACGTTTGTTTGTTCATTCTTTCCTTCCCCTACTTAACAATTTATTTTTAAAAAAACTACTTTATGGGAGGTATTATTGACAGATAAAAAGTCTGTACATATTTAATGTATACATCTTGATGAATTTGGGGATAATTATTCACCCATGAAACCATCGCCACCATCAAGGCCATAAATGTATCCATCACCTCCCAAGGTTTTATCCTGCCTGTTTTATTATTATTGCATTTTTGTGTGTGTGTGGTAAGAACAATTAACACTGGATCTATCTTCTTAGCAGATTTTCAGTATATAATACAGTATTATTAGCTATAGACACTATACTGTATAATAGCTTTTCAGAACTTATTTATTTTGCATAACTGAAACTTGTTCTCTTTAACTATGACCTTCCCATTTCCCCCTCCTCCCAGTCCCTGGCAACCATCATTCTGCTCTCTGCTTCTGGGAGTTTGAGTTACTTTTTTTTAAATTAAAATTTTTTCTTTTAGAAACAAGATCTTACTCCGCTGCCCGGGCTGGAGTGCAGTGACGTGATCATAGCTCACTGCAGCCTTGAAGTCATAGGCTCAAGCAATTGTCGCGCCTCAGCCTCTTGAGTAGCTGGGGCTACAGGAGTGGCCACCATGCTTGGAGAGTTTGACATTTTAGATTCTATATATTAAATATATGGGAGATCACATAGTATTTTTCTTTATGTGTCTGGCTTATTTAACTTAGTATAATATCTTCCACCTATCTGTATTGTCACAGGTGGCAGGATTTATTTCTTTTTTAAGGCTGAATACTTTTTCATTGTATGTATAGACCACATTTTCTTCATTCATTCATTGTCAGTGGACATTGAGGTTGTTTCTAAGTCTTGGCTATTGTGAATAATGCTGCAGTGAACATGGGAGTACAGATATCACTTAGAAATCCTGATTTCAATTCTTTCAGATGTATTATACCCAGAAGTAGGATTGCCAAATCCTATGGTATTCTATTTAAAAAATTTTTGAAAACATTTTTTTAAAGAAGCTCCATAATGTTTTCCATAGTGGCTGTACCAATTTGTATTCCCACCAACAGCGTACAAGGTTCCCTTTTCTCCACATCCTTGCCAACACTTATCTCTTGTTTTTTTTTTTTTTTTTTTTTTAATTAGCCATCCTAGCAGATGTGAGGTAATCAAAATCATTGTGGTTTTGATTTGCATTTCTCTGCTGATTAGTGATGTCGAGCACTTTTTCATATACTTGTTGACCATTTTTAATGTATTCTTTGAAAAAATGTCTATTCAGGTCTTTCGCCCATTAAATTTTTTTTTCTTTTGGGGGTTGTTTTTTTGGTATTCAGTAGTATGAGGTTCTTGTATATTTTGGATATTAACCCCTGATCAGATTTACCTTTTTTTCCCTTCTATAGGTTGCCTTTTCTTTCTTTCTTTTTTTTTGAGGTGGAGTGTCATTCTGTCACCTGGCTGGAGTTCAATGGCACAACCTCTGCTCACTGCAACCTCTGCCTCCAGGCTCAAGTGATTCTCGTGCCTCAGCCTCCCGAGTAGCCAGGATTACAGGTGCCCACCACCGTGCCCAGCTAATTTTTGTATTTTTAGTAGAGATGGGGTTTTGCCATGTTGGTCAGGCTGGTTTCAAACTCCTGCCCTCAAGTGATCTGCCCTCTTTGGGTTCCCAAACTGCTGGGATTATAGGTGTGAGCCACCATGCCCGGCCAGTTGCCTTTCCATTTTGTTGTTTCCTTTGCTGTGCAGCAGCTTTAGTTTGATGTAATCCCACTTTTTTTTGTCTTTTTTTTTTTGTTGTTGTTAGATGGAGTCTCACTCTGTCACCCAGGCTGGAGTGCAATGGAGCAATCTCGACTCACTGCAACCTCTGCCTCCTGGGTTCAAGTGATTCTCCTGCCTCATCCTCCCAAGTAGCTGGGATTACAGGTGTGCACCACCATGCCCCAGTTAATGTTTGTATTTTTAGTGGAGACGGGCTTTTACCATGTTGGCCAGGCTGGTCTTGAACTCGTGACCTCAAGTGATCCACCTACTTTGGCCTTCCAAAGTCCTGGGATTACAGGCGTGAGCCACTGCGCCCGACTGGATTATTTAGAGTATCTCTTATTATTCTTTGTACCTCTGTGGTATCAGTTGTAACACCTCTTATTTCATTTATAATTTTATTTATTTGAGTTTTTACTCTTTTTTTTAGACTAGCTAAAGTTTTGTCTGTCTCTCTCTATACATATATATATATATATATATATATATATATAATTTATTTATTTTTTTAAGGACGGATTCTTGCTGTGTCACCCAGGCTGGAGTGCAGTGGTGCAATCTCAGCTCACTGCAACTTCTGCTTCCCAGGTTCAAGTGATTCTCCTGCTTCAGCCTCCCAAGCAGCTGGGATTACAGGCACCTGCCACCACGCCTGGCTAATTTTTGTGTTTTTAATAGAAACGGGGTTTTGCCATGTTGGTCAGGCTGGTCTCAAACTCCTGACCTCAGGTTATACGCACGCCTTGGCCTCCCAAAGTGCTGGGATTACAGGCATGAACCACCGCACCCAGCCAGTTTTGTCAATTTTGTTTATTTTTTCAAAAAACAGTCTTAGTTTTATTCATCTTTTCTTTCTTTTCTGTTTTTTTGGTCTCTATTTCATTTTGGCTCCAATTTTTATTATTTCATTCTTTCTTCTAATTTTGGGCTTAGTTTGTTACCTTTTTTCTAGTTTGTTGCAGTATAAACTTAGGTTGTTTACTGGAGATCTTTCTTTTTTCTTAATGGAGGCATTTATCGCTGTAAACTTCCCTCTTAAAACTGCTTCTCCTGAATCCCCTAAAATTTTGATGTGTTGTATTCTATTTTCATGTATCTCAAGATTTAAAAAAAATTCCTTTTGATTTTATTTGGCCCATTGGCTGTTCAGGATTATGTTACTAAATTTCCACAGATTTGTGAATTTTTCAGTTTTCTTCCTGTTATTGATTTCTAGTTACATATCGGTGTGGTCAGAAAAGATAATTAATATGATTTCGATCGTCTTAAATTTGTTGAGACTTGTTTTGTGGCCTACTGTATGTTCTATCCGGAAGAATATTCCACGTGCGCTTGAGAAGAATGTATATTCTCCTCTAGTTGGATAGAAAGTTCTGTATGTGCCTGTTAATTCCATTTGTTCTATAATGTTGTTCAGATCTGCCATTTCCTTATTGATTTTCTATCTGGATGATCTGTTCATTGTTGAAAACAGGGTATTCAAATCCCTTACTATTATTGTATGGTTATCTATTTCTCTTTTCAGTTTGGTTAATATTTGCTTTATATATTTAGGTGCTTTGATGTTGGGTGCCTACATGTTTACAACTGTTATATCTGCTTGATGAATTCACCTCCTTGTCACCACATAACTACCTTCTTAGTCTCTTGGGACTGTTTTTTACTTGAAGTCTATTCTGATATAAGTATAGTCACCCCTGCTTTCTTTTGGTTTCCATTTGCATGAAATATTTTTTTCCATCCCTTTACTTCCAGTCTGTCTGCCCTTAAATCTAAAGCAACTCTCTTTCAGGCAGCAAATAATTGTATCTTATTTTTTATATATATTCTGTCATTCTATGTCTTTTATTTTTTATTTTTATTTTTATTTTTTTTTTTTTGAGATGGAGTCTCGCTCTGTCGCCCAGGCTGGAGTGCAGTGGCGCGATCTTGGCTCACTGCAACCTCCGCCTCCCGGGTTCAAGCAATTCTCATGCCTCAGCCTCCCTAGTAGCTGGGATCACAGGTGCCCTCCACCATGCCTGGCTAATTTTTTTGTATTTTTAGTAGAGATGGAGTTTCACCACATTGGCTAGGCTGGTTTTGAACTTCTGACCTCAAGTGATCTGCCCGCCTTGGCCTCCCAAAGTGCTAGGATTACAGGCTTGAGCCACCGTGCCCAACCTCTATGTCTTTCAGTTGGAGAATGTAATACATTTACATTTAAAGTAATTATCGATAGATAGGGACTTACTATGCCATTTTGTTCATTATTTTCTATTTGGTAGTTCGTTCTTTCTTTTCTTCTTCTCTTGGTGTGCTGAGCTGCTTTTTAAGCAGATGACCACCATTCTGTCTGTTTTGAGTCCCTATGTTACTGTCCCCCAAATTCCAGAAGTTTTGGGGTTCTGAATCCCTGAGACTTTCTGGAGATTCTGTGATGAGTTCCTTCTTGGATTTCCCTACTGGCAGATAAAGAGTCAGCTTTCCGAGGTCTGCTAATCAGTTACCTCTAGTCCATCTACTCTGTAGCTTCTACCATTTTGTTGCTTCCACTACCTGATCTTTGTCCTTGTGAGTTTATGTCTAAAAGAAATAAAACATTCTTTATTGCTATATTAGTGAGATTTTGGGAGGCAGCAGAACCACATGTACATGTTGAGCATGCCATCTTTATTCTGAAGTCTGAAAGATATTTTAGAAAGCTTTCAATACAAAAGCATCCAAAAAAGGTTTTGTTGCTTTAAGCAGACTATGAAAATTGGTATTGTCATAATTTTACTTGCTATTCAAATTATAGTTCCAGAGTTAGGAATGTTAGTATTACCTGGGCATCACCTGGGTGCTTACTAGGAGAAATACAGACTCCTGAGCCCCCTACAGGATTTTTTTTGTTTGTTTTTGTTTTTTTGAGACGGAGTCTCACTCTGTCACCCAAGCTGGAGTGCATTGGTGCGATCTCGGCCCACTGCAAGCTCCGCCTCCCGGGTTCACGGCATTCTCCTGCCTCAGCCTCCCGGGTAGCTGGGACTACAGGCGCCCGCCACCACACCTGGCTAATTTTTTTGTATTTTTAGTAGAGACGGGGTTTCACCGTGTTAGCCAGGATGGTCTCGATCTCCCCCTACAGGAATATTGAATCAGAATTAGCATTTTGAAAGATCCCTAGGAGATTCCTATATATCCTGATGGTTGAGAAGTGCTAATATGAACTTGTAATTAAAGGAAGCTAACTCTAATGAATTTTAATCTGGGATTTAAAAATCTGGATACATTTTCTTACTAAATTGTTCTCAAAATTCTCGAGGTTGCTGTGTGATATAAAAAAGAAAGAGGTGCATTTTCATGAGATTTTCGTCAGGTGTGAAACGAAAATTCCATTTCATTTACCATGAGAAGAGATGTCAGACTGGTTGTGCTCAGACTTTTCTTAGTTGCCCACAGTTCTTGAGGCCGGTGGTGGTTTTTTTAGATTGGACAGATTGAGTCTTCAGTCACACGTTGAGCTGCCATAATGAAAGCGTAGCTTCTCCTAGAGGCAAGGGATAGATTGATTAGTTCTATGTCCGACATTTCACCCAATAATTCATAAGTGCTCAATAAGTGATTGTGGGGTGAATGAACAAAAAACAAGATACAACCCCTGTCTTCAAGATTGTCACAAAGCAACAGCAAAGACCAAGAAATAAATTGAATAATTAGCATACAGGGGTGACCATTTCTAGAAACAGTAAGCACAGGGAAGGTGTATCCAGCTCAGCATTGCTGGCACAAGGAGCCAAGGAGCTGATTCTCTTAGTGAACAGAACTTGGTGGATTTACAGCAGCAGCTCTCACACTTTAGTGTGTATCAGAATCACCTGGAGTGCTTGTTGAACCACAGACACCTGTGCCCTATCCTCAGAATTTCTGATTCAGCTGGGTGGGCCCAAGAATGTGCAAATCTAATAAGTTCCTAGAAGATGCTATAATACTGGTCTTGGAACCACAGTTTGAGAACCACTTAACTTAGCGAATTATAAAACGTACTGATGGCTGGACTCTAGCAGCTTATAGGAAGGAGGCGGTGATACTGAAGGCAGAAGCTTAAGGAGCAGGGATTTTATTGTGGAGATTGTGGGGAGCCATTAACAGGAGAGTGATGGACTCTCATTTGCCTTTTGGAAAGATCACTTTGGGTGTGGTGTGGAGGATGGATCAGAGTCAAGAATACGTGGGGACCAGAAAACCAAATAAGTGGTTTATTATAGCCATCTAAGAAATAATAAAAACTTGGAGTAGGAGCAAGAAGATGAATATCCTTAGGACTTGGTGGCCAATTGGAAGTGGGAGGGGCAGAGAGGGAGGAGTTAATGAGAGCCATCAGATTTCTGGCTGTGTTGGGATTGTGTGATTCAAGACACAGGAAGAGAAGTGGGTTTGAAGCAAGGTTGTGGAGAAAAGCAAAGGAGGTGAGTACGGGACATGCTGGATTTGAGATGCCAGCAAGATATCTGGGTGGACTCCCTTGTAGGCAGTTTTACTTATGAAATTGGAGGCCAGCTGCAAGGTCTGGTAAGTAATCTAGCCCCATCCCTCCTGCCACTTCCATTTGATCCCCCATATTGTTTGTTTGGATCAGGCATTGTATTTGTAAGCAACAATATGAATATAACCTTTAAGGGCCTTGAGAATACAAGGCACTTTCTCAAGAAAACAAATGTTCTACTGTTTTGATTCACGGGGTAGGTGGGCGGAAGAAAGAGCTGAAGTGCAGAGTCTTCTAACACCAGAAGAGGTTAATAAAGCCGCCCTCTGAGTGGCCAGTCGAACTGGAACTTGGTAAGCTTGAAAGGGGCAAAAATCACTTGACTGGTCTGCAGTGCCATATGACAAACAGCTGAGACTAATTAGCTGGATTGTGGGTTTTTACAGCGATGCCTGTTTTGAAAGTTGATGGAGCGAACTGCTTTTCCAAAGACTCTTTTGAAAAACTTTTTAAGTAGGCCATTCTGACTTTAACATTTCTCTTTGTCTTAACATTAGACAAAAAGTAACCTTCCTGAAGAGGACATGTGATTGGAAGTTGTCAATTGTTGAAGCATTGGTAACTCCAGTCTCTAACGTTTTAGAAAATCATAACAAGCGGTTCTCTACCCTGTAAAGGTATGGTTTTGTATTTATCTTTTTTTTTTTTGGTAGTGGTTTTGAGCTCTGTCATGTCAATTTTCATGCGCTTAAATTATGTGCAATATAACATACAATACCATTGCACGTACTGTTTTTAAACTAAAGACTTAATGATGTCTACTAAATTTCTTGGGATTAGTTTGAAAAGTGCATTTTCAGTGACCACGGAGTGGGTATGAATACTGACCGCATTCTTCCTTTCTTTTCTGTACTTGAATAAAGAAACATAGGTTTTTACTTTCAGGAAATTGTTGAATATGAGAGCTGATTAGGAAATTGAATTATTCTGAGAGTCTTGCTTATCCTCTGAGGGTTGTTTGACAAAAATTCAAGCTTATTGGTGTTTTGTTTTTGATAGTATTAATAGCTTTTGTTTTGTTTTGTTTTGTTTTTTAAATTTGAGACAGAGTCTTGCTCTGTCGCCCAGGCTTGAGTGCAGTGGTACAATCTCGGGTCACTGCAACCTCTGCCTCCCAGGATCAAGTGATTCTCCTGCCTCAGCATCCTGAGTAGCTGGGACCCCACGCTACCATGCCTGGCTAATTTTTGTATTTTTAGTAGAGATGGGGTTTCACCATGTTGGCCAGCCTGCTTTCTAACTCCTGACCTCAAGTGATCTTCCCACCTGGGCCTCCCAAAGTGCTGGGATTACAGGCATGAGCCACCGTGCCCGGCCTAAAAGTGTTAATAGTTTTAATGGAGGAATGTAAGTGTGTGTTTTAGTATAAGGTTTATTTCTTCTGGGAATTAAATCTGCTTTTAAATTAGTGTTAATTCTGTTAGGTTTGATAAGGGTATTGTTATGTAAGGAAATGTCCATATATTTTAGAAATACGAAATGAAGTATGCCGGAGTGAAAGATCTGAGTGGTGAGTGTGATGGGAGATTTCATTATATAATTCTACTTCTGGATATTGTATTAGTTTACTAGAGCTGCCATAACAAAGTACCATAAACTGGGTGGCTTTAAAACTGTGTGATTTCAAAAACAGAAATTTATTGCCTCACAGTTCTGGAGCCTGAAAGTCTAAGATCAAGATGTCAGCGGGGTTGGTCCCTTTTGAGGACTGTGAGGGAGAATCCGTTCCAGGCCTTTCTGCTTAGCTGTGGATGGCTGTCTTCTCCCTATGTCTCTTCATGCCATCCTCCCTGTGTTCATGTCTGTGATCCCAGTTCCTTTCTTGTGAAGAGACCATGAGGGTGGATTAGGACCCACCCTAATGACCTCTTTTTAACTTGATTCCCTCTATAAAGGTCCTAGCTCCAAAAAACATTGTATTCTGAGGTACTGGGAGTTAGGGCTTCAACATGTGAATTTTAGGGGGACACAATTCAATCCATAACCGACATGTCTGAAAAGCTTCTTAATATGACATTTTAAAGATTTGCCTCAAAATGCATGCAGTAAACATTTGTTAAGCCCAGTGCCTGGACTGGGCTGGATTTTGAGTGTGTGAAGATGCATAAGACATGGTTCCTGTCTACTAACCCATGGTTTAATCAAATATAGGGATCTAGCTTTGTGAGTGTGTACGTGTTTACTTATTGCTTCCATTGAGTTGTAGCCACTCTCACACTTGTGTGTCCCTGGGAGCACAATCAGGGTCCTGACACATGGACAGCCTAACCACAAGAGACACCTGGAAGGGTTCCCGTGCTCTGAGCACCCATAAGCATAGATTAAGAGAGTGGAAGGACTTCATATTCACCCAGTCCATTCTTCTCATTTTACAGATGAAGAAATTGAGGCTCAGAAGTGCTAAAGTCATTTGCTAATTTGTATTAGTGCCAAGGCATCCTTCAGAATATCCTGGCTTCCATTCCAGTGTGGTGACCAAACAATACTGTTTTCTTTGCCACAAACTCATGCTTTTCACCTGGGAATGAACCCCAACCCCCATTATCAGAAGTCATTGTGGGAAAGAGCCTTGATAAAAAGCTGACATTCTCTGTCAAGGTTCTTGGATTATAAATACCAAAAAAAAAAAAAAGATGTTTTGGGGATGAGTGTTTATTCATGAGGGCATTTTATCCATAGAATGAAGTTGGATTTAATACATTCCAAAGGAGTTTACCCCCATCTTGGCTGCTCTCTCTGTCTCTTACCACTTTCTCCTTGTCACTTGTTGAAATAGTTAAGTCACAGAGGTATGACCCTGCAGCCATAAGAATACAAACAACCATTTTTCTTCTTTCTTGGTGCTTCTGCTGCCCACAAGACAGGAACTGTGGCAGAAAGGGAACGGTCTGGTGAAATCTTGCTGGCTGGCAGGATGGCGTCACGGCAACTAGGCTGCCTCTCTCTGCGGCTGTTTCAGCTTCCGCCCTCTCTGGACCCTCGGTACCTGAGTGCTCATAGGGGAAACTGTCTTCTTCCTGCCTCCATTTCTGTTTTTCCTCAGTAGGATTAAGGCTTCTTGAGATATCTGCTCATCTTTTGCTATTATTCCTTTCTTCTCCCTTTGAACTTGTTTGATTTAGAGCCAGAGCTCAGGCTATAGCATACGTGATAGCTGATGAGTCATGTGAAGCCCATTAAAAGCAAAAGCTGATTATCACAAGAACCATTATTTATTTGCGCTGTCTATGCAACAGCACATTTTCTTTTGCGCTTCTGGTGTTGCTGCAGCGTGGCTGGGGCCCTGCCCTCTTGGCAGAGCAGAGGTCCTGTGGTGTAGGCTGGGGGGCAGGTAGGGGAAGTGGGTGATGGATGAGATGGGGTGCTGCTTGAGAAATGAGCTATCTTTGCTGCTGCTTCTCTGAAGGCAGAATCTGCTTTGCTCAAACACGGGTATAAATCATCCTTTCAAGAGCTGAGAGCATCCATTTTTGTTTGTTTTTCTTGTTTTCCCCGTTTCATACCCTATCAGGCCTCCTTTCTTGATGACATAGTCTAAGCTGGAATCTTTTAGCTATCTTTTAGCTAGATGGTAAATCCAGCAAATAGCTCAATGATAAGTCCATTCATCCAGCAAACAGTGAATGGATTTGCCATTTTCACACGGAGAAGGCCCAGACCACTTCAAGTTTGTACCTCTGTGGTGTGGCAACTGAGCCAGCCTGTGGACAATCACTGCTTGAAAAATCTCCTTCCTAGTGTCCTTCTTGTATCTGTCTTGCTGCTCCTTACATTTTTGTTCTCTCTTCACTCTAAATGTCCATCTCATTTTTCCCATGGCCTAAGGAAATACTATTATGTTGATGACACTAAAATTCATAGCCATATTCTTCTTGTGAGCCCTAGGTCTGTTTTCCAAATGCAAATTAAACACAACTCCCTTGATGTCCCTCAGACATGAGAGATGTTTAACTGGTTGTGTACCGTACAGTGTAATGTGGTAGTTGAGAGTGTGTCTGAGATCACATCTTGGTTCTGCCATTTCTGGCTGTGTGACCTTGGGCAACTTTATTAACCTTTCTGTGCATTGGTATTTTTCATCTGTAGATTTAGGGACCTTATACGGTTGTTGTGAAGACTAAATGAGTTAGTGCTTTAAAGGATTTAGAATAGTGCTTAGTGTTAGTTATAATAATTATCATCTTCTCAAACCATCTTTTCCTTTTTCAGTTAATGTTATACCATTTATTTACCAAACTAAAAGTTTTGGTTATCTTTAATTTCTATACTAGTCTGTTAAGAAGTTATATTGATTTCTACCTCCTAAATATATCTCAAATTAATCACTTCTTCTTCATCCCTACTGTCACCAACACAATTCAAACCCTCAAAATCTCTCTCCATATGTCTTAACCAGTTCAAACTGTTATAACAAAGTACCATAGACTGGATAGCTTGCAAACAACGGAAATTTATTCCTCATTGTTCTAGAGGCTGAAAGTCTGAGATCAGGGTATCAGCATGCTCAGATTTTGGTGAGAGCTCTCTTCCAGGTTGCAGACACTTGACTTTTCACTGTATTCTCACAAGGCAGAAAGGTAGCTCTCTGGCCTCTTCTTATAGGGGCACTAATCCCCTTCATGAAGGATCTATCCTCAAAACCTAATTACTTCCCAAAGACCTGCCTCCTTATACCATCACATTGGGGATTAGATTTCAACATACAAATTTTGGGGAGACACAAACATTCAGTCGGTAACATTAGAGCCTTCTGATGCTCTGTGTATTTCCAGTCTCCATGTGGCTGCCATAGAGATCTTTCTAAGGCACACATCTCATGGTCCTCTCCTGCATAAAGAGCCCGTGGTGGCCTTCTGTTGCCCAGAGGATAACACACAAACTTTTTAGTGCCATGTCACAGTCCTTTTAGACCCAGGTCTCAAACACTTTCCCATGTTTTCAGCCTCTGTTCTGGATACATTCTCCCCTACCTCCATGCATCCCTTCAGCCACATCCACTGCTGAAGTCCTTTAATGCATCCTAAGTAACCTTAGCCTCTTACACCTTTGCAAGCGCAAACCCTCAAACCCTTACCTGCCCGCATCAGTCAGCCCAAGATGTGTTCCCTCCTGACGGTTCGAAACCTGGTCTTTTTTTTTTTTTTAATTTTGAGCATCAGGCATTCCTTACCAAATTCCATCAAAACTCAGTTACATGTTTTGGATTGGCATCAAGAATTATTTGCTTATAGTTTCTGTTATCTTGAAAGGATAATGCTTATTTGGCTGACATGTGAGGTAAAGTCGTTCCCCACATTATCTAGTGCACTGTGTAATTTTTGTCCATTCACATCTGTCACTTGTCCTTATGTGTGCCTGTACACTCACATTCTGACTTTAGTCCTTAGCTCAGATGCCCCTGTGTGAAGTTTTTCTGATTCCCTCCTTAGACATTGTGGGCTCCTTCTTCTCCCTCTTGTGCTATCTCCCCAGCCCTCCCATCTCCCCAACGGCTTGTGCATACTTCTGTTACAGTTCTTCTTCTTCTTCTTTTTTTCTTTGAGACAGAGTTTTACTCTTGTCGCCCAGGCTGGAGTGCAATGTGCGATCTCGGCTGGCTGCAACCTCCGCCTCCTGGGTTCAAATGTTTCTCCTGCCTCAGCCTCCCAAGTAGCTGGGATTACAGGCATGCGCCGCCACGCCCGGCTAATTTTGTATTTTTAGTAGAGATGGGGTTTCACCATGTTGGTCAGGCTGGTCTTGAACTCTCAACCCCAGGTGATCCGCCCACCTCGGCCTCCCAAAGTGCTAGGATTACAGGCATGAGCCACCATGCCGGGCCCTATAGTTCTTGTTTCCATGCATTTTCCTTGGGCATTTCCACAAACAGCTTACCTATTAGACTGTTGCTCTTCTAGAGCCACATTCTTGGTGCTTAACATAGTGGCACATCCACAATTCTTGTTTGTTAGATGTTTAATTGATGTGCTCATGAGCTACTGCTTAAATGACTGAATGAATTTCAGTCATTTAAACCAGGCTCTCTCCCTCCTCAGTGGCATCAAGCTTTACTAGTATATCTTTGGATCATTGGTGGAGGCCAATTTACTTATCAAACCTCATTTAAAATTATTAACAGATTTTGGAGAGGTATATGTATGCTATTCTGCATTTAACTTCTGTTATATTTGAAGTACATTTAATATATATTTTTTGGGAAATACTTTCCTATGTGTTGTGAACACTACAACCCTTTCCCACATCCTCCTATGCTTCGTAATTTTGATAATTTCACATTTGTCATTTGAGCCAAGTTTATTTTTCTCTAAAACAGCTTAAAATTTCTGTTAAAAAACAGATCCCCATCTATTCTAGCTTATAGAGGTTGGAAAAATGTTTAAAATCTAAACGTGATTAAAGGTTTGTAGAAATCACAAAATAAAGATTTTGGCTGGGCACAGTGGCTCACACCCAAAGTAATCCCAGTACTTTGGGAGGCCGAGGCCGGCTGATCACCTAAGGTCAAGAGTTTGAGACCAGCCTGGGCAACATGGCGAAACCCTGTCTATACTAAAAATAGAAAAATTAACCGGATGTGGTGGTGCATGCCTGTACTCCCAACTACTTGGGAGGCTGAGGCATGAGAATCACCTGAATCCAGAGGCAGAGGTTGCAATGAGCCAAGATCGGACCACTGCACTCCAACTCCAGCCTGGGTGACAGAGTGAGACTCTTGTCTCAAAAAACAAAAACAAACAAACAAACAGAAAAAATAACCCTGGCTATAGTTGAGAGACTCTTTGGAGTCAGGTGTGGACTAAATGTTGTATTCTCTTACGATGTTTAATGTGGTTTTTTGTAAGACTAAAGACTCCAGAATTCTGTTACAGAGTTGTTTGCTGATTTGTTTCTTTTGTGTAAGTGCCCTTTTCATTTCTAGATCATGGTTACTCTAACATCGTTCCTCAAATATATGCATTTCATGGAGTTAAATGAAATACAGACTTTAGGACAATTAAACAGACTAATGGAAAAACTTGGCAAAGTTTTTTTAAGTGGGTCCTAAATTATTAGCTAGAATTCAGAAATTTGGGTTCGGCTTCTTTAATTTTAAAATTAAGAAGAGACATGGGCTGGCCTCTTTAACATACAGTGTTGAATTACAGAATGCATAAACGTTATTCCTTGTCTCTCTTCAGATACTTGGCATTTTTATAATCTAGTGCCCTACTTTCTAGGTATTAAATGGGGGAACCCAAGTGCTAGTAGTTAAAATTAAATATAGTACTGTGTTCAAAAGAAAATTCGGATGATAGCTAATGCATTTTCGATGTTTCTCTAGAGGGTGAAACACCATTTCTGTTTAAAGCATTCTACTATAATTCTTCCTCTAGTGACTGCATCTCAAGTAACTTTTTTTTTTAAGCCCAAGACGGGAGCGACTTATATAAATGTAATATGGCACATTTGAAGACTGGTTTTGGGTAAGGTCACCTCAAGGACCTGGCACCTATTAGGTATTTCACTTTTTAGCCATTCAAATATTTATTAATTACCCTGAGAACTACCTCCCTTTGCTCTCCCCTACCCCCTGGCGAATGCAAAAGGAAGAAACAGAATTACTTTGAAAGAGAAATTCTAGGTAGAAAGTATGAGAAAAGAGCAGAAACCAGGAAAGTGAGAGAAGAAGCTAGAAGAAAGGAAAGAAAAATATCAAAGGCGGAATAAATATAAAAGCTGGTAAATTAACAGATTAAGGGAAAAAAGTAGCAGTCTCCTTGATACATGCTGAAACAAAATGTGATAAAGTTGACACCCATTCATAATACTCGTACTTAGCAAACTAGGATAGATGAACTTCCTTGACCTGATAAAAATATGTACCAAAAATCTACAGCAAATGTCATTCTTAACAGTGAAATGTTAGAATCAAGACATGACGAGACTGGGCTGGGCGTGGTGGCTCACACCTATAATCCCAGCACTTTAGAAGGCTGAGGCAGGTGGGTGGCTTGAGCCCAGGAGTTCCAGACCAGCCTGGACAAGGGAGGCTGGGGCGGGACAGTCACCTGAGCCTGGGAGGCCGAGGCTGCAGTGAGCTGTGATTGTGCCATTGCACTCCAGCCTGGACAACAGAGTGAGATCTTGTCTCAAAAAAAAACAAAAAAAAAGAAAAAAAAGAGATAAGACTACCTGTATCACCATGTCTATTCACTGTTTTTTTGTTTTGTTTTGTTCTTACCTATTTTTTTTTTTTCTTTGAGTCAGAGTCTCACTCTGTTGCCCAGGCTGGAGTGCAGTGGCGTGATCTCGGCTCACTGCAAGCTCTGCCTCCCGGGTTCACGCCATTCTCCTGCCTCAGCCTCCCGAGTACCTGAGACTACAGGTGCCTACCACCACGCCCGGCTAATTTTTTTGTATTTTGAGTAGAGACGAGGTTTCACTGTGTTAGCCAGGATGGTCTGGATCTCCTGACATTGTGATTCGCCCACCTTGGCCTCCCAAATTGCTAGGATTACATGCATGAGCCACCGCGCCTGGCCGACTTTTTATAATTAGACTAAAAGGTAAGATTAGAAAGGAAGAAGTAATTTATTTTTACCTAATATGTTTAACAGATTGCTGGAATTAGTATGGCTATGTAAGAAATAGAAGATACATGTTTAAAAGTTATCACAGTAGTGACAAAAACAAAGTATCAATAAGTTGAAAGATGTACAATATCTTCATGAAAAGAGTTTATTGAAAACTTTTTTTTTTTTTTTTGGGATGGAGTCTCGCCCTGTCACCCAGGCCAGAGTGCAATTGTGCCATTTTGGCTCACTGCAACCTCTGTCTCCTGAGTTCAAGCAATTCTTCTGCCTCAGCCTCCCGAGTAGCTGGGATTACAGGTGCATGCCACCATGCCCAGCTAATTTTGTATCTTTAGTAGAGATGGGATTGCACCATGTTGGCCAGGCTGGTTTTGAACTCCTGACCTCATGATCCACCCACCTCGGCCTTCCAAAGTGCTGGGATTACAGGCATGAGCCACTGTGCCTGGCCCGAAAACTTTTCAAAAAGATGCTTTTTTTTTTTTTTTTTTTTTTTTTTGAGATGCAGTGAGTGATCTCGGCTCACTGCAACCTCCGCCTCCTGGGTTCAAGCTATTCTTCTACCTTAGCCTCCCAAGTAGCTGGGACTACGGGCACACGCCCCCAAGCCTAGCTAACTTTTTTTTTTTTTTTTGGTATTTTTAGGAGAGATGGGGTTTCACCGTGTTGGCCAGGCTGGTCTTGAACTCCTGATCTCATAATCTGGCTGCCTTGGCTTCCCAAAGTGCTGGGATTACAGGTGTAAGCCACAGTACCCAGCCAAAAATATTCTTTTCTTAGAGTTTATTTATTTATTATTTTTATTTTTTTTTGAGACAGAGTCTAACTCTGTCACCCAGGCTGGAGTGCAGTGGCACGATCATGGCTCACTGAAACCTCTGCTGCCCGGGTTCCAGCAATTCTCCCACCTCAGCCTCCTGAGTAGCTGGGATTACAGGTGCCTGCCACCGCGCCTGGCTAATTTTTATATTTTAGTAGAGATGGGGGTTTCACCATCTTGGCCAGGCTGGTTTTGAACTCCTGACCTCGTGATCCACCCGCCTCGGCCTCCCAAAGTGCTGGGATTACAGGCCACCATGAGCCACCATGCCTGGCCGAGTTTTAGTTTTTAGAGCAGTTTTAGGTTCACAGTAATACTGAGTAGAAAGTACAGTTTCCATATATTCCCTTCCCTCCCAAACCCCCCAACATGCATAGCCTCCCCCACTATCAACATCCCATACCAGAGTGGTACGTTTGTTACACATGATGAACCTCTATTGACACATTATCATCCAAAGTCCATAGTTTAGATTGGAGTTCACTCTTGGTGTTGTACATTCTATGGGTATGTATACAAATGTATAATGACATCTATCTATGTTATAGTGTCACACAAAATAGTTTCACTGCCCTAAAAATCGTCTGTTCTCTGCCTATTCATCTCTTTCACTTCCCCCACTCCAACCCCTAATAACCACTGATCTTTGTACTATCTCCACAGTTTAGCCTTTCCTAGAATGCCACATAGTTGGAATCATACAGATTGGCTTCTTTCAGTTAGTAATATGCATTTAAGGTTCTTCCATGTTTTTTCATGGCTTGATAGCTCATTTCTTTTTAGTGCTGAATAATTTTCCATTGTCTGAATGTACCACAGTTTATTTATCCATTCATCTACTGACGAACATCTTGTTGCTTCTGAGTTCTGGCAATTATGAATAAAGCTGCTATAATAAATATCAGTGTGCAGGTTTTTGTGTGGACATGAGTTCTCCCTTCATTTGGGTAAATACCAAAGAATGTGATTGGATTGTACGGTAAGAGTAAGTTTAGCTTTGTAAACAACTGCCAAACTGTCTATAACAAAGGGCTTGTACCATTTTGCATTCCTACCAGCAATGAAGGAGAGTTCTGGGTTTCCACATCCTCACCAGCATTTGATGTTGTCAGTGTTTTGGATTTTGGTCATTCTGATAGGTGTATAGTGATATCTCATTCTTGTTTTAATTTGCAATTCTCTAATAACATATGATATTGAGCATCTTCTCATATGCATATTTGCCATTTGTATATCTTCTTTTGTGAGATTTGAGAATATTTTTAAAGGCACTAAAAATACGTAAATAGATGGAGAAATATGCATGTACTTAGGTAGGTAAATTAAACATCATGAACATGTCAATCTTCTTAATTTGATCTATAGATTTATGTGATCCCAATGCAATGCAATGCAATTCCAATAAGAATCCCCATATGGTTTTTGAGGAACTCAGATGGAAATGTGAAGGGTTCATGTCCTTGGTAAGGTGGGTACCAGTCGTAACAGGTATGAAGTTATATTTTAGGGTCATAGTGATTAAGGCATTGTGGCACTGGCCCAGGGATGGTCAAAATGACCAGCGAAACCAAATGTAAAGCCCTGAAACAGATCCATTCATTTATTGCATATCACTGGGCAAAAGATAATTTTATGCAATAAATGGTGCTATGACGATTGTATATACTTAAGGGAAAAATAATGAAATTGGATCCCTACATATACCTTGAATTCTCAGTGTATTAAAGACTTAAATAAAAAGGCAGTATCTTTATAAACATAATATAAAAGAATATCTTTATTGCTTTAGATAAGAATTTCTTGGCTGGGCATGGTGGCTCACACCTGTAATCCTAGCACTTTGGGAGGCTGAGGTGGGAGGATCACTTGAGACTAGGAGTTCAAGACTAGCTTGGGCAACATAGTGAGACCCCATCTCTACAAAAAAGAAAAGAAAATTAGCTGGGCGTGGCGACTCATGCTTGTAGTCCCAGTTATTGGGAGGCTGAGGTGGGAGGATCACTTGAGCCTGAGAAGTTGAGGCTGTAGTGAGCTATGATTGTGCCATTGCACTGGAGTGAGACCGTGTCTCCATTAAAAAAAAAAGAGACTTTCTTGATATGATATAAAATAAATAACTATAAAAAAGAATAAATTTGACTATTTTAAGATTAAGAGCCACTAAAAAAGTGAAAAGACAAACCAAAAACAGTAAGAATATATTTGCAACATACATAACTTATAAATAGTATCCAGAATATATGAAGAACTGCACATCCATAGAAAAAGAACCTGGCTGGGCATGGTGGCTTATGTCTATAATCTCAGCACTTTGGACGGCCAAGGTGGGCGGATCACTTGCCGCTAGGAGTTCGAGACCAGCCTGGCTAACATGGGAAAACCCCATCTCTACAAAAATTAGCCAGGTATGGTGGTGCGTGCTTGTAGCCCCAGCTACTTGGGAGGCTGAGGGATGAGAATCACTTGAATGCAGGAGGCAGAGGTTGCAGTGAGATGAGATTGTGCCATTGCACACCAGCCTGGGCAACGGAGCGAGACTCTGTCTTAAAGAAAAAGAACCCAATAGAAAAATAGGAGAAAGATACAAATGTGCATTTTAATAAGAGGAAACTAGATGGCCAAGAAACTAATAAAAGATGCTCACACTCATTAGCACTCAGAGAAATGTGAATTTAGATCACAATGTGTTACCATTTTGAGAAGTCTGACAACAAGCACCAAATGTTGGTGAAGATATGAAGTTGGGAGTGTAAAACAACTATATTGGACAGCAATTTGACATTATCTTGTATTACTGAACATGTGTGCATAGGTATAGCCCAGGAATTTCACGCTTTGACGCCTACCCTAGAGGAGGTGACTCCCCCTGGTGTGCACTGAATTGGTTCAGATGTGTTGAGATGTTGAACCCTTTGTCCCTCAGGGTGGCTGGACAGGGCCTGGCCTTTCTGGGGCCCTAAAACCTATTGCCTTTGATCAAGAGCATATGCCCTGGTAGGTCATACAAATATCATGAACAAGGTTGGAAAGCAATTTTCTAGAGAAACTCTTGCTGGTGTGCATTAGGAGACAGGCACATACATATAGCAGTGTTAAGTGAGACCAAAAACAGGATAGACCTGGTATAGGTAGTGAATTCTTCTTCTAGGAAAACACAGAGACATTAAGTAATTAGATAAGGGTAATAAGAGAAGGGTTCTAACCTCTTATTTCTTAGTGTCAGTGGTTTCAAGGAGAGTGAGAGGTGCAGAGAAGGAGCTGGAGGAAAGTGATACTACAACTCCTCCTCACTGTGTGTTTCCTTTTTTTTTTTTTTTTTTTTGAGACTGAGTCTCGCTGTATCGCCCAGGCTGGAGTGCAGTGGTGCGATCTCAGCTCACTGCAACCTGCGCCTCCCAGGTTCAAGCAATTCTCGTGCCTCAGCCTGGAGTGCAGTGGCATGATCTCAGCTCACTGTAACCTTTGCCTCCCAGGTTCAAGCAATTCTCATGCCTTAGCCTCCTGAGTAGCCGGGATTATAGGTGCCCACCTGCACGCCTGGCTAATTTTTGTATTTTTAGTAGAGACAGGGTTTTACCACGTTGGCCAGGCTGGTCTCGATCTCTTGACCTCAGGTGATCCGCCAGCTTTGGCCTGCCAAAGTGCTGGGATTACAGGCGTGAGCCACCATGCCCAGCCAGTGTGTGTTTTCATTGAGATACATTCAGATGGGTGGTGGATGATGATGGGCAAGGCCTAAGTTTGGAATCTGAGGAGGTGCCTATTGCAGGCTCCTAAGAGGAGTGAATGCTGTGCAGGACATCTAGCTGTCTTCCCTGACATTTCCTTTTTACTCACTGCCAGATAAAGAACTTTACAACAGGGAGATAGTATCTGGAAACTGAGTTTAATCAGAGCAGCAGGGACTGCCCATCATGTCCTGTGTAATTGAGTTTGGCTGAGAGCACCCTGCTGTTATCCTTGGTCTTGTTCATCCTGAACTAACAGCATGTTCCCTCTTCTGTGGCTTGTACAGTCATGGCCCTCTTTTTGGAGCTTTCACTGTTGGCTACTCTGCCTCTGTCTCAAGGGCAGAGGTAAATGTGGGCCACAGGGACTGGGGATGATTTTCAAGCATTTCTTGGTCATGTGGCTTTGATGATCTCTCATGCTGAACCTGCCCCGATCCAATCTCATCATCCTTCCCTTCCAAAAATCTGATACCACCCACAAACACCTTATGCCCATTCCAACTCTTTCCCTTCCCCACTTCAAATGTCCTGCTTCTGTTGGCAACATTATTTTGGCCTCCTGGCCCCCTAGGCTTTATTCTTTGGTGTTCTCTTTGCTGTGTCCTTTTCCACCTGATGTGGAACTCTGTTCTATTATTTTAAAATTAGTGTATCTTGGATCCCCTTCTTCCCATTCCCATGCGGCTGCCCTCATCTAGGCTCTCATCTTCAAGGAGTGAGAGGTGATAGAAGGGACAACTGTCACCATGACCCCACTTAAATTTCTCATGACTAAGCTTTGAACTTTGAACCTGGAATCATACAGCATAGAATGTCTGTGTTGGAAAGAGACCATTGTGGTCAAACCTCTTATTTCATATTTGATAAAACAAGGCCTGCAGAGGGATGGTGACCTATCCTGGGTCTAAACAGATGGTGGCAGAGGAACCCCATATACCAATGGATTAGTCGTCCTGCTCTCCTCAATTTGTCACATTACCTCATAAGCATTCCTTTGAGTTTACAGCCAGTTTTGTACTTAGAGGATTATATCTGAGGCACATTTGTATCCTTTGAAATGATTAGCAAGCCTCCTCAATACTTGTTAAATTGAAGTCAAAACATGCCCTTGCATGAAACATGCTGTGTATCCTATTCTTCACTATCTAGCTAAATCTTGCCTGGCTTTGAAGAAGGTGCTCAGCTCAGGTCCTGGCTCTTGCTTTGAGTCACGGTCAGATTGCTCCCTCTTTCTTTCTTTTTTTGAGACAGGGTCTCACTCTGTCACCCAGGCTGGAGTGTGGTGACATAGTCATGGCTCACTGCAGCCTTGAACTCTTGGGCTCAAGTGATCCTCCCACCTCAGCCTTCTGAGTAGCCGGGACTACTGGCACAGGCCACCTCACCTTGCTAATTAAAAAAATTTTTGTACAACAGCATCTCATTATGTTGCCCAGGTTGGTTTTGATCTCTTGGGCTCAAGTGATCCTCCTACCTCAGTCTCTTGAATAGGTGGGATTACAGGTATGAGCCTCCATGCCCGACAGATTGCTCCCCTTTTCTGACCTCCCAGCCTCTACTTGACTTGTAAAACAACGATCTTACATGTACCCAGTAGTTTACAGTTTATAAAATGCATTTCACATAATGTACCCTTTAATCCTTCCAATAATCTTGCTAGATAAATATTCCCATATTGAGGAAACAGTGTGGGGAAGCTGTCTGGCTCACCACAGGACACATAGCTAGGAAGGAAGTAGCAGAGTTCAGGTCTTTTGACTTGAAGCCCCTTTCACTTTTGATTTCTTGTGCTGGCTGGTGCACATGGTGTACCAGACGTTTTTCTCCCTGATAATATTGTCTTATCCGTCCTTTTTCGTAAATGAGTACATCATTCCACCTCACCCTAATTACCAACTTCTTGAAGGGAGCAGTTGGATCCTGTGTTTCTTTCATGCCATTCGTAGTTGCTAGCACCGTACTGGAAAGGTAGTAATTGCTTACCAAATACTGTTGAATTGGATGTAAATATGGTTTAATTATCAAAAAAGCACAGCTATCAGTGGAGTCCCCAAACACTTTTTGAGTCACTTCTAAATAAAATTGGCAGGGAATGGAGGGAACCAGCGGAAGGAAAAGGCTATTAGAGAAAGCAGATGATAGACACAATTAGCATTTGAGTGACAGCTGGCCAGTTGTCTGTCCAGTGGTGAGGGGTAGTGGAGAAGCAATACACAAAATGAGACTCTTCAGGAAATATGCAACTGTACCAAAGAGATGAAACACACCCATGAGGTGGGAATGGAGTACTTAAAAGTGGCAGATGACCTGTACAAGTTAGCCAAAGCATTCATTCATATTAATAAACATTGATTAAAGGAATACCCCGAGGAGGATGGATTTATGAGAACAGGCTTCCAGGGTGAGAGTGGAAGGGATAGAGTTGCAGTTTGGTTTCAGTTTGTGATCATTCTGTTAATTACTGGAACCAGGAGAAAAGAGACATAAGTAGGTGAGGATGTTGCCGTTGAAACAACTTTCTCTTCCCTTTCTTATACTATGTGCAGTCAATAGGACCTCAGCCCTGAGCCCTGGCAGTCAGAAGTGAAGGAAAGACAAATAATTGCTCATGTCATCTGTGCATAGAGGTGTGTAGTGATGAGCAACTTGCTGGATTTTCTGGTACTGCCTCCTTTAACGTATTTTTGTGCATTTTCTTCATAAATCAAAGAGATGCTTTAAAAGTTCTAATACTTGGACAACTAAATTGTGTTTCCAACTCTGCCTTTTCCCAAAAGGGTCACAAAAATCCATAGACATAAGCCGCAGATTTTGGTTTGGAAAGTCATGCTGCATTTTATCTTTATGTTTGGGCTGCTCCCGAGTTCATAAATATTTTGTGCCTGAAAGAAATGTAAAACCCCTTCCACTGTAATATATGTGAAAAATGTCCAATTTCTTAATAGTAGAAGCCAAACATTTTCTTTTGTGAGTTTCTGTCTCCTACAGAGAACATAAGATGGAGGGCTTTTAGATTAGAAGTAATAGAATTTTAATATCTGTTCCTTCCTGTCTCAGAATTTTTCACAGTTTATAAGTATATTATAAGAGCTAAAGGAATGTATATCTAAAATGCTTACAAGCATCAGAAATTAATGGAAATTATTTCAAATTAATTAAAAATTATAATTTTTATACAAAATAATTTTATCATGTTGTATGCTGTAGATTCTAAAAGAAAAATAAAAAACTTTTATTTCTTAGACATTCATATGTGGTTTTAAAGTGATATATCTAGGAAAATAGATTAGTACCATTGAGGCCTATTGTTAGATGTGTTGGTTTATTTTTAATGCTTGATGGCTATATAGCAATTATATTTTTTATGTGATAAGCAAGTATGTATAGGAAAGTAATAACTTAAAAGGAATGTCATTATAATATTTCTTTCTTTAAAAAATAGGAAGGTATTTCTCGAGGTCAAAACTCAACTTACAAACCTTGCAGCCAAATTTGTTGGTATATAAAGTCTAACTTTATACTTTAAAATGTGGACATACTAAAATGTGATTGTAGAATTATGAGATTGATTTTCATGTGTGACTTCTGAAACCTTTTTTACTACTTTACAGTTATCTCTCATGCAGAATCTCATTTCAACCTCATTTAAAAAATTAAGTGTACTGTTACTTGTTTTTGTGATTTCCCCTGAACACTCAAACATAGTTTCTGAAGACTTACTTATTACTTATCAATTATCCATGTTATAAACACGTGGATACTTACATCTTCATGGTTTATGCTGCTCTTGTCTACAATTTCCTTTATCCTCTTGCGTTGTTCTCTTGCTGATTCATAGTCTCTTTGCTAACACAAAGTCTTTATTTCTGTGTTAGTAAATCTGTATTGAGGTTTATTCCCCGACTCTTTTTTTTTTTTAAACAAGGCTCTTGTTCTTTCTGAGTCACCCTCTTGCCTGCTTATTTTAGCCCTTATGTTCTTAACCTCTAGGCTTCAAATATCTTTCTCAGAGGCATGTTAAGAAAATAGGAGCTTTGTTTCCATAGATGGCCTTATCCTGGGCTTAGCTGAGGACAGAGACAAGGTATGGCCTTGGGGGACTAAGTTCTAACCTGGATGCTTGGCTTTCCATCTGCCTAGGTAGGAAAACGAAACTTAGTGAAGGAACCTAGTTGGAATACTTAGGGAGCCTTTCTTTTTTTTTTTCCTTTGAGACGGAGTCTCGCTCTGTCACCCAGGCTGGAGTGCGGTGGCACGATCTTGGCTCACTGCAACCTCTGCCTCCCTGGTTCAAGCGATTCTCCTGCCTTAGCCTCTGGGGTAGCTGGAATTATAGGCACCCGCCACCGTGCCCGGCTAATTTTTGTATTTTTAGTAGAGATGGGTTTCACCATGTTGGCCAGGCTGGTCTCGAATACCTGACCTCAGGTGATCTGTCAGCCTTGGCTTTCCAAAGTGCTGGGATTATAGGCATGAGCCACCACGCCTGGCCATTAGGGAGCCTTTCTTTCTTTTTTTTTTTTTCAGAGACAGAGTCTTGCTCTGTCACCCAGGCTGGAGTGCAGTGGCACGATCTTGGCTCACTGCAACCTCCGCCTCCTGGGTTCAAGTGATTCTACTGCCTCAGCCTCCTGAGTAGCTGGGATTACAGGCACATGCCACCATGCCCAACTAATTTTTGTAATTTTAGTAGGGCTGGGGTTTCACCATGTTGGCCAGCTGGTCTCGATCTCTTGACCTCGTGATCCACCCGCCTTGGCCTCCCAAAGTGCTGGGATTACAGGTGTGAGCCACCGCGCCCGGCCAGGGAGCCTTTCAAACTGGTTGGCAGAGTAGAGGAAAGCAAGTTGATTGAATAAATTGCTGTAACTTAGAAGGTTAGAACATTTCTCTGGCTTTTGATAAAGCAACAACTACTATGGGTCTTTTTTTTTGTATATAGATAGATAGATACGTATATCTGTATCTATCTGTCTGTCTGTCTGTCTATCAATCAATAGCTTTTGGGGTTTTTGGCTGCATGGATGAATTATTATTTTATTCTGTACGTTTTTTTGAGATGGAATCTCACTCTGTCGCCCAGGCTGGAGTACAGTAGTGCGATCTTGGCTCACTGCAGCTTCCGCCTCCCAGGTTCAAGCCATTCTCGTGCCTCAGCCTTCAGAGTAGCTAGGATTACAGGCACGTGTCCCCACGCCTAGCTAATTTTTGTATTTTTTAGTAGAGATGGGGTTTCCCCATGTTGGCCAGGCTGTTGAACTCCTGGCCTCAAGTGATCCACCTGCCTTGGCCTGCCAAAGTGCTGGGATTACAAGTGTGAGCCACTGTATCCAGCCACTTGGATGAATAATATAGTGGTAAATTCCGAGATTTTAGTGCACCCATCACCTGAATAGTGTACATTGTACCCAATATGTAGTTTTTATATCCCTCACCACCCTCCCCCGGTCTTTTCTAGCTACTGTTGCTGTGGGCTCTAATGAACTGTGTTGTCTGCCCAGATGTCCTCTTGAATTCTTGGAATGCTGACCTCCAAGACTCCCAGATCCATAAACTACTCTTCCCCTTTGTTGACCTGCTCCTTAGTCTCTTGGTGTTTGACCTTGGTATGACTTTGAACACCTGTCTGAAAACTCCCTTTGTACTTAATCCCTGTGGGTTGGAGTTGATTTTGTGCTGCCTTGACATGAAGCCAGGTAGGGAGTGCTAGGGGTTTCTCTGTCCCCTCTACCTCATGCCGCTTTCTCCTTCCCTGGAACTTTGTAATGGTTTCAAGCAAGGGTACTTTCATGTAAAACACTCCTCATGACACAGACATTAGCTGAGCCTAATACTAGAAATTTCTTCTGAATTCATAGAAAGAAAATGAAGTTAGTAGAGAAAATCTGAACTTTTACTTTGATCAGTATTTTAAAAAATTTTTGTACCTCTTTATTCCCTTCTGTGCTATAATTTAGTATAAAGTGGCTTCTGATACAGCACAAAATAATATATTCTCAGTTATCTTAAAGTTGCTATACCAACATTTCATTGTGTTCTTCAAACCACATCTTGACTTTTGAGGGTTCATCCATATATAGATTTTTGAGCCCATCAGGACTAATCTGGTCATATTTTCTGATGGCCTCAAAGTGTCCATTTAGATACAAGAAAGGATCACCAATGTAGCTGGTTACAGACATCCTCCCTGCAGTTTTCTCTCTTGCCCCTTTAAGGACACCAGTTTCCTATCCCATGGTCGATGCTGCTTCTTTGGTTGCCTTTTGGGCAGTTTGGCCTCGATTTTTCCAGGACTCATTTCCAGGACCCTTTCCCCAGGAATGACGCAATGATGGTTGTTCTCAAGACTCTTCCTATGGTCTTCTTTCATTCTCTTAAGCTTTAAATAGCTCCTCTTGCAGTTCTCACCAGGGACACCCAAAGCATTTCAAATCCCTCCCAGATAAGAAGTGTGTTAAGGTGATATCTGAGAGGTGGCATCTTTAGGAGACGCTGAATAAAAGAGTGTGGCAGATCTTACAAATGAGCTGTCAACTGAAGTGGTTAGGCAGAGAGGAAGTGTTTAGGGACAAAGCCAAAGGCAAATGAGACGATTCAGAGCTGCATTGTAGGTAGACCTTTCTGCAATGATTTTCTAAATGTGTACAGTGAGATTCTTCTTATGTCCTTGTTGGGTCTATGGGCGTTGGTGTCTTGACCTTCACTCCTTTCATTAGAATATCACTCTGCTGCCATCTGTTTTATATGTTGGGGTGCCATGTAAGATTTTATTTGAAGAAACAGTTTTATTGCTAAAGAAAGTTTGCAACCAGCTGGGCCAGAGCAGTTTTCTGAGGCAATGAAAGGTTTGTTGCAATGACATTATGTAGGTTTCCTATGCAGGAACTGACTGTGAAGACACTCATCTGCTATGAAAAAGAAGTAGCCCAAACCCAGAATAGCCCTTTCATGCTTCTAGAAGTCAGACAACAAACTTCCCAAAGAATAATCTCTATAGTGATCTGTAATAAAATGTTGTGATGCAACATGTTGTGTTCATTCTTTATTGCTCAATTGACTGTTGTAACAGGATGAAAGCAAACATCTGCTGAAACATGTGCCTGAGCTTTGACTGCCGTTTACTGAATGTAGTTCACATGTACTTCCTTAAATAATTTCACAATAGACAAATTAATCCATTCTGATTAAGCAAAGGAGAGAAGTCTAGTGCAAAGTACAGTCTTCTCAACTAATAATTATAGGAATTCCAAATAACATGTATACGTTAAAGGTAGCCATAAATAGCTTAACAAAGTAGCATAAGTAAATAACTTGGAGGTCTCTAAATTTGGTATGTAACTTATTTGACTATATACTTTTTTTTATTCCAGTTTTTAAAAAACATAATAGAAGGAGTCCAGGCGCAGTGGCTCAAGTCTGTAATCCCAGCACCTTGGAAGGCTGAGGTAGGCAGATCACTTGAGATCAGGAGTTTGAGACCAGCCTGGCCAACATAGTGAAACGCCATCTCTACTAAAAAATACAAAAATTAGCTGGGCGTGGTTGCGCAGGCCTTTAGTCGCAGCCACTAGGGAGGCTGAGGCATGAGAATTGCTTAAACCCGGGAGGTGGTGGTTTCAGTGAGCCCGAGATCAGGCCACTGCACTCCGGCCTGGGTGACAGAGTGAGATTCTGTCTCAAAAAAACAAAAAACAAACATAGAAAAAAAAATCTTAATAAGTTTACAGAACTCTTAAAGTATTTTCATGAATCCCAGCGTTTCATAGAAAACAGACTGAAAAGCACAAATTTAATGCTTCTCTGAATAAGGACTGCAATGCTTGTTCTTTTATTATGCTTTATATTCATCCTCTTTAAGACATGACCTTGGGCTTATTTTCTAAAAATGAATATGATCTAGGAGTTTCAACACACCTTTCTTAGAAACAGATGAAGTAGCAAAAAGATAAATAAGGATATATCAGATCAAAAACCACAACTAACTAGCTTGACTAGAATGTATGTAATTTTGCATCCAACTAACAGGGTGTACAGATTGTTTTCACATAATCGTGGAACATTTATAAAACTTAATTCAGCCCGGGCATGGTGGCTCATGCCTGTAATTTCACCACTTTGGGAGGCTGAGATAGGAGGATCACTTGAGCCCAGGAGTTCAGGACCAGCCTGGGCAGCAACATAGTGACACCTTGTCTTCCAAAAAGAATTAAAAAGAATTATCCATTTTTGGTGGTGCATACCTGTGATCCCAGCTACTTAGGAGGCTGAGGTGAGAGGATTGCTTAAGCTGGGGAGGTCAAGGCTGCGGTGAGACATAATTGCGCCAGTGCACTCCAGCCTGGGTGACAGAGTGAGACCCTGCCTCTAAATAAATACACTTAATTCCTCTTAAATTCCACCAAATTTGTTGTTAAGCAGACCACATTTAGTGATCACAATGCAATAAAATTAGAGATGGACAACAATAATAGCAAAAAAGCCAACTGTAATCTGACAGGCTGAGTTAGAAACTGGCTGGATGGCTGTGCATTGTTGTTCCTCAGTCATTTTGCATAAGCAAACGCAAGTCACACCCCATTCTATAAACAGCTGCTGATAGAAATGCAAACAGTCAGTTCTGAGACTCTGCATACTGAATAATAGGTGAAATAAGGAAAGACTTTGAGAAGCAATAAGAAATATATCTGATTTGACCTTGTCCATTAGGTGAGTTTCCTTTTTTTTTGGTTCAGTTAAAGAATATGATATTTAGGGAAACATTTAAACATGTGTTGTAAATATATATTAATGGAGACAGTAGACTTGACAAATACCAAAAAGACCTATATATAGCTGGCTGTCTACAGCTTATTGACAACAAATGGAAGAAGCTAAGAATCCTGGCATCATTGATTTAGTGGTATTAAAACATCAGGAAAAGCCTTGATTTTTCTGAGCCTAGTTTAATGTTTTTAAAAGAACTAAGTTGGCATATAATAAACATATTTATAGATACTAATATTTTAAACACGTGATCTATTTGTATCAGAATGCTACCTTTTCATTAACATTATGGTGAAACCAAAACTGGCATAGTATTAGAAACACTTGGTTTTCCAGAATGGCTCTTTTCCCATACTTTGCAGGGGAAAAACTCTTCCTGATTGGAAAAGTGGGAGTACCTGAAGACACAGCAGCATTATGAATTTATTGAGGAGGGTTGAACACCTTGAAGTTGATATAGCAACTCAGTGTGTTACAAGAAAAGCACTAATATTGTTAGTTTCATGTCACTTTTTGCACATGCAAACCGGAGTTTGGCAATAGTACCTGGAGATGAGGGACAGGAAAGCCAGGAGAGGAAGAAGACTGTAGAGAGGTTATGGCACCCAGATGATGGTTGGAAGTGAGGCTGTTGGAACACAGCATGGGGTGTGGTAGGGTGGATGTTTGACTATGGAAATGAAAATCAGCTGTGAAGAGATGGAAGTCCTGTGTGCTTTAGCATGCCACCATGTACCTGAAGAACATATTCCTGTGGGCAGAGAATGTATCTGCTTAAATGTGATTAGTGCCTGTAGTCTGGGTGAGGTGATGGGCGCCTGGAGTCCCAGCTGCTTGGGAGGCTGAGGCAGGAGAATGGCGTGAACCCCTGAGGCAGAGCTTGCAGTGAGCAGAGATTGCGCCACTGCACTCACGCCTGGGCCACAGAGTGAGAGTCTCAAAAAAAAAAAAAAAAAAGTGGTTAGTGAGGAAGAGGGTGTTGGGTAGGCAGGACAAGGGAGGCATGAAGCCATACCTGGTGCCTCTTAGTAGTCTTTGTAAGTATCTATGTGTCAAATTGATGGTACTCATATTCTCATTTTGTACAAAGTCAATGATAAATGCGCCCGTCTCTTCCCCAGTTACTGCCAACTCATGGATGTTTGTCTAATTGTTTTTATTATTTGGACAGTCATGTTTAACACGTCTGGCTGCTTCTAATTCATCATGTTTCTTGGAAGGAAAGAAGTATCATTGCTCCTTCAGAAAGCAAAGGGTTTGCTTTTTGAGTTGGTGCATTTCCCTAACAGATTAACATCTTTCCTGTGTTGCAGCAAACAGAAAACTTGAGGAAGTTGAGATGCAATAGGAGAGTCAGTCTGTGTTGGTCAAAAGCTTTCCATGCATGTTTCATGTTCTAGGAAGATGAGTCTTGACAGATTCCTTGACACTGTTTTTAGGTCTGTGTTTTGCAACTTGGAAATTCTCTTTGCAATGTGAAGTCCTTTGAGTGCTATCTGATTTTTTTTTTTTCTTTTGAGTGCTATCTGATTTGTAATTCTCTCAGTCCTGGCTGGGGTAGCAGTGCTATCATTTCTATTTTTTTCTGCCTTTGAGCCTTGGGCCCACAAGTTTGGTGGCACTCTGAGATAACCAAAGCTTTTCATTTTACCTCTTCAGAGCTTGTTAATACCAGAATTCCCTGTACTTACCAGTTGGACTTGCAGATGTTCTACCTTCCAGGTAGCTTAAGTTGTTCCTCCTTTTTCATTTTCAGGAAATATTTCCACTCCATTCTTTGATAGCTTTATGAAGTCTCAGTGTCATCCTGAAGGTAGACTGGAAAAAGCCCCAGGATCAGTGCTCAAGCCTGGTTTAAGCCTTAATCTGTCATAATCATAAGAATAGCTATGATTCATTGATCTTCATCAGGCATTTTGCTGTTCAGTTTGTACAGGTAGGAGGTGGTATACTATTATTTGAATTTAGGAGAACTTGACTCCGAAGTCTGTGTTTCACTGTCTTCTATGTGCTCACAAAAAGCAACCACTCAGTGGGAGCATACTTTGTAGATTTTGCACTCATTCCAAATTCTTGGAGACTGCTTGCTTCTTGGTGGTGGTAAGAGGCATGTTTAGCTATGGGTTGAGCAGACTTTTGGAGTGTCGAGTGGCTGTGTCCATTCTGAGACTGCCGTCACATTATTTGAGATATTACTAAGCAAATCAAACAGCCACACCTGTTTCCACTGTACTGCCTATGTTTTACCAATGACATATATTCTATGTGTGCTTTTTTTTTTTCTATTACCCTATATCTATGGAGCAAGGGGTACTTGTCACAAACTATAAGTACTATAAGACCCAGTGTTTTGGTGAATTTACTTTCCATAAATCTCTATAAACATTCATATTCTGATCCTGGAAGAGCCTTGGGCAACAAATAATGTCTTTTGGGTAAATGAAGTCAATGGTTTCAATAAATTAAAAAAAAAAGCCGATATCTCATTTGAGTTATTGACATTGGTCTTCCAGAACGTTTTCTGCTTTCAGGAATCATTTCAACGCCTCTTGTTTCCTAACATACAGTTGTTTGTGTTATTTGCCTACTGGGTTATGTTGGTCACCCACTGAGGTGATGGTAACATTTCAGAAATAGTTGATGGATTTCTGGGCTATGACTGCTTATTTTTTTCTTCATCCTGGTCTTTCTCTTTAAGAAAAATTATGAACATCTGGAAGATGCTGTTAAAAATGATGTATGTTTTGGTGTTTTGGAAGCATTTATAAATGTGTATATATATTTATATGTATTATATATATATCTATATCATATATATATCTTAGACGAAGTCTCACTCTGTCGCCCAGGCTGGAGTGCAGTGGCATTATCGCCCGTGAACCTACCGGATTCAAGTAATTCTCCTGCCTCACCCTCCTGAGTAGCTGGGACTACAGGCTAATTGTTTTGTATTGTTAGTAAAGTAAGGGTTTTGCCATGTTGGTTTTGAACTCCTGACCTCAAGTGATCTGCCTGCCTTGGCCTCCCAAAGTGCTGGAGTTACTGGCATGAGCCACCATGCCCGGCCCAGAAATGTATATTTAATTCAACAGTATTTACAGATAATTTTATTTTTTGTCTGAAGAACTTGCTATAGTGGAATATCACCATCTGCTAGAAGTTGGTCTAGCAGTTTTCTAGCAGTTGGTGAGGGAAATGGAATATTCCTATGTAGCAAGTGCATTTATAAATATTAAGCCAAATGCTATAGAACTTAAGATCTCAACAGTTTCTAGCCATGAACTTCTCTGCTGCCTCAACATCACTGTTAAGGATGGACTTATGTTATTATTATAAAATACTGTACTGATAGGAATGCACTTATGAATCTTAGGTTATAGGTGAATATAAAATGCAGTTATCTAATATTCTGAATTTAGATAAAATCAAACTCATCTTTTAATAAGAAACAAGAAAGAATCATATTCCTGTTTCCTTCTACTTTTCAAAGGTGTTAGATTTCCACTTCTCTCCGCCTGAGATTTTGCACAAACAAGATGAGCTCTTTGTTTATAACATCATTTTTTCCACTCTTGACATATTAGGGAGGGCGCAACCATATCTACGCACATCTAGACCAGAAGTTGAGATGAGTAAACTGCACGGAAGACATAGGCTGTCTCCACTTATGGAAATGGGGTTCCTGCTATTGGGCAGTATGCATCTTGCTTTTGAAGTGGAAGTAGCTGTGTTCCACCTCAGGGTGTAGGAATTGTAATGGTCTGTGAGAGTTGTGGCCAGGGCTCATTTGGTAAATACAAGTGTCCCTACTCATATATCTTGGTACATTATAAAATGCCTCTTCTAGCCTGCCTCATGCCATGTGACTTCTCTTCCTTGCTTTTGGTGTCTCTGTTATGTGTTTCCTTCCAGAATGCCGGGTATGGGTCCACAATGGCATTATTAAAACAAAAACAAAATAAAACAAAAAAAGCAAGAAAAGCCTACTGCTTTTTAACGTTAAACATAAAAGTACTGATAAGGTTTATATTTCTATGCCAGTCATTTGTATATGAACATTTTCTCCAAATCAATCACTGAACAAGGGGATGTTAAATTATATGAAAGAACATGTGGTGTTATAATTCACATAAATGCTGATGTTCTGTGCTATTTGAAAAGTAATAGTTATATTCATCTGCTCCTGTTTCTCTGCAAAAATAATTTTGCACTGCAATAAGTGAAGTCCATAAGCTACATAGGAACACTCAAATATTGAACCATTCTAAAAAATTCAAAATATTTTCAGATAAAAAATTCTTTATAATATACCTTATGTTTCTCTTTATAAAAATTTCTCCTCTTGAGCTCGGGAGTTTGAGACCAGCCTGGGCAACATAGGGAGACGTCATCTCCCCCCAACAACAACAACAACAAAAAGCTGGGCATGGTGTATGGTGTTGTGCACTGCTGTGATCCCAGCTGCTTGGGAGGCTGAGACTGGAGGATCACATGAGCCCAGGAGGTTGAGGCTGTCTCTTTCTTCTCTACTGAGCTTTATGTGTTTTTTTGTTTTGTTTTGTTTGTTTGTTTGTTTTTTTGAGATGGAGTCTCCCTCTGTCTCCCAGGCCGGAATGCAGTGGTGCTATCTCTGCTCACTGCAACCTCCACCTCCCAGGTTCAAGTGATTCTCCTGCCTCAACCCCGCTGAGTAGCTGGGATTACAGGCACCCATCACCACGCCTAGCCATTTGTATTTTTGTATTTTTGTATTTTTAGCAGAGATGGGGTTTCACCATATCAGCCAGGCTGGTCTCGAACTCGTGACCTCAAGTGATCCATCTGCCTCAGCCTCCCAAAGTGCTGGGATTACAGGTGTGAGCCACTGTGCCCGCCCAAGCTTCACACTTTTATTCCTTTTCCATGTTTATTCCTTTTGCATCTTTGTCAAACATGTGACTTAGGATATGAATTTTGATGTCATATTGTGTTATGTTTATGAGAGAAGCTTAAAATGTTCAGAAAGATGGACTTATTTGAAAACCCAAAGGCAGGTATAGTTGTTGGGAGAAGTTAGACTGGGACATGGCTAAAACTATAAGGTCTAAGGTAGGCAAGAGTAAGAGATTTTCCACATTGAATATAACTGAGTTGGATCCCCATTGTACCCTGGCACCTAGCATATAATAAGTATTCAATCAATATTTATTGAATGAAGGAAAAAGAGAGAGGGCCAGAAGTGTCCTTACAGAGACATGATGTCAGAGAAAATAATGTTTTTTTTTTTTTGAGATAGAGTCTCGCTGTGTCGCCCAGGCTGTAGTGCAGTGGTGTGATCTCGATGTTATTCTCTTGCCTCAGCCTCCCAAGAAGCTGGGATTACAGGTGCCTGCCACCATGCCCAGCCAATTTTTTGTATTTTTAGTAGAGACAGCGTTTCACCATGTTGGCCAGGCTGGTCTTGAACTCCTTACTTCAGGTGATCCACCCTCCTCGGCCTCCCAAAGTGCTGGGATTACAGGTGTGAGCCACTGCACCTGGCCTAAAATAATCTTATTCGAGAGGAAAATACTTATTTGAGAGAAAACGGGGCCGAGCAATTCTACAGGTAAATGAAAAATTTCATGATTGCTCTGCTTGCTTTTCATTTTGAAACCATAGGAAAGAAAGATGATTTATGGGATATGGTACAAGTATTAAGAAGAGTTATTTTTTTTTCTTGGATTTGCAATGACCAGCAAGAAGCAGACAAGCTCCCAATTTATGACTTCTGTCCTTGGCAGAGCCCATCAGGATGAAGGGCTTCTTGATAGAGGGACTCTGAGCACAGAAGTACAGATCCCTCAACCCAACCTCTCTGAGAGCACAAGCCTTAATTATAAAGCATTTTATCACTGCTATAACTGCTGGCACTGAAGAAAACTTTTGATTCTTGAATTCAAGCAGCTGTAACTGAGGTTTCTCACTCTGAAGGAAGGAATACAGACAGAAGAAAAATATGCATACATGACTAGAATTTAGGAGACATGAGATCTAGATTAGCCCCATGTCTAACTAGCTGGTTTATTTCAGACTATTCATTTACCTTCTCTGAGTTTCAGTTTCCTCTTCTGGAAATTAGAGCATTCAACTGATGGGTACTCCTAGGTCTGAAATTACCAAAAATCACCCAGATACAACTCATTCTTAGATTGGAATGCCAAGGTAGATTTTGTGATGGATAGGGCGCCCCAAAATCATTGTACTTAACTTAAATTTCTTTCTGTGATTTTTCTGAAGGTTCAGGTACTGGTTACATTAAGAATAGGTTATAAAATTACATGCCTTGCTAATGAAGAACGTGGTGAAACTATTAATAATAGTATTTTTAATAAGTCTCAATTATTGAACACTTAGCACAGGGCAAACAATGTGCTAAAAGCTTTCTGTGGGTTATCTCACTTAGTCCTTAAAACAACCCAATGAGATTAGTACTGTTATTATCTCCATTTTACAGTTTAAAGAATAAGGCTTAGTATAAAAAACTTGGATCAGATCATACAAAGTAGAAAAGTCAGAATTTGAACTCAAGCCTATTTGCCATCACACTGAGAAAACATCAGTCTCTATATGGTATGAGTCTTGTCCAGACATGAAGTTCTTTTTAAGGATGATGAGCAGATAAAATAAAATCAAGTATATTTATTACATGTTGCTGTTCAGTTAATATTATTCCTCCCCTTTCTTTTGCTCTGTACTAAATATGAGTAATAGAGGGAAAATTTGGCTTTCGGAAAATGGCTGACCTATCTAGAGTAGTTTTAGAATGATTCTGCCTAATAGTGGGGGATCCTAAGGTTGGAGTCTATGATTCACTTTAATATGACACTTCATGGAAAATCTGGGCTGTGATATGTCTGTGTGTGTGTAGCAGAGAGAGAGAGAGGGAGAAATAGAACTAGATCTTTCCCTTTCCTCTTAACTAAATCTACTCTCTTCTATCTTATTTCCTAAAAAACACTTAAAAAGTATTTTTAAAAACATTTAAAAATCTTTAAGTGTTTTTTCCTTCAACTTAAGTTCAGGGGTACATGTGCAGTTATTTTTATTTATTAAATAAATTTATTTAAAGATGGGATGTTAATCTGTTGCCCAGGCTACAATGTAGTGATGTGAGCATATCTTACTGCAGCCTTGAACTCCTGGGCTTAAGCAATCCTCCTGCCTCAGCCTCCCAAGTAGCTAGGACTACAGGCTAATGCCACCACACCTGCCTAATTTATAAAAAAAAAAACAAATATATATACACACATATATATATATATATATATATATAAATAGGTCTTGCTAGTTGCCTGGGCTAGTCTTGAACTCCTGACGTCAAGCCATCCTTCTGCCTCAGCCTCCTCAGTCACTGGTATTACAGGTGAAAATATGTTTTATTTTAAAAATAAGGAAGATGATAGACTTTCTCTCACCAGGCAATTAACACCACATAGTACATGTTGAGGAAATGGGTGTTCCTTGCTTTCTATTGTTAATCTGATGATAGTGAGGGTGGAGAGCACTTTGAAAAAATATTTGTATAAGGAGGAGAGAGAGAAGTGAGCTGAATAAGAAAGTCTTTTGCATATCCCAAATTAAGGTCATTCTTGACTTTTTAGAAGATATTTCCTTGAGGTAGACAGCACTTTTCTCAAGGCAGTACAGAGTTTAAATATATAACCTTGGCTTCAAATACTCTTAGCAGATCCTTATTTTTAAAAATTAATTTTTGGTTTAGGGGCTCAATGTACTTTCTTATACTTCTAGGAAAGAAAAGAACATTGCCTGCATATTGACCCTTGGAAGCCAGATTGCTGGATGCTGCTGCTAATAACAGCTAATACTTACATAGAACTTACTATGTCCTGTGCACTGTTCCAAACTTTGTGTGTATACACTAGCTCAGTCCTCACAACAGCCCTCAGAAATAGCTTTATTATTGTGCTTCATTGAGTCTAAAATATATTGATGATGCATTCTTGACCTTGCTAGAAGATGCTAACAAAAAGCTTTCACACAGTTGTATCTCTATTGCAATTGCAATAATAGCAATTGCAAGATGTCTTGGATTGTAAGACTGAAATGTAAGATGCACCCCAATTTTAAAGAAGTTAAAATAAGAAAGCATGTTAGAATTGATAAAATAGAATCTCTTCCTGTTTTACAGGTGAGGAGCCCAAGGCAAAAGAGACTAAATAAATTTTCCAAAGTTACATGACTGGACTCAAATACAGGTGGCTTGGTTGTAGAGTTTCTGCCTTTAACCTCCATTTTTTTTTCCTGTCTCTCAACAATAGATTGGAATTGTGCCCATGCTAATATGTGGGTAGACTGGCCAAGACTCAGTTACTTATGCCCTCACTGAAGCACTTACGATAGAACAGCTCTAGATCTTTCTGAGGGAGACAGTGTATATGCTATGTATAGGGCAGTGATGAGGATTGTTGTGCTAATGTGTGTAAAGTGCTTGACATGTGGGCATCTGACCTAGGTTTCAGACCCATTTTCAGCAAGAGAGTGTCAGAGGGAAGCCCTTGTGAACTGGCTTCCCAAACCTCAGTAGGCTGGAGTACAAGCAGGAAATGGTGAGCATACAACGTTGTTTGGGTGCCCCAAATGTCAAATTCTGGTACTGTGTGTTCTCACTGTTTACTCCTTCCTGAAATGAAATGCCAACACAAAAATCATTTACGTTATTAGATTTCTGTATTTGAGGAGTGGAGTATTTTCTTTCTGGAAAACAGGCCCTAGGAATACTACTCAGGACTTGAATAATAAATAAGAGAACAAAAATTGTTTATATGAAAATATACCATCAATTGAGACTTAACATTAAATTGTCTTCACCTAGTAGTGATAAGTAGTGATGAGAAAGCCACGTATGGACTTGCAGGATGGAGGTGGGAGTATAGTCTGGTATAGACTAGAATGATTTTCTGCTGAAAGATGGGGTAATTCCACTAACTCCAGGCTTTCACTAACTGGACTGCAAGCTCAGATAAGAAGGCTGTCGCCCTCAACACCATGCCCAAACCTTGAAAGATCTGTTATTTTGAAAACCTGCCTGCCCCCAACTCCCTTTATTTCTCTGAAATTTTCTTATTCTTTGGAATTCTGGTCTCTTTTAACCCAGACCAGCCTGGTCAGCGTGATCAGTTTTGAACAAACTCTAGACAGCCTCCAAATTTGCTAAAGGTTTTCCCCAATCAGAATCTTCATTGTTGGGTCATGGGTGAATATTTTGCTGCCAGGTCTTTCAGGTAAAATGGGAGGTGAATTCTCAACCCAGGAAGCCTGTGTCACTCATCACATATTTCCCTGTTATCTGTCATCTTCTCCTATGCCAGTGCTCCTTTCTCCCAATCCTTTACTGTACTCGAACACATACATGCTGTTCGAGTGTGATTATACAGTATATAATGGTGGAGATAAATTTTTGGATACAGAATATCTACAAATGAGGTAATTTAAAAATAAAATTTTAAGTTTGTTGGTTTGGCACAAGTTTTAAACACCAAACTGTTGTTTTTGTTGCTTCTGATTGTCATTTTACATTTCTAGTTTTGAACTGTTTGAACATCTGAAATTAATTTGAAACATTTCAGACTGTTTTGAACCAGTCTATATTGGTCTAAACCAGTAAAAACAATTTTACAGATAACTATAGTTATCAAACTAGTTTCCAGCAGTTCGATAGAGGTAGAACCAGTGTGACTCAATTGAAAGTGGATTTAATTTGTCAGCACAGTTTGATTTAGTAAAATATACTCAGAACCAACTAAAACTTTTAGAAGCCTGTCAGAACCTGCATGTCCAAGTCAGAGCCTATTGGAACTAGCTAAAACCAGTCTGAAGCAATTAAAGCTAATTACAATGAGACTCCAATAATTTTGGTTAGATATATCAGGTTTTAGCCAAAGTCAGAAAGTTTTGTAGGAGAACCTCTTTTAACTCACCGTAAAATAATATGAACCAGATTCTTTTGAACAACTATGAACTTGCTAAAATGGATGGTGTATTTTATATGGATTTGAACCTCTTTTTAAGTTGATCAGAACTCTTTTGAAGTAAACATATCTGTATTAAATGAATTGCAAATGGTTAGAACCAGCCAAAAAGGATCAGAATTATTTGAAAGTGATCTTTGTTGACTCAGCCGACCACTTTGAGCCAGTTAGCAATCGTTTGTGCTAGAAAGACATGTTTTAAGCTGGCCAGAGTCAATCTGAAATTTGTTCTAGATCTTCAGACCCAGTCTGAACGTCCACAATGGGGAGAATAAAGTGAGCCAACAGTTAAGTACCCAGTATATGCCAACCATTGTGCTGGGCACTCCATAAACAGTATCTCATTGAATCCTCAGAATAATGGTGTGAGGTAGTGTATATTCTTTTTTATAGAACAGAAACCTGGAAATCTAAGGCTCAAAGACATCCAAGTAATTGGTATCTGGGAGATTTGGGATTCAAACCCAGCTCTGCTTGACTTGGTGAGTTTCCTATTAGGTTACCTTGTAAGATACCATACTACTGGTCACTTTAAAGCCCAATGTGCATTTATAACAAAAATGAATAATGGATATGAAGCTTGGGGTAGAATAGGCATTGGACTTGGAGCTAGGAGATCTAGATTCTAGATCGTGCAAATCAGTCTACCTCTCTGGGTTCTGTTTTACCCTTTAGAAAACTGAACCCAGAGAGTGGAAGGTCTGAACATTTATTTTCAGATCAAGAAAGCAGATAATTGTCTTAAAGATACAATCTGAAAAGTGCAAACTATGATTAATATTGATGGTGGTGTCTATACCTTCAATTTATGGTATTTGGTTTGTTAACAGTCCCTTTATGATTACTTGGTCAGTATTGCTATTGTGAATAGAAAACAAAACTCACGAAGATCATTTGTAGACTTACATGTGTGATTACCCATGGAAATGAAACACATTAGAGATAGTTTCATTTAAGTCTTTGAATTCCACTTAAGTGAGTTTAGAGAATTCTAGAATATGATGCCATTGGTGACAGCATTTTTTCCTGTACCCTAAGTGATGTAAAAAACATAGTTATACCAACTTTTTTTTCAAATTAAAAATAAATAGGAAATAAGGTAGTCACAGTGTCTTCTTGCATCATTCTCACTGCAGGATCGGTATTGTTATCTGCTGCTCCATTCAGTTTGAGGGGAAGCCCTCAAATGAGTCAACATTATCTGGACTTGCTTTTCAATTCTTAGCTCTTATTTCCAATAACTTAGAGCCAGGTGTGATGCTGTGATATGACGTGCTATAATGTTGATGTCCAAGTTGTCGTTTTTTGGAGAGGAATTCTGTTATATGTCATTAATACTGGTGACCTATACTTGCAAATATCCAAGCTATAAAGACAGGTAAGGCATCATCTGTGAAGTGTCACTCTTTATAGTGTGCAAATAGAATTTTGAATGTTTGTAGAGGCTCTGCCCTTATCCACGGGCTAGCCATACCTGAAACGTGAGGTTGCAGATCTGCACTGAAGCACTCTGAGGAAACACACTGCAGTGGCTTTTGGGGCTCAGCATTCAGGAGTTTTCAGCATAAGGTGAGTCCCCAAGTTGAGGATGGGGTGAGGGAGGTAACACTGAAAACCAGTAAATATTCTTGTCTGAGTTTTTATTAATTTTATGGATATATAGAAATAGTCCTACAGGAAGCACTGAATATGGCAGCCAAGTTTCTGGATATGGTGCTGGGTAAAAAGGGGATAACGCCGGGAGTCAGTAGCATCCAATGTAGGACATCTGGCATGTGTATAGATGGATAAATATGTATGTTTGAATAGTCATGTAGAGTCGTCAGTGTTAATGAGATAGCTAGTTGTTTTTATGATTTTCAGGAGAGTTTATTGGCATTGGCGGGGGAAACGGAGAGAGGTTGGTTAATGTGTACAAGCATATGGTTAGATGGAAAGAATAAGTTCTAATGTTCAACAGTAGACTAGGGTGACTATAGTTAACAAAAATGTATTGTGTATTTTAAAATAGCTAGAAGAGAGGACTTGAAATGTTCTCAATGCATAGAAATGATAAATACTCGAGGAAATAAATACCCTAAATACCTTCATGTGATCATTACATTCTATGCATGTAACAAAATATTACATGTACCCCATAAAAATATACAAATATTATGTATCAATAAAATTTTAATGAAAAAGTAAACCTCCCCTGGAGAGAGATCCCATTTCTAGTTGGACTGATATTTTGGGTTTGAATCTATTTAGAAGGTAAATACAAATCATGAAAAGTGCTGATTGCAAAGAACCAAAAATAGCCGTGGTTAGGTATTGCTGATATAAATGAATTTTTCTTCTTTAAGGTGGACTTTTGTTTTAGTCGGTACTGAAGAGCTGAATTTTTAGCAGTTCTTGATAGAGTACCCAGGTAAACATAGGTAAGCGAGCCCTTGGTTGTGGCACTGTGGTCTCTGAGCAGTGACTGTTCAAATCTGGAACTCAGTTCCCAAGTGAGCAGTGATACTCTAGAGAAGTCTGGCTTAATATGTAGTACATATTAATAGTAATATGTAAGGAAGCAGGGACTAAATTTACTTGTGAAATAACAGTGTCTTTGAAGGAACCGTAATAACATGTGAAAATGAATAGAATAAATGAAATTGCCTAGATGTCCATGTAAAAAGAGAGAAAAGGCAAGGTTCTAGCACTAGGAGACTTTCTTTCTTTCTTTTTTTTTTATTTCCATAGGTTTTTGGGGAACAGGTGGTGTTTAGTTACATGGATAAGTTCTTTAGTGGTGATTTCTGAGATTTTGGTGCACCCATCACCCAAGCAGTGTACACTGTATTCAATCTGTAGTCTTTTATCCCTCACCCGCCTCCCACCCTTTCCACCCGAGTCCCCAAAGTCCATTGTATCATTCTTATGCCTTTGCTTCCTCATAGCTTCACTCCTACATATGAGTGAGAACATATGATGTTTGGTTTTCCATTCCTGACTTACTTCACTTAGAATAATTGTCTTCAATTCCATCCAGATTGCTGTGAATGCCATTATTTCGTTCCTTTTTGTGGCTGAGTAGTATTCCGTGGTGTGTGTATATATATACAGATAAAAAAATTGTGGTGTACCACAATTTCTTTATCTACTCATTGACTGGTGAGCATTTGGACTGGTTCCTTATGTTTGCAATTGCAAATTTTAGCACTAGGAGACTTTGAAAAAGGAGGGGAAATTGGAACCACTTGCACTCTAATGATTACTGTTATTCCTTATAACATTCTCTTTCCTCTGTTTTTCTTGTATTAGTTTTTGTTCTATATGGTCTACAGATAAGACTTAGTGACTGTTACCTTCTTGTTGATTATCATTCCCACTTGAAATTTTTGTCCTAATGGTACTATAATATGTATGTTTTTATTTTTATTTTTATTTTTATTTATTTTTTTATTTTGAGACAGAGTTTTGCTCTTGTTGCCCAGGCTGGAGTGCAATGGCGCAATCTTGGCTCACTGCAACCTCCACCTCCCAGGTTCAAGTGATTCTCCTGCCTCAGCCTCCTGAGTAGCTGGGATTATAGGCATGCACCACCATGCCTGGCTAATTTTTGTATTTTCAGTAGAGATGGGGTTTCTCCATGTTGGTCAGGCTGGTCTCGAATTCCCAACCTTAGGTGATCTGCCCACCTTGGCCTCCCAAAGTGCTGGGATTACCTGTGTGTTAAATTAAAACTACACTGTTAATTACTATTTCAATAGCTTCTCATCTAGCTAGTTATTAGGTCTTCAAGGATGGTGAACAATATGTATGTAACTCTCTTTTCATACAACCCGTAGACATACAGGTTAACATTAGGTGTTAAACTGAATATTGTTGTCACTTTTTAAATGGATAATTAATGTTTTCTAATGGATTTTAATTAAAAAATTTTGTGTGTATTTTACAGGTGAACTACTGAGTTCTTCATTATGTCTGATGGAGATTATGATTACCTCATCAAGTTTTTAGCTTTGGGAGACTCTGGTGTAGGGAAGACCAGTGTACTTTACCAATATACAGATGGTAAATTTAACTCCAAATTTATCACAACAGTGGGCATTGATTTCAGGGAAAAAAGAGTGGTAAGTTCTATATCCTTCTATGTAAAAATGTAATCGTTAAGTCAACATTTGCTGGTCTGTTTAGTTTACTTTGTAGGAATTAGGAGGACAAAGGTTGGGATCTGAAATTAAAGGTACATATGAAAGTGAGTTATGTTCAATCCAGGCAACATGATTGAAAAGGCTGTGCTGACAGCACTTCATATAAAACCAGGCAGACAAAGTGGAAGTGGACAGTTCTTTAAAATGTCACCTTGGTACTCTTTTGGCTTGTATCTTCCCTCTGAACTCCGAAAGTTATTTGTCTACCTTTGTCTTGAAGCCTGCCAACCACCTTGCCCCTCATACTCTTGTTTTATGGGCTGTGTCTTCCACCTTTGGTATCTTATTATTTTTAATGGCATTTCTCCTAATAAAGTCTCAGCAGTTCCACATGGAACACTAACTGGCAGAACTTATCACTGCTGCCAGGAGGGTGAGGTTGGAGTAGGAGTGGGGAATGCCAGTAGTGAATGTGATGTTCTGCAGAATGTTGAAGGGAGAAACTTTTATTTATTTATTTTTTAAGGACTTTGAGACTGAAAGTTATTCTAGTGTTGGAGGGGAAGGCAGAAGGTCATGGTGTCACAGTTGCAGATGAGGAAAGATGGCTTTCTCCTTAGACTACATTTCTTGTTGAAAAATCCATTGTTGGCCTGAAGCAGGTAAACCAGTTGTCAGGAAATTAATGACAAAGGTCCTTTAATGGATCATATTCTGTCAGGGGGAAAGGTCCCTGGCTTTTAAGACAGAAGAACATTCCCTTTTGCCCATTCTAGTATTTTATTCTACTACCAGAGAGGCTTATAGAGATTAAGACCCACTGAATAACAGTAGGGCCCTAATGAAATTTTTAGTATTGACGTGTAGTTGATAGAATCTACATATATGTATGTGATTATTTTTGTTGGTTACTTATTGTATAACTTAAAAAATAGATTTGTTGAGATATAATTCACAAAAAAAGGAAATCCATCCATCTAAAGTATAAAATTCGGTGGTTTTTAATATATTCGGAGTTGTGTGGCCATCACAGCCATTCAATTTTAGAATAGTTTCATCACTTTAAAAAGAAACCTCATACCTATTAGCAGGCATTCCTCTTTCTACCTCCCCTTAGCCACCATGAATTTTCTATCAATGGCTTCTGCACACACCATATAAATGGAATAATATATGGCCTTTTGTGTCTGGCTTCTTACATTCAGCCTGATGTTTTCAAGGATCTTCCATGTTGTAGCATGTATCAGGACTTCATTACTTATTATAGCTACATAATATTCTATTGTATTGATACACCATTTTGTTTATCCATTTGTCTGTTGATAGATACTGTTGTTTCTTTTTCTATTTTCTAGTGCATCATTTTAATTCCCTTTTTTGTTATATGTTTTTGAGTTCTTTTTTAAAAATTCCCTTGGGGATTACAATTATCTTAATTTTTCACAATCTAATTTTGATTAATAGCAACTTAATTTTAATACTGTGTAAAACTTTGCTCTTATGTGGCTCTGTTTTCTCCCATATTTTTGTGCCATTATTGCTATACGAATGACATCTTTCTACATTGTGTGCCATCATCAATACAGCTTTACAATTATTGCTGTATGCAGTTAATTTTTTTTTCTTTTTTCTTTTTGAGACAGGGTCTCTCTCTGTTGCTCAGACTGGAGTGCAGTGGTGAGATCTCAGCTCACCGCAACCTCTGTCTCCCAGGTTCAAGTGATTCTCCTGCCTCAGTCTCCCAAGTAGCTAGGATTACAGGCACCCGCCACCACACCCGGCTAATTGTTTATATTTTTAGTAGTAATGGGGTTTTGCCATGTTGGCCAGGCTGGTCTCGAACTCCTGGCCTCAAGTGATCCACCCATCTTAGCCTCCCAAAGTGCTGAGGGATTACAGGCATGAGCTATCACTCCCAGCCTGCAGTTAAATTTTAATCTAGTGGAGGAAAAGGGCTACAAAGAAAAACCACGTTTATACTGTTTTTTATATTTACTATGCAGTTACATTTTTACTGGTGCTTATTATTTCTTTGTGTGGATTTAAGTTACTGTCTAGTTTCCTTTCAGCTTAGTCTTGAGAGTTGTCTGTAGTATTTCTTGTAGGATAGGTCTGCTAGAGATGACTTTTCTCAGTTTTGTCTTAATTTATCCTTTAATTTTAGAGGACCGCTATGTTACTGATTTTTAAGTTCTTTGAATATATTTATAATTCCTGATGTAAAGTCTTTGTCTAATAAGTTTAACATCTGGGCCTCCTCAGGAATAATTTCTATTCGTTGTTTTTTTCCTGCGCATGAGCCATACTTTCCTGTTTCTTTGTGTGTCTTATACGTTTTGCTGAAAACTGGACATTTAAAATAATGTGTCTATTCTAGAAACTCAGATTCTTTCCCCTACCTGGGTTTCTTGTTTTTACTGCATATTTATTTATTTTTGTCGTTGCTGTTTGTTTAATTATGTTTCTGGGATAATTCTGCAAAATCTGTATTCTTTGTATGCAGCTACTGAAGTCTCTGCTCAGTCAACTTAGTGGACAGCTAATGAGTGGAGAGAGTTTATTAAATTCCTTGAACTAATAAGTCTCTTAGCTTTTTCTGAGAGTCTCTGTGTGTTTGTTGGGGTATGTGTTTAATACTACTGCAGGCAGTTTACAACTCTGCCTTAGCTTTTATTTTCTGCCTGAGAAGAACCTCAAAGTCAGTCAGAAGTGAGAGATTAGGACCTTTTTAGATCTTTCCTGGGCATTTGTAGAGCCCTGCCCATGAACATGGCCTTTTAGGTTCCAAGGAATATTTGGGAGCATTATAGAAATCTCATTTCCTATTTTTTTCTTTAAATTTTTTTTTTGTTGTTGTTGTTAGACTTTTGTTAGCCCTAACTGGTATTGCTACCTCTGGTAGCTGTGATGTTAAATAATTACTGCTGATAGTTTTCAACAAATGCCCTTGGGATAGGGCTGTTCTCAAAGAGCAAGCTTTGAGTGAGGTCAAAGAAAGACAAAGCTGGGGCATGGAGCTTTCCAAGGGGCTTCCTGACAATTTTTCTCAGTATGGGACTTTTAGGGAGCTCCAAACCTGTTGTTCCTCTGCTGTCCACAGTGGTGGCTAGGCTGATGTTTTCACAACAACCACATTTGTGCACATGGTTTTTAAGTCTTCTAAAAGCTTGAGTGAGGGGGATGGGAATAGGGCAAGGTAAAAAACACCTCAAAGCTTACTGTTTTTACTGATATTCGGCTGTTTTTCTTGAATAAATGCTCCTTGGAATGTTGCAAGTCTTTGTTAATTCCTAGAGTACTGAAAAAGTTGATTTGGACAATTTTTACCACTGTTTTTGTTGCTATTGTGGAGGAAGAAATTTTTGATGGTCCGTTCTCTGCTGTTCTAGGAGTGTTGTCTATAAAATTCTTTTAAGAGCACTTTTAAAATTTGGGATGGGACAAGGGAAAATTGTTCTACCAAAAATACATCTGCACTCAAATGTTTATTGCAGCACTATTCACAATAGCAAAGTCATGGAACTAACCCTAGGTGCTTATCAGTGGTGGATTGGATAGAGAAAATGTGGTACATATACATCATAGAATACTATGCAGCCATAAAAAAGTGAAATTATGTCTTTTGCAGCAACATGGATAGAGCTGGGGACCATTATCCTCAGTGAATTAATGCAGAAACAGAAAATCAAATGCCACATGCATTCTCACTTATAAGTGGGAACTAAACAATGGGTACGCATGGACATAAAGACAGAAACAGTAGACACTAGGGACTCCAAAAGGGGGAAGGGAGTGGGAGAGGGGCTGAAAAACTACTTATTGGGTACTACATTCACTGTTTGGGTGATGAATTCAATAGATGCTCAAACCCCAGCATTATGCAATCTATCTACGTAACAAGCCTGCACATGTACCCCCTGGTTAAACAAACAAAAAAGATGAGATTGGGAAAAGCCATAGAAAAGTAATATTTCCTGAAACTAGTGACCCAAGAGAACTTTGAGGAAAGGTAAACTAATTATTATATTTTATACAAGTTGTTTTGTATTCATATTTTACAATATATTTATAAGATATATATGTATATATTTCAATATAACTTATTACATTACCTGGATATAATTATTTGACATAAATACAAACATGGTTGTATTCCAGATGGCATTCTCTTTGGAATTTTAGATGCCTTTGGGATTTGTACTGAACAAAAAGGTGAGAAGGTTCGCTGGTGTTAGAAGTTCTCTTTTGTTTTCTCTTTCACTTTGCTGTTTTAGGTGTACAGAGCCAGTGGGCCGGATGGAGCCACTGGCAGAGGCCAGAGAATCCACCTGCAGTTATGGGACACAGCAGGGCAGGAGAGGTATGAGATCTTCAGTTATGTGCTCCTTACTGAAGGAAAGGGAAAAATAGTTACATTCTTCAAACAGTGACCTGAGCAGGAAAAAGCCAGCCAATTCGTTGGTTTGCACTTGAATGCTGCCAAATTAGCAGGAAATTTGTCAAGTCTGAGATGAGAATGGTGGCCTTATTTCATACAAGGTCAAGGGAGAGGTTATGACTCTTACTTGTGGACTTTTTTCTTTTCCTTCTTTTAATTTTTTTTTGCTTAGATACTTTGCTCCATTTCCTTTTGCTATTTACTCAACCACAAGAAAGTGGCCAAGTTACATGCATTATTCTTACCTGACTGTTGAAATCTAGTGGGATATCTGGTTGGAATTAATTCATGTGACCAGGGGTTACTTGACCAAAATAAGCCACATGAAATCTTGATATAAAGTTGCTTTCAGTTAGCTAGAACTTCTGTTTTCTTTCACAGCCACCTTGAAGGATTTTGTTTTTTAACTTTTTATTATGGAAAACTTCAAGGATATTCAAAAGTGGAAGGATTATATGATAAACCTATGTACCCATTACTCAGCTTCAACAATTATGAAATTGTGGCCAACAGAATTTCATTTATACCCCTTACCTCTTCTCACCCCACCCCCTTACCATATAATTTAGAAGCAAATTCCAGACACTATATTATTTCATTTTTAATACTTGTGGTAATGTAGCTCTAAAAGATAAGAGCTCTTTTTTGTTTTTTTTTTGGGCGGAGTTTCATTCTTGTTGCCCAGGCTGACGTGATCTCAGCTCACCGCAACCTCTACCTTGCTGGTTCAAGTGATTCTCCTGCCTCAGCCTCCCGATTAGCTGGGATTACAGATGTGCACCACTACACACAGCTAATTTTGTATTTTTAGTAGAGTTGGGGTTTCTCCATGTTGGTCAGGCTGGTCTCTAACTCCTGACTTCAGGTGATCTGCCTGCCTTGACCTCCCAAAGTGCTGGGATTACAGGTGTGAGCCATGGCCCCTGGCCAAGAACTCTTTTTAATAAAAACATTGATTAAAAGTATTTGAGAAAAACCTAATATTGCTGATTAGATGACAAATTCATACCAATATTTTCTTCCCTGGAGCCTGCCTGTCAGTTACAGGTTTTACATATAGGCAAAGACGAGAGGAAACTGACTGGTGATAGGGTGGGGTTGGGGGTGGGGAGAGAGAGAGAGAAGACAGGGAAGACAGAAGGATAAAGCCTTGGAAGGCAGAGTACCAAGACAGAATAAGGTCTGAGTCAAGAGATTCTTACCTTCAAGCCAAACAAATGGCTATCAGAGATAAGAGATCTCTGCATATTCTGAAATTAAAAGATCATGGAACACATTGTAATGTCAAGTCAAGCTTTCACAATAGGAAAACATACACTATATTGCTTTTGGCCAAATTAACTCATAATTGTACATAAATTCTTGGGTGAGACTAAGATCACAAGCTGGTTCTTGTCATCCCTCTCCAGCAGCCTCGGTTTTCAAATCACATGGTCTGTTAACACTTAAACTGATATAAGTGATAAATAACTATCCTATATACTTTTGAAATATCACCATGTAGCTTGTTATTGGTAAACTTTTGTAAGAGGCTGAAGGCATTGCTTGTAGTTTTATATTTCAGGAGTGGGGCCGTGGTTTAACTGACCATTCTGCTTTTATGTTCCTAGGTTTCGTAGCTTAACGACAGCGTTCTTCAGAGATGCTATGGGTTTTCTTCTACTTTTTGATCTGACAAATGAGCAAAGTTTCCTCAATGTCAGAAACTGGATAAGTAAGTGTTATTGTTCCCCAGTGTCCTGCTACACAGTCCCCTCTTATTTATAGAATGCCCTCTTATGCTCTACTTCTGTGACAAATCGTTTTGGAGGAGATCTTAGTGCAAATACTATTTTAAGGAGCAAGGTTTTTAGTTTAGGGACAAAGATAATTGAAATACTCTGCTTCTCCCTGGTACTGATAACTTTGATTTGTTGAGTACTTCCTGTGCTCCAGGTGCAAGGCAGCACTTTATGTGTGCTCTCCTCTTCAGTCTATCCCACAGAAGAGACTCTTATTCCCATTTCGTAGATGAGGAAGTAGAAGCCTAGAGAAGTTAAATCTCTAAGTATCTGCTTGTCTATTGTATGCTATCAATTCTTCTATCATCTCTGGACATTAAATGGGTATTACATAGATGCAGATAGCTTTTAAAGACTTAATGGATCATACCCCTGGCTTCATGTCTTTTCTGTGCTTAGAGTCCCCTTCTAGCTTTTAGGGTTAGAGCATCTTTCAGGAGGATTCTGCCATGGAAAACTCTACAACTGCATTGGTAAAAGTGGTCACCAGTGCAATATATGTCAACCTTTATTTTGGAGAGATTTTAACCTCCTAAATGATTGGTTCATAGCCATTTCGAATTCTGCCACTTGACTGCATAACAGCTTTCAAATGTATATTTTCCCTGTTTGGTCATGTTAGTGTAACCCTAGAGAATCTATTAGGGAAGGCTGTAATATTAAATTCTTAACATCTAAATCTTTAAAACACTGATTTAAAAAGATCTGCTACTTAAACATTACTGTTTTGGGATTATGAAAGGGTAATTGGCTGTAGTTTTGATAGTAGAAAAGCTTAGATTAAAAATGAGTTTAAAAATAATTTAGTGCACTGTGGTTTTCACATACTTTGTATCTGATCCTCACAATCACCCTGGGCAAAGATTCGGGTCAGTGTTGTGTCCTTATTTCAGGAGAAGGACATTGAGCCTTAAAAAGTAATAGACTTATCCAAGGATATGAAGCTTTGGCTTTCCTTTTTAATGGCCTTTTTTTTGCCCGTTCTCAAGTCAGTTGGCCACTAAGAGTTGAAGAGCTATTAATTACTTTAAATATGAGTTCCCCAAATATAGTAATGCTTACTGGGGCTTCACTTCGCTAGATGCCTGGCTAAGTTGCCTCATTATTTCCCTTGTAGCTGAATGACAGTGGCTGTTTATGGTCTCTTACTCTCAGCCCGTGTTCATCATCCCTCCTTTGCATCATCAGAACAAGTTCTGGGGCTTTTTAAAATCAACTATTTTATAAGGATCACTAGAGAGTGCGCATAGAATCTTAGCATCAAAAAATAACGCACCTGTTTTTCATAGGTAGACACTAAAACTCTGAGACATTAGATAAATATTGCCTATCCTGGCTAACTAGTTGGATAAAGAACAAAATTATGTGAAAATATGTATACATATGTATGTATTTTGTTTTGTTTTCCTTAGAGAGTAAAAGAATCCTTATTGCTCAGTTAGGTAAAGAACACTTATACGTATTGAAGATTTTATATATTTAATAGAAAGTATTCTCCACCCCCTACCATTTAAACAAAAAGGTGTAATGTTCAGTGTCAGAAGTGGTAATATCAAATCTTAATTAGGAATAAACATTTGTTAATTATCTGTACTTTTATTTTTTTCTTCTTCCTGTCAGCCTTTTGAGTATTACAATGATCATTCATTTCTTATCTTTTTTTTTTTTTTTTGAGATGGAGTTTCTACTCTTGTTGCCCTTGCTGGAGTGCAATGGTGCAGTCTCGGCTCACTGCAACCTCTGCCTCCTGGGTTCAAGCAATTCTCCTGCCTCAGCCTCCCGAGTAGCTGGGATTACAGGCGCACACCAACACCCCCAGCTAATTTTTGTATTTTTGTAGAGATGGGGTTTCACCCATCTCCCGGGGTTTCATCCAACTCCTGACCTCAGGTGATCCACGCGCCTCAGCCTCCCAAAGTGCTGGGATTACAGGCGTGAGCCACAGTGCCCGGCCCATTTCTTATTTTTTAATAAAAATAATAGCTTAATACACACAAATACACACTCACACACACACACACACACACACACAAATACATAAAAATCAGTGGTGAGTGCCAGAACACAGTGTTGCATTAAAGAAGTAGCTGACTCGTGGGCCCTGATTGGCCTGGGAGAGGAGAGCAGGTCTATATACCCTCCCCTTTCCCTTTGCTCCTTGCAGACCCCTCCCTCTCACTCAATCTCTCCATGCCCTCTTGAGAAGGGTGATAAAAGTCTAAAGTAAGCCCCACTCAGATGAGGAGACAGAACAGAGGCTGAGTCCTCTGGGCCTGGATTGAAATCTGAAAGGAATTTGGTAGTGTGGTAGTCACTGTCCTGTCTTCCTGGAGTTCAGAGGAGTAAGCACGTCATGCCCAGAGTCACTCTTCATCCAGTGCTAGTGTGTTTCCTAAGGAAACTTTAAAGTAGCCTACATTTCTAAACTTTCTTCTGTAGAGTCCCATAAGTGGTGCAAAAACCCAACAGTATATATTTTACATATTTTTACTTCTTTATTTTTTATTCCCATTATTCTCTCTGTCTGAAAAACCCTTTCCACACCTGCCCCCATTTTTTAACCAACTGGAGTTCTGCTTATTCTTTAAAACCTAGCAAAGATGGCCTCTGTGAGATTCTCTGTAATAAACTTAGTTGTGTTAGATGTTTTCCCTCCTTTTAACCCCTGTTACATTTTATACTGTGTATAGGGTCCTTATTACATCCATTATCAGACTGTAGTTGTTTATGTAGGTGACTTTTTTCTTAGTGAAGTTTTTAAAATAACTGATTAATTTGCTTTTTAGATAAGCACAATCTTAGTAGAAAAATTAGGAAAAATGAGACAAAAAGAAGAAATCACCAATAATCACACTTCCTAGACTACCCAAAATAAATACTGTTAACCATAATTACTGGTGATACTTACATGCTCTTCTAAATGCTTTAATATATTAACTTAGTAGTTCTCAAATGTGAATGTGCATCTCAGTCACCTGGAGGACTTTTTAAAACACAGATTTCTAGCCCCATTTCCAGCATTCCTGATTCAGTAGAGCTGGAGTGGGACCTGAGACTTGCATGTCAACAAATTCTTAGGTTATGCTAAGGCTGGTGGCTCACAGTCTTTACCTGCAGAATCACTGGATTAATTCATTTTAATCCTTACCTTGACTGTATAAAGTAAGTAGTATCATTATCACCATTTACAGATGGGGAAATTGAGGCAGTCAAATAACTTCATCAGGGTCACACAGCTAGTAAATGGCAGAGCCAGGATTCATCCCTAGGTACACTGGATCCTGAGTCTGTGCTCATAGCATGACACTGGGCATGGACCTATAACACCTTATAAGGCATTAACAGAGCACAGAGCCACTCTGGAGACCAGAAAGATAATGAGGTAACCATGAAGCAAGTCTTGAAGGAAGGTTGTGGTTAAGTATTCAGTGATGTGGGAACAGCATGTGTAACAACCTGGAGGAAAGAAAGGGCATGGCTTTTCATGAAATGGTACACAGTTTAGTCTGTCCTCTGTAGGTCTTATTACCCCAGTTGCCCCATGAGGGCAAAGAACTGTTGTGAAATTCCATGCAGAGTATCAGGCCTGTGCTAATGCTCAGTAAACACCTGCCTACTTGACTTTCTCATGATAAGATATGATGAACACTACTTCATAATGAGGAACTAAAATGTCCACACTTTTCTGGTTAACCATGATGAAAAAATAAATTAGGCCATAAACTCTGAAGTATGTCTTACTGTGAACGTTTAGGCCTTAATTTTATTCTGGGGTGTGATGGGTAAGAAATGAGGTGTTATTTTCCTACTTTGAAAGATTAAACTATTTAGCTTAGTGAAGCTCTTTGGTTTGAGTCAATTGCTTTTTATAATTGTGCCTATTTGCAGGTTTTCAGGTGAAATAAAAGCTGCGGAATAAGAATTATAGTCCTCTGCTTCCACTTGGCTCTGGTGACAGAATCACTTACTGTTTATTCTGGGTCTTTTCTTCTCATTGAAGCCTGTATCTTGTTTGTTTTAAATGAGTTGATTCTGCCCTAGGATAATAGAAAAATGTGAAAAACATTTTGGATAGAAATAGATTAGTTTGGAGAAAAACAATTCTTTTAGAAATGTCATTGCTATGGAGAAAAAAACACATAAAAACAGTTTTAAGATTAGCAGTAAACCCTAGGAACTCCTGCAACTTTCTTTTCAAATAGCCTTCATAAAAAAGAAAGGTGTTTTGTATGTGTGTGTGTGCATATGTGTGCGTGTGCACATGTGGGCCCTCACACTTGAGAGGTAGCACATTCTCCTATAAACTCTCCGATATCAATAAACTGGGGTATGTGCTTAAGAATGGTTTTATATTTCTGCCCCAACTATTCAGCTTTACAGATAAGATTACTGATGCTTTGAAAGCATTATGTCAATTCCCAATATCTATATATACATTATAGTCTTCAAAGCACTTTTGCATGTATTGTTCACTGATCATACACTTACATTATTATTTACATATATAATAAACTTTCTTATATTAATAGGCCAGCTACAGATGCATGCATATTGTGAAAACCCAGATATAGTGCTGTGTGGAAACAAGAGTGATCTGGAGGACCAGAGAGTAGTGAAAGAGGAGGAAGCCATAGCACTCGCAGAGAAATATGGGTGAGTATTTTTGTGGAGAAGTCTAGAGAAAACATTTTCAATATAAACATTAGCAGGTGAATGGTAATGAAAAAGATAAAAGTGGACAATTAAAGCAAAACCTCAGCCATAGGCCTTGGGGCATGTTGAATGTGTCCTTTTTATATGATATGATAGTAGGATCCATTGACAATGCATGTGGCAAGGGCCTCCTTCAGTGCTTTGGTCCCATTTTCTCAAACTCTTGGCATTTGCAGAGAGACAACTTTGAGTTGTCTCAGAGGCGCCTTAAGTATGTAAGGCCTTCTTTCCAAGATGCAAATAGGAGACTCCTGGGGTAAAGAAATCCTCCATGTTGAGCGAGGAAATTTCTTTTTTCATTTCTTTTCTTTTTTTTTTTTGAGACAGAGTCTCACACTGTCACCCAGGCTGGAGTGCAGTGGCACAATCTCGGCTCACTGCAACCTCCACCTCCCGGGTTCAAGCGATTCTCCTACCTCAGCCTCCCAAGTAGCTGGGACTACAGGAGTCCACCATCATGCCCGGCTAATTTTTGTATTTTTAGTAGAGATGGGGTTTCTGGTACCATATTGGCCAGGCTGGTCTCCAACTCCTGACCTTGTGACCCACCCGCCTCAGCCTCCCAAAGTGCTGGGATTACAGGTATGAGCCACCACACCCAGCCTCAGCAAGGAAATTTCAAAGCCACTTCATGTACTATTGTAGAGAATGCTAGCATATAAGAAGGGCTTATTGGTTATTGCAGATTAGGTGCTGGTTTTGAAATTTCTATTCTGGGAGAGGAGTGTGAGATCTCCTTTGGCTTAGTCTATGGTCTTGTGGTGGAGGGTCAGCAAAATACTGTCGTTCTCCTTGAGTTCTGGGAATAGGATCATAGCAGCAGCAGCAGCAGCAGCAGCATGAACTGGACATGAAAGAAGTGGTCAGCTGCTGCTTATTAAAGTATTAAAGTGTTAAGGGTGCCTCTAAAAGGAATTTTTACTTTACTTTCTTTCTGCCTCTCACACAATGAGAACCCATATGTAAATTCAAACCCTTAATAGCATTAAAAGAGGAAGGAAGCAAGTGGGTTGAGAAGGGAGGGGAGGGAAATAGAGATGGTGTAGATGGTGTAGGGGATGTTACCTAGTTTGTGGCTTTGGTGGTTAGCAGAATCCAAGAAGGCCAAGAGAAAACCTTTCCCTTTTTATTGTGTGATCACTGCTTTATTCTTTCTTTGGTTGATGGAGGTTCAGAAAGCTGGTAGGGTTTATAGTGGGAAGGGAGGGGGAGGATAGGTTGGCCAGGTAGGAAGAAGCCAGACTCTGGAGGGGTTTGAATACCAGGTAAGGAGATTAGATTTGATCCCTGGAGGACAGGGAGTTGCTGAAAGCCTTTGAGCATGGAGGGATGTTATGTTTACATTTCCAGATCAGTCTATAGGCTATAGGTGGGGAGGGAGGAAAGACTAGAGATTGATAGATTGCAGTGGTCTGTGAGGTGGGCAGAGGCTAGCTTTGTGAAAAAGGAAAAGGAAGAATAAATCAGGAAAAACACATAGAGTAGGGCAGGATTTTAGGTTTTTCTCAAGGCTAGCTCAGCTGAAGGATTCCCATCCACTATAGGCTTACTCTGGCAAGGATTTGCAATTGCATGTAGAGGTTTTTACCCTAGGGCAGATGGTGTTTAACCATGTTAGAAACATCCAGAGAACTTTTAACACATTCTCATGTCTGGGCTTCACCTCTGACCATCAGACATAATTGGTTTGGAGGAGTTTCTCAGGCAGGGTTCACTTGAAGAAGCATACCTATACATGAAGGGATCTGTTACAGGAATTTGAGCATATGCAATTGTGGGAGCTGGGTAAGTAGTCTCTGTAAGGTGTTGTCTTTGTGTCTGATGCTGAAGCCTGAAGGACAGGACAGTCAGACAGGAAGGGGAGAAGGATGTGAAATGGGGGATGGATGGAAAAAGTGAGAACCAGCTGGTGCCCATAATGAGGGACTAAAACCCATGTCACTTCCTGTTGCCTCTGACCTGGCTGGTGTGGGTGTCCTGCAGAAACTGGGGCCCTTTGTCACAGGGCTAACAACATCACCTGGCCCAGGTGCAGGTCTAGTTGCAGGTTTATGACAATAAGATGAGCCAGCAGATAAGCGACAATATATGAGGGCTATGAAATGGAGGTTGCTTCACTTCCTACCCCCAAAATTGCCCCCAAATCTCTTTTGTGGCCCACCCTAACCAGAAAGGGCATTCTGGGAAATGTTGTTTAGCCTAGCCAAGCTGACTCATTACAAAGCCTGGGCATTGGTATCTTTTAAAATCTCCCCACGTGATCTTCATGTGCAATGGTTGAGAACCAGTGACTTAGGTGATTCTGAGGGGGAGGCTGACAGAGTCTTACCGGCCAGTCTGAAATGTCCCCCTGCTCCCCTGAGAGGCACTCATGTAACGTAGTGGAAAAGAAACAGGGAGAGAACGATTACCACAGAGAATGCTGTAGTGTTGAAGCTGTGAGGTATGTTGCAATGGGTAAGGAGGAAGTAAGTGATGAAGCAATGGAAACCATGGATCCTAGAGCATTCTTTTGAGAGTATGTCAGTAAATGCAAAGAAAAAAAAGAAAAAGGCAGTTAGAGGAGTTAGCTAGATCAAACAAGCACATTCAAGTATATTCTCAAGTACTGGGGGAGGGTCAGGCTTGACTTCTTGCCCCTGTGGGCTTTTTCAGCCCTTTGCTTGTTTCCTGTGCCCTCGGTCTTAGGATTCCACAGCCTGTCTGGTTTCACAGAGCCTAACCCTGCCTTCTGTCATATGGGGTATCTGAGGGGTGTGGGGGACTGTCTTTGACCTGTGCCCAGGTCACGATGGTTATGGAGTATTTCATAGAGAGGAGCTCAATCTATAGTTTTTGAATTGGGTTAAAATGAGAAAAGAGGATTTAGCAGATAATGATTGAAACCCTTGAAGAAAGGAAAGGGCTAGAAACAGAGTCCCTTAGGATACAGAAAGCATACCATGTAGTTTGGTAGGCTGTTTGGCACTTTTAGAGGAAAATATGATGGAAAAATTTGGTTCACATGCATTTCACAAATATGGCATATAACTTTAATGATTATTTTCACAGATGTTTTGTTTCATTCTTAGAACATTTACACTGGTTACACATGCACTAAAGGACTATATTGTTTAGTTTATCCATGTGCTAACAGTCAGAAAACAGGATAAAGTTTATGGCATATCTTCATATAATTTGTATGTTGTTTGATAAATTTACATTTTTTGTTACTATTATGCTGTCTTCTATTCTCAATTCATAAAAACAGATCACTGGGGCCAGGTGTGGTGGCTCATACCTGCAATGCCAGCACTTTGGGAGGCCAAGGCAGGTGGATCACCGGAGGTCAGGAGTTCTAGACCAGCCTGGCCAACATGGTGAAACCCCATCTCTACTAAAAATACAAAAAATTAGCCAGGTGTGGTGGCGGGCACCTGTAATTCCAGCTACTTGGGAGGCTGAGGCAGGAGAATCGCTTGAACCCTGGTAAGGCAGAGGTTGCAGTGAGCCAAGATCGCACCATTGCACTCCAGCCTGGGCAACAAGAGCAAAACTCTGTCTCAAAACAAAACAAACAAACAAACAAAAACAAACAAACAAACAAAAAAACCCCAGATCATTGGTTTACAATTGGTTCTCTGGAATAGACATATCAAAGAATCAAACACCATGTCTCAGAAGAACTTTGTAAGCCTAATAAAGAACACTACAGTGCGAAAATGGAATGTTAATCTGTGTGTGCTGGGACAAGTAAATTTGAGAATGAGGACTTCATACAACAGACAAAAATGTAAAGGGCAAATTGTATGCATGATAATGAATATCAGAAAAAAAATTTGTAGTGGCCTAAGAGTCTACCGCTAATTTTCCATGTTTTTTTTTTTGTTGTTGTTTGTTTGTTTTTGCTGTGAAACTTGGTTAAATTGTAATATGAAGCTCTTAGGTCACTTCCTAACAAATCAAAGTGATCTCTGTGGTAAACCAATTGAATTTTCCTGGAACAAATGCAACATAATGGTTTCCAATGTATTATATTGAGTGATATTGTCAATGAAGTTGGAGAAGAGAACAAAACAGAAAGTTGTTCAAATTTGCACTCCTGCCAGCCAAGTGATTACAGTTCACATGGTTACTGAAACACTTTAAAAAGATAGCTACGAAGTCAGTGACAAGTAGAAGAGAAAGCTGAATGAAATATTGGCAACATTCCTCTTTTGGAAGACACTATTAGATCTCAAGCTTCAGTGTGCATCAGAATCAATCACCTGAACACTGGGTCCCGCAGTTTCTGATTCAGTAGGTCTGGGTTGGAGCCCACAAATGTATACTGATGATCAGTTTCTAGATGTTGCTGCTGCTGGTTCAAGACAACACTTTGAGTTCCTATCAAAGACGCATGCTAGCAAACATTTTGCTTGACAGGTGAGCATGCTAGCAGATATTTTCTTTGGACAAAGTCATTCTTGTACAGGATATGAACCAATTGTCTACTTGTGCCATGCATGAGTGAGTGAAATATGCTCAATGACTTCTCATTGGAAAATCCATGCTAAAGAGAGGAAGATTTTTTTTCTCACCCAGTTAATTACATCACCTATGATATAGGCTGGGAAGGGACCTTGGCATTGGTAGTGAGGGAGCACCAACCACAAGTGAGCAGACAAGGGCTTCACTCTGTGACTAAATATGGTTGCGTTGAAATGTCTGTCCATACTTTATTCACAGAGGATAGTTGGTGGTCATAATAAGCCTTTGTTCTTGATTCAGAGTTGAGGAAAATAGAGAAAAATGTGAATATGATCTAAAGCTGGGCATGGTGGCTCATGCCTGTAATCCCAGCACTTTGGGAGGTTGAGGTGGGTGGATCACCTGAGCTCAGGAGTTCGAGACCAGCCTGGCCAACATGGTGAAACCCCGTCTCTACAAAAATATAAAAATTACCTGGGTATGATGGTGGGTGCCTGTAATCCCAGCTACTTGGGAGGCTGAGGCAGGAGAATTGCTTGAACCCAGGAGGCAGAGGTTGCAGTGAGCCAAGATCACACCATTGCACTCCAGCCTGAGCAAAAGAGCGAGGCTCTGCCTCTAAAAAAAAAAAAAAAAAGAATGTGAACTAAGAATGACAACTGAATGTACATATTTTGTGTACTGTGCAAAGAAATGGGCAGCAAATTTAAGATGATGTTCTCCCTGCTGAAGGCTGCTGGTTATTGCTGAGGAAGATGCTCAAGAGTTCTGGAATGAAAGAGGAATTAAAAATATTTATTTACAACATTAATAATATCAGTATGGATCATTTCAGGGATTTCAAGTAGCTTAATTCAACAGCATGCTCACTGTTTTCTCTAGTTTGAACTAGATGAAATGCGGTACAAATAGCTTGATCTCTAATAGTTTAGTCTTTTAAAACTTGATTACATCTTTTCTTGATTTGAGAAATAACTTAGCGATGTAGCATTGGGCATGTTTGAAAAGTACACAAATAAGTCAAACATACAAGACTGATTCACAGAGCTCCATTTAACTCAGCAGAGGATCTGGATTTCATTTGCTGCAATATCCCAGGTTCAAACAGTCAGCACACCAGCCATTTCCTGGAAATGTTGTTCAATTAGCATCCAACAGACTGTGAAAAGTAGTGTGAAACTCACTTCTCACTTTAGTGAGACGTTTGTTCATAATTTCTAGATCTACATGTGAGCCAAATATCTACAGCCATTTGACAGAACCACCAAACATACTTGCTGTTATTCCTGGCAACCTCTAACTGAGATTTAGGATCTTTTAGTTTTGTGAGAATAAATAATGGAAAAGAAATCAGGATGCTGACCTACGCCACAAGCAAGATCTTGGTGAAAAACTGCAAATGCTTATGCCCCTCTCATTGATTTGAATCTGTTTACTTAAATTTTTTATTTTAAAATTTGTGATTAATCTATTTTTGGAAATGCATTATAATTAATGGTCTCCATGTACTCCAAATGGCCTTTAAGTGGCCACTTACAGACTGGTAATAACGATGAGCAGTGCTGAATTTTTTCGTCTTTGGCAATACGGCTCCATGGTGGTGCTACATTAGCACCACCATGTGGAGAAAAGGAACAATAGCACTCTTTCTATGGTTAAAATGGGAACAATACATCCTCTTGAATTTTTTTTTTTTTTTTTTTTTTTTTTTTTTTTGAGATGGAGTGTAGCTCTGTCACCCAGCTGGAGTGCAGTGACACGATCTTGGCTCACTGTAACCTCTGCCTCCCAGGTTCAAGCGATTCTCCTGCCTCACCCTCCCGAGTAGCTGGGGCTACAGGTGTGCACCACTGTGCCCAGCTAATTTTTATATATTTTTTTTAGTAAAGACGAGGTTTCACCATGTTGGCCAGGTTGATCCTGAACTTTTGGCCTCAAGTGATGCACAAGTCTCGGCCTCCCAAAGTGCTGGGATTACAGGTGAGCCACCGCCTCCAGCCTGGAACATCATTTTCTTATGGAAAGAAAGTCTTAATTCAGGGTCTTTTCTATGGCTCTCATCTAGTTTGCTAGATGAGATTACAGCCCAATTACTGGCACAGAGCTGAGAGTGGAGTGAACTCTATTCACTTATTCCTGTAGAAATGAAAATCTTACTGCCTCAAATTGCTCAGAAAACTCTGAGTGATTAGTCTAAGGATTTTTAAAGTTGTTAACCTGACTCCTGGTCCCATGACCTAGAGGTTTACAAATGGCAAGAAAGTATACTTTTAATTGAAAGAAGTTTGTTACTTGAATTTGGAGTTACAAATCTAAAGTATGTCTTGTTAATATTGTGTGTCTTTTAGCATGAGTAACTTGAAAAGTTAGAGCTCTTATACCTTGAAATTATACCAATTAAATATTTGCTTAAGTTAATAAACATTGGACAGTAGCTCACAGCTCTGCTAGAAGCATCATTTATACGTCAGTATTAATCAGTAGAGTAAGATCCATTGTCTTCCAGCATTTCATGAAGATTGCTTGGAAAGTGAGGAGTTTAATGAGGAGTAAGGGAGGCAAATGCTTTGGAGGCACAAAGCACTTTGGCCAGGACAGGTCTGAGTGCAGCATCTCTGGTGTAGGGAGGCGTGGTCCCAGGTACCAGAATTAGAGCAGTATTGTAGATTTTATAGATCAGCTACATTGTGGATTAAACCAATGTTCATGGGTTAGTTTGCAAATTTATTTTTATTTTTTATTCTTTTTTTTTCACACAACACACAGATTGAGAATTTAATGTTTACCATGTTGCTAGTGACATTGCTTTTTTGGGATGATGTATTCTGAGTTTTTGTTTTTCTTTTCTGAGACAGAGTCTCCCTCTGTTGCTCAGGCTGGAGTGCAGTAGCACCGCCTCGGCTCACTGCAACCTCTGCCTCCTGTGTTCAAGAGATCTCCCGTCTCAGCCTCCCTAGTAGCTGGGACTACAGGCACGTGCCACCATGCCCAGCTAATTTTTGTGTTTTTAGTAGAGACAGGGTTTCACCATGTTGGCCAGGCTGATCTTGAACTCCTGACCTCAACTCCGACCCTGCCTTGGCCTCTCAAAGTGCTGGGATTACAGGTGTGAGCCACGGTGCCTGGCTGTGTTCTGAGTTTTAAATAACATCATTACAAATAAGCTTTTATCACCTAACCCAATTCTGTGTTGGAAATAAGAAACATTTATTGTTTGTACATGTGTCAGGTTCTGATCTAAGTGCTTTAAATATTAACTCATTTAATCATTACAAGAAGATACTGATGTTATTTGGTATTACAGATGAAGCAGCGGAGGCACAGAGGTTAAACTTTTGTCAGAATCACAGTTGGTAAGATGTACTACTAGGATTTGAAGCCAGGCAGCATGACTCCAGAGGTTATGACTTCTTTTTTTTTTTTTTTTTTTTTTTGAGACGGCGTCTCCCTCTGTTGCCCAGCCTTGAGTGCCGTAGCACGATCTCGGCTCACTGCAACCTCCGCCTCCCAGGTTAAAGTGATTCTCCTGCCTCAGCCTCCTGAGTAGCTGGGATTATAGGCGCCTGCCACCACGCCTGGCTAATTTTTGTATTTTTAGTAGAGACGGGGTTTCTGGTCTTGAACTCCTGACCTCAGGTGATCCACCCGTCTCAGCCTCCCAAAGTGCTGGGATTACAGGCGTGAGCTACCGCGCCCGACCTGAGGTTATGACTCTTTTTTTTTTTTTTGAGACGGAGTCTCGCTCTGTCGCCCAGGCTGGAGTGCAGTGGCGCGATCTCGGCTCACTGCAAGCTCCGCTTCCCGGGTTCACGCCATTCTCCTGCCTCAGCCTCCCGAGTAGCTGGGACTACAGGCGCCCGCTACCACGCCCGGCTAATTTTTTGTATTTTTAGTAGAGACGGGGTTTCACCGTGTTAGCCAGGATGGTCTCGATCTCCTGACCTCGTGATCCGCCCTCCTCGGCCTCCCAAAGTGCTGGGATGACAGGCGTGAGCCACCGCGCCCGGCCGGTTATGACTCTTAACCATTGATCCATGTTGTTGATAACTTCCATGCACAGGTTTTATAGTTTTCAAAGTACTTTCACTATGTTTTCTCATTTATTCCTCAAAAATGATGGTGAAGTAATTTTCAGGAGCTGTGGAGGAAAATTAAGGAATCAAATGAGGCTGGAGACTCTGGAGTTGGAAAGATATTTGTAACTGATTTTGAGAGAATTTTTAAAATGAAGTATACATTATTGTGATTTAGCATTTTAAAAAAGCTTACTGTTCAACTACTTTTTAAGAAATTTCCAATTTATTCTGTTGCGGGAGATCTGAGTTTTTCAACTGCTTTTTCATGTAATGTATTTCTGAAAGGTGATAGAATGGTCAAACCCTCTCCTTAAGTATAAGAAATGTTCTGTGGACATTAACTGATTTTTAATGGATATAATTGAGAAAGATCATAATGAAGAAAATGTAACAATTTACATTTTGAAAAATCTCATTCTAAAATTCTATTCTTGTAACAATGGCATCACAAGCTATCCCCAGGATTTTAGCTCAATAATATTATAGATTCTTGATAAATAAACACATATTGACTCCAGTCACAAAGGATTGCCTCTTCAAGTTGTTAATCAAATATTACATGTGACTAGTGAGGGACAGAGATGCATTATCTTCATTTTGTGTGCAAGGTGATAGATGGAGGAAAAAAGATTGACAGTAACTAAGAGGCAAGCAGGAGGTTTAAAAACTGCGAAGACCATGTCATTTTTCCCAACAAACTTTTTTCTGATTAAGATATTTTAGAGTCAGGAAATAAAAGGATGATAGAATATGAGCATGGTGGAGTTAGGGGAGCAACTCTGCCTTGCAGAACTCACAGGTGGGTGGATAAACACTCAAATGAGGTGATAGTTTCTCAACCAGTTTTTGTTGTTGTTGTTGTTGTTTTGAGACGGAGTCTCGCTCTGTCGCCCAGGCTGGAGTGCAGTGGCGTGATCTTGGCTCACAGCAAGCTCCACCTCCTGGGTTCATGCCATCCTCCTGCCTCAGCCTCCCGAGTAGCTGGGACTACAGGCGTCCACCACCATGCCTGGCTAATTTTTTGTATTTTTAGTAGAGACGGGGTTTCACCATGTTAGCCAGGATGGTCTCGATCTCCCGACTTCGTGATCCGCCCGCCTTGGCCTCCCAAAGTGCTGGGATTACAGGCATCAGCCATCGCGCCCGGCCTCAACCAGTTTTTAATAGCTGTGCTAAAACAGAGAATTGCAGAGATTCAGTTGCAAGGCCTTATCACCTCCTGGAGGAAGTTATCAAATAATAAGACAGCATTACTGAGGAATCATACTGGAAAAATAGCCTTATGTCCCTACACATATATCCTCTAAATCAGTGGTCCCCAACCTTTTTGGCACTGGGAACTGGTTTCATGGAAGACAATCTTTCCATGGACCAGTGGAGGTGTGGGTGGTTTTGGAATGATTCAAACATATTACATTTATTGTGCACTTTATTTCTATTATCATTACATTGCCATATATAATGAAATAATTATACGGCTCACCATAATGTAGAATCAGTGGGAGCCCTGAGCTTGTTTTCCTGCAACTGGACAGTCCCATCTGGGGGTGATAGGAGACAGTGACAGATCATCAGGCATTAGATTCTCATAGGAGAGTGCAACCTAGATCCCTCACATGGGCAGTTCACAATATGGCTTGTGCTCCTATGAGAATCTAATGATGCTGCTAATCTGACAGGAGACAGAGCTCAGGTGGTAATGTGAGTGATGGGGAGCAGCTGTAAATACAGATGAAACTTGGCTTGCTCGCTGGCCCCCTGCTTACCTCCTGTTGTGTGGCCTGGTTGCTAACAGGCCATGGATTGGTACCAGTCTGTGGCCTGGGGATTGGGAACCCTTGATCTAAATATGCTTCTTAGTAACATCAGAAGTGAAAGAGTTCTGAAAAGATCTGTAAAAGCATTAACAAGTTAAAAAAGAAAACTTTACCAAGCTCTCATATAGAAGCTGTTACTAGCCAAGAAAGAATAAAAGAGTAAGGTAAATTGTAATCAGAGTAACTGATGTAGTTGTTAACATGCTATGAGAATACAGAAAAACAAAAACATTCTTCAAGAACAGTAATCGTGGAGGACTTTAAAGTTCTAATAAATTTAAGAAATACTTTACTGAATTCAATTGCAGGACTCCCTGAGATAATAAAATAACTTTGCTTTGTTGTTTTGATATCTAAGAACATTTTGGTTAGATTCCTCACAAGTGGTGGCAATGAAGTCAACAGTTGAAGGAAATACAATGTTATCACGACTTTCATGGCTTTATTGAAAAGCAAGGTGAATTTGTCACTTGATTAATCCTGTTGCAAAGACCATCTCAAATGTATAAAGGATGACTTCGACAAGAAGTCTGATTTCTCAAGATTATGTGAAAAACAGCTATACAGTTTTGAAGCAATGCTTTGTGAGTTATTTAAAAATTACACCTGTACCACAGGTCTTTGGATAACAAAACAAATGTATACTTAAGATTTGATGGGCTGGGTGCGGTGGCTCATGCCTGTAATCCCAGCACTTTGGGAGGCCGAGGCGGGTGGATCACGAGGTCAGGAGATCGAGACCATCCTGTCTAACATGGTGAAACACCGTCTGTACTAAAAATACAAAAAATTAAACGGGCGTGGTGGCAGCCGCCTGTAATCCCAGCTACTTGGGAGGCTGAGGCAGGAGAATGGCGTGAGCCCGGGAGGCGGAGCTTGCAGTGAGCCAGGATGGCGCCACTGCACTCCAGGCTGGGCAACAGAGTGAGACTGTCTCAAAAAAAAAAAAAAAAAGATTTGTTGCTCTTGAGCAACTTGATGCTGTAAAATTCAGAATGTCTTCAAGTGTATGGTCCAGAAATATAGTCTGGAGTTGGTAAGTGGCAAAGCCTTTGATAAACATGGCCAGTGACCTCTGAATACTCCCCAAAGCCAGCGTTTTCTTCTTGTACAGTGCATAAGATTTATTTATTTTGAAAATCCTCATACTAGTTTGGAACCAGTAGAACCTATGGTTAAACTGGCTGCATTGGAATTAGCTGTGGACCCAAATCCTAACTCTGCTACTTTCTAGCATTGTGAATTGGGCAAGTTCCTTTCATCTTTCTCAGCCTTAGTTTAATCATTTGTGAAATGGGAATATTGTGTACCTGAATACAGTAGTGGTTATATTTAGTGAATCATGTATGTAAGACACATAGTATTGGGTAGCTCAAGAAATAATTTTAGTTATTTTTTCCTTCAATCTTAAATGACTCATATATATCAGCTAGTTTCAATTCAGGCAAACCAGAACACTCTGAAGAGCATATACAAGAAATCCCTGAAGCAAAAAAGGGGGAAAAGCTAAAAAAAAAAAAAAAAAAAAGGTTATAGTCCAGGAAACTCATTTAATAAAATAGCATGTTGCAAAATTTGAATTTACCCAGTTTTTTTCTTCTAGTTAGTAGTTTTGGAAATCAGTATTCTTTGAACTAAACACTGAGAAGACATTTCCTATTTTGTTTTACAAGACATAGTATAGTATATGAGGACCTGTATAAGAAAACAGGAAGAGCCTACTTGCTTCTCTGTCATTTATTAGCTGAATAACATTGATCAGACCGCTTAACTTTTCTGGGCCTTCTTGCCACAGGCCTGCTTTAAGAGTTTTTTTCTAACCTAAAGATTACACCAAAAAACATTTAGAACTGATCAACGAATTCAGTAAAGTTTTAGGATACAAAATCAACATACAAAAATCATTAGCATTTATATACACCAACAGGGAACAATCTGAAAAAGAAATCAAGAAAGCAATCTCATTTACAATAGCTGCAAAGAATATAAAATACCTAGAAATCAATTTAACCAAAGAAGTGAAGCATCTATACAAGGAAAACTATAAAACACAGGTGAGAGAAATTGAAGAGGACACCAAAAATGGAAAAATATTCCATACTTTTGGACTGGAATAATTAATATTGTTAAAATGATAACACTTCCCAAAGCAATTTACTGACTCAATGCAATCCCTATCAAAATACCAATAATATTCTTCACAAATATCGAAAAAAATCCTAAAATTTATATGGAACCACAAAAGACCCTCAATAACTGACAAAATCCTGAGGAAAAAAGCCCAAAGCTGGAGACCTCACACTGACTTCAAAGTTTACTACAAAGCTATAGGAACCAAATCAGCATGGTACTGGCATAAAACAGACACATAGGCCAATGGAACAGAACAGAGAACCCAGATATAAATCCATGCATTTACAGACAACTCATCTTGGACAAAAGTACCAAGAACAGAGGGGAAAGGACATTCTCTTCAATAAATGATGCTGGGAAAACTACATAGCCACATGCAGAACAATGTAACTAGACCCCTATCTCTCACCATATATAAAAATCAACTCAAAATGAATTAAAACTTAAATATCGGACTTGAAACTATGAAACTACTAGAAGAAAACATTTGGGAAACACTCCAGGTCATTCGTCTGGACAAAAACTTTTTGTGTAAGACCACAAAACACAGGCAACCAACACAAGAATAGAAATATGGGATTTATATCAAGCTAAAAAGCTTCTACACAGCAAAGGAAACAACAAAATGAAGAGATAACCCATAGAATGGGATAAAATATTTGCAAACTACCCATCTGATCAGGGATTAATAACGAGAATATATAAGGGGCTCAAATAACTCAATAGCAAAAACAAATAATCTGTTTTAAAAATAGGCAAAAGATCTGAATAGACATTTCTCAAAAGATCTGCAAATGGCAAACAGGTGTATGAAAAAATGCTCAATATCACTACTCAGAGAAAGGCAAATCAAAACTGCAATGAGATAACTTCTCATCCAGTTAACATGACTTTTATCCAAAATATAGGCAGTAATTCCCCCCCCCTCAAAAAAAAAAAAACCACACCTAAATACAGGCAATAGTGGATGCTGGTGAGGATGCAGAGAAAGGTGAACCCGTACATTGTTGGTGGGAAAGTAAATTAGCATAAGCACTGTGGAGAAAAGTATGGATGTTCTTAAAAAAAAAAACTAAAAATAGAACTACCATATGATCCAGCAACTCCACTAATATATATGTGTGTATATATACATACACATACATGTGTGTATGTATACACACATACATATGTGTGTACGTATATATGTATGTGTATGTATACATACACATACATATATACACTATATATACATATGTGTATGTGTGTATATATACACACATATATGTGTATATATGTATATGTACACACACATATGTGTATATATGTACATGTACACACACATATATATGCGTATATATGTACATGTACACACATATATGCGTATATATGTACATGTACACACATACGCACATATATGCGTATGTGTGTACATGTACATACATATATGTGTGTATATACATACACACACATATGTGTATATATGTATACACACACATATATGTATATATGTATATACACACATATATGTGTACACACATATATGTATATATACACACATGTGTGTATATATGTATACATACACACATATGTGTGTATATATGTATATGTACACACATACACATATATATGTGTATATATATGTGTATATATATTAGTGGAAGTTTTCTTAAAAGTTTTATGTAAGTTTTCTTAGGAGAGAGATATATATATATCCCAAAAGATATATAGAGATGTATATCAGATATATCAAAAGGGTATTTGCTCTCTGTACTCCCATGTTTATTGCAGCACTATCCACAAGAGCTAAGATATGCAATCAATCTACCCATCAATGGATGAATGGATAAATAAAATATGGTTTATATATACAATGGAATGTTATTCCACCATAAAAAGAATGAAATCCCATCATTTGCAGCAGCTTGGATGGAACTGGAGATCATTATGTTATGTGAAATAGCCAAACACAGAAAGACAAATGTTGCATGTTCTTACTCATATGTGGGAGCTACAAAGGTGGATCTCATGAAGATAGAGAGTAGATTGGAGAATACCAGAGGCCAGGAAGGGTAGGAGGGAGTGGAGGATGAAGAGAGATTGATTAATAGGTACAAACATATGGTTTGATAGAAGAAATAAGATGTAGTGTTAGAAGGATCAGTAGGGTGACTATAGTTTACAACAATCTATTGTATATCTTGAAATAGCTAGGAGGGAAAAATTCCAATCGTTCTAGTATAAAGAAAAGACAAATATTTAAGATTATGGCAATCCCAAGTATACTTATCTTTACACATTATATCAGTGTATTAAATGATCATATTTACTCTGAAACTATATTATGCATAAATAAAAAATAAAATTTTCTTACAGATACAATTGAAGTCCCTTTTAAAATTCCTTGCTGATTCCATTCTCCTTCCTACCTCCTCAGAGGGAACCACACTATATCTACTTCCTATAGCAGATGTTGTTGGTTGCCTAGACAATATTCATGCCTTTATTTATAGAATCTCAATTTTCTTTAGCTATCTACTCTGCTTCTAGAGGACATGCTACTTAAGAGAGGCAGGTGCCAGCCACCAGCCCAGGAAGACTGATTGGTTTAAGCCAGTGATGGTGGTGTACCATTCCTCTTGCCAGAGTTTGGTTTAGGCATTGGCATGTGATACAGTTTTGACCAATGAGACACGAGGGAAAGTCTTCCAGGGACTTGTGGGAAAGATTTCCTCTCTCCTGAGGGAGGCACACAGAGGAAGAGTCCTTTCTTCCTTGGAACTTCGGTGTGTTGAGATGTGATGCCTGGAATGTTTTAACTTCTGGGGTCATGAAGGGAGTCAGATTGTGGAGAAAGCTGACATGTGGAGGATGGCAGAACAGAAGGATGATATGAATCTAGGCTCTTTGTTTCTACCGTTTGGCAACCGAATTAACACTGGAAACTCTCTAGTTCTGTGTTCATTATGCATTACAATAAATTCCTACTTGTGATTCATGCCAATTTGAGCCACAATTTTCGGTTACTTTTAGCTAAAAGCAGTCAAAATTATATATTTCTAGTCCAAGAAGTTGTACTTTTACTACATAGATGTTTTTATAATGATGTGTAATTGTTGTCTTCACACAAATGATCTTGTATCATACAAGTTGGTTTTTTAATTCAATGTTTAATTTTTGCCATGTTGATACAGTTTAAGCATTGTATAATTCATTGTATAAAAATATCACTATTCATGCGCTTATTGATGGACGTTTAGGTAAATTTTTTCCCTATTACAAATAGTTCTGCAATATCTATTCCATTAGACGATGCCACGTGCACATATGTGAGAGCTTCTCTAGGGCTGCACTATCCAGTGTGATAGCCACTGGTCACATGTAGCTATTTAAGTTAAAATTAAAAGTTCAGGTTTTTTGGCCAGGTGTGGTGGCTCATGCCTGTTATCCCAGCACTTTGGGAGTGGAGGCAGACAGATCACTTGAGGTCAGGAGTTTGAGACCAGCCTGGCCAACATGATAAAATTAGCTGGGAGTGGTGGCCTGTTCCTGTAGTCCCAGCTACTTGGGAGGCTGAGGGACGAGAATCGCTTGAACTTGGGAGGCAGAGGTTGCAATGAGCCAATATCACACCATTACACTCCAGCCTGGGCAACAAAGTGAGACTCCATCTCTAAAAAACAAAACAAAACAAAAACAAAAACAAAAAAGTCGCATTTTTGGTTGCATTAGCCACATTTTAAGTGCTCAATAGCTACATGTGGCTAGTAGTTATTGTACTGGATGATATACATATGGAAAGTTCCTGTCACTGTGGGAAGTTCTATTGGATAGTGCTGCTCCAGCACAGGGTTTCTGAATATTTTTCATAGGATGGCACCTGCAGAAAATGATAATATTTGTACAGCTCACTGGGATAAATAGATAAGGCTGCTCAAGTTTGGAGGAGACTGGTTCAGGGACTCTGGCTGCCCTAAGACCTTCTCAGTTGCCCTAAGGACTGAGGGATTGCTGATGTCTCATGTATCCCTGTAACTCACTTCCTGCCCATCAACATGCCTTGGCTCTGCTTTAGATGTATACCCAGGAGTGCTGTTGCTGGGTCATAGTGCATGCATGTTTCAATTTTATCAGATATTACCGTCTTATTTTCCAAAGTAGTTATTAACAGTTTATACTTACATAAGCAGTAAGTGCAAGTTCCTCTTTTCTTCTCCTTGGCAATACTTAATATTGGGAGATTTCTATATTTTTGCCAATCTGATGGGTGTGAGTTAATATACCATTATTTTAACTTGCATTTCCCTTATTTTGGGTGAGGTTGAACATTTTTTCACAAATGTAATTTCTTAGAATTTCCCGTGCATATCCTTAGTCTGTTTTGTATTATCTTGTTTATTACTTTAATTCATTTGAGGAATTATTTTTTCGGATGCTAACCCGTTTGCAAGTTATATGAAATGCCATGTATTTCGGCCTGTCGCTCATCTTTTAACTTTGCTTATGATATATGTTGTGGCACCAAAGTTTTAAACTTTAACATTGTCAAGATTATCAAACTTATTCTCTGTGGTTTGAGCTTTTATAGCTATATTAAGAAATCCTTTCTTATTCCAATGTCAAAAAGATAAGACTGTTGTATGTTCTTCTAAAAGTTTTCAAGTTTTACTTTTCACTTAGAGGAATTTAAACGGCTTTCATACCAATAATCAAGTTTTAAATTCTTAAAACTAGGCTGGGTGCAGCAGCTCACACCTGTAGTCCCAGCACTTTGGAGGCCAAGGCGGGTGGGTAGCTTGAGCTCAGGAGTTCGAAACCAGCCTGGGCAACATGGTAAAACCCTGTCTCTACAAAAAAATACAATAATTAGCCAGGTGTGGTGGTGTGCGCCTGTGGTCCCAGCTACTTGGAAAGCTGAGGTAGGAGGATCGATGCCTGGGAAGTCGCCTGGGAACTGAGATCGTGCCACTGCACTCCAGCCTGGGTGATAGAGACTCTGTCTCAAAACAAAAAACCCTCCAAAAACTTAAACGAAAAAAGATTTAATTCTGTCTCTGTCTTCCAGAATCCCCTACTTATATCTTTTTATAAATTTTTTACAGTAAATCAGTATGTATTGCCAAAATATATATATGGTCCTTTAAAAAATGAAAATTGATTTTTTTTGAGACAGTCTAACTCTATTGCCCAGGCTGGAGTGCGGTGGCACAATATTGGCTCACTGCAACCTCTGCCTCCCAGGTTCAAGTGATTCTTGAGCCTCAGCCTCCCCAGTAGCTGGGATTACAGGTGTATGCCACCATTCCTGGCTAATTTTTGTATTTTTTGTAGAGATGGGGTTTCCGCATGTTGGCCAGGCTGGTCTTAAACTCCTGACCTCAGGTGATCTGCCCACCTGAGCCTCCCAGAGTGCTGGGAGGTGTGAGCCACTGCGCCCAGCCAAAAATTGATATTTTGAAGAGTCTAAAATTTCCAGTTTTGCATATCTACTGGAAATGCAGTGTGAGTATTTTATTGTCTTTTTAACTTTTTAATGTACTCTGGGGTGGTAAAATGTTTGTCATCTTGTATATTTGTATTCTATCGATTCTCTAATTTGAATTATCAAGAGCAAAGGTCACTCTCCTTTCCCTCCACATGTTGTTACCTCAGTTGTCTCTGTCTTCCAGAATCCCCTACTTTGAAACTAGTGCTGCCAATGGGACAAACATAAGCCAAGCAATTGAGATGCTTCTGGACCTGATAATGAAGCGAATGGAACGGTGTGTGGACAAGTCCTGGATTCCTGAAGGAGTGGTGCGATCAAATGGTCATGCCTCTACGGATCAGTTAAGTGAAGAAAAGGAGAAAGGGGCATGTGGCTGTTGAGAAGTCAAGTAAGCGACATAGTAGTTCAGGTGGCCCATGCCTGGGATCTTCTCTATGATTGATACATGGCACAGTGAGAGATTAATGGGCATTGTGTACAAATTGCTTCTCACCATCCCCATTAGACCTACGAATAAAGCATCCGGTTCTAAAATTAATTTGTTGCAGCTTTGTAAATATTTCTTTAAGATTCAGCCTGAGAGTTAGGAGAAATATTTCAGAGCCAAAAGTGCCTTATACAACCTTAGCCTATTATAGTAAATCATTCAAGGATTCAGAATTTTGCAGTCACAGAAGAGTGTATTTATTATGTAGAATGAATGAGGGTACTGTCACCTGCCTTAATGTAGGTAGGCCCAGAGTCTTACATTTAAGATCTTACATGCAGTTATAAAACCGCCACAGTCTTCAATCCAGATTTGAAGACTCATGCCATAGGTGACATTCTAAAATACCATTAAAGCCACTTAAATGTTAAATAAGAATATACATGCACATCAGCTCAATGTCTTTGAGTATTAATTTTATGTAAGCATTCTATTTAACATGAATATAGGACAAATCATGGCTATATCTATAGACCTTGGATAAACTGGATTGACCAATTATACACTCACGGTGACTTTTTTATTGGTGGGAAGGGGATTGGGGTGGGGCAGGCTGGCTTAATGTAATATGAGCAACCAAAGTGGGACTTCTGTCTCCCCGCTATATTCCCATTGCTCTGAATGGTTGATTGAAGGGTCAGGGAACTAGATTTTATGGCTTTAGTTCACTGTGATTGTACATTTATACTTGGCCTATGTGCTGGCCGCACCTGAACATAGCTGGTGCTTATGCCGAGTTATTTGCGATGAGTAAATATTTAGTTTCTTTTTCTTCATATTTATAATGTTGATCTGGCATCCTCAGGCTGCAGCTTTATTAGCTTATAACTTACTCATCTCTATCTTTACCAGCAGGCTCTGTATTGTTGATATTTGCAACTTGTTTTGCTTTTCCATTGGTGGAATTGAAATAATTAGTTTTTAATTACATAAGATGCCTGTTTGCTATTTGGTGGAAGATAGATGTTCATATTGAAGCAGTCACATTTGTACTGTAGTTCAATAAAAGAAAAATGAAGTATTCTGTAGCCTATATTTTTCATAGAGCTCATGAGCATTTACTGTACTTGCTGGGTCTTGCCAAGATCATTTATTCCGCTGCATTGCCAAAGTGTCTTCATACCAAATTAAAGGTGGTTTTAATATATGTTTCATGGAAGTTGTTTATAAAATTCAAAGGTATTTCATTTAGGTGAAAAGTCTTATTTATTAAAGTGGTTTGAATAAAGTAGATCAAAACTTCCAGAGATCTTAATGGCTATATAGGAAGAAATATCACTCACCATAATTTAAATAAAGAATAAAAATACTTGTATTTTGTGGTGGCAAATGTTTGGTAGAACTGTAATTAGAAAAATACAAGTATATTTGCGTGATGGTTACACTAGAAGCCCAGACTTTACGACTACACAATATATTCATGTATCTAAACTGTACTTGTACCCCCTAAATTTATTTTTAAAAAAGGAAAAATAAAAGTATCATGAAAAAACCTATTTTTTTTTCCACTGTCCTTCCACTACTCCCATAACAAACTTATCCATGGTTGGTAAAATTTTACATATTTCTATCCTTGAAATGAAGGCTTCTTTTAAATTCCAAAGAAGTCATGGAGGCCTGTGCATTTGAATTGTATATGCTAGTGAGGAAAAGATTTAGACATTTCAAGAGCAGGGTTGGCCAGGCGCGGTGGCTCACACCTGTAATCCCAGCACTTTGGGAGGCCGAGGAGGGCGGATCACGAGGTCAGGAGATCGAGACCATCCTGGCTAACACAGTGAAACCCCATCTCTACTAAAAAAAAAAAAAAAAAAAAAATGGGCTGGGCGTGGTGGTGGGCACCTGTAGTCCCAGCTACTCAGGAGGCTGAGGCAGGAGAATGGCGTGAACCTGGGAGGCGGAGCTTGCAGTGAGCCGAGATTGCGCCACTGCACTCCAGCCTGGGCGACAGAGGAGACTCTGTCTCAAAAAAAAAAAAAAAAAAAAAGAGCAGGGTCATAATCACACAGCAGTGCCTTATATAGTTGCCATAAGACTTCAGTGCAGTACAACATAATTTTACAGCTACATATCAGGGCATATTCTATATGGTGTATTTGTGTTAGAATAACACATTAAATGTCTTTAAACATAAAAATAAGAATGTTTGCATGTTTCAGTTTTCAAGAACCAAATGAGTAATTAGCTATAGATTCCACTGGCCTTAAACATACAATTAAGTGTATACATGATATAGTGCACACACAAAAGCCACCTTTAATTATTGAAATAACCTGTATTCTTTTTGGAAATCATTTAAGTTTGGTATTGAAGTACTATATTTTTTGTGCATCAATGTATTTTTCTATTTACAAGCCTATGTAAAAGTGAAGTGTATCTTCAGTGAACCATGTGCCAATTAAGCTGTAATAAAAAAGTGGTCTAGTCTGTCAAATTTGTGTGTGAACGTAACTGTATTTATTATCACAAAGTTTCATACCAGAGGTTGTAATGCCAAAGGAAATGAAATTCAGGGATACACGTTCCATTAGGTGCTCACTGAGGGGCCAGCCAAGACAACATATTCTGGAAAAGTAATTAAAAATGTTATCAGGTTGGGCGCAGTGGCTCACGCCTGTAATCCCAGCACTTTGGGAGGCCGAGGCAGGCAGATCACCTGAGGTTGAGAGTTTGAGACCAGCCTGACAAACATGGAGAAACCCCATCTCTACTAAAAATACAAAATTAGCTGGGCGTGGTGGCGCATGACTGTAACCCCAGCTACTTGGGAGGCTGAGGCAGGAGAATCGCTTGAACCCAGGAGGCGGAGGTTGCACTCCAGCCTGGGCAACAAGAGCAAAACTCTGTCTCAAAAAAAAAAAAAAAGTTATCAAACATATATTGAGCACCTATATTTGGGAAGTGTTGTAGTAGACAATCTCAGATAAACAAAACAAGGATGATTGAGGCCTGAACTAAGATCATGCAGGGCTGAGAGATGATGCAAGAGACACTGGGGAGGGTACAGTCATGGACTGGATGAGGAGGGTATATGTGGAGAGATGGCTTCTCTGACCTTCTGACCTTATTTCTTACCACTGTCCAACTCACTCTTCTCAGGCACACTGGCCTCCTTGGAGCAGTCAAGCATGTTCCTGCCTCAGATCTCTTGCATTTGCAGTTCCCTCTGTCTGGAATGCTAGTGTTCCATGTATACCTCTCCTATCCTTTAAGACTGTTCAAATGCCACTTTGTCCAAAGAACTTTACTGACCACCTTATATAAAAGAGCAGTCACTCCCATTCATGGCCCCAACCAGATTGTCACTCCTTGACCTGTTGTTCTGCTTTGCGTTTCTTCATATCACTCAATGTAAATATTTCACCACCTGATGTATTTACAATTATTCTTAGCCAAGAGGCTGACAAGTGATTCACTTGACATATTTATATATTTGTCTACATCCACTAAGATACAAGCTCCACAAACAAGGACAGGGATTTAGGTAGTTTTCTTCAAAACTGTTACCGTCACTCAGAAAAAGGCCTGGTACACAATAGGTACTCAAATTTTTGTTAATTGACTGAGTAAAGGACTTAAAGAGGCAGCAGGGTCAAGAGAGTTTTCAAAAGAGGCCACTGTTAATGTTAAAAGACAGAAAAACGCAATTTGAAAATAAAAACAGCGTTAAAAATGTTTAAAAAGGTTCACATATAGTAAGTCCATACTAATTCATTGCAAGAAATCAAGAAATCTAGGCCAGGTGTGGTGGCTCATGCTTGTAATCCCAGCACTTTGGGAGCTGAAGTGGGTAGATCACCTGAGATCAGGAGTTGGAGACCAGCCTGGCCAACATGGTAAAACCCAGTCTCTACTAAAAATGCAAAATTAGCTGGGCGTGGTGGTTCATTCCTGTAATCCCAGCTACTGGGGAGGCTGAGGCAGGAGAATCGCTTGAACCCGGGAGGCAGAGGTTGCAATGAGCCGAGATCACGCCACTGAACTCCAGCCTGGGTGACGAAGCAAGACTTCATCTCAAAAAAAAAAAAAAATTAAGAAATCTGAGAGATAATTTCTGATCTTTTGAAGTTGATGTCAAGATGGCTAACAATCTATTTAAGACATGTTTCACTTGGTATTTTTATAAATTGGAAATCTCTATGGTGGTATTTCCAGCTCTTCTGTTATTGGTAATATAGGTATTTATAAAACTAATAAGCTCTTCCATTATAAGATACTTAGATAATGCTGGATAAAGTATGAACATATTTTTTAAAAATGTACCGATGATTTCTCAAAAAAATATGGGCAATGCCCTAAGACCACCTCCTTCCCCTTAAAAACAGACAACAGATGGAACTTAAAACAACCTGATGCTGATTGTGGTTTGCTTTTGGTTTGGTTTTGCCAGTATCGGTAATCAGGATGCTTTGTTATAATGGCTACAAAGAATTAGTAAAGAAAACCTTGGGCCTGTTGAGAATAGGGTGATGAAACTGCAGCCCTCTGTCCCCAAACACACAGAAATCCAGGACCTGCTCTATGGTTTTTTTTTTTTTCTTATTCTTCTTTTTGAGATGGAGTCTTGCTCTGTCGCCCAGGCTGGAGTGCAGTGGTGCGATCTTGGCTCACTGCAACCTCTGCCTCCCGGGTTCAAGCAATTCTCTGCCTCAGCCTCCCGAGTAGATGGGATTACAGGCACCCACCACCACACTCGGCTAATTTTTGTATTTCTAATAGAGATGGGGTTTCACCATCTTGTCCAGGCTGCTCTTGAACTCCTGACCTTGTGATCCACCCACCTTGGCCTCCCAAAGTGCTGGGATTACAGGCGTGAGCCACCGTGCCTGGCCAACCTAGTCTATGCCTTTAATCTCTTGTGAAAATTTACAACTACAAGTCGGCTTGAACACAGGTTTAAGGTTAAAGTGTATAATACCTAATTTTTCTGGGTATGTTCAATCAAGAAATTAACAAAAATTAACATTTTAAAGAAGGGATTTGTTCTGGATTACTTGGTGGAAGCAAAGCAAAAATGTTTACAGATGGAATTTCTGCACAGGCCAAAAAACACCCTACTATGGATGAGATTACAATGAAAAATTACAATCTATTTCTTCTTCATTCTTACCTCCAGTCATTAGCAAGGGCCAGCAGACCAAACAGCCAGCAGGATTTGGCATTTAAGAACCTCAAATAATATACTTATCAGAAGCAGACCATAAAGTCAAAGTGTTTAAGATAATCACAAACATGAAAGGAACTAAAAAATCCAGAAAAGAAGACAATATTAAAGATAACAGACTGGTTTGAATTAAAAAAAAAACAAAAAAACAAAAACTTCCAACAGTGAAAAATACAGCCATTGATATTCAAAACTTAATGGTTAGAGGTTAAATGACAGGTTTGACAGAGTTGAAGAGGAAATTCTAGAAGGCAGGTCAGAGGAAATTACCCATAATTCAGCAGACAGAGATAAGGAGAAAGTCCTGGAGGGGTTAAAAGACACAGAGGGAAGAAAAAAAGCTCCAACTTATATCTAGTAGGAATTCTATGAGGAGAAATTAGAGAAACTGAAGGAAGAGGCACTATATGAAAAGATAATAGCTGAGAATTTTCCAGTAATGATAAAAGACACATACCCTTAGATTTAGGAATCATAAATCCTAAGAAGGATAAATGGAATCATATTTCCAAGATTTCAGTTCAATCTTGTATTCCATTAAAATAGATGGAAAGAAAAAAACAATTTCTAAGGCTGGCTATACACACACTCATTCTAAAGTGAAGCACTGAATATGTTCATGGACTGAAGGGAACAAAGTCTCAGATGAAGCCTTAAGGTATGAAATTAAGAACACAGATAAATGATGTGGCCTCTGACATCAAAGGTAAGAGGGTAAACCTGGGTGTTCATGTATATGGGAAGGGTATAAAATTTCTTGGTGAAGTAGTAGGAACAAACAGAGTTGGGAAGGAACTGTGTAAAGTTTGCAAAGATTGGTGAGGCTCTTCCATAATTGTTGAGGAGGATAGGAGAGGAAGAGTAAAGAAAAGTAAAATAATTTTCAGTCTCTTGGTTGACAATAAAGTATTGGGCAGATGTTTATTACTAAAATTTCTGGTATGTGCCTTTGTTATTTAACATTACTCTGGAATTACTGGTCGAATGACTAGACAAGAAAAAGTATCCAATAAAAGGAAAAATGTGTGTATTTGAAGATTATAACTATACAAACTGATTCTAGAGTTAAAATGAAAAGATAAATGTTGAAGAATAGCCAGATAAAAAATGAATAAGAAGGACAAGGAAGGAAGGGTGATATGGTTTGGCTGTGTCCCCACCCAAATCTCATCTTGAATTATAGCTCCCATAATTCCTATGTGTTGTGGGAGGGACTTGGTGGGAGATAATTGAATCATGGGGCCAGTTTCCCCTACACTGTTCTCATGATAGTGCATAAGTCTCACGAGATCTGATTATTTTAAAGGGGTTTCGCCTTTCATTTGGTTTTCATTCTCTTTGCCTGCTGCCATCCATGTAAGACCTGACTTGCTCCTCCTCGGCTTCTGCTGTGATTGTGAGGTGTCCCCAGCCATAAAGAGTCCATTAAACCTCTTTCCTGTATAAATTGCCTAGTCTAGGGTATGTCTTTATCAGCAGCATGAAAACTAATAGAAAGGGAGAGGAGGTAAACCCAGTTATTCAAAAAATGACAATAATTTAAATATTTGGGCAGTGGCACATTAACAAATAAAACGATGGAACTGAGTCCAGAAATGGAGCCATAGATGTGACATTATGAGTGAGTGGGGGAAAGGATGCTTTATCAACATACAGCACTGAGGGAAAGACACTGGAGTCTTATGTCATTTATACTTAAATTCCAGACGAGTTGAAAATTCAAATGCAAAAAAATGAAACTACAAAACATAAGAGAAAACATTTTGAAAAACAATTTTGGAGTGAGAAGTGCAGTTTAAAGGAAAGTACCAAATCCAAAATCATAAAAAAATTGGATAAATCTGAATATATAAACAACATATTTCTGCATGGAAAAATACCATGAGCAAAGCTTAAAACATTGATAGGGAAATAATTTCTAAATGCATGTCAGCAAAGGACTAACCTTAACGTGTAAAGTGCTGTTGAAAATCAACGAAAGAATAGAAAACTGCGTAGGACCTGAACAGGCAATTCACAGAAAAAAGCTGAAAAACATTGTGAAAGATTCTTAACATCATTTGTAATTAAATTCAAGTTGAAATAATAATAAGATAAATTTTCATCTCAGGTTGGCAAAGATCACTTTTCACAGCGGGGTAGTGAAACAGACATCTTATTTGTTGATGCTGAGTGTTAATTGGTAAAAACTTTTGGAAGGCAATTTAGTATTATCTGCCAAATTTTAAAACTATTTATCTATATCCAGCTCCTCTGATCCAGCAGTTCTACATAAACCCTCTCCTGAAAAAGCGTACCAACAGATACTTATTATATCAAAAGATAAGAATGCCCATCGATTAGTGACCAATTAAAATACTTTCATACAATGGCATATATATATGAAAAAGAATGTTAAATACCCTTTTACAGTAAAATATGTATCAAATGCCTATTATGTGCCAGGGACTGTTCTAGATACTGGGATGTAGTTGTAAACCAAACGAACTGAAATCCCTGCCCCTCATGGAGCTCACATTCCAATGAAGGGATACAAGGTAACAGCAAGATGCAGAAAAGAGTAAATAGCATATTAACTAGTATTATAAAGAAGAGGACGTAGAGACAGGCAAACACACAAATATACATGTTTGCCTATGCACAGAAAAGCTCTGGCAGGTAATAAATGGAACTGTTTTGCCCCTGGGGAGGAAGACCGCAGGTCTAGGGAGGGAGTCGTAGTTTCCGGCGAAAATATTTGTTTACTACATATGCATATTAATTAAAATGGGGGGGAGGCGGATAACACGATTTTATATTTAAAAAAATTGCTGGTAAAGTCCTTGGAGCATCAGCAACTCAACCGTTTTCATTGCAATGTTCGAAGCAACGCTGGATTGCAGGGTCTTCGCCGCTTACACCCTGCAAATCACTGTGGGACGAGAATCGAGGGCTGGTCTAGGGCAGGCAGTAGACAAATGAGTTAAGAGAGTGCTCTCGAGAGCACTCCGAGGCAAAGCACAAACCAAAGATACATAATACTTGCATAAATGCCGACACACAGAGAGAAAAAACTAGGCGCTGTGAGAGCAAGTTCACAAGGTGGCGCAGAACCACATTTCCCCAAAGTAACAGCGAACAGGTCTAGTCTGCAGCTCTGCGCCTGCGTCAAACGGCAGCGCATTTGACCACACGGCCGCCGGAGGCACAGTCGTGTTCGCATCTGGTCTAACAGACCCGCGAGAACGAAGGACGCTTGCCTTTTTCCGGTCGGGGAAGGGGGAAGAAGGTAACTTCCGGTGACGGGGTTGCATCACTTCCTCTCAAGCTTGGCGTTTGTTTGGTGGGGTTACACGCGGGTTCAACATGCGTATCGAAAAGTGTTATTTCTGTTCGGGGCCCATCTATCCTGGACACGGCATGATGTTCGTCCGCAACGATTGCAAGGTAAGGCGGTCGACACCAGTTCTTGCTTCAGCCTAGCTCCCGCGGTTCCTGGGCGCGGCGGCTCGGTGCTGGGTGCTTCTGCGTCTGCCGTGTTTGGCCCGGGTTCCTCCCGTTGTTCCCCTGGGAGGGTGGCTTAACTGGGCCTCCGTTCTCAACGTTCCGCTTCGGGGGTTTCTCCTTGCCCGTCTTCCGAGCGGCGCTGGCCACCACGCCACCCTTGGGTGGCGTTGGCAGCGAGGAACTTCAGGAGCGATCCCAGCTAGCGCCTACCAGGAATCTTGGATGTCTGTGAGGGCTGTTTGGCCACTCATGTACTTGGGCCAAATTCTTGAATCCAGTAAACTTTGTTGAGTGTATACCCTGTCAGGCATTACACTAAGGTCCATACTAAAGTGTAGAGGTTGATGGAAGTGTTCCGTATTGCTTAATGGTAGAGTTATGTATTAAGTTACTGCAGGTGAGTTGGGGAGGGTCCTGTACGGAAAGACTCAGCATAGAGGTGATATTTATCTTGGATCCTGAATTTTGCGGAAGAAAGCGGAGGGGGCCTTCTAAGTGGAAGGAAAGTGAACATTTTGAGAAAAGGCAGAGAACGGAGCAAATACATTTGTTTGAGGAAGTGACTGGATTGTAAATGATGATAGAGCCTTGGGCGTAGGGCTACAAGTATAATAAGTCTGTAAACGTAAATAATAAATATGAGTCCTAGTTGTGAAAGACGTTTTGAATGGTACATGAATTTGTCCTGTCATTACAGAATGAATCCCGTTCCTCTCTTTCTCAGAGAAACACATTGTTTCTCAGAATTTGATCTCTTACGTTTGCTTCTGAATTACTGGGCGTTTACAGATTCCTGGTTTTCACCAGATCTATTGAGTTGGAATCTTTGGGGGAGGGGAAGAGGGTCTAAGAATCTGTATATTAAGGTGAATTTGACGTGCTAAATAATTACAAGTCTGACTTCTTCACCTTATATCTCTGTAACAGATCAAAGATATTGACCTCATTAATTAGATCCAAGGGATTCAGCTGAAAGTGACGGACCAAAGCCATGTTTGATAACGTAAAAGAACCTAGAAGATTTTGAATACTTGCTCTCAGGAACATGATAAGAAGTTTATAAAAATGAACCAAAAGATTGCCAGGTTGGGGTCTAATTCAGAGTAGGCAGTATGGTTTTATACATGATGTCGTTACGATTTTGTGATTTTCGTCCAGGATGCTTGTCGGCTGGATATTGGAATTAGAACAACAGATCGTGAGAACTGTCAAGACCTGGGTATTGATTTGGTAGACACAGTGGAAGTTAAGTTGATGAAGAATAAGGACAGTGTTGAGTTGGTTGGGAGTCACCAGTGGATCCAGAAGAGAGTTGTTGGAGGAAATAAAAGATAGAGGGCCTGAAGCACTAACAAAGAACAAGTATCTCATCTTTTTTTATGCTTGATTTCCAAACCTAAATCTCCTGAGCTCCAAATCTGAATTTTCCATTGGATGTACCTAACAGTAGGTACAGTGGGCCTACTGAAAGAGAATTCCTTAGTACCTCAGATCTTTTTGCTCTGTGAATTAATACCACTCTTAAGTGCCCGGATAGTTTTGCTAGAAACATGAGAGTCGTCTGAATCTTTTCACCTTTTGTATCTAGTTATCAAGTCTTACCTATCCTGCCTCTGCAAAGATAGTGGTGTCTTTGCCTTCTTTCTACTTTCCTGTCCTAGTTCAGATTAGGCTCTTACCACTTTTATAGCCTCTTATCTAGCCTTTTTTTTTTTTTTTTTTTTTGAGACAGGGTCTCACTGTCTATTGCCCAGGCTGGAGTGCAGATGTGTGATCATGGCTCTCTGCAGCCTCAGTCTCCTGTACTTAAGCAGTCCTCCCTCCTCAGCATGCTGAGTAGCTGGGACTACAGGTGTGCACCACCATGCCCAATATCAAAAAAATTTTTTGTAGAGACGGGGAGATTAACATTGTGTGTGTGTGTGTGTGTGTGTGTGTGTGTGTGTAGAGACAGAGGCTTGCTATGTTTCCCAGGCTTTAACTAGTCTTTCTGCCTTTATTCTCTTAGTTTCTGAGACTGTTATTAATAGAAACTTCACCTTTTACTCTTCTTAGGCATAAATGGGTTAAGGGTAGAATTAATGCTAATTCTCTATATTTGCACATACTTTGCAAACAGGGAAAATACATTCTTAATGAGGGCTTAATAAATGTTGAATTAGTGGAATAAGAAAGGTTTGAAGAACTTTGAGTCCAAGGTATGGGGGATCATTTGTTAGCATGTTAGCATTTAGGGGACTAAATTAAAAGAGAAACTTGAAACCATAAAGCTTTGCCTGACACATAAGCCATCCACCTCTTACCCCACCATAGATTTAACCACTTCCTCATATGTGTTTACATATTACATTATACATGATTATAACTTTATCCCATTGTTTATATCCTAGTCAGATCTTGATCTTTCTTGATTGCAAAGTGAGATTATCACATTGCTAGACTAAGCTTCTCAAGGTAGAGTACCAAATTTTAATTGTTCTTGTATCCTTAGCACTAGTACAACATCAGGCACATAGATGCTCTTTATTTACTGATTGAATCCCCTTTGCACCTCCTCTGGTTCCAGGTCTCTGTAGATCCTTCATTGTGCCTTTCAGGTAATACCTATTAGTTAAGGAACCAACTAGATTCCTCATTGGGTCTATTTGGAATTGAGAGGAGCCAAAACAAATTTAGTCCTCCCATTAGATAAATAGTAGAAAAAGGAATTTGCCTAAGGGATATCTAGTAGATATTAAATGTGGGAGGCTTTTGCTTAAAAAATAATAGTATTTTGGGCTGAAAATACTCAAAATATAATTCATTTCACAATGATTTTCATATATTCATTTTTTATTTATGATTTCATAGTAGGCTACTCCAGGAGACTAGTAGTTCTTATATTTTCTAGTCTATTTGAAACTAACTCAAGGATATAGACATGCTTTCACTCTAGTGTCTTAGGAGAAGGCTCTGTAGGAGGTATGGGCCTGGATCAGATTAAACTAATAGCAACAGTTTCTAAGAAAACTGTCCTACTGTATGTAGTGACCTACTTGAAGTTCCCCTTAGGGCAACATATATAAAAGGTGAAAAGTATTATGATTTGTGATACATACACAGGCTTATTTAGTTTGAAGTGTTTGTACTGTTTACTTTGACCTATTATCTGTCATACCTTTTAGGTGTGATAATTCAACTTAATTTTCTTTACCAAGATCCACAAACCCCAAATAATTACTTTTTCTCTTCCCATTTCCTCCAGGGCATACACAAATTGCAGTGTGTTCTAAGGCATTACAAAGTAACAAAATAATACTGTTAGATTTATAAAATGAGTCCTAATAAGACATTTCAGGGACATGTTGAAGCATCATCAGTTGTAAGTTAGCACTATTAAAGGATTAAATCTTGTAGGATGAAGGTGGAGAGTTAAAGTAGTAAAGAATCTTGCTAGCAGATCTGTGAGTAAGTCGAAAACGAATCTGTTATATCACCAGTTTTACTTGCTTTTGAAATTATTTTGTGCTTTCAACAAGGAAGATGGAAAGACCCAAAGGAGATTTCAGAATGGTTGTTTGAAACTTTTATCCCCATTGAGGTATAAAGACAGTGAATTTTGAAAATTATCCTGAATTAAGAAAGGACTTAAATAAATGACTTTACTTAAAACTGTTCCCTTTATTTGAAATAATTTTACTGTTATTCTATATAAATGATTAGTAATTTAAAATAATATTTTCAGGGCCCTTAGCCTTTGGTTGGGATGATGTTTGATAGTCAAAAAATAGTTGTTTCCATTTAATCTGATATATCTTACACATTTCTAAATGGCAGTTTAAGTAGAAGGGAAAGTATTTTTTGTCTAGCAGGGGTAACGTCTTGTGATAGAAAAGTTTTTAATGTTGACTTCTCAATATTTTAACTTTTCTTGTAGGTGTTCAGATTTTGCAAATCTAAATGTCATAAAAACTTTAAAAAGAAGCGCAATCCTCGCAAAGTTAGGTGGACCAAAGCATTCCGGAAAGCAGCTGGTAAAGAGCTTACAGTGGTGAGTACGGTTAGCTATCAATATAGTTTTTACACGTTTCACAGTTTTAGTATTTGAAGGGTATATGTCATCTAATCAATCATAACAAGGCCTCCTATAACATGATTAATAAGTACCTTATTTGTATTTGGCTGTGGAAATAATCTCATTCTCACATGATCCTTAAAACTGTAATTCTGTGGAGCTACTATTTTTAGCTCTTGCAGACCAAGAGGAAAATCACTTAAATGGCTTGGGATGAAGTTGGGAATTGCTACTGAAAGATTTTGAGATGAAGTTAAGAGATAAAGGATTTCTGAACAGCAGTCAAGGCTCAGGTGAAGTTTATAATAGACTCATTTATCAGTTTCTGGATTTCCTTAGCAGGACTTTGTATCTGAGAGCAGAGAAATTAGTAGTGTTGGTGTGAGGAGAACTAGAGAGAAGTCAGGGGGAAAGAGGATTTAATGGAGTGAGCCTCTATCATTATATTGTTATATTGAATTGATAAAAGGGTATTTTGAAGCTGTCCACGTTCAGTCCCTGCAAAGGAAGGAGATGAAAATGCAGTACAGGCTACATTTGAGGGAGGAAGATCTTTTAAACTGTCCTCTCCATCCATGGCTTCCTTTACCCACCAAACCAATGACCCATTTCCCACCTTTTTATTGCTAAAGGGCAGTATCTACAAGCATTTTCCATGAAGCCCTTTCCTGGCCTCCTTAATACCAGAGCTTTGCAATGAATGTAAAGACTATTGTTTGACCAGATGCAAGGCCAAATCATAATTACTGTCACAAAAATAATTTTCATTCTGGAAGAAAAGAAGCATAGCAGCCCAAATGCAAGTGGCAGCTGCCTGAGGAAACACTGCCGGTCACAGTCATTTACTGATTACCATTTACCTCGTGGCTGAGGTTATTATGATCTGAATAAAGCTGTGTATATATAAAAGAAATAGTAGCCAAATCCAGAGGTAGTGCTGTTTTATATGCCTGTCAGATAGATTTGAAAACCAAGAAATACCTGTAGCTTTTCCAAAATTGTTTTGTGTGTTTTAAGATTAAAAGGATCATTAACTGTAAAAATACCAGCCACTAGCAACGGTAACCGTGTTTGGAGGGGATCTGAAGAAATGTAGGGCCTGACTTTTATTCTGCAGAGTAGCACCTCATTTATTTGAAGATATATATAGTTTTCATACCTTTTTGCTATAACATAGATATTTAGGTTGAACCATATGAAGTTTTCTCTCTCTTTTTTTTTTTCTGTCTCCTACAGGAAGAACATGGAATTCTTGATGTTGACTTTTTTTGATCTGTAAAAAATGGCAGTTTCATATGGTTCAACATAATTCAAAGTTTTCTGGCTTTGAATCTTATCTGGGAATGGGACATTGGGAAGGTTTTTCAGTTTGTAATCCTGATAATTGTTATATGCCCTTCTGAGGGATGGGGGTGTTACTGTCTCCTCCTTTCTCTTTGAGAATCACTAGTATATGGAGAGATGTCTTCAATAGGGAGGTGTGTAAAGGAGAAAAAATTTGAAAACCTATATTCTCTGAGATACCCTGAGGGGTGAATCTAGGTGTATGTTCATTTAGAACACTTAGGAAAAGGAAGACGTTTTAAGAAATGTTTCCTTTCTACCTTTCTTAAAACCTTATTTTTATCTCCTCTGTTCCCTCTTACAGGATAATTCATTTGAATTTGAAAAACGTAGAAATGAACCTATCAAATACCAGCGAGAGCTATGGAATAAAACTAGTAAGTCACAAAGAAATACCAGTAATTTTGAGGAGAGACTGGTTTGGGATAATACTATAACTTTAAGTGTCAGTTTGTTGTTTAAATATTGAATTTTCCATTTATCATTCCTTGGCTTTTATTATTTTATCCTCATTTTAATGGTTCTGTTGTAGTCAGATCTTTCATCATTTTTTTTTTACAATTGGCTGGTGTGTTCATTTTAAAATAATGTAATTATTAACTTTGATACTACTTGAAGTGCCCACACAGAGATGTAAAAACATAAAAATGGCTGAAAAAAATAGAGACGGAAAATACTGTTTTAGGGTGAGTGTGGGATGGTTAAAATACACATGAAACCTAACACACTTTACATGTTTAGACCATATAGTTTAGGATATAAACTTGTATTCTGTATACCTTATAAAATTCAGTGCTTCTTTAAAATTAAAAAGTGTAGTGCTTAAGGTCATCATTACAAATGTTCTGAGAGAATTTCTAAGTGTTTGACTTAGGTAAAAAATGAAGTTATAATCTTCTGAAATTAAAAGCAATAATATCTAGTTCTTGTTTTTTTTGTTTTGTTTTGTTTTGTTTTTTTTCCCTGAAATAGGCAGAAAGTTTAATGAAAAAAGTCTCATATGTAGAAAAAGTTAATCCCTTGAGCTAGCTTGTAGATTCTACCACATTTGTGTATGTTTGGGACCCTTGGCCTTGCCTTTTTTTTTTTTTTTTTTTTTTTTGAGTTGGAAAGTCTTGCTCTGTCCCACCGGCTGGAGTGCAGTGGCACGATCTCGGCTCACTGCAATCACTGCCTCCCAGGTTCAAGCAATTCTCCTGCCTCAGCCTCCCAGGTAGCTGGGATTACAGGCACATGCCACTACACCTGGCTAATTTTTGTATTTTTAGTAGAGATGGGGTTTTGCCATGTTGGCCAGGGTGGCCTTGAACTCCTGACCTCAAGTGATCCTCCCACCTTGGCCTCCCAAAGTGCTGGGATTACAGGCGTGAGCCACCATGCCTGGCACCGGCCCGGCCTTCTTTTCTTCCCATGGCTACCTTTATGCAGCCTGTAGCTATTTCTAGTATTGGGTGTGGGGGTGATGTGGTTTGTTAACCAGAGTCTGTAAGGCTTAGAATTCCACAAACTTTATTACTCTGCTAATGGATCATAGGCAGGGCATCCCTTTGTGTCCTCCAGTCAGTCACGAGACTTCAGGGGAAGAACTGAAAATTTGTGGACCTTTGTGGTAGTATTTATACCTTCTGAACCAGGGGCATCCAATCTTTGGCTTCCCTGGGCCACATTGGAAGAAGAATTGTCTTGGGGCACACAGAAAATACACTAACACTAATGATAGCTGATGAGCTAAGGGAAAAAAAAATTGCAAAAAAAATCTCTTTATGTTTTAAGAAAGTTTACGAATTTATATTGGGCCGTGGGTTGGTCAAGCTTGTTCTAAAGCTTTGTTTACCTAGGACCATGTGGAGAAACTGGAGTTTAGATTTGGAATTGCCTTTTCTGTACTTAGCCCTAATTATTGTACCCTTTGGGTCTCCCCCAACCCCTTTTTAAAAAATAAGGTCTTTTCCTTCTGCTTTATAATTAGAGGAGGAGTTAATTTCTGAAAAGCAGTTGATTTTTATTGGGTTTATTTGGTAAGGAAATAACACTTATTCAAACTCAAGGATTTCTAAAGAGATTAACTATAGGATTCTTAAATTGATTTCAAAAGGCACTCTTATCAAGGACATTATTGGAAAGTCCTGAAGCATTTCTTTTTTTTTTTTTTTTTTTTGAGATGGGAGTCTTGCTCTGTCACCCGGGCTGGAGTGTAGTGGTGGGATCTCGGCTCACTGCAATCTCCGCCTCCCGGGTTCAAGCAATTTTCCTGCCTCAGCCTCCCGAGTAGCTGGGACTACAGGCACACGCCGCCACGCCCGGCTAATTTTTTTGTATTTTAGTAGAGACGGGGTTTCACCATGTTGCCCAGGCTGGTGGTGAACTTCTGAGCTCAGGCAATCTGCCTGCCTTGGCCTCCCAAAGTGCTGGGATTACAGGCGTGAGCCTCCGCACTTGGCCAGTCCTGAGGCATTTCTGGACTTCATTCAGTTTTATTTCATTTTGACCTTTGTTGTTGTTATTATTACTTGAAGACAGCAGCTCCAGATCATTTTTACATATTTTGTAACTACTTTTACTTAGCGGGTATTTAGGTTGTTGTTGAAAAGAGTTGCATATACAATTTTAGCGATATGTGAATAATCAGTTCCATGGTCCTCCATGCTGGTGTCATGTTATTTACATTGCTCGAGAGAAATACTGCTGTGTTCTGTATGACTTCACATACTGTAATGGTAGTGTTCTCTACAGTTCTTAATTTATTTTAATTCAGTGCACATTTATTAAGCACTGCCTGTGGCATACAAAGATGAACACGTCACACACGGTCTCTGCCCTCTAGGTGCACTTACTGAGTACTCCTATTTTATTGTTTCTGTTAGGTTTTATTACAGAGTCTCATTCTCTTGCCCCCCACATTTATACATCTGTAAATTCTGTAAGAAGCAGTGCTCTATTGATTTCTTTTTTCCTGCACTGATTCTGCTTTCCTTTTTACTGGGATCCTAAAAATAGATTTTTCTGAGAAGATCTGCTAAGTGTACAGTATGAGTGCTAGGTAAATAGTATGAGAGTCTTTGGAATTTAAGATTGTTTCATGATATTTTATACAATTAAGAAAAGTTGTTTTCAGTAGTGTTCCAGAACAATATATTATTCTTCTAAGAGATTCATTGATTCTCCACACCCCTCGTATTTCAGTATCATTTGGTCTATAAACTAATCTATTGACAAGAGTTGTATATTCATTGCTTACATTATCAAATTGTGTGAGGATATGGATTAAACAACCTTTGTTAAGGTACTGATGTCTGTAGAAACAGTAGTATGTTAGAATTTCAAAAATACCGGGAAAAATAGTTTGCACTTTGTCCCTCATGGCTGTCTGTGTTGCAGGTGAATTGTTAATATCTGTCAGATTTTTTTTTATTTTTTATTTTAACTTTTTACATATTTTTGTTGAACTTTTTTTTAATCTTAATAGCTTTTGGGGTACAAGTGGTTTTTTTGGTTACATGGATTAATTGTAGATTGTCAGAATCTGAGATTTTAGTGCATCCATCACCTGAGTAGTGTACATTGTACCCAATCTATAGTTTTTACCCCTTACCCCACCCCACTCCCCCTTCTGAGTCCCATAGTCCATTATACCACTCTGTATGCCTTTGCGTGCCCATAGCTTAGCCCCTGCTTACAAGTGAGAACATACAGTGTTAGCTTTTCTATTCCTGGGTTACTTCATTTAGAATAGTGGCCTCCAGTTCCATCCAAGTTGCTGTAAAAGACATTATTTCATTCCTTTTTTTGGGTGAGAACTATTCCATCATGTATAAATACCACATTTTCTTTACCCACTTGTTGGTCGATGGGCACTTAGGTTGGTTCCATATCTTTGCAGTTGTGAATTGTACAGTTAGATGCTTCTTAGGTTCAAAATATTTCAGTATTCTGGAATATTTGGAAATACAGCATATTATTCTTTGGAAGGGATTTTCCTGCCACTTGTGTTTATTTCCCTTCTAAATAAGTTTAAAGTGTGGAAATGCTTTTGAGTACTAGAACTTGTACTTATTTTTGCTGAAAGACAAAGAAAAAAAGTTATATATCCAGCATATTATTAATTCTGAGCTACAGCATATGCAGATTTATAGTTGACATTTTCTTAGAGTTATTTATACAAACATTGCTTTAATACTAGAGGTCTCAAAGATTGTCCTGGTGGTTTTTGTTAAAATGTAGATTCAGATATAGTAGGTTTGTGTGGGGCCTGAAATCCTTCATTTCTAACAAGCTCCCAAATGATGCCACTGTTACTGGTCCCAGGCTACATTTTAAAAGTTTTTATTTTGACCTAATTTCAGATTACAGAAAAGTTGCACGAGTAGAGTTCTCTGATATCCTTCATCCAGACTCCCTGAATGTTAACATTTTGTTAAATTAATTTTTTCTCTTTGTCTCTCTTCTTTCTCCCTTTCTCCCTTTAGTGTATATTTTTCTGAACTGTTTAAGCATGCAAAATACTTCTTGGTCCCTAGTTTAATATGTATTTCCAGAAATAAGAGCATTCTCACATAACCACACTGCAATTATTAAAATCAAGAAATTAACATTGATAGACTATTATTACCTAATCTTAGTCCTATTCATATTTCTCCAATTGTCCCAGTAATATCCTTTATAGCAAAATTTGTAAGAATAGTACATGTCATGTCTCTTTAATCTCTTGTAATCTGGAACATTTCCTGAGTTTGTCCTTATATTTCATGATATTGACAGTTTAGAACAATATGGGCCAGGCGTTTGGTATAAAATTTCTTAACTGGATTGTTTGGTGTTTCCTTCAGATTAGGTTTGGATAATGCACATTTGGCAAGAGCACCAGAGATTTGATGCTGAGTTTTTTCAGTGTGTTTTGTCAGGAGACACAAGCTGTCCATTAGTTCCATTACTAGCAGTGTTAACTTTGATCATTAGGTTAAGGTGGTGTCTGCCAGGTTTTTCCACTGAAGAGTTACTGTTTTACTCTTTTTAATTAATAAGTATACTTTTGAGAGATACTTTAAGACTATATAAATATCTTATTATTCTTTAGATCTACAGACTACACTTTAAAGAGCTAGACTAGATCAGAAGTGTCTGAGCTACTGAGCCAGTCTAAATTGCGTTGTGCTGTAAATGTGAAATGAATGCTGGATTTTGAAGACTTAATATGAAAACAAGGATAAAATGTTTCACTAGTAATTTTATATAGATTGCATGTTGAGTGACAGTATTTTGGAAATTTGGGTTAAATAAAATGTATCATTAAATTTCCTCCTGTTCGTTTTTACTTTAAAAAATACGGCTACTAGAAAATTTAAAATTTCATATGTGGTTTGTCTTTCATTGGATAGTACTGATAGAAATTTTAGAGCATAGTTGGACTCAGCCCCCTTTTAGCCAACACTCCTGTAGGCATTTTCTAAAACAGTTGGATTTTTGTGGTTGAGAACTTAGTAGTATTGATTGTTTGGTTCATTCTGCTAATATCATGTGCTGACCATATCCCAGGCACTTTTAAGTGTTCATAACCAGAAAGATGCTGTCTTTATTCATGGAAATTACAAGTTAAGAATGGGATTAGTTGTCAGTAGTCCAAGTTCTCTTTATAGTAAAATTTGAAAAGCATTGGATTGGTTTAAAGTGGAAGGAAAATTTAACAGCAGTAGAGACTTTTGTCAGATAAAAATTAGAGAAATGATACTTGTGAAAGAGAATGTTGAGAGTCATGATGGCCAGGAGTATACACCTTCTTCAGCTTTTTGAGTAGGGATTGTTTTTGTAATGATTTTTTTCATGTAAATTCATTTCTAAATCAGAATAATAAAGAAGTGTTTGTTAATGCAGTTGTTGATCATACCGCTTGAATGTGCATACATTTGCTAACTCATGAATTTTTTTGTAGTTGATGCGATGAAGAGAGTTGAAGAAATCAAACAGAAGCGCCAAGCTAAATTTATAATGAACAGGTATGAATATTTGTATGGAGTAACTTTTGGAAAATAATTACTAGTAGATATTTAGAGGCATTAGTATTTTTTAAAAAAATTTTTTATTTTGACATAACTTCAGACTTACCAAAAACTTCAAGGAATAATATGAAGAACTCTTGTATATTCTGCTAGCATTTTACATTTACTTTATCCTTGTCTCAATGTATTGAAGACATAATGCTTTTTCCTTCTAAGTATACTTAAGTGTGTGTAACCTAAAAATAAGAACATTCTCTTAAATAAACACAGTATGGTTATCTATCAGTCAGGAAATTAACATTGATGTAATACTATTATATAATCTATAAACCTTATTTAGACCTCACCAGTTATTCTGATTACGTCCATAGCAACACAAAGTCCTTCATATTTCTTCAGGCTCCTTTAATCTGGACAGTTTCTCATCTTTCTTTTACGTGACATTGATAGTTTTGAAGACTATAGGTCAAGTTATTGTATAGAACGTTCTTCAATTTGGGTTTGTCTGATACCTTCCTCATTAGATTTTGGCTAGGCACCTTTGGCAGGGATGTCTCAGAAATGATGGCGTATCCTTCTCATGCATCATATCGGGAAGCACATGATGTCACCTTGCTGGTGATGTTAACTTTGATCACTTGATTAAGGTGATGTCTGTCAGGTTTCTCCACTGGAAGATTACTATTTTGTTTTCCTTATAATCAGTACGTATTTTGGGGGAGATACATAGAGATTCAGTAAAAAGCCTATTACTCCTCAAACTTGTACCTACTGGTTTTGGTTTTCATTAGAGTCTTGCCTGAATCAGTTACTACTATTGTTGTGATTGTTGCCAAATGGTGGTTTTTCTAATTCCATCATTTCTTCTACATTTTTTAGTTGATTTTCTCATGTAAGAAAGAGCTTTCCCTTTTCCATCAATTTCAAGATTTATTCCTTTATTCATATTACATCTGTGTGTATTCATGGATTCTTATGGTATACATTGGGTTATAATTCTTTATTGTCATTATTTATTTTGAAGTTCTAAGTGGCCCATATTTGGCCTGTGGGAGTTCCTTCAGGCAGACTGTCATGTCATTTTGACAATTCTCCTCATTCTTTGAGTGCATTCATGTTTTATAGCTAACAAGATGTTTCCTCTTCCCCAGCTTGGAATCAACTATTTTTTTCAGAGCAGGACCATTAGCTTTTAAATTAATTGCTATGGAATATGTCATGGAAAAGAAGCACGTGCCAGCAGCTTTCTGGCTTAAAAATTTTAAAGCATTTCACAAAAATGTTTGAAAACTAGTCTGTTAGCATTTCTATTGAATATCATGTGATTTGTGCTCTTGTAATTACCCAATGGTTTTTTAAAAATTATATAACAGAGACTTATCTATTTGAGGAGAAAAGATCTAGGCACTGTAACAGTTAAAGGTTGTTTTATGTAGTAGAGCACTGCTTCTTTTCATGACTCACATCCTTCATTTACTTAGCAAATATGTATTGAGCTCCCATTTCGTGCCAGTCTAGGTACAAAGAATGAATGAATGAATAAGTGTTGTGGTAGGGTAGGAATCCTATTTTGAGCTAATTACGAACTAAAAAACCACTTTGAGTTTGAGTTGTTAGAGAAGAAAATGTACATTTGTGAGGGCTTAACAGGTGACCTTACCTTAGATTTGGGAATAAATGTAAGGTATATATCTCTTTTAGGTTAAGTTCACCACTTGCCATTTGGGAGTAATGTGAGAGGACTGAGAGGCTCTGTTCACTTGGTGTTGATGCTCCTGCTGGATGGGGGGCGTTGTGGGGAGAAGAAAGGGGAGTGAACAGAAGGGCAGCCATCATGTTTCCATTCCCCATCTGTGGGGCTAACTTAAGTAACAAAATTTAGAAGCTGTATTGTGAATTGATGCCTCTTAAAGCAGTGTTAGTAACTGAAATTTTGGCTTTAATATGTTTTGTTGTAGATTGAAGAAAAATAAAGAGCTACAGAAAGTTCAGGATATCAAAGAAGTCAAGCAAAACATCCATCTTATCCGAGCCCCTCTTGCAGGTGAGTACTACATTGCACATCTAGATTTTTGTGGTCTGTGTATTTGGGTACCAACTAACTTTGGGTATTTTTTCCTATAAATATTATCTTTCATAGTAAATTTATGATATGATTTGGCCTATAAAAATGTAATTTATTCAGTGTATTTCCCAATTGCAGTCAGTCTATTTATATGGTGTTTCTTTTTTGCCTTCATTGAATTCTATGTTCCATATCCCCCCAAGTTATGCAAAATGATTTGCGTAATAATTTTGTAGATGATTTTTGTCTTGCACTTGTATTGATTAAAGGACTATATTTTTTATTAGTGGTTCTCAAACTTTGGTTGGTATCAGAATTACCAACTTGGGGAACTTAGTATAAATACATAGGCCCAGGCTCTTTGAGTCTGGGCCACTGTTCAGTAACATCCCAGATGATTCTGATACTAAAATTGGGACTACTGTTTCTTTTGCTCAGCTAACACCAGTACAGTCTTTTATGCAATTTACTTATGTAGATCACTTAAAGGGAAAGAAATCTTAGTAAAGGTCAAATTCTGTAATCACATATTGAGTACATTTGTGTAGATCTACTTGTATTATTTTTGTACCAAATTTTATTAAAACAAAATAGGCAAAATTCTGGAGCATTTGTTTCACATATACATGATAACAAACTGATAGTCAAAAAGCACCAGAAATGAACCATTGTTATCTAAGTTTTTAGGTAATCCTCTTTGAGGTAGATAGAACAGTGTTAAGAGCAGGCACCTTGGATCCAGATGGCTGGGGTTCACATGCCAGCACTTTGACTTAAATGGCTTTCTAGTTGAGTGACCTTCAGCAAGTTAATCTGTCTTTGAGCCTCAGTTTTCTCATATTTAAAATGGGGGTTGTTATGAGGGTGAAATGAGCAAATAAATGTATGTAGAATGTTTATTTGATGCATGGCATATCATAAGACCTATGTTAGTTTAGCTACTATTAAATTTCTTAGGAGTGGCTAATATTACTTGAAAACATGCAAGATCCTTTATAAAGTGTTGGTGTGAATTCTGTAAGGTCACATTTAATTAAGTTGTTTATTTTTTACTTATTTTTATTAAAGGCAAAGGGAAACAGTTGGAAGAGAAAATGGTACAGCAGTTACAAGAGGATGTGGACATGGAAGATGCTCCTTAAAAATCTCTGTAACCATTTCTTTTATGTACATTTGAAAATGCCCTTTGGATACTTGGAACTGCTAAATTATTTTATTTTTTACATAAGGTCACTTAAATGAAAAGCGATTAAAAGACATCTTTCCTGCATTGCCATCTACATAATATCAGATATTACGGATGTTAGATTGCATCTCAGTGTTAAATCTTTACTGATAGATGTACTTAAGTAAATCATGAAAATTCTACTTGTAACTATAGAAGTGAATTGTGGACGTAAAATGGTTGTGCTATTTGGATAATGGCACTAGGCAGCATTTGTATAGTAACTAATGGCAAAAATTCATGGCTAGTGATGTATAAAATAAAATATTCTTTGCAGTAAAATATTCCCTTTGTTAATGTTATAGAAGGGGGGATACAAAAAGGAACTAACAATTTGTATGGCAGTGTCAGATATTTTTATTTTAGTATTTCCTGTTTTGGTTTATTTGCATCTTAGAAGAGCATAATGACATTGTTTGATGAAGCCTAATTATGCTGGACTGTTTTGACCTGGTTTAACCCTTCTGATAGGTAGTTGTGGATGCTGGGGATGAGAACTGAATAATCTTTGCCTGGAGTGACACTACACTCTAGAATTTCCACTTTGGAGAATACTCAGTTCCAACTTGTGATTCCTGATAGAACAGACTTTACTTTTCTAGCCCAGCATTGATCTAGAAGCAGAGGAATCCCAGCGCCTTTTAAAAGTTGTTATGTGGTTTTCTTTTAAAAAGCTCCTGTTTTTGGAAAGTAGAATTTATGGGTACAACGTATGTTCATTATTTGTACATAAAATAAAACCATTTAAAAAGTAATGCTGATATTTATTCTTTAAAGGCACTAAACAAAGATATGAAATATTGATGACCTGGAAGAAGAAATCTTCCTCCACACATCCCATTTAAGTAGGAGATACATTTAATTAAAGAGAAATAGATACTTAATACTTAATGTTTTGTGTTTTTACATTGTTTACAGTTTTAAGTATGTTAAATACATTAAGTAACGATCAGTTTGCATAATGGTTTTTTTAGGGTAGAGTTTAAAATCAGTAATTCTTAGCCTTACATAATTATAAAGTAATGGCTCATTTTTTGTTTCAGTATTAGATAGTAAAACTAAGGCTGTAGACCAGTCCCTGGACCAAGTGTTAGGAGACCTGAGTTCCAATGTGGTTTTGCCTGGGTATTCTTATTTGTAAATAATATTATTGATTGAAGATTAGGGGAAATGATACATGTGAGGAAAGACATTTGTAAAATTTCTTGGGTTTTTACTACATACCGTATTCATTTTTTAAAGAAATAAACATTTTGAAAGTTACGTTTTATTAGGAAACAAGTGTCCTACCTTGCCAGCGAAGGAGCAAGCTGCCCTTGCTTTGCGACCATCAGTTTGGGGGAAATTGGGCTGAATTGAAGAGCTGATGTTGCATCTTAAGTTTAGCATCCAAACAGTTCTCTTCCTTGTCATGATTTCATAGTATTGTGAGAACCCAGATCTCATTCTAAACTATATGGATACAAATGCCATAATTTTTTTTTTCATCCCACCATAACCCTCTAAGCTTGTTTGGATCACTTCCCATGAAAATGTTGCCTGAGAAGTTGTTATGGTATAATACTTTTAGGCTACCTTGTTTTAGCTTGTTTGGTAGAGGCCTGTGCTGAGTAGCTAGCAGTGAAACAAAGCATAATGTTTACTACAGGGAACTTTTTTTTTTTTGAGACAGGGTCTGGCCTTGTTGCACAGACTGGAGTGCAGTGGTGTGATCTTGGCTTACTGCAACCCCTGCTTTCCTGGCTAAAGTCATCCTCCCACCTCAGCCTCCCAAGTAGCTGGTACTAAGGCTTGCACCACCTTGCCTGGTTGATTTTTGTCTTATTATTTTTTTTTTTCTTAGAGACAGGGTTTCACCATTTTGCCCAGGTTGGAACAATACAGGATTGGAAATCATGGGAAGGAATATCCTTAACACATATACCTTACAATACCTTGTAAGAATACAGAAAAACTATTTTTGAAAATTCTTATTTCTTAAAAATAGAAACCTTAGGAAGAAGTTTATCTTGTAGATAAACTTCTGTATCTATAAGAGTTTGAGAAGAGTTTAGAAGAGTAAGTTTAGAAGAGTTTGAGTTTAGAAGAGTTTGAGAAGATTGGCTTATTTCACAGTATCTCATGAAGTAGATAGCATTATTCCCATTTAAATATATAGGTAGAAAACTTTGAGGACTAGGTAACTTGTTCCTTTACCACACAACTAGAATATCAAGGTGTTAGTGATTTGTGTTTATACAAGTCTGTTTCCCTGCATTTATGTAGGATTTTATCCAGAGCCTTGTGTATCAAGTCTTCACAAGTCCAGATAACAGCTAAGAGAGTGACACTCAACTTGACTGTGACTTGGTTTCTTCATCTGAAAAATGAAGTTAATAATAGGACCAACCCTGGAATTCTTTGCAAGGATTCAATCAGCTAATACATGTAAAATACTTAAAGGCCACCACCATAGTAAGCTAGTGTTAAAATGTTAGCTATTAGGATTGGTTGTGTGTGGCCACACAAAACAACAGCAATGAGATTCGACTTGGGAGAAAGGTGGAGAGTGTTAAGGTTTGGGGATAGCTGTGGCTAAATTGAGTGAAGTCCACTTAATCAACAAAAACAGGGACATGTATGGTTTAAAACATCAATTTTAGCCTTCAAGTCAGCCAGAAAGTTGTTACTAAGAAGAGCATCTCACTACCTGAGCATTTTCTGTTGTGAAGAGTGGGAAGGGGAAATACATTTTTGGTTCCTCTTAGTTTGAAAAAATGAATAGTTTCCTGTAATCTTAAGGGATAATTTAAGTGACATAAGGGAAGTTACTTTTCCCTTTGCCCTTTAATTTACATTTTAAATGGAGATCTGGAAAAAGACATCAGACTTTAATTGCTCACAGCTTAAGGTAAATTCTAATATCCAATGCAGAGTTCTGTGTAAAAGTTAACATGGCAGCTTGCTGAATTGTGTTGAAAAGACAAGGGGAAAACATCAACATTAAAAACTTAAAAACTAAATTTCAAGGACTCTGGAAGGATTTCCCAGTCTATATTCCTTGATTAATATGTTGTAGGATTGAACAGGAGATCCACAAATTGTACCTTGCATGTCTTCATGTTTATTTGAATCGTTTCTACAAAAGGGGAAATTACCTCTTTTGAAGAATGTATTCCTTATGCTAAATAAGAGTCTACCTTCTGGTGCTGCTATAGGATGACCTCTGATTTAAGCTCTCCCGTTTTAATCTTAATCAACTGAAGCTAGCATGTGGGAGAGGTGATTCTTCTGCCGCATGATCTTCCCTGGGGTACCAGTTACCTGGTCTCTTTCTTTAGCCTCTGATTGATTCTGTGTCTCCCTATGATCCTGCTAATAAGTTCCTTTTTATCAAAGTTTGCAGCCCCAAATTTTAACTGGAAGGCATCCTCCAACATATCCAGGTAATGCATTTCTATCATAATTTCCAAGAGCGCGGGGACTGTTTGTTTCTTATCCCAGGCATGTATTGGGTACCAGGACCATAGAAGGTGCTCAGTCAATGTCAACTAAATGGAAAATGAGTGTGTAGCCATATGCTAGGTTTACATTAGTCTATTTTAAAAATAACCAGTAATTTGAAAGATACAAAGAATAAATTAACAACAGAGAGATATACCAAGAACAGAAGCAGCCCGTGTGACTGTGACATTAATGAAATCTGTGCTGTTGGGAAGGCTTGCTGGGGAGCAGTGCTGGCTTTAGGGTTACATATCTGATTTTTGCTTCTTAGATCATTATCGAATGGTAGTAAAAGCTGCATTTCTGGGTCTGGCTGGAGCATTCACATGTCGAAGAATCCCAGGAAAGACAGCATGAGCTGTTTTTTTGGCAAGTTTCTTAAAGAACTTTTGTCTGGAACTTGCTTTGTTGATGGAAATAGTCCTTTACTTCAATAGCCAGAGTATAAAATTAGAAATAAGGAGAACGAATTAGGGAGAATCTGTTGAAACAGAGATTTTTTTCTTCAAGACAAAAATATAGGACATTGGCTCCTTAGTATTGTAAGAAACTCTTTGTTTTCAGAATGCCAACTGTTACATACTTGTTTTGTTTAGTGTACTATATTTTAGAAAGTGTCTATACATTTGGTTCGACACCAAGCCTTGGAATCTTAAGAGGAACACCAGTGCGAATGCTATTCTAATCAGTTGCCCCATACAGTTTCTTAGTCTGTACTTCATGATTTTGTCACGTATTTCCTTTTATGGTGTCAGAAAACGCAATGCAGGCAGCAAGCAACTATTAAAGGCAGTTCACCTGATTAAAAGGGTATGCCATCCCAAAGCAGATGAGGATACAAAAGGCTTGTTCATGCTGTGTTAAGCTACAGTTGCATACAATCCTATCCCCTGAGTTTTTCTTCACTATTCTCAGATTCTTCATGCTGCCAGAACACAAGAGCTAGAAGCTTTCTGACTCTGTAGAGATAGAATTTCTACATTTCTAGAAACACAAGAATTACCAGAAGATGCATTAAAAGAACATACAATGGAAATAGCACGGTGGCTCATGCTTGTAATCCCAGTGCTTTGAGAGGCAAAGGCGGAAGGGCCACTTGAGGCCCGGAGTTCAAGGCCAGCTTGGGCAACATAGTGAGACCCTGACTCTTTAAAAAAAAAAAAAATAGCCAGGCACTGTGGCACATGCCTGTAGTCCTAGCTACTTGGGAGCCTGAGGCAGGAGAATTGCTTGAACCCAGGAGATCAAGACCTCAGTGAACTATGACTGTGCCACTGCACTCCAGCCTGGGTGACAACAGAGAGAGATTGTCTGCCCCCAACCCCCCCGAAAAAAGTGTAGGGAGAAAGCATCTCAAAAGATAAAAGTATCTAGGTCACAACCTCTTAGTGCCTTTGATTACACATTTGCAAAGAGGATATAGTACCCTCTAGTCCCAGAGTTGTGAGATTCCAATGACAGAGCAATAATTAAGGCCAGGTACATTGCATATATTGTCTCCCAATATCAACAACCCCGCAAGTTAGCCCTTCTTATTGTGCAGATGAGAAACAGGAAAGTTAGAGAAATTGAGTAACTTGATCTATATCACTAACAACTAGCAGAGCTTAGATTCAAGCACGGTCTGTCTGACTCCTAATCACTAGCCGATATCCTAAACAGCATCTAACATGGGGCCTGCCTGGCACATGGTTGGTCCTCAATATATGTTTTTTATTCATTGGAGGAAAAAAATCTAGCAGTAAAAGAAAATGTCTTGGGGAAATGATAGATTTTATGGAGTAGTTTAATTTTTCTTGTGACAAGAATGGATACTTTTTCTTCCCAGTTCTTTCAGGACTGACAGGATATCATTTGAGGTTAAGTGTAATTAAGACAGCAACTTTAATGAAATGACAATTTTTGAAATTTACTGTTCTTAAAAAAATTAGTACAGCAACGATATTAATTCTAGTATAATTGTTGGAGGAACTGTCTTACAGTCAGTGCTGAAATGCCTGCTAATCTTGTTATCAAATAAGAATTCTAAATTTTATCAATACCCACTTTATGAGCAATTTCAGCATTAATTAGATTAAAAAATGTTTATTGTGTGTCTGCTATGTGTGAGGCATTGCTTGCCTCATTTAGCAACAAAATAATTAGCTCGTGTTATATTTGAGAAATCTGAATTATAGGGAAGTGTATTCTAGATATAGATCATGTCTTTTAGGACCATTTAAATCTAATATTTATTGCACTTGTGCCAATTTTCAAGTTCTCCAAGTTGTTGAGATTATTGCCAATAAGAATACTGTCTTTGTTCCAGGGCATGAACGTTTGGATGCTAAGTGTCAGGGTTCATCTAAGGTAAGAAGTAGGCTTTGAAGTTGCCTGATGTGTTACTTGATTTCTTCTTTAAAAAAATTTAATTTTTTTTAGAGACAGGGTCTAGCTCTGTTACCCAGGCTGGAATGCAGTGGTGCAATCTCAGCTCACTGTAAAACTGCCAGGCTCGAGCAATCTTCCTGCCTTATCCTCCCGACTACTAGTGTGCCATTTGAATTGTCTTCCTAACAACTGATGTGGCAAAGAATCTAAGATCATGTTCTCTCAATGCACCACACACATGACAATATTTCATCCCCACTGTTAGTTATATGGACTCCCAGAAATAAAGTTTACCTTACTGAACAAGTTTTCTTTCTTTGAGTTGAGAAGTCTCCATTAGAGATTAGGTATCCAGGAGGATTTGGGTCAAAGCAGCAGAGGATGAGCTCCAGTAGCATTGAGAGAGAGGCCTCAAATCTGATTGCATATTAGAATTATCTGGGGCAGGTTTATAATTGCCAGTGCCTGGGCCTCTCCCAGAATAATTAAATGAAAATCTCTGGGATTGGGGCCCAGGTGCTGGTATTTTTAAAAAGCCACCAGGTGATCCTAATGTGTTCCCAAGGTTCAGAACTAGTGATCTATGTAATAGCTAGAATTTCTTAGTTTAGGCAATTAATGTAAAGGTGTTTTCAAATAGTGCCTTTTCAAGAGGCATGTTGTGAAACACTGTATTTATGTTATCAAGTGGCTCACCAAAATAATGAGAACATTTTTAGATTGATGCTTGGATAACTACGGTAGCAGTTACATAATTTTCCAAATACCTAATAGGACTGCACTATGATAGTTAGCTGGATGTTCCTTGAGCTGTAAAACAGGGTACAAAGACAATCGTTTTCATTTTTTATTGGAGTTTGATTAATATTCTCTCTGGGTCGATGCGACCTTGGAATTAAACAGTGAGGATTGCATGGTCCATTTGCCAGGATCTACATATTTTATCTTTAATTCTCCCAATTATGAAGGCCTGGCTAAGACTTCTGCTTGGATCCTAAATGAGGCACTCATCATAATCTTGTCCTTCCATTGGTGCATGGTTTATCACACACACAAAAACTCACCTAACTTTAAAAGGAGGTGAAGAGGACATATGCAGGGAGGACATTGGGGTTTTTATTCCAAGATAAGTGAGTTGTACCATCTGTGGACAGGCATAGCAGTAAGTGGAATATTACTTGAAGCATTTTATCAGAACCTCTTTGCTACAGTTTGGATGTTTGTTCCCTCCAAAGCTCATGTTGAAATTTGGTTGCCATTGTAATAGTATTGAGACACAGTATCTTTAACAGGTGATTAGGCCATGAAGGCTCCACTCTTGTGGGTGGGTTTAACGCCTTTAAAAAATGGCTCTGGGAGTGGGCTCTGTCTCTCCCATGTGTTTTCTTGCCCTTTGCTTTTCTGCCATTGAATGCCGCAGATAGAAGGCCCTCACCAGATGCGAGTCCCTCAGCCTTGGACTTCCAGCTTCCAGAACTGTAAGAAACAAATTTATTTTCCTTGTAAATTACCCAGTCTCAGGTAGTCTGTTTAGCAGCAGCAAACAGACTAAGACATTCTACCATCAGATTTGTGTTTCCCCAATGACATTGGAGTTCAAGGTCCATTAGTGAGATATGGACAGGTACAGTGTGTTAGTGCAGATGAACTATTCAATCTCATTTTGGAGGGTTTCCATCATAAAACACAAATGATTTAGTCAAAGCAGCATCTTCTGAATTTCTTAGCTGACTTATAAAAACAAATAAGCCACTTTCTGTCTTTATTATTTTCTTCCCAGGAAGGGAGCTTTACAGTCATGAGGGTAGTAAATAAGTATTACTTTTTAAAGAAGCTCTGGAGCTATGGGGATTTAATAAATAGTTCATTGCTTCCCTATCTCCACCAAAATCTCTTCACTCTAACTGCAGCCTTGAAACCCAAGTGTTCGGGTTTGGACTTTTTTTTTTTTCTTTTGAGACACAGCGTCACTCTTGCCCAGGTTGGAATACAGTGGTACGATCTCGACTCATTGCAACCTCTGCCTCCTGGGTTCAAGCGATTCTCCTGCTCCAGTCTCCGGAGTATAGCTGGGACTACAAGCACCTGCCACCACTTGCCCAGCTAATTTTTGTATTTTCAGTAGAGATGGGGTTTCACCATGTTGCTCAGGCTAGTCTTGAACTCCTAGCCTCAAGTGATTCACCCACCTCAATCTCCCAAAGTGCTGGGATTACAGGCGTGATCCACCGCTCCTATCTAGGTTTTGGACTTTTAATCTACCTCTTCTTAATACCCTTCCCTCTTCTCTAAAAGCAAGATATATTTATAGCCTATTTATTACTTTGGGATCAACTTCAAATGTTTATTTTTGGATAAGATGAGTGAGTTACAAAACTAGCAACCTGCAAAGTGTTTGAAAGTTTAACTGCTATTTTTTCGGTTATCCATTCACCCATTCAATGAATATTATTGAGGTGCTACTATGTGCCAGGCACTTCTAGACATGGTGGGGATATTATAGTAAATGGAACAGATGGCAATCCTTGCACACATGGAATAGTGAGGGAAAGAAAGTCACAGAGGCTGACACCAATCACAAATGGAAAATGATACAAGGTGTGTTAAGGGTTTTAAAAGAAAAATGACATAAAAAATATACAAAAACTTGACTCGGAAATTGTACTTAAGAAATATATCGTAAGGAAATAATTATGTGCCCAAATATGCACGTACTAAAATATTCACTATATTTTTTAGCACAACATTGAAAAGAAGAACTAGTTAAATAAAGTTAAGGACTGATTAAGGACTAGTTAAATTAGATGCTGCAGTCATGTGTCGAATGACATAGAAAGATGCTTACAATACATTAAATGAAAATTGCTGGTTTCAAAATTGTATGATATGATTCCTCTAAAAGAGTAGTTTTCAAGCAGGAGTGATTTTTGCCTCTGAGGGGCCATTTGTGAATGTCTGGAGACCCTTTAGGTTGTTACAAGCAGGGTGGAGGTTGGTGCTACTGGCCTTTAGTGATTAGCAGTCAGGCATGCCGCTGAACATCCTGCAATGCACAGGACAGCCCCCTACCACAAGTAATTATTTGGCTCAAAACGTCAGTAGTACTGAGATTTAGAAATCCTGCTTTTAAACAATTACAAATACCATTGCAAGGACAAATATTTTCTGAATAAATAGCATTATGGATGTTTTAAATGTTATTTTTCTTTGTGTGTTAATTCAGATGTTGCTTTAAATGAGAAGTACTGACTTTGTAATTAAAAACAAAAACTATTTTAAAATGTGCTAAATTTTGGACCTATCTCAGCCTGAGAAGGTTTTTTTCTAAAAAGGTTCAGGCATCTTTTTATTTTCCTACTGCTCTCCTTACCTGTGCACACCTCATTGCCTGTATCTGTGATGCCTCTATTTGGAGGGAACCTGGGTTATGCCTGGGCCTGGTTTACTCCCATAACATGGGTTGCTGTACTTGCCCACTTAATTGTGAGCTCTATCCATCCAGGAAAGTAATCTGTTCCTTATTTTGAATAGCGTGTTCTTAGAAGTTCATGGGTTCTAATTGAAGGAAACTAGAGGGACCCCTTCCATCCTTCAGCAAGGGTCCCCAAAGATAGGCAGGGTGCCCAGAGAATGCCTCAACTGCTGAGAACTCCACCCTTTCAGGTCCAGTGCAGGCTCATCTCCAGAAAAGCTGGGTTAGAGTTGTCTCACTGTTTGGGTTGGAATATTGTGATTTCTAGGAGTGGAAATGCACTTGCTAATTTAGCTATCTCCTCTTTATAAGACGCTCATGGAAATAAAGATTAGCCATAAAATACCTTTAATGAGCTTCCAAATTTTATCTGCAAGGAACCCAGGGCCTGTGGCATTATACTGGTTTGTAGAAGACTCCTGTGGTGTCTGCAGAAACTTTCTCTGGTGAATATCTAGAATTTCCATTACTTTGAATGTGTACATGTTATTAATCAAGGAATTAATCATCCCCATTCTCTTTGATTGAAAGTCACATTACCTTGGAAGGACAAGGTGTTGTCAAATGGGCAAGGCAGATCATATGTTTTCTTTTACTGGACTCCTTATTTTTCTAATTACAGCCTGTGTATCCTGTGCTAGAGAGCCTCTTGAAATTAACTTAATTTACTATCACACTTGTAACATACCCATTTATTTGGGCCTGTGAATATGTGTGCACTCCATTTGATTACATCTAATGTTCTCCCTAAATAAAGAGTACAATTAATTCATTAGAGGATGGTTTGTTTCCAGGGGTAAGTGCCAGTTTATGATGATTCCATCAACACTTGCACCACATTAATTTATTTCCAATTTAATCAGTGTTTAAATTGAACTGGGATCAGGCAGAACAAAACACATGGTTTTGCATAATTATAATGGAGCAAATGGAAATAGTCATAGCACTTCAGCATTAGAAACCTCACTGCAGAAGCACAGATGGGTTAGGAGATGTTGATTAAAAAAGATGTCTAGGAATAAATCCTCTGTAAGCACTGTATTAAAATCCAAGTGCCTGCAGGACAAGCGACTTTGCATTAATTACTAAAAAATTTCTTATTCTGGGTATAGCTTTCTGTAGAAATCCTACAGATTGAGTAAACTGTGGAGGCACTCCTTTTCATGCTCCATTTAACTTAAATTATTAGCTGGTTCAGAAAGTTGTTTCTTCCCAGACTTGTCTAGGAAGTTCAATATTTAGCAATTACCCCTTTGTGCTTCTCGAACCTTCTCCAAGCCAGTGTCGTTGAAGGACAGATTTGCCATGTGGGAAGGTGGGCTACCTTGGAAAACAGATTTTTGGTTCGGAGCTTGTCTGAAACTCTCTAGATTAAGAATTGTGGCCGGGCGCAGTGGCTCGCGCCTGTAATCCCAGCACTTTGGGAGACCGAGGTGGGCGGATCACCTGAGGTTGGGAGTTCGAGACCAGCCTGACCAACATGGAGAAACCCCATCTCTACTAAAAATAGGAAATTAGCTGGGTGTGGTGGCACATGCCTGTAATCCCAGCTACTCGGGAGGCTGAGGCAGGAGAATCACTGGAACCCAGGAGGCAGAGATTGTGTTGAGCCGAGATTGCTCCATTGCACTCCAGCCTGGGCAACAAGAGCAAAACTCCATCTCAAAAAAAAAAAAAAAAAAAAAAAAGAGAGAGAGAAAGAAAAAAAAAGAATTGCACTGGATGGGTTTGCTCCTTCAAAACTAACAGGAGAGAGAGGCTGAACAAATGGTGTTCTTCAGGCAAGGGGCTTCCTGACGTGTAGTCATTTGTTAACTGCCCGAGTTTTGGTCTTAGAATTTCTTTTCCCTCTCCTCCTCTTCCTTCTTAATAAATCATCACAAATACAGTTGAAGTCTCCCCTTCCACACTGTGTTCCATTTCTCTCCATTCAGAGAACCCCTAGAGAACCACCCCCTTTTTTTAAATTAAAATTTATTTTGAAATAATTTCAAACTTAGAGAAAAATCACAAGGACTGCACAAAGAACTCCCCATATCCCCTTTAAAGGAATAATGATAATAATAAAGTGTTTTTAATTCCTGGCATGTATTTTATTGGAGGCATTTCTGTGATTGGAACGGGAGTTGAGGCAATGTCAGATGTATTATAACAAAGTAAATTCCTTAAATTGTCGCGCAGTGAAACATTAACAGCAGTAACTACCCTTTCAAATTCCTTTTAGTTTTCAATAGAAAGGGCCAGAAAGTGCCTTTACATTTTTGTCTTGGAACAACTCTGCAATTTCATCTTGATTTAATATTTCTAGTAATAAAGCATCTTCCGACTCCACATTCTTATCTCTGGGCAGACATTTTATTCTTAAGAATTGTAGTGATTGATAAGAAGCTAAATGGAAATGATTAACGTGTCAATGATTAATAATTATAACAACATTCAAACACTTAGAAATTATAGTATTTCATCAGATGTCTTTTTAAAGAGGCATTTCTGGCCAGTTGTGGTGGCTGACCTTTGGGAGGCTGAGACGGCTGGATCACTTGAGGTCAGGAGTTCGAGGTGAGACTGGCCAACATGATGAAAACCCTTCTCTACTAAAAAAAAAAAAATACAAAAATTAGCCGGGCATGATGGCAGGCACCTGTAATCCCAGCTACTCAGGAGGCTGAGACACGAGAACCACTTGAACCTGGGAGGCAGAGATTGCAGTGAACTGAGATTGTGCCACTGCACTCCAGCCTGGGGTGACAGAGCGAGACTCAGTCTCCAAAAAAAAAAAAAAAAAAAAAAAAAAAAAAAAAAAGAGGCATTTCTGTGAGAAGAGCAGCAGGTAGGCAAGCCAACTTTCCCAGGGCCTATAGCCCCTTTTCCCCGATTGTAGAGCATCCTTCCTTTGGTCCCCTGTGAGGGGCCAGCAGATTTCTCTGCTCTCTGCGGTGGGGGTGGTGGGTGGGGGGAGAACCACTCTTCTGAAGTGGATATTTACCTTTTCAGGCGTGTTTTCATAATTTAGCTTCGTCAGTCTATATCCACAAACAATATATTATATTATTTTGCAAGTACTTATACTTTTAAAAAATGATCTCATGTGAGGATGTCCTATTGTATCATATTTTTTCACGAAACATTATTATTGTTATATCCATGTTGTGCATACAGGTAGACTTAGCTTATTAATTTAAATGAGGTATAATATTCCATCATATAAATGTACCACAAGTTGTTATCCATTTGCTGAGTGTTAATTTTCCATTAAATAAATGCCTGCTTTCTCACAATTACAATTAGTGAAGATCCTTTCATCTGTGGTTTTGCTGGGATTTGAACTTGAGATCATCTGACCAGTAAGCCCGTGCTTTCCTCATTATATTAAGATTGCCTCTCAAGTAATAGACTTCTATCATAATCCAGGTTGATTTGGTGGAACACATTAGCTAAGTATTTAAATTTGGTAATGCCATTTTCTCTCCAGACAGAAACACTTTACTTATTTCACCAGACATGAAAAGTGGATTTAGTGTCTCAGGGTAAGTTGTCGACTATAGCAGCCACTAGCCCACACGTGGTAACTGAGTGCTTAAAAAGCGGCTAATTACGTGTGTGTGTGTTTAAATATACCTTTCCCCATGGTGCTGAGATGTGTTTTAATTGTAAAAATATATACCAGATTTTGATGGAAAAAGTGTGTAAAATATCATTAATTTTTGGTATTGAAATAATATTTTGGATATATACGTTTAAATAAAAATGTAGCCAGGCGTGGTGGCTCTCACCTGTAATCCCAGCACTTTGGGAGGCCAAGGTGGAGGATTGCTCGAGCCCAGGAGTTTGACACTAGCCTGGGCAACATGGCGAAACCGTCTCTACTAAAAATAGAAAAATTAGCAGGGCGTGGTGTCATGCGCCTGTAGTCCCAGCTACTCGGGAGGCTGAGGTGGGAGGATCACCTGAGCCTGGGACTTGGAGGTTGGAGTGAGCCGAGATCACGTCAGGCCGCTGCACTCCAGCCTGGGCCACAGAGCGAGACCCTGTCCCAAACAAAGTAATGAAAATTGATTTCATCCATTTCTTTCTACTTTGTTAATGTAGCTTCTTGAAAACTTAGCTACATATTGTGGCTATTGGATAGTGCTAGTGAGGGATTTATTAGGTTGAAATGATCAAGTATGTGCTTCTGGGTGCCAGGTGGGGGCAGCAGAGAGTTGCTAGAATCAGGACTCCTAAAGGTGCTGTCCTACCAATCCTAGAGGCTCAGAAAGACAGGATGTCAGTCAGCAAAGGGGTTAAATGGGAACGTAGTCAACAAGGACCCAAGGATCAAATCCTGCATCCTGGTTGAGAGGGATTACAGCTAGGGCCACCTAGAGGAGAGGGGCTGCTTAACAAATGAAACCTCTAATAAAGCACAGTTTTGAAGTCACACAATTCTGTGTTTGAATTTTGACTTTGTTAACTTGGGTAAGTTATTTGACCTCTGCAAATCTCAGTTTTCACATCTGTAAATTGGAGATGATAGTACATATTTATATTTTTTGTTGATGCATGTAAAGAGGTTATCACATATATTGAATATTTTCCATTTTTATTTTCCTTATTTTAATGTGTCATTGAGAAGGCATAAGAAGGTATAAGAAGGTACCTCTTGCCTTTTGAAGCAGTAGACTCAGGCTGCAGGTCTTACCACATATGGGTTTAAAGTGACTCACATAAGGCTCACCATTTCTTATCCACTTTACATCTTCAGGTAGAGATGAGAAAGTTCTCTATTTGGAATGGTATTCCTTGTACATTGGAGTTCTTACTGTTTTATCTCTTGCCAAACAAAAGCCTTAAATAAATTTCTTTTTTTTTGGCTCTCAGCTGGGTAATGCATGCATTTGTTCATCACAGAAGTTGCCCCGTCCTGTGTTAAGCAAGCCTTAGGGATGCAGAGATGAATGAAATGTAGTCAAAATACCTACAGCTAGGTGAAAGAGCTAGATGAAGGTCACCTAGCTATGACACAGTGTGACAGGCACCAAAGTCAAGTTATGAGAAAGTTAATTCCATGGGGAGGGCAGCGAGGGTTTCAGCGATGGCCTTGAAAAGGAGAGGACGTTATTGAGCTCCTCATCATCCCATTTTCTAAAATTCCCAGTCTTCCAAGTTTCAATGACTTTCATCTCTACCAATCACCAGCAAAGCGACAGGCTAGAATGCATCACCAATAGAAACTGCTTTATTTTTTAAGTCCTGAGCTCTGATTTTTCTCTCAGTACTGCCCAATATCTCTTATCCTCCTAACTCTGTTTAGGAAACTTTTATTGAGCAGTTTATAAGTACAAAGATGGTGTTTCTTCATAGGCATGGGCCTTCACACTCTTGCTATGATTCTTCTTACTGCATTGATTGCCTCCACACAGACCTCAGGAAACTGAATAGTGTTTCTTCCTGTTTGCTCTCTAGGTAGAAGACAGTAGACATGGCTCTGTCCAGAATTATTGCTTAGATCATTTTCCCTTTCCACGGAGTTCCAGATGTGTCAATTTGGAATGCTGTTCTTTTTTGAAATATTTGCAATTTAAATATATAATTAAAAGCTAATGATCGGGCATCTGCTTATAATAGGAGAATTTGGTTCTGCAGGTTTCTGTTAGACTGCAGTCATATTATTGACAACACTGGCATTCTGAAGAAAAGCCTTCCAATATGGCTTCAGGTTGTAAACCATTAGGTTGGTACTATTCTTTAATGAAGTGGTCTCTAAAGTGGGATGTGGCTATTCAGGGGCTTGCAAGGTAATTCAAAGGGATTCAGAAAGAAAACATTAAGCTATTATTTATATTTAGCTTTTAATCATCCTTTTATAACATATATGTTTTGTGTATGCTTTGTAATGTTTGTGCCACAATACAAGTATATAATAAATGTACATATACTAAGGGTGAGCAAAATTTTTTAGTGATGGGGCACACATAATCAAAGAATTCTGTAGACAACTAACTGCCCTAATGTGTTAGAATTTTTGTGATTTCTAGTGACAGAAACCCAACTCAAAAGAGCTTCTAGAAAGAAGGCACTTATTGGCATTCCATACTGAAAAGACCAGATGTGCAGTTAGCCTCAGGTACGAGGGGCCAGACACTTTGTGGTGTTGTCAGGGTGCACACACTCTGTCCGTCAGCTGTGTATGTGGGGAAAGATGGCAAATTGAGCTCTGAACTCACACTCTTCCAACTTACCACCCAGTGGCAAGAGACTCTCTTCCTTGGCATTCCAGACTGATTGGTATGAGTGGGTCCCATTCTCGTATCTGAACCAATCACTGTGGTCAGTGGGAATGGAATATTCAGGTTATCTGGATTGATCCTGTTCTTAGGGAAAGGAAGCAATATGGTTTGGCTCTGTGTCCCCACCCAAATCTCACCTTGAATTGTAATAATCCTCACGTGTCAAGGGTGGGACCAGGTGGAGGTCATTGAATCATGGCAGCGATTTCCCCCATGCTGTTCTCGTGTTAATGAGCGAGTCTCACGAGATCTGATGGTTTTATAAGCATCTGGCATTTCTTGTGCTGGCACATTCTCTCTCCTGCCGTCCTGAGGAGGTGCTTTCCGCCATGATTGTAATTTTTCTGAGGCCTCCCCAGCCATGCAGAACTGTGAGTCAATTAAACCTCTTTCCTTTGTAAGTTACCCAGTCTTTGGTATTTCTTCATAGCAACGTGAGAATGGACTAATATGGGAGGATATGGAATAACCCCGTGGGAACCACATGGTAAAGGTTTCTGCCAGGAAAGAAAAAGGGGATCTAGGAAAGTGGACAGACTGAACATGTAGCATTTTCAATGAAATTAGAACTGATTGCCACGGGAGAGGTCAGGACAAAGTAGCCAGTCCAAAGATGTTAAGATCCATAACCCAATCAGTAACATTTACAAAAATAAGTGAGCATGAGAAACTGAAGTGAGCTGCCAGGTTCATTCCTAGGATGAGAAAAGTTGTATGTTACATGTGTATTAAGGTGACACCACCAAGTCTAGGTTAACATTGCTTTTGAAACCCCATGTTAAAGAAAGGCTGAGATGTAATTTCTCCCCTTCTAGCACTGCCAGTCAGCTTTCTCAGAGTGAACCTTGCGGTGCTTATCATATCAAAAGCTTTGGGGTCAGAGTGGCCCTGGTTTGCATCTTGATTCTGCCACACACTAGCTGTGTATATGCTGGCCAGTTTACCAGAAGTCTCTTAATCTCACTGACTTCACTTGTACCTCTCTGGTAGGGCTGTTGGGAAGAGAATATCCAGCATAGTTCCTAGCACTTGATAAACAGGAAGTTTTATGTTGTTACTGCTAATGCTGACGTTTTCCTCTTCAATGAGTTTGGTCAAATTCCTAGTTTGGGATCCAGGCAGGGTTGATTCATCTTTGGAAACCTCACTGAGTCTCCAACAAACCTGGCATGTAGTAGGTGTTCAATAAATAACCGTTGAATAATGAATGAGGGAATGATTGTAGCTTATTTTGTTTCAAATCTTTCCCAAAGGGTTCCATTATGAAATACTGCTTAAACTTGCAGCTCTACCAGAGAACAAATTATTCTTTGAACAAGAAAATTATTTCTTAGTGTTTTCCCTCTAGCCTTCTGAAATGTGGACCAATATTACTGCAGGGAAACTTTTCAGTGTATTGGGATTTTAGCACGGGCTTTCTGCTGAAGTATACAATTTTTCATGGCTTATTTTTACACCTCATAAAATATTTTGATCTGTTTTCCTAAACTGACCATGGAAGACCTGAGTAGCTGTCCTCACCGACTTTTCCGGAGACCCTTTCTCACTAGAGAAGAGCTGAGAAAGCTGACCTGGTCTGTAATGGTCTGAGATGCTTGAAAAATCAACTTGGGAGTAAAAGGTACAGGTTTTCTTGGGCCAACTTTGGACCACTCTTGTGACTCTCAATGTAGAGGAAGTTGCCATGGAAAACAATCATTTAAAAGACACACTGTTCTTTTGGGAGATGGTGATCAAGAGGAAAGTCGTATATATTTTCTTACATGCTACTGAAGGACTGACTCATTTTTGATAACCCGTATTTGCCCAAGAATCTGGTATACTCGAGTTTTTGGCTAAAGGGAAGCAAACTAGTAACCTGCCCAAGATGCTGGCAGAACTTCAGCCTTGGGAAAATGTTGAGGTCTCCAGGACTCTCAACTCTAACCCCAAACTTCATGCTTGCTGAAGACACAGCAATAATACTGGAAGGGCTGGCCAGCTGCCAAGAGAACATTCCTGTCACCCTGATTTTAAGAGTAAAACAGACAAATGAAGTTGGTGACTTCAGGTCTAATGATTGACCACAGCCAAAGTCACTTTGGATTTTTCTTCTAAAGATAAGAAAAACTACTGGGAAGATGAGACATTCTTTCGGTCTGATCTACAGGAGGAATTGTGTTTCCAGACGGCAATGTAGCTTTGCTCCCCTGCTGGAGAGGAGAAAAATAAGTAATAGGGTTTGTGTGAACTGGGCAGAAAATAAGGGCCTGAGGACCCAGGCTGACGAATGGTGAGCAGAGGAGGGCATGAAGTGGGCTTCTGCTGAAGGTGCGGTGGAAAGGCTGCGCATCTCTCCGGCTGACCTTACTGCTGCAATTTGCACGGATGTGAAATGAAATACAAGCAGGTAGGCGAACCCGCTGAGGCCACTGACAGCCATGTGACAGCCTACCAGTCAGGGTGAAATGTCTCCAAGGCAGTGACAAGAGCTGTAACAGGGAATATTTTCACCAATAAGAGAAGCTAAGGACCTAGGACAGACTCCAGGCAAGCTCTCTGATGGAAATACAAAAAGGGATGGCTTTGCTCTCTTCTGCCCTCATTTTTTCCCATCTCCATTGTTAGTCCTGCCAACAGAAGGCAGTGGGCTTACAGACATGGGTTGAATTATTCAGCTGTTGATTTTGAATAGAAAAACACTGTGAAAGAAAATAATCATGAAAAATGTGTTTACGAGGAAGACTTGGGATATTTTTCATCAATAAAGCATCAAGAAGCGATTTCAGATTATATACCAGGGAATGGAGCAAATATGACTCAGGTTCTGTAACTTTTAGAACTAGCTGTCTCCCCAAATACCATGAGATTTCATTCAGTGGTGATTGCAACCTGGCATTTTTACAGAGATCTAAACTTTTTCAGGGTACGTTTGCATAATTCTTTCATTTAAGGTGTGTTACAACCCTGCACAGTTTGAAGGGCCCATATTATTATTCCCCTAGGATAGATGATCAAACTGAAACTCATAAAGGCCCCACAGACTTGCTCAAGGTCACATACCCAGTTAAAGGTAGCCCTAGGGCTGGAACCCAGGCCTCCATTCTCTTAGCTGTTTTCATGTCATCACACAATGCTACCTCTGTTTCAGCATAATAACATCTCCTGCTTTGACCTGGACCAGTTTGTAGATAACCCAGCCTTTCAGAGAAACATGCTGGAGCTTCCTCTGTGGGAATTCCAGCATATCTTGGTGTTCAGAAAGGCAGCTAGATGCTAAGAGTGGGAGGAGGCTTATACTGCTCCTTTCCAAGAGGGACAGGATAGTTTGAACAGACTTGCAAGGGGAACGTTTCCTCTTCAAAATCTTTGTTTTGTAAAAATAGACGCCATTTGGTAGCAGCCTAGTGTAGAGATAATTAGAGTGGCTTGAATAAATTGAGCTCCTCTCAGGTAGTTTTATTTCTCCAACACTATGCTTAAAGAGTTTTAAATGACCAAGATTTCTCAAAATATTATTAAGTAGGAAATGAGCAAATACAATTCCAACTACTTTTATGAATCCAATATTGTAATAATGTTTCTTAGTCAAATAAAAATACATTTACCTAGAACATAAATACATAGGAGAATGGGTAAAGGCAGCTATATCCTTAGAAATAATGTTTTATCTTCCCTTCATAGACATTTATTTGGTATCAAAAGATAATAACTAGGCTCTATTTCCTGTGAATAATTCCAGCAGTAAAGAACAAATTTCTTTTTTTTTTTATTATGTTTTAAGTTTTAGGGTACATGTGCACAATGTGCAGGTTTGTTACATATGTATACATGTGCCATGTTGGTGTGCTGCACCCATTAACTCGTCATTTACATTAGGTGTATCTCCTAATGCTATCCCTCCCCACTCCCCCCATCCCACGACAGGCCCCAGTGTGTGATGTACCCCTTCCTGAGTCCATGTGTCCTCATTGTTCAATTCCCACCTATGAGTGAGAACATGGCGGTGTTTGGTTTTCTGTCCTTGCGATAGTTTGTTGAGAGTTATGGTTTCCAGCTTCATCCATGTCCCTACAAAGGACATGAACTCATCATTTTTTATGGCTGCATAGTATTCCATGGTGCATATGTGCCACATTTTCTTAATCCAGTCTATCATTGTTGGACATTTGGGTTGGTTCCGAGTCTTTGCTATTGTGAATAGTGCCGCAATAAACATACGTGTGCATGTGTCTTTATAGCAGCGTGTTTTACAATCCTTTGGGTATATGCCCAGTAATGGGATGGCTGGGTTAAAAAAAAAAACAAACAAATTTTTATTTTTTTTTTGAGGACTCTCATTTGGTTTTCCATTGGTAAGGCTGCATACAATATAATTTAGGATTCCTTTTTTCAATCACTGGCCATTTGCCATAGGGGAAACCAGTGTTCCATCACTCATCCAAAAATGGGCATTTGTTTGTAGTAACCATTATTGTGGGCCTTGGGGAGCTGTTTAAGATGAAACACTATTCATGACTCTCTCCCTTTCCTCAAGACCAAGAGTTGGTTATCATCAGGTATCGCACCAACAGCACAGACAGGGGACAGGACGTTGCTGTCTCAGGCATTTGTTCTGGATCGGGGTTCAGATTTCCTCCTTCACAAAGTCTGCAGCTTTATGGAGCTGCTGTAGGGACTTTCCCTGCTTGACTGGATTCTCAGTGGCATAGATTCTGCTTGTGGGCAGGCCTTGGCCACAGGGTGGGGACCTTGGCCACAAGGACCTGCAGGCCACTTATGGGCCAGGCTGAATTGAACAGCATATTTACTGAGAGTGGCAAGAGGCATCCTAACTAGGAACTGAGTGCCAAATCATAGTCCAGAGCTGAAACAGGGTCTTGGAGCTGGAGAAGTGGTCTGGAAGGTAAAGTAATACTATAAACAGGAAACAGAGCTGGTAGAATGAGAAAAGAGTGGAGAGTTGAGGGGGAGTTGGGTTGGGGTGTGTCACTTAGGACAGAGGCACTGAATAAGCAGAGGTTCTTCTGGAAGCCCGCAGAAGCATCCTAAGAAGGGTGTACTTTATCTGTTCAAAGCAAAGGCTAATTGCAACAAAACAGCCCTTTCTTTTATAAAAAATTAATATTAAAAAACTATAATTGTATGCGTTTATGGGGATGCAATGTGATGTTTTGATATATGCAATGTGGAATGATTAAATCAAGCTATTAATAATTAATATGTCCATCATCTCCTTTGCCTGTCATTTTTATGGTGAGATATTTGAAATTTACTCTCTTGGTTATTTTGAAATATGTAATACGTTATTATTAACTATAGTCACCTTGCGGTGCAATAGATCTCAATACTTATTCCTTCTATCAAACTTTGTATTCTCTGACCAGCAACTCCCCATCCCCTCCCTCACCTCACCACACAGCCTCTGGCAACCATGACTCTACTCTCTATGAGTTGCTATATAATTCACATTCCTACTAACAATGTACAACAGTTCCCCTTTTTCTACATCCTCAACAACATGTATCTTCCATCTTTTTGATAAAAGGCATTCTAACAGGTGTGAGATGAAATCTCACTGGGGTTTTAATTTCTCTAATCATTAGTGATTTTGTGTATTTTTTCATGTCTGTTGGCCTTTTGTATGTTGTCTTTTGAGAAATGTTTGCTCAGGTTCTTTGCCCATTAAAAAAATGTGGTTGTTGGCTGGGTGCGGTGGCTCATGCCTGTAATCCCAGCACTTTGGGAAGCTGAGACGGTGGATCACGAGGTCAGGAGATGGAGACAATCCTGGCTAACATGGTGAAACCCCGTCTCTACTAAAAATACAAAAATTTAGCCGGGCGTGGTTGCGGGCGCCTGTAGTCCCAGCTACACTGGAGGCTGAGGCAGGAGAATGGCGTGAACCCTGGAGGCGGAGCTTGCAGTGAGCCGATCACGCCACTACACTCCAGCCTGGGTGACAGAGCGAGACTCTGTCTGAAAAAACAAACAAAAAAAAAAAACCAAAAAAAACCTGGTTTTTTCTTGTTATTGAATAGTTTGAGTTCTTGAGTTCTGTATATATTTTGTATATTAACCCCTTGTCAGATGCATGTTTTGAAAATATTTTCTCTTATTCTGTGGGCTGTCTCTTTACTCTGTTTTTTCCTTTGTTTGCGGAAGCTTTTTAGTTTGATGCAATTACCTTTGCTTGATTTTACTTTAGTAACCTGTTCTTTCAGGGTTATATAGAAAAAAGCTGTTTCCCAGACCAATGATGTAGAGCTTTTTTCCTGTGTTTGCTTCTAGCTGTTTTACAGTTTCAGATCTTACATTTAAGTTTTTAATCTATTTTGAGTTATTTTTGTATATGATGTGAGACAAGGATCTAATTTCATATCCACTTTTCCCAATATCACATTTATTGAAGAGACTCTCCTTTCCCCATTGTATATTCTTGGCAACTTTGTTGAAAATCAGTTGACCACAAATGTGTGGGTTTATTTCTGGGCTGGGCTTTTCCATCCTGTTCCATTTGTAGATGTGTCTGTTTTTATGTGATACCATGCTGTTTTGATTACAATTGGTTTATAATATATTTTGAGATCAGGTAGTGAGATGCCTCCAGCTTTTTTTCTTTTTGCTCAAGATTGTTTTGGCTATTTGTGGTCTTTTGTGGTTCCATACACATTTAAGGATTGTTTTTTCTATTTCTGTGGAAAATGACATTGGAATTTTGATGGGAATTTTGTGTTAAAACTGTAGATTGCTTTGGGTAGTGTGGACATTCTAACAATATTAATTCTTTCAATCTATCAGTATGGAATATCTTTCCACTTACTTGTGTTTTCTTCAGTTTCTTTAATCAGTATTTTATAGTTTTCAGTGTACAGGTTTTTTACCTCCTTAGTTAAATTTACACCCAAGTATTGAAATTTTTTTGTTACTGTTATAAATAGAATTATCTTGATTTTCTTTTTTCTTTTTTTCCAGATAGTTTATTTCTATACAGTAACAGTACTGATTGTTGTATGTTGATTTTTGTATCCTGCAACTTTACTGAATTTTTATCAGTTCTAACAGTTTTTGGGAATATCTAAGGTATTTGGGGTTTTCCATATATAACATCATGCCATCAGCAAACATAAACAATTTAACTTCTTCCTTTCCTATTAGGGTGCCTTAATAAAAAAATCTTGCCTAATTTATCTGTCTAGGACTCCCAGTACTATGCTGAATAGAAGTGGTGAGAGTGAACATCTTTGCCTTGCCCTTCATCTTAGAGTAAAAGCTTTCGGTTTTTCACCATTGAGTATGACGTTAGCTATGAGTTTGTCGTATATGTCCTTTATTATGTCCTTCTATAGCTAATGTGTTGAGAATTTTTGTTATGAAAGGATGGTGAATTTTGTCAACCACTATTTCTGCTTCTGTTTGGATGATCATGTGATTTTTATCCTTCATTCTGTTAACGTGGTATATTACTTTCATTGACTTGCATTTACTGAACCATCATTTTTTCCTGGGAGAAATCTCACTTGATTATGACAATTATTCTTTTAATGTTGTGGAGTTAGGTCTGCTAACATTTTGTCGAGCGGTTTTGCACCTCTGTTCACCATGGTCTATAATTTTTGCACCTCTGTTCATCATTGGTCTATAATTTTCTTGTAGAGTCTTTGTCTGGCTTTAGTATCAGGATAATGCTGGCCTCCTAGAATGAGTTTGAAAGTATTCCCACCACTTCAGTTTTTTGGAAGAATTTGAGAAGAATTGGAATTAGTTCTTTAAGTGTTAGGTAAAATTCAGCAGTGAAACCATCAGGTCCTGGGCTTTTCTTGGGTAGACTTTTTATTATTGATTCAATCTTCTTACTCATTATTAATCTGTTCAGATTTTCTGTTTCTTCAGAATTCAGTCTTTGTATGTTGTATGTGTCTAGGAATTTATTTCTTCTAGATGATCCAATTTGTTAGCATAAAATTGTATGTGGTGATTTCTTACGATCCTTCGTATTTCTGTGGTATCAGTGAAAACATTTTCTAAGGAGAAAGTTAGGAAACACCTCCTGTCTGGGCTCAACAGTAAACAGTCCATTAAGTGGATGATGGGAGACACTGTTTCTGAGTTTGTTGCCACAAGACATCAGGAGAAGGGTAGATAGAAGAGGACCAAGGTGATGGCAAAACCAAGCTCTGGGTAGACACTAAAAGAAATCAACCTAAATTATTCTGTTTTTCAGGCTCTGTGAGTAAGATGCAAAAAACTCAGAACAGGGATTTAATTCTTTTAACAAGGCTTGAGGTTTCTCTAGACAAAAATTTCGCCAGATTGGAGTTGCTGTGTAATAAATGATTGCGTGGTTTCAAATCTTCAGTGAGGCAGACAGCTGTCTCTCTCTGGGTCTTTCTAATGTCTCTCCACTAACTGCCTCCTGCAATAGAACTTCTCTCAGCCTGGAAAGATTGAATGCATACTTTAGGGGGAAAGAGCAGGCTTTTCAGCACTAATGCTTCTCTTGCCTAACTCCTCATAGTCTGCATTTCATTCACTTCTAGTACAAAGTACCTTAGCTCTGGACTATTTTGGAATTTTTATGCAAGGAGTTTATCATAGAATATTGGAGTTGAAAGGAACATTGGAAATCATCTTGTGTAAAGACATTATTTTACAGATGAGAAGATTGAAGTCCATGGTATTTACCCATAGTGGTAGATGGTAGAGCTGCATTCAGAATACAGGTGTCTTGACTTCATCACAACATAGGTAAGAAATGGGAAATAATGAACTTACTTCAAAGGTGAATTTAATACTTTGTTTTCTTTTGAACTTTTATTTTAGGTTCAGAGGTACATATGCAGGTGTGTTATATAGGTAAACTGCATGTCATGGGTGTTTGGTGTACAGATTGTTTTGTCACCCAGGTAATAAGCATAGTATCCAATAGGTATTTTTTCTGATCCTCTCCCTCCTTCCACCCTCCCCCATCAAGTAGGCCCAGGCACCAGTGTCTGTTGTTCCCCTCTGTGTGTCCATGTGTTCTTATCATGTAGCTGCCACTTAAAAATGAGAACATGTGGTATTTGGTTTTCTGTTCCTGCATTAGTTTGCTTAAAATAATGACCTCCAGCTCCATCCCTGTTGCTGAAAAGGACATGATCTTTTTCTTTTATGGCTGCATACTATTTCATGGTGTATATGTACCACATTTTATTTATACAGTCTACTGTCGATGGGCATTTAGGTTGATTTCATGTCTTTGCAGTTGTGAATAGTGTTGCAGTGAACACACATGTGCATGTGTCATTATGGTAGAATAATTTGTTTTTCTTTGGGTGTATACCCAATAATGGGATTACTGGATTGAATGGTAATTCTATTTTAAGTTTTTTGAAGAATCACCACACTACTTTCCACAATGGCTGAACTAATTTACAGTGCAGTTAGCACCGTATAAGCATTCCCTTTTCTCCACAACTTTGCCAGCATCTCTTATTTTTTGACTTTTTAGTAACACCCTTTTTGACTGGCATGAGTTGGTATCTTATTGTTGTTTTGATTTGCATTTATCTAATGATTAGTGATATTGAGGATTTTTTCATATGCTTCTTGGCCACATGTATGTCTGCTTTTGAAAAGTCTGTTCATGTCCTTTGCTTACCTTGGGGGTTGTTCATTTTTTTGCTTGTAAGTTTGTTTAAGTTCCTTATAGATGCTGGATATTAGACCTTTGTCAGATAGATAGATTGCAAAAATTTTCTCTTATTTTGTAGACTGTTTATTCTGTGGATAGTTTGTTTTGCTGTATAGAAGCTCTTTAATTTATTTAGGTCCTGTTTGTCAATTTTTGTTTCTATTGCAATTGCTTTTGGTGTCTTCATCATGAAATCTTTGCCAGGTCCTATCTCCAGAATGGTATTGCCTAAGTTGTCTTCCAGGGTTTTTATAGTCTTAGTTTTTACATTTCAGTCTTTAATCCATCTTGAGTTGATTTTTGTATATGGTATAAAAAAGGGGTCCAGTTTCAATCTTTGGCAGATGGCTAGCCAGTAATCTCAGCATCATTTATTGCACAGGGAGTCTTTTCCCCATTACTTTCATCAGCTTTGTCAAAGATCAGATGGTTGTAGGTGTGTGGCCTTATTTCTGGGCTCTTTATTCTGTTCCATTGGTCTGTGTGTCTGTCTTGGTACCAGTACCATGCTGTTTTGGTTACTGTAGCATTGTAGTATAATTTGAAGTCAGGTAACGTGATGCCTCCAGCTTTGTTCTTTTTGCTCAGAGTTGCCTTGGCTATTTGGGTTCTTTTTTGGTTCCAAGTGATTTTGATTTAGTTTTTTGAGACAGGGTCTCACTCTGTCACCCAGGCTGGAGCACAGCAGTCAATCTCAGGTCACTGCAGCCTCCGCATCCCAAGTTCAAGTGATTCTTCTGCCTCAAGTCTCCTGAGTAGCTGGGATTACAGGTGCGTGCCACCATACCCAGCTAATTTTTGTATTTTTAGTAGAGACGAGGTTTCACAATGTTGGCCAGGCTAGTCTCAAACTCCTGACCTCAAGTGATCCTCCCGCCTTGACCTCCCAAAGTGCTGGGATTACAGGCGTGAGCCACTGTGCCCGGCCGGCCCCAAGTGATTTTTAAAATAGTTTTTTCTAATTCTGTGAAGAATGTCATTGGTAGTTTGATAGGAATAGCATTGAATCTGTAAATTGCTTTGGGCAGTTTGGCCATTGTAATGATCTTAATTCTTTCCAGCCATGAGCATGGGATGTTTTTCCATTTGTTTGTGTCATCTCTGATTTCTTTGAGCAGTGTTTTGTAATTCTTGTAGAGATCTTTCGCCTCCCTGGTTAGCTGTATTCCTAGGTATTTTATTCTTTTTGTGGCAATTGTGAATGTGATTCAAAGGTAAATTTTAAAGGAATGTGTAGTAAACATGAGAATGCCATCATAGTTTGGGGAAGGTGATTATTTTACTGTTTAAAGTTTTGATTACTAACCTAGATGTGGTAATTAACTTTTAGTAGCTAGTTAAAAGGCAACTGATACAATGTGAACAAAAACTAAAAAGTAGCACTTCACTGTTTGCTCCTAAAACTGGTCAGTCTGCTAAGTTAAAATGAGTTATAATAAAAAAGATTTATTTCTAGGTCAAATATCAATGAATCAGTTTGACTTTAACAGTTCAGTTAATCAAATTCCTACATTTCATAACAAAACCATTGTTTCCTTGTTCCTATAATATTTTTGCCCCAAATCTCTTAGATTTGAGAAGAAATCATCTTGAAATTGATTAGATCAAACTGCTGACTCTACCTCTGTGATCGCTAACACCGATGCCCATTTCACTTCTAGTTGTTTTATCTTTGCCTTTATGCTGTAACTTGTGTAACCAGAGGAGTGGAAGAGGTAAGAAGATTCATCTTGTGCTGTTAATGTTAGGACTGGGGAGAGGAGGGAGTGTTGGGCAGTGGTGTGTAGCTGCAAAAATATTTTGGGGCTATTAACCAATGATCTTTTTTCCTCTGTTGGAAATTTTCGCATTTCTTCATTGGATTTGGTTTCAAAAGCCTCAGGCCATTCTCCAGCAGCTTTCTGAGATGACGAGTCTTGAAAGTAAATTGAGATTTTTGTGTATCTTTTCAACAATTAAAAATTTTCGTTTATGCTTATGTAGAGTTTTATATGAATATATAGCTGTGATCAGAGGACACATGCTTTGAGGCCTTACGTGACTTAAACAGGTCTTTATTTTACCTTCACACTTGGTTGATAGTTTAGCCATATAAAGAGCTTTTGGGGTGATGAAGAACTGGCAACGAGGCTAACCATTTATGCAGAATTTAAAGCAATCCTCCTATTTTCACTCTCCTCTGCACTATCTGGTGTTTCCAGTTCCTGACTTTTTGAAGAAATTCAGATCATGTGATGGCGCACCATATCCGTCCTCTCACCTTCCTCCTGGTTGCTGAGCCTTTGACCACTTCTCCACTAGCCTCCATCTTCATGTGGGTGGTACTTTGGAGGCTCAGGATGGTGCGTATGTATCTGTTTCTGGTTCTAATTGTTTTGAGGTCTTAGATTAAATCTCTCATGCGCCCTTGCTGGAGTTTCCACTTGAGGCTGCTTTTACCAGAGCAGAGAACATGAGAAGGGGCACCAGCAAGCATATGGGCTGGTATTTCCCAAAGAGAACTGAATTATTCCCAGTGGTATAGGAAACCATATCCAGGTAGTACAGCCAGTACACAACCAAGTAGATTTTTGTTTTAATGATGTGCTTATTTTACTGTCTACTAGGAAAAATCATAACCAACCCATTGTGTCAATCAGAATTGCATTTAGGTCTGTGTAAAAGAAAACCCAGAGAACAGTGGCCTAAACACATAGGGACAGGAGTGTTTTTTACATAACAGGGAATTATAGCAAAGGCAGTTTCCCATGAATTTAATAAAGCAATAAGCTCCAGGACCACACACCTGCATGGGCTCCTTTCAAGGCCCTGGGGAGGGCCTAATAATATTGCTTTCCTAATCTTAGATTCTTTTGTTGAGGTTCCCCAAACTGCATAAACTTTAGAACTTAGAAAACCCGTATCCACCCCTATAGTCTGAGGCTGGTACAGCAGCTCTGTGACATTAGTGTCCTAGAAATTAAATATTGTTAAAGTTTTCTGGGTTCAACCCAAGGAGAAAAAGGGAGCTTTGAAGGGCTTTGGAGTGGTCACTTGACAGTGTCTGCCTCATGTATATTTTCATAGATATCATTGCTTAGAATGAGGCTATGAAGAAAGAATGAATAGGTTTAAAGACAAACATTAAGCAAGTTACATTGAGAGCATGTAATCTAAAAAAATTAATTAGGGTGGTATATGAATTAGTAAGTTTGGAAAACAGTAAGTAATTTTACAGAGACAAAAGAAGGCTAGAGAAATTATGCATGTAATTGTATAGCATGGCTATTAAGAACAGTAGCTCTAAAATCAATTCTTGCCTAAATTTGAATCCCAACTCTGCCTTCTTCTACTTGGGTAATACTTAGCAAGTTATATACCTTCCTTTCTTTCTTTTTCTTTTCTTTTCTTTTCTTTTTTTTTTGATACAGAGTCTTGCTCTTGTTGCCCAGCCTGGAGTGCAGTGGCAGGATCTTGGCTCATTGCAACCTCCACCTCCTAGATTCAAGTGATTCTCCTGCCTCAGCCTCCTGAGTAGCTGGGATTATGGGTGCCTGCCACCATGCCCAGCTAATTTTTGTATTTTTAGTAGAGACGAAGTTTCACTATATTGGCCAGGCTGGTCTCAAACTCCTGACCTCAGGTGATCCGCCCACCTTGGCCTCCCAAAGTGCTGGAATTGCGGGCATAAGCCACCATGCCCAGCCCAAGTTTATAACCTTTCTGAGTCTCAGTCATCTTATCTGTAAAATCGGGATGAAAATAACACCTATCTCAGGGGGTTGTTCTCAGAGGACTAAATAATTAAAGGGTTGATATCTGGCACATGGTAAGTGCTCAATAAATGGTAACTGTTGTGATAATTATTAGCAATGGTGTGTTACTGAAACCTCAGGTCAGTTTTTCAGAAATGTAGCGGAAAAGAAAGAAGATAAAGAAATAAGGCAAGGTCAGTGGGTTGTCAATATTGAGACTGAACCTTATAGGTCAGGCTTTCTCAAACTCAGCACTTTTTTTTTTTTTTTGAGACAGAGTGTTGCTCTATCATACAGGCTGGAGTGCAGTGGTGTGATCATGGCTCATTGCAGTCTTGACCTCCTGGGTTCAAGCAACCCTCCCCCCTCAGCCTCCTGAGTAGTTAGGACTAAAGGTGCCACCACCACCCCGCCTAATTAAAAATAAAATCTTTTTGTAGAGATGGGATCTCACTATGTTGCCCAGGCTGCTCTTGAACTCCTGGGCTCAAGTGATCCTCCTGCCTTAGCCTCTCAAAGGGCTGGGATTACAGGCATGGGCTGCTGTGTCTGGCTAGCCTCAGCACTATTGACATCTTGGGCTGGATAATTCTTTGTTGTGGGGCTGTTTCATGTATCATAAGATGTTTAGCAGCATCCATGGCTTTTACCCACTAGATGCCAGTAGCACCTCCCATGGATGTGACAACCAAGAATATGTACATGTACATGTACATGTATATGTATATGTATATGTGTATATATGTGTATATGTATATGTATCTCACAGTGCTGAAGTTATGAAACAAGGAGACTGCTGCCATTCAGAGAGGCAAAAGGTAGCCATCAAACCTTGTGCCATATGCCTTTGGACCATATTTCTAATGACATCCTGAAAAGTGATCCCCTTTGGGGAAACTGAGGCAACAATAAACATATCTACTCTCAGACCATTCTATAGATCAACGGAGTGATTGGAGTGATGGCCACTCTTCTTTATAGGGCTGACCCTGCAGTTGTCCTAAACCCATCAACTCTGACCACTATTGCCCACAAGTCCAAACCTGGACACTGTCTACCAGCCTGGACACAGGGCTTCCTCTGCACCATATAGGTGGGAGGACTTGTGCAATGGATGACTGAGGGAAAGACAGCTTCTTAGATACTGTACAGTGAGGTGTAAGGCTGTCACTATGACAAGTGTAGGAATAGGAACGTCTCAACACTGCCTC